>NC_000006.12:88273261-88898261 GCF_000001405.40 Homo sapiens
ACCGCACTCCAGTCTGGGCAACAGAGCGAGACTCTATCTCAAAAAAAAAAAAAAAAAAAAAAAAAAAAAAAAAAAAAAAGTCAGGTTCTCATCCCATTTAAACCAAGAATTTTGATCACCAGCAAATTTTGTGATCTGTAACGATCTGCACGGCAGTAACCAAATCTGAAAGACTGGTATCTCTCTTTCCTCTTTTTTCCACATAAAGAGTTGTTGACCTATGGCAGCTGTTGAGTGCCAGACCCTAGGGGTAGATTGATCTATAATCAGGACTGCTCTTTTGCACAAAATAATTTCCTTCCTTTAAATTTTTCTTTAAATACACATTACCTTATTTTAGATTTTTTCTTTTGTAGTTTATAAAGAAAAAGCAATCAAGAGAAAAATAAATTCATTTGCATATGTCTGCTCTGGAGAAAAAATATACTCTTTTTTCATTTCTTTCTTGATTACATCAGCAAAAGGCATTTAGAACACAGCGCTTTCAAATTAGTGCTTCAGGTCCTGATTATTTTTGAAGTCTTCATGAAATATTATTTAAAGAAGGAAGGTTTCTAAATTCTGTCAAATATACCAACTATGCATAAGTTAATGCTAAGAAAATAAACTTTTTAATTTTTGATGTAATATAATACACTGAGAATTGTTCTATGCATGAAACAAGAAGGGAGCATTACAAGTGCGGAAATATATTTCATATGTTCATTGTCTGTGCTTTGATATATGCATAACTATATTGCATTCTAGGAGCAGCTAATTTCCATATAAAGTGTAGCTACTTTCAATTTTACTATGTCTTGTCTACAAAGGAAGCTTTGATTTGTGTGCCCTAGGCTAGATCAGAGAATGCATCATTTTCTTGAAGTTCCTTTCTGTCATGCACAATTGGTGAGTTCCAGCACTGATTATAACATGGATGTTTAGAAAGACATTACCCAAAAGGGAAAAAAATAAGATAAATTGCATCAAGAAAGGCTAGCAAAATCAAAGAAAAATGATCAGAGAGAACCTGATGGCAATCCTCCCGAATTGTACACATTTGGGCATTAAGGGGCAATGAACCTTGGCCTATTCTGGTGATTATAACAGCTATTTCAAGCCTAATAGAAGAAGTGAAATTCTGCAGTCATATCAAAGCATCTGCCATCATTTGATCCTCTGTGATGGCTACTGCACATTGGTAACCATCTTCTTTGTAGAGCTGAAGGTGGACCAGCTGAGCTCACGTGAGGTGTGACTTGTGCAGTAGCAGAAGACCTCACCTCCAAATATTTCCTCACTGACATTCATCAAATTTTATCTTTCAATTCCTTTTGATGATGTGTGCTTTTGAAGTGGATTAATGAATTCTATTACCTGGAGGAATAAAATCAAGTACTCATCCAGTATCAGCCTATCCTATAATCTAATTATTTTACCTGATTACTATTTAATGGAAAGAGAGGCAAACTAGGAACAGGGAGTTGAGTTCTAGTCCCTGCTCTGTGGCTGTGCACCTCCGGGCAAATCACTTCTCTCCTTCAGTCTTAGTGTCTTCATCTTTAAACTGACGAGATGATAGTAAAGATCTCTCCTAGTTAGGAAATTCTGACTTGGTGACTAGATTATTACCCTTTTAACTTAGCACCCTGAAGGAATGGAAAAAAGAAGCAAAATTTTGATGGATTTGAGAATGAGAGAAGGAAGATAGGAGGTAAGTCATTCCGAGGCCAAAAGTGAGTAGAGATTTGTTAGGGAAGAGATACAAGCACTGAAAAAATTAAAATTGGGGAAGAAAACAAACTTCTGATTCTATACTTGAGTCATATATTTTTGAAATATTTGTATAATACTAAAAATACTGGATTTGATTTTCTTTTGAAAAAACCTTTATTGGCTTGGATTTATTAGTATCATTACAAAAATATAGAAACTGCATGCCCCCAACCTCATTATTGTATCTCCTACAAGATAACTATTGTTAATAATTTGGGGTTTCTTCTTGCAGACTTTTTTTTTTCATGCCTATTACCATATGCAAGGAGGTTTTTTTTTCTTTTTTTTGGTATGCACTTTTATTCAACTGGTCTCAAGTTAGTGTACAGTTAAGCCCTGGCTGCCTCCACCCACTCCGAGGGAGATGAAAAGCCTTCATACATCTCAAGTTGGGTGACAAAAAAGGGGAGTCACAAAGGCTGATCATTCAAAATTAAAAAAATAAAAAAGTATTAAGGCAAAGATTAAAAGATTTTTGCATTATATAATTTACCCAAAAGCAATGCTATTACCTCCCGTGTGTGGACTCGGGAGAGGACTGGGCCATTCTCCTTAGAGAGAAGTGGGGTGGCTTTTAGGAGGCAAGGGACTTCCTGTAACAATGCATCTCACGATATTTGGAATGACCATTAAAAAAAGAACAATGTACAATCAAAGTTCTCGGCCACATTGCAGAACTTTGGGGGATGCTCGCTCCAACCAACTGCTGTCACCTTCACCGTTCCAGTTTTTAAATCCTGAGTCAAGCCAAAACAAACAAACAAACAAAAACAAAAACAAATAAAGCCATGCCAATCTCATCGTGTTTTCTGTGCAAGTTAGGTTTTGTCAAGAAAGGGTGTAATGCAACTAAGTCACAGTCAGCCTAGAAGCATTTGTGGTGGACGATGGAGGGGCCGGACTCGTCCTACTCCTGCTTGCTGATCCACATCTGCTGGAAGGTGGACGTGGAGGCCAGGATGGAGTAGCCAATCCACACGGAGTGCTTGCACTGGGGAGGAGCAATGATCTTGATCTTCATCGTGCTGGGCGCCAGGGTGGTGATCTCCTTCTGCATCCTGTCTGTGATGCCAGGGTACATGTTGGTGCCGCCAGACAGCACTGTGTTGGCGTACAGGTCTTTGTGGTTGTCCACGTCACACTTCATAATGGAGTTGAAGGTAGTGTCATGGATGCCACAGGATTCCATGCCCAGAAAGGAAGGCTGGAAGAGTGCCTCGGGGCAGCGGAACCGCTCATTGTCGATGGTGATGACCTGGTCATCTGGCAGCTCATAGCTCTTCTCCAGGGAGGAGCTGGAGGCCGCCGAGGCCATCTCCTGCTCGAATTCCAGGGCGACGTAGCACAGCTTCTCCTTGATGTCACACATGATTTCCTGCTCAGCGTGGTGGTGAAGCTGTAGCTGTGCTGGGTGAGGGTCTTCTTGAGGTAGTTAGTCAGGTCCCCGCCAGCCAGGTCCAGACGCAGGATGGCGTGGGGAGGGCGTACCCCTCCTAGATGGACAGAGTGTGGGTGACCCTGTCACCGGGGTGCATCACGATGCCAGTGGTACCTCCAGAGGCATACAGGGACAGCACGGCCTGGATGGCCACATCCATGGCTGGGGTGTTGAAGGTCTCAAACATGATGAACTGGGTCGTCTTCTCATGGTTGAGCTTGGGGTTCAGGGGGGCCTCAGTCAGCAGCACGGGGTGCTCCTCAGCAGTCACACGCACCTCGTTGTAGGTGTGGTGCCAGATCTTCTCCATGTTGTCCCAGTTCGTGACGTTGCCATGCTTGATGGGGTACTTCAGAGTCAGGATGCCTCTCTTGCTCTGGGCCTCCTTGCCCACATAGGAGTCCTTCTGACCCATGCCCACCATCACTCCCTGGTGCCTAGGGTGCCCCACAATGGAGGGGAAGACGGCCTGGGGAGCCTTGCGCATGCTGGAGCAGTTGTCGACGACGACGAGCGCGGTGATAGCATCATCCATGGTGAGCTGGCGGCGGGTGCGGACGCAAGGCGCAGCGGCAAGGACAAGGTTCTGTGCTCGCTGGGCTGACGCGGTCTCCGCGGTGTAAGGAGGTTTATATATATTTCTACAACATCTCCCCTACCGCTATAGTAACTTGCTCTTTCTTTCCTTCCTTTCTTTCTTTCTTTCTTTCTTTCTTTCTTTCTTTCTTTCTTTCTTTCTTTCTTTCTTTCTTTTTCTTTCTTTCTTTCTTTCTTTCTTTCTTTCTTTCTTTCTCTTTCTTTCTTTCTCTTTCTTTCTTTTTCTTTCTTTTTCTTCCTTCCTTCCTTTCTCTCTCTCTCTCTTTCTTTCTTTCTAACTCTCTTTGTCTCTTTCTTTCTTTCTTTTGACGGAGTTTCACTCTTGTCGCCCAGATTGGAGTGCAATGGCATGACCTCGGCTCACTGTAGCCTCCACCTCCCAGGTTCAAGCGATTATCCTGCCTCAGCCTCCCTAGGAGCTGGAATTACAGACGTGCACCACCAAGCCTGGCTAATTTTTGTATTATTAGTAGAGACGGGGTTTCACCTTGTTGGCCAGGCTGGTCTCGAACTCCTGACCTCAGGTGACCCACCTGCCTTAGGCTCCCAAAGTCCTGGGATTATAGGCATGAGCCACAGTGCCCAGCCTTCTTTTCATTTAATACTATAGTAGTGTGATCCTCTCTACCTATTACATAAAATACTTCAGGTGAACATCCTTGTACATGTGTTTCTGAAACACTTTAGCAAGCTTGTCTGCAGGATAGATTTCAGAGAGTGAGATGGCCAGGCCGGGCACATGCACTTTAAAGCATGTCAGCTATTACCTGCCTTAGCCCTGTTTCCACAGGGCTTGTGATGAGGGCTTATGCATTAGTACTTTCTGAGGAGCATGATCCCAGGGAGAGGGAATGAGAGATAAGAGTGAAGGGGGTAAGGAGGGAGAGCCAATACTAAAATGCCTTATTGAGCTGGCTGCTGCTTTTATTTTATTTTATTGCTATTTTTTTAAATAAAGTTTTCATAGTCTTTAATTGGTTATTTTGCTGGTTATTGGTTAATAAATTGACAACGCAAGGAGGGGCCATGGGTGAGCTCCCAGCCAGGCTCCCACGTCCAGGCTCAGGCAAGGATGGCTGCTGCTTTTAGTTGGCTGGTTGCTTAATCCCACAGAAACTTCCGTGAAGCCAAAGGAAATATGTCTCAAGACTGTCAGAGAAGCCATATGAAATGTATTTCAGGACCATCCATTGTGGTGAGGAGGGGAGAGTGGGAAAGGGAGAAGCCTTTATCCATCAGGTCTGTCTCCCACTTGTCAAATGTTTGCCCATGAGTTGTTCATTCTCCAGCACTCTGGTTTGCACATGTGTCGGCCCTTGAGCACGTTCCTTTGGAGTCCTTCATTGTGGGTCATCCAAGAAGCCTGGGGGTGGGGCAGGAGATAAATCCACTTGTTTTTGTGTGAAGCCCACCTAAGTCCACATTAAATCACTGTAGTCATGACTGGAATAAGACACAAGTGTTGTCAAGGAGATCTGAAGTGGTACATGAAAGATTTCAGATACACTAACAACCTGTCTCACAAAACTATACCGATTTACACTCATCAATCATGCAAAAGTGTCTTCTTTCTTTTCTTTAACAACAGTGGATCTTGTCCCTAACTTTTGCCAATATGGTGGGTAATATGGAAAGTGTTTTCTTCTGTTGTGCATTTCTGTGCTACTGAGGTTGAATATCTTTGCAAATGTTTATTAGCCTTTATATTTTGTCTTTTGTGAATTGTCTACTATATTCTTTGGCTTTTTTTCTATTAGGTGGTTCTTTAAGGCTTTTTTTTTATTAAACAGAGAAGACTACTTTCTGAAGTTCATGTTCGTGAAGTTTTGTAAGTACTCTCCTTAATAATCTAAAATATGAATATGCTGTTTTCCACTTGCCCAATTTCTAGCACTTAGTGTGAACTGAAGACAGTAGTCACATACATGTTCTTTATATTAGCAAAATTACTATTTTTTTCAGTATTAGACTCAGAGCACAATATTCCATAGGTAATAGCACATATGGTTTTTATTTAATTGTGAATGCATTTACTTACAAATGCTTTCCAGAACAAAGTCACACTTTAAGCTTGTCCTTTCCTATTTTGTTTCTTGGGATAATGATTGCATAGTCTCTTTTTTTCCTTGCAGAGAAGTATTTTATCCTATCATAGTTCAACTTCATTCTTATTTGCTACTTGTTAAATGGCTTCTGAAAGAAAACAAGGACTTTTCTGTAAACTGCTCATGATTTCACTTCAGATCTAATAGTGCAACTGCCACATACAATCTTGTCATTCAGCTATCAACCAACCAAGGTCTTCTTGGTTTTATCCCTTGTTTTACAAACCTAACTTTTGTTCTTTTCTGCTATTTCCATTGTGATTATAAAGGATTAAGTGCCTGGAGTTTCAAGGGATGTAAACTCATTGCAGTAATATTGCAGAAGATAAAAACAGAGGGAGCTACGATATGTTTTTATAATTTTGTGTGTGTGTGTGTGTGTGTGTGTAATTCCAGGTATATTATAAGATGAACCTGATTTTCTAATTATTGGTTGGAACAAAACACTAGAGTAAATAATTATACATGTACCATTTTTAAAAAGTAAGTACATTTCTAATAGCATGCCTCCTAAGTAAATCTTTCTTTGATAAATAGCATCTGTGACTATTTTGTTTTCATGGCCTAAAGAGGTTGGTTGTGACTTGGGGAAAGATGACTCTACCTCTAACTCCAGGTATCACCTTACTTGGTATAAGGGTAATTCCATCTTTCTTACCTATTTTTTGTTCAAGAATGAGCTGTGTCCTAATTCTGACTAACAAGACAAAAGGGAAGTCATGCTGAGGGACTTCCAGGAAGAATTTCTTTCTTCCTGACAGAGAGCCAGAGGGAGGAACTTTCTCTCTTTTTCTCTGTGTGCTGTCATATCTGGATATTATGCCTAATATGGCTGTAGTTAATTCACTGGCAATTTGCAGATGAAGCCAATACTGAGAATAACAGAATGGGGACATGAAAATAACCTGGGTCTTTGTTGATGTAATTGAGACATTGAATCAATCAACCCTGAAGTCTATCCTACTTCTAGATTTCCTGTGCGACAATACATCTTCTTCTTGCTGGAACCAGTTTTGAATTGGGATTCCTCTATATTACAAACCAAAGCACCTTACTAAATCAGCTTCTTTCCACACAGGGACAGAGAAGGTAGGCTCAGTCTGGAGAAATGTACAGGCACCCTTTTTCTTTTAAGGTTCAGAGAGCCCATGAACTGAATCTGGTATATCACAAAGCTTGCAGAGAATAGAGTTTTCACACTTTTTCAAGGTAAGACCACAAGACTCACACTCTGTTACTTATAGGCTATGTTACTTGGGCAAATCACTTGAAGTCTCTGAGCCCCAGTTTTGGCATGGTGTTCAGGCGTGGTGGCGTGCACCTGTAATCCCAGCTACCTGGGAGGCTGAGGTAGGAGAATTGCTGGAGCCTGGAAGGCAGAGGCTGCAGAGAGCAGAGATCGCGCCACTGCACTCCAGCCCGGGCAACAGAGCAAGACTTCATCTCAAAACACACACACACACACACACACACACACACACACACACAAAACTATTAAGTGTTTCCTCAAATCCAAGATTCTGTCAATTGTAAGGCCCTCTATTAAGAAAGAAAAAAATGCTGCCAATTAAAAATTAAACTATGCCTTAACATTGTGCATTTGTCATCTTTTGACTTTGACTTTTTTCCCCATGTATTCCAGGGGACTTGGCAATACCTCCTTCAGTTGCACTGGTTGGCATGTGATAGGCAGTCCTGTTGTATGTATCTGGGTGGGGGGAGCAGAACATAACTCAGCTTCGTCCACTTGTGGGGTCTTCCTTTCTTAAGTTCCATAAAGTGCTTGCTGGTTGCTTTGAAAATGGATGGAATTATGGTTATTTCTCCAGCAGTGAATATTTGCTTTATCAATATCAAATTTATGCCCCACTGTTTTGTTTCTATTCATTTCTCTGTATACAAAATCTTTTTATTTCAATGTCAAATTATGCTGTAATCTTTTAAAATACATTTAAAAACCACAAACTCAACATGAGCAGTAAAAACCGCACACTATCAGCAGTAAGATGTGAAATGTAAAAACTTGTGTCTTAGAATTAAAACAAGGTATTTATGAAATGACTATGGTAGAGATGAAAGAGGCAAGTAACAGGGATATAGTCAAGTTTTTCTATTGTCCACTTTTTGAGGGAGAAGATTCAACTAATTGTATAAAGATGTTTAAAATGAATATAGGTAAGTGATAGAATAAAAACAGTTTAAAGAAAGATACCATTTTTTTTTTCCTGTACTAAATTAACAAAGACTCAGAAAATGAAAAAGATTCAATTTGGTGCAGAAAAAGAGAAACAGACATTCTCATTTTCTGCAAGTATTAATTTTTATAGAAGTAAGATCTGAGGCCCGCCTTACTTTCTTTTGTGCCTGGATATCTGGCAGAATAATTTCTTTAACCTGAGTTTCTTGCTGTAATAGAAAAATACGGAAAAGTAGAGGTAATGAGGTAGAGAAAATATTAACAACTGGCACTAGGATTCTCAGGGAGAGAACAGTCTTTGGAAAGTTGCTCTGAGAGATGTTTGTAACAGAAGGTGCTCTCTACCCTCACCCCAGGAACTGGGTGTTGGCAGGCACCATGGCTTTGAAGGGAGGGAAAGCTACTCTTTGTGAGGCAAGGGGAGGGATGTTTTACTTCTAAGGGAAGGAAGAAAGTGGCAGAAGAGAGACAAGTGGGGAATAAGGGAGGAAAGCCAGCGAGATGGAAAGCTGCAAGGACGCAAGAAACTTCATGGTGGCGAGGAGAACACAGCTCTTTGAGAATGACCACGACTCTTGTTTGTCCCAAGTTATCTCCCTTTCCCCTCCACTTTCTCCAGGAAATCTTCACTAAAGTCAGCTAAACCCACCAATATTTTCTATAAATGATTTTTTTTTAATTGTAGCTTTTGAGGAAATGGGTAAAGAGCCCTAGGACATGGAAGAATTGCCACGCTGTAAACCAGGTGCCAGATGAGAGCACCCCCTGCCCCAGTCCTGCCCCAATCCCTTCCTGGAAAACCTGCAGAAACTGGTGGGGATGGCTTTGCTCTCCTGCAGGCTGTGCGTTGGGCAGGAGGGCAGTTTATTTGTTCAATACTTACTGATCATCTACTATGTGCTAGGCATCGTTCTGAGTAGCAGGAAGTAAGGAATGTAAACAAAGGATCTTAATTTCTGTGAGTCAGATCATAAGCAGAGACAGACAATAACTATGATCTAATGTTCTATTTTCACAGCTGCTATGAGGAAAAATAAGGTAGGATAAGAGAGTAGAGATTGATAGGAGTGAGAGTGAATGCCTGTTTGGGGAAGTATTTTAGGCATGGACGGCAAGTACAAAGGCCCTGTGGCAGAAACCACCTAATGTGTGTAGAGGAAAGTCTGCCAGACATTGTGCCTGACTGACGCGGGGAGGGGAGAGTGATGGGAGACAAGGCCAGAGAGGCAGGGGCCAGGTCGTGAGGGCCTCCTGGGAAGAATACAGCCATTGGGTTTTATTCTGAGAGTAATGGAGACATTTGAGGAGAGAAGCAACAGGATTTGATTTCCTGTTTCAGAAGATAACTGGTATTGTGTGGAGAAGAGGCTTAGGTGACATGGGTGGAAGCAGGAGAACCAGATGAGATGATAAAATGATGAGGCTGGCATGGATTAGGGTAAAGGCAGAGAAGGTGGTGGGAGTGGATTTATTCTGAATGAGAAATTGACAAGACTTGCAGATGGATTAGATATGAGATATGAGAGAAAGAAAAGGATAAAAATGACACCTAGGTTTGTTTGCTTATTTTTTTAAAGAAATAATTTGTGATTTAAATTATAATTTTAAGAGCAACATATGTTCACTGCAGAAAATTTAAATAATGCAGAAAAATTTAAAGAGAAAAATAAATTACTCATAATTCCAGAATTGTAGACATTTTAGTATACAACATTGTGTGTGTGTGTCTAAGTGTCTATGTGTGTGTCAGTATATATATATAAATATATATATAAATATATAAATATAAATATATATAAATATATATATAAATATATAAATAAATATATATAAATATATATATAAATATATATAAATATATATATAAATATATATATAAATATATATATAAATATATATATAAATATATATATAAATATATATAAATATATATATGGATGTACATATATATGGATGGATGGATTATCTGAATTTTCCAACTATACTTGTAGTTAGAATATATTTTGAGTATATTATTTTATAGATTGCTTTTTAGAACATTTTACTTTAAACTATTTTAGACTTACAATATTAAAAATAATTGCAAAATACTAGAGTTCCCATATTTCTAGTTCCCATTTCACCTAGCTTTTCAGAACATTAACATCTTACATACTACAATGATCAAAACTAGGAAATTAACACTAGTATAATGCTACTAGCTACACTACAGGTCTTACTCAAATTTCATCAGTGTTTTCCACTAATGTCCTTTTTTTCTGTTCCAGGATTCCACATTGATTTTATTGTTATTTTTCCTTAGTCTTCTCCCATCTGTGAGAGTTCCTGTTTTTCCTTGTGCATGGCACTTGAAGAGTATTGATCAGTTTTTTTTGTAGATGTTACTTGATTTGGGGTTTATATTTTCCCATAATTGAAATGAGGTTGTGCGTTTCTGGCACAAATGCTGCTGTGTCCTTCTCAGCACACATCGTAGGTTCATCATATTGATACAATATTGATATGATATCCATGATGTTGAATTTGAACACATGGTGAAAGTGGTGTCTTCTGGCTTTCTCTACTATAAAGTCACTATTCTCCCCTTTGTAGTTAAAATATATCTTAGGGGTGACAGTTTGAGACTATGCAAATACTGTTTCTCCTCAAATTTTCACCCAGCAATTTTAGATTCTGTCAGTGGATTATGTCTGCAAAAATTATTACTGTGGTGTTTACTAATTTGTGGTGATTTTCTATGTCTCCTGTGATTTTCTGTTCTCTTACTTTCTGCTATATTTATTAATTGAAATTATTCTGTAAGGAAGAGCTCTTCCTTTCCCCCCGTTTATGTATTCATTTGATTATTCCTTTAAATCTGTATAGATTCATGGATATTTATTTTATTATAGGGGTTAAAATCCAATACTGTCATTATTTTCACCACATTTATTGAGGTATAACTGACAAAAAAAATCATGTGTATTCTAGGTGTACAACATTATGTTTTGATACATGTATACATTGTGAAATGATTACCACAATCAAGCTACTTAACATATCCATCACCTCACATAGTTACCATATGGTGTGTGTGTGTGTTTGTGTGTGTGTGTGGTGAGATTACTTAAGATCTACTTTCTTAGCAAATTTCAAGTATACAATGCATTATTATTAACTATAGTCACCATCTCCTACATTAGCTCTCCAGGACTTATTCATATTATAACAGAGAGTTTGCACCCTCTGACCAAAATCCTCCCATTTCTCCCAATTCCCATCCCCTGGCAATTATCAATCTATTATTGGTTTCAATGAATTAGACTATTTTTGGATTCCTCCCACATGTGGTAGCATGTAGTATTTGTCCTTTTGTGCCTGATTTTTCATTTAGCATAGTGTCCTCTAGGGTCATCCACGTTGCCACATGTGGCAGGATTTTATTATTTTTTAAGCCTAAATAATATTCCATTGTATCTTCTTTACCCATTCATCCTTCAAGAGATACTTAGGTTGTTCCCATATCTGGCTGTGGTGAATAATGCTGCAATGAACATGTGGTTGTACATATCTCTTTGGGATAGTGATTGTATTTTCTTTGTGGGACAGTGATTGTATTTTCTTTGTATCTACACACCTAGAAGCGGGATTGCTGGATCATATAGTAACCCTATTTTAAATTTTTGTGAGACACCTCCATGCAGTTTTCCACAGTGGTTGTACCAATTTGCATTCCCACTAATAGTGTATAAGGGTTTTCTTTTCTCCACACACAAAATATAACACTTGTTATTTCTTTACTTTTTAGCAATAGCCATTTTAACAGATGTGAAATGACAAATTATTGTGGTTTTGATTGGCCTTTCTCTGATGATTAATGATATTTCACACTTTTTTATATACTTGTTAGGTATTTGTATATACTTTTTCAAAAAATGTCTATTCAAGTCCTTTGGACATTTTAAAATCAAGTCTTTTTTTTTTTTTTTTTTTTTTGCTATTGGGTTGTATGGGTCCCTTAATGGACATGTGGTTTGCAAATATTTTCTCTCATTCTATAGGTTGCCTTCTGCTTTGCTATGCAGAAGCTTTTAAGTTTGATGTAGTCCCACTTGTTTATTTTTGCTTTTGATGCCTGTGCTTCTGGTATCATATCTAAAAAATTATAGGCCAGGCACGGTGGTCATGCCTGTAACCCCAACACTTTGGGAGGCTATGGTGGGAGGATTGCTTGAGGCCAGGAGTTTGAGACCAGCCTTGGGAACATAGGGAGACTCTCTCTACCAAAAAAAAAAAAAAAAAAAAAAGACTTTTTAAAATTAGCTGGGTGTGGTGGCACAGTCCTTAGTCCCAGGTCTTCAGGAGGCTGAGGGTTGATATATATCTCTCTACATATATTTTTATTTTGATCATTTAACCACTTTATGTCACTTGATGGGAGAATTTGTTTACATTTAAACTAATTGTTGATAGGTAAGGATTTATCGCTACCATATACTAACTGTTTTTTAGTTGTTTTATAGATTCTTTGTTTCTTTATACCTCTCTTGCAGTCTTTCTGTGTGGTTTATTCATTTCTATAGTGATATATTTTGATTCTATTTAACTTTTGTGTATCTACTGTAGGTTTTTGCTTTGTGCTTTCCCTGAGGCTTGCTTAAAACATCTTATAGTTATAACAGACCATTTTAAACTGATAACAATTTTGATTGCATACAAAAACTCTACACTTTTATTCCTCCCATTTTATGTTTTTGATGTCACAATTTACCTCTTTGTATATTGTATATTCATTAAAAATTATTTTAGTTATAGTTATTTTTAATACTTTCATCTTTTATACTGGAGTTATAAAGTATTTACAAACCTCTATTACAGTATTAGAGTATTCTAAATTTGACTATATATTTACCTTAACAATGAGTTTTATGCTTTCAAATGTTTTCATGCTACTAGTTAGAATCCTTTTGTTTCACTCTGAAGAATTTTCTTTACAATTTCTCGTAAGGTATTTATGAAGGATAGATTTGCTGGGTAAAGTATTCTTTGTTGGTGTTTATTTTTCTTTCAGCACTTTGAATATATCATCTGACTCTTTTCTGTCCTGGAAAGTTTCTACTGGGAAATCCACTGGTAGCCTTATGGAGGTTCCCACGTATGTGCTGTTTTCAAATTTTTCTTTGTCTGATTTTTGAAAGTTATTGTAATGTCTCAATGAAACCTTCTTTGGATTAAACCTGTTTGGAAGCTTCAAGCTTCATTTACCTGGAAGTCCCTGTCTCTCCCCAGGTTTGGGAAGTTTTCAATCACTATTTCTTTAAATAAGCTTCCTTCTCATTTCTCTTTTTTCTCCCTCTCTCAAATTCCCATAATACAAATGCTAGCTCTCATACTGATGTCCCATAAATTCCATAGGCTTTATTCACTTTTTGATTGTTTATTTTTCTCTTCTGTATAACTCTGAATAACCTGTCTTTGAGTTCACAGATTTTTTTTTCTTCTTGATCAAGTACGTTGTTGACAGTTTCTGTTGCATTAAAAACTTTTCACTCATTGTATTCTTCAGCTCTAGAATTTCTGTTGTGTTCTTTTTTATGATTTCTATTTCTTTGTTGAGCTTCTCATTTTGTTCATGTATTGGTTTTCTGATTGTGTTATCTCTGTTCTTTTGTAGTTTGCTGAGTTTCCTTAAAACAATTGTTTTGAATTATTTGTCAGGCAATTCATAGCTCTCTATTTCTTTGAGGTTATTTACTGGAATATTAATTGTGATCCTTTGGTAGTGCCATGTTTCCTTGATTTTTTAGGTTGCTTGAAGTCTTGTGTTGCTGTCTTCACATTTGAAGAAATAGTCACTTCCTTCAGTCTTTATTTACTGGCTTTAGGAGAGAAACACCCTTATCAATCAGCCTATCTAGGGATTCTCAGGCTCTCTCAGACTTCTGTGAACGTGCCCACTATGCACATTCTATTCCTTCGTTAAGGAAAAGTCTCAGGATTGTATGCATTCATTCACTTGATCCCACAAAGCCAGGCTAGGTGCTGAGTTGCTACTGTTTGTTTTTTCTAGGGCAGTGCCCTGAAATGCTGAAGTTTATATGCCTTCTCTCAATCTGACAGAGTTGATTCAGCTGTCTTCACAAGACACTTACACTGTCTAAGGGAACATGCTCAGGACGCAGGCCTGAAGGTAATGAAACATGCAGAACTTTTGGAATTTCTGTGGACCAGTTAGGGGAGGGCCCACAGGCAAGTTGTCCCAAGCTGCTTGTAAGCAGGCTTCCTAATGAAGCCACAGAGCAGTTAATAGGGTCCAAGACCTTTCTTACCTGTTCCCAGCCTCTTCCAGCTTCTCAGTTGTGCTGATTACCTTAGTAACCTGGGTAAGGTCAGGAAAAATGTGGGCTTCTTTGGCAGCATTCTGCACAGCTGGGGAAGCTGGACACTCACTATGGTATCATCTCCCCTTGTGAGAAAAATCTTGATCCTAGGGGATTTCTCTTGGCACTGAGCTGGACTGCCTTGGGGGAGGGATAATCTGCATAAGTGATACTTATGTTTTTACACCCTCCAAAGCATTTATTCTCAAATTATTTGTCCAATGATGTGCTGAAAGCTTTCCACTGTATTCACAGACTCCCACAGAGCTAGACTCATCCATAAGTAGTTGCCAAAATCTATGCTTCTGCAGGAGAATAATGATATTCTCCTTGGCCATCTTGCTGATTCACTCTATTATTATGTATTTAATTGCTCAAATTATTCCAGCTCTGGCTATTAGGAGCTCCTTTAGGTTGGCTAGAGTATTTTTCAAAGTCCTTAGACTTCTCTTTAAGATTATGAAATATTAGACATATAATTAACAATATACATAATATTTATAATATAAAAAACAGTATGATGAAAGTAAGTGTACCTAACTCCTCAATATTTTAACCTTAGTAATTGAGTGAAGATACAGGAAAATGAGAGAAAAGAAATGAAAAGAAAAATCAGTAGTTTTGTTTCAGATATGTTAAGTTTGAGTTGCTTATTAGATACCAGTTAAGGGTGCTAAAGAGAGGGTTGGACATATAAGTCTGGAGCTCAGGGTGGTGGTAAAGGCTAGTCGATAAAACCTGAGGGGGTTTAGGCTGACATCTATGTTTCAGAAAGAAGAAAAATATCATGCACAATCCCACCACTCAAAGATAAATTCTGTTAACTAACATTTTTAAGTAGCTCCCTCCAACGCATGTTTTTATATGGCTAAGATATACTGTATGCACAATATCACATTCTTTTTTCTCACTTAACATTGTAGTAGAAACATTTCCAATTTGTTATTAATATCCAAACATATTCACATGCCATAATTTATTCTTAGCATTACAAAAATTTACACCTATATGTCTTGGTTTTAGATTCTTTTCTCTGAATTTTCTTGTCCTAAGAAAAGCTAAGAGGAGCTCTTCTGACTTTTATAGTCAATATCCTAGTGCTCACCAACCAATTTCTAAGGTTAATTTCAAAGTAAGCTACAAGTTACATCTACCCATTTCAAGGAGTCTGTGGTTTTTTAAAGAGCAATACCAACTTCTAATGAGCATTTAACTCCACAATATGCTGCTTCCATAGAAATACAATAAAAGAAAAATCAGGCATCCATCCTGATGGGAGAAAAAAGTTACATAACCCTAATGTATCAGGGACTTATTCCCTTTGAAAATCTTAAATTTTTGTCCTGTGGAACTCAAATCATAAATTTTGAAAATCAAACAGCAACGATAGACTATAACAGCCACAAAACCTAAAATAATTCATCCAAAAATCCAGACTGGAAGATGAAATGACACTCTTCGGAAAGCAACTGCTTTTATTCAAGAGCTCTGACAGTTGAGAAACAAGATCAAATCAATAAGATACAGAAGTGTAGTAATCATGCATGCTGTTTAAACACCCAGAAGATAGCTCTTGATTTTCTGTGAAAATTAAGGAGAGGTGGGCCAGTCCACCTGTTAGTAAAAAATGTTATTTAAGTATTTCTGAAGATCTTTTATCCCAAGTGCCTCTGCTTCTGCCTCAACTCTGTGCCTTAAATGTTCCCAAAACGGACAGCCAGGCGCGGTGGCTCACGCCTGTAATCCCAGCACTTTGGGAGGCCAAAGCAGGCAGCTCACGAGGTCAGGAGTTCAAGACCAGTCTGGCCAACACAGTGAAACCCCGTCACTACTAAAAATACAAAAAAAGTTAGCCGGGCATGGTGGTGTGTGCCTGTAATCCCAGCTACTCGAGAGGCTGAGGCAGGAGAATTGCGTGAACCCAGGAGGCAGAGGTTGCAGTGAGCTGAGATCGCGCCACTGCACTCCAGTCTGGGTGACAGAACGAGACTTCATCTCAAAAAAAAAAAAAAAGAAAGAAAGAAAATGTTCCCAAAATGTTAATGATCCTACTTAAAGTTCTTAAGGCTTCTGTTTAAATGCAATTATATAGAAAAAATTTAAAAATTTTCTAACTCCATTCCATACTCCTTTCCAGTTATTCCCTAGCAAGGATAACAATGTAGGAATCAAAAATGTTCTTCCTGGGCTGGCCACAGTGGCTTACGCCTGTAATTTCAGCACTTTGGGAGACCGAGGCAGGAGGATCACTTGAGCCCAGGAGTTTGAGATCAGCCTTGGCAACATGGCAAGACCCCATCTCTATAAAATTTTTTCTTAAAAATTAGCCAGGCATGGTGATGTGTGCCTGTAGTCAGGTGGGATGATCGCTTGAGATCATGAGGTTGAGGCTGCAGTGAGCCGTGATTGGACCACTGCACTCCACCTTGGGTGATAGAGTGAGACCCTGTCTCAAAAATAAAAAAATTAAAAAAAAGAAAGAAAAAGAAAAAAATTTTTTTTTCCTTTAACTTTTTAATTTATTGCTGGTCATTCATTTAGCAAGGACCTGAAGGAATGAAGCCCTAAAGAGAAAAATTTACATGTAAAAAAACTTATCTATTTTGATTTTGATTATTTTATCCATGATGTGGTTAAAAAACAATCAACAGTGCAGAAAGGCTTGGACTGAGAAGAGCAGCTAAATTTTGACTGAGATCTTTGGAGAAATGTGTGGCACATCCAGAAGACAGCTGAGTGTCCTGTGGCACGTGAGAAAACAGTAAAAGGCAGTAAATAGGGAAGACACGTTACAGTCAAATTTCACTTACTTAGTCACTTTGCCTAAATCTAGCTCTAAAAGAGAGAGAAACAAGGGAAGTTAATTTGTTGCTGTTTTATCTATTTAGTTCAGTCTTCCCTAATTAGGTCTGTAAAGTATTGTTTCACTTCTTCTATTACTCTCAGGTCAATGTACTAATCTGCAGCAAATTTATCATAAGGCAGCTAGGCAGGCCAGGAGCAGAAGAATGCCCATGGTTACTCAGTGGAAACAGGTGGTGCTCTAATTCCTTTGCCAGGGTAGTTTCACAGAGGTTCAAGGGGCAGCTGAGCCTTCATTCTCACCTAGTATCAATGAAAGGGAACAAGGTAGCATAAGATGGAGATAATTTGCACTATACTCTTTTTCAGCAGAGTCAGCCAGGCACAATGAGGAGTTGAGCTTCATCCCCTACTCCAAGATGGAAAGAGAACAGAATAGTTGGTACTCTGATTCCTCTGGAAAGAATTGGCACAGCATTTTTCAAGTGCTGAAAGAAAATAACAAGTAACCATAAATGCTATACCCAGCAAAAATATCCTTCAGAGATGAAGGGAAAATCAAGGCATTTTCAGAGAAAGGAAAACAAAGAGCATGTGTTGCCAGCAGGCTTGCCCTTAAAGAGTGGCTAAAGGAATTTCTCTAAACAGAAAATAACAGATGGAGACTGTGACTTGGGAAAGAAATAACAATGAAATAGACAAAATAGATGTAAATACAATAAACTACCCTTCTCCTCATGAGATTTTTCAAATTATGTTTAATAATTGAAGAAAAAATTGTAACATTTGATGTGGTACTTATATATGTATAAAAAATACTTAAGACATATTTTTTAAGCAGGGAAGGTAAAAAGACCTACATGAAAGTAAGGTTGCACACTTTGCTTGTAGTGGCAAAATACCAGTTTACTGTGATGTGTTACATATGTATATTGTAATACTTAGAGCAACCTCTAAAAAACTATAAAAACAAATATATACAAAAGCACCACATATCAAAATGTAAGTCAAAAAATTTTCAAGTAATTCACTAGAAGGCAGAGGAACAAGATTCAGAATGAATAAACAGAAAATAAATAATAAAATGACATACTGAAATCCTAAAATATCAATAATTACTTTAAATGTGCATGATCTAATATGCCAATGAAAACAAAGTTGGGTAGTGTTTTTTTTTATTCATATGGGATAAAAAATAATGCAGATTTTTAAAACATGACCCAACTATACCCTGCCTATGTGAAATTCACTTCAAAGTGAATACATGGGTTATTTGAAAGTAAAAGAATAAAAAACAATATATCACGCAAAGTAATAAAAAAGCAGCAGGAGTGTCTATATTAATATTAGATAAAGTCGATTTTAGAGTGAAGGAAATTAGTAGGAGCAAGGAATATATATAATAATGAAAAGATTAACCCACCATGAAGACTTGTAAACACTAAATATGTATTCACCAACAACAAAGCTTCAAAATATAGGAAGAAAAAACTGATAGAGATGAAAGAAAAGCACACGTGGCACATGAATGGCTGTTATTTGAATTTTTATCCTCATTAGAAAATAATGCAGTAATGATAAATTGCAATGTCATCTCTGGCCATGGAAGACTTAACAAGACTTCAGCTTCCTCATCTGTAGAGTTAGACAGCAATTATGATTTGGACTTGACAAGAAATGGAATATGCTAACCCTAAGTGTTGCCCAGTCATTTCCCATGGTCATACCAGATACTGCCAATTTTTACCTTTTATTTATTTGCCAATAATTTATGGATTACCTACTTTATGGTAGTAGTGATGCAGTGGTGCCTAAGGACATGGGATAAGTTCGATGGAAGCATATAACAGTAGGAACAAAACAAAGAGATAAAGAGGATACTATAAATTAACCACAGAATATGCGAGAAATGCCTGAGGGCCAGATGGCATTAAGAATGAAGTATATGGAAGAAATGCCCACCTAGAACCCAGAGATACTCTGGTAGCTGAGGAAAATAGATTGCAGGCAAGCTTTTGAGTTCTGTTCCTTTTTATATTGCATATGACCTGGAGTGGGTCCCAGCTCCATCACTTCTGTGAAAGAGCCAGCAACAGCAGCAGCAGTTCAAATCATTTAGTGCTGGAGTGGAGGGGGACTTACATCATTTCTGACTGCTTCAGGTGAGGAACTGATGGTAAAAGTTATCTGTAGGACATCCAGCATTGTCATATCCTCCTCCATATCATCTGTGCTAGCCGATTACAATCAAAGGAGTTGACCACCTAACAGTGTGCTCTTTTTTCCTATAAGGCATTTTATGAAAGACATGGTTGCTAAGTAAGATAGTACCCAATATGAGTTCTTACTACCTAAAGCTCTTTCTCTGGAAGTATATCCATTCCTTCCTTCTTATCCTTAAAAGGAGAGACACAGGCTAGGGCTTGGACTATACCAACAATGACATATACTGAGACACGTTACTCAGAAGATTAGCTGATGTCACCAGAGGAAGGAAGGAAAAGTTCATGAACAAAAATAATTAAACACTGGAAGAGTATAGCCAATATAAAAAGGAAAAATAGTATAGTGAGTAGATGCTTCCGTAACAAATAAAATAATAAAACAGGACGATCAGTAATTTAAACGAAACATCATTTTTATCTTCAAAAAGATAAGGAACAATTTTGGTAATCAATTGGTAATCAGTTTGGACAATGACATACTGAAGTCATGTCCAAATTGATGTATAAAATAGAGAAATTTATGACAAGAAGTCATAAAGATGAACATAAAAATATTAAATATGAAAAAATTAATAGATAAAATTAGAAAGACAATAGATGAGCTAAATAGCATTATGATTACAATTGGTGCCAAATGATCAGATTGAAGAACTAACCCTAGAAGACAGCAGAGAGATGCAAAATGGATGGTTTTTTATGTTAAAGGGATATAGAAGATAGAAGTAGAAATACCAATAGCCAATTTAAAGAAGTCTCAAAAGGAAGAACGATAAAGAAAAACACAAACAAGAGGGAGAAAATAGACAGTGATAAACCTGTCAGAAATAAAGATGGAAATCTCAAATTGGAAGTTTCCATAGAATTTCAAACAGGATAAAGATATACCCATAACTAGCCTCATTACAATAAAATTTGACACTCTCACTTTAGAGTTAAGTTTAGTAATACCTAAAAGCTTCCAGAAAGAGTAGATCACTTCGAAAAGAACAAGAATTGGATGGATACCTGACTTCTCGACAGCAACACTGAATATGAGAGGACAATGAACAAATATTTTAAAAATATTAATGAGAAAGAACTTTGAACCTAGAATTAATATTTAGCCTGACTATCATTTAAATGCAAGAATAAATAAAAAAGTTATCAGGCATATCAGGCATAAAGCTTCAAACATTGCTACATAAAAACTTTCTTCGAAAACATTCCTTTTTTTTTTTTTTTTTTCTGTCACCCAGGGCCACGATCTCAACTCACTGCAACCTCAACCTCCTGGGTTCAAGTGATTCTCATGCCTCAGCCTCCTGAGTAGCTGGGATTACTGGTGCCTGCCACCATGCCCAGCTAACTTTTGTATTTTTATTAGGGACAGGGTTTCACTATGTTGGCCAGGCTGGAACTCCTAACCTGAGGTGATCCATCTCCCTTGGGCTCCCAAAGTGCTGGGATAACAGGCGTGAGCCACCGTGCCCGGCCTGAAAATACTCTTGAGGAACTACATGAATAAGAAGAGAAATAAATTTAAAAAGATGCTATAAGAGACATGGGGCTCAAAGGGATCAAGTAACTTAGAAAATATATTGTTTTAAACAGAAAGGATCAAATCAGAAAAATAAAAAATACAACACAAATGAACAAAAAAAGAAAAGAAAAAGAATGTGCATAACCCAGAACTTGCATTTTACATGATAACATCTGGGAATTGGAGTTAACGGAGACGACAAAGAAGATGATAATGTGCTAAAGCACTTATCCTGCTTGGGGACAGAGATATGATTGATTGATAGATAGATAGGTAGATAGATAGAGTGAATGATACAATTAAGAAATTAAGATAAATCTTACATAGGCACAAATGTCAGAATGACAAAATGAAATGTATAAACTTTCAACCCAAAAGAATGAAAGCGGAACTATCCAGTGGCAGGCTTCAGGAATGGAGAAAATAATAACATATAGTTAATATAAAATATGAAGTAAAGTCATAAGAAATAAACATTATAATTATAATTAAATAAACACAAATATGTTAAGCTCATTCTGAAACAGTGACTCTCAGATTGGATTTAAAAATAAAATCCAGTAATACACTGTCTATAAGAGATGTACTTTTATAAAAAGAACATAGAAAAGTTGAAAATAAAAGGATGTGAAAGATACACCTAGCAATTATGAAAGCTAGCAAGTTTCGTATGTGATGAAATAGAATTCAAGAGAAATATAAACCATAAGGAACAAAAAGAAACATCATCTTGACACAAAAAACAATATGTTGTGGGAGGTAATGAAATTGAGATAAGAAATATAGCTAAGTTACAAAATTTGGATATAAAAGGAAGGGAAAGACTGGATGGTAGCTGATGAGAGAAATGGGATTGTGGAGCGTATTTTTAGTATATACTAGTAGAGTTCTTGAGAAGGTGGTAGGACCTGAGATGCAGAACATAGGAAGAGAAACAATAGTCCCACAGTAAAACGAAAGAGGGGAAGACGAGGCACATGCAGGTGGGCCTACAGATTTCGTGGTGGAACAACAAGGCCCTTCTGTTTTGTTGACCCAGGGTGGGACCTTACATGGTTTTCAGCCCTGTATTTAGTTTGCAGACAGATGAAACTGTTATCAGAAAGAGGTCGAGATCCAGACCCCAAGAGAGGGTTCTTGGATCTTGCACAAGAAATAATTCAGGGCCAGTCCATAAAGTGAAAGCAAGTTTATTAAGAAAGTAAAGGAATAAAAGTAAACCCCGAGGGCTGCTGGTTTCCCATTTTTATGGTTAGTTCTTGATTATATGCTAAACAAGGGGTGGATTATTCATGCCTCCCCTTTGTAGTCCACATAGGGTAACTTCCCGATGTTGCCCTGGCATTTGTAAACTGTCATAGCACTGGTGGGAGTGTAGCAGTGAGGACGACCAGAGGTCACTCTTGTGGCCATCTTGGTTTTTGTGGGTTTTGGCTGCCTTCTTTACTACAACCTATTTTATCAGCAAGGTCTTTATGACCTGTATCTTGTGATATCCTCCTATCTCATCCTATGACTTAGAATGCCTTAACCATCTGGGAGTGCAACCCAGTATGTCTCAGCCTCATTTTACCTAGCCCCTATTCAAGATGGAGTTGCTCCGGTTCAAATGCCTCTGACAAAACTTGTGTCATCTTTCATACATCTAAGATGTTGAAAGATGATCTCTATGCATCTAAATTACTCCTGCACTGAACAACAAGCAAAAGAAGAAAAAACAAAATTTCACATTCCACAACCAAAATGCTTATCACATCTCAATAAGCACACAAAGCTTGATTTTTATTTCTTATTTGTATAATATGTACATTTTTTCATAATGCTGGTCTCTCTGATATGTTTAAAGACATAAAAACTAAGTGTATAAAATTCAGGCTAAGTTAAGAAGTATAAAATATATACAATTCAGATTTCCAATCCAGTTTTCAAATCCCAGAGATGCAGCTAAGCTTTGAAAGTTTAGATGTGCGTCTGAACTAAGCCTTTGAAACTTCTGTTGTTTGCCATCTCTGATGGAAATGTCTGCTTCAGGAATGTGCCTTTATTACACTGAGAATGAAAACCATCAGTTACAGTAAGTGGCCTGATGTCTTCATGAGGGACTTCAAAATACATGAAAGAAAATCTTGCCCACTGAACCACAGTAATGGTGTGTCCAGTACCAGTGCACAACAAGGGTCAGAGAAAGGGAAAGCTTGAGTCTGGCTTCTCTGGTCTAAGAAAATAATGGAGACTTTTTTTTCCTGGAAACAAAAAACTGGTGCAACATGTGCCTGGAGAAGAGAACAAAGGTTGCTATTTTTTTCTTAATGACAGCTCTGGGTTCTGAAATTGAGCACGGCAGGTAGGAAGAGCGTGTATAGATTTCAAAAGATATCTAAATGTTACACAGCCACTTTCCTTATGAACAAGCAGCACCAAATGTGTTAGCAGTTTTCTTTGTTTTTTTTAACCAAAAACAAGACATTCTGACAAAAAAACAAAACAAAACAAAAAAAACCGCCTGCTATTCTTGCCTCTCTCTGCCTTGACTTCACTGTCAGAAAGGAGAGATTTGTCCATGATGGAAGTTGGGGGCCGTGAAGGGCTAACCTGTCCATTCTGATGACTTCCCACTTTCAATTAATTCCCAGCCTCAGGGGATGCCTCTCTCTTCTCCTCTCTTTGTTTTTATAATTGTCATTACTGTTTGCTAAATGTCTCCCTGCATGCTCTTTACTTCAATACACTGTTTCAGGACAATTATGGATTCCTCTACTCCAGGACATTTCACAAATAAATCATGGAGATTGAGAAGTCTGTCTCCCATGCCTGATGCTATTTTATGCATTTACAAGAAACTCTAAAGGGAGATTTTTTTTTAAAGCATTGATCGAATGTGCAAAGTATAACAAAAAGATAGGTAATATTTTTAAAAGGTATTTGTGACAAGGCAATTTGATCAGCCTAAATTAAAGATTAGATGTCGGAAAAAAAAGGAATTTGTAAAAGTAGGTACAGAATAGTTCAAGGAGGATGTGAAAGTCTCAATTACTGCTTGATAATAAAAACCAGAGGCTAGACCCCAGCCGTGCATCAAAAGACTGCATTGATAGCTGATGAAAAAACAAAGATGAATATTCAATGTGATGTCATTATGATTGGAAATGTAAATGTGTCTCCAAAAGGCATAATTCCAGTCATTAGGCATCTAAGAAAAGATCCTTTCCTTGACTTATTTATGGCTAAATTCACAGATAGATGACAAGTTTTGTAGGATGGAAGAAACATGTCAAATGCCTTGCCAAAAGACTTAGAGGGGAGGGGTTGTGAGTGGTAAAGGAATGAAACCCTTCAAGGTTAGGATAATAAAGCAAATCATTCTGTTGTGAAAATACATAAAAGGAGGTTTCTAAATGAGGATGGATTAATTTTGCCCCCAGTAGATGAAATTAGATCATGAAAACTTCTGTTTAGATAAGAGTGAGGTGAGTAACAATGAAAATATGAGGAAATAGAAAGAAGTAGAATGAAGTAGCTACTCAAATCACTGAAATAGAGGAATGAAAAGGACCAGTCGTTTCTACCACAGCTTGATAGCCACATTTGTGCAATGGTCTCTTGCTATTACAGTTAGCATCCCTCCCTCACCCACCCCCAAAAAGAGTAGGAGGGAAATCTGAATACCCAAGACATTTTTACAATCCCTGACAATTTTATGACCTTTGCATGCACAGCATTACTTATTTTTCTCTGCATTACATTGAGAAACTCTGGTCATGTTCAGTTGAATTTCTAACCTGAAGTCTGTGTCCTCAGAAATGTGGAGATCATTATTCTGGGCTGGCTGTCTTTGGCTGTGTTGGTATTATCTACATCTAAAAACAAAATTGGCATGGAAGTGGGAATAGAAAGAATGAGAAAAGAGGAGGCGAGAGGGTGGCTCAACAGTTGAGACAGGTTTTCAAGAGTAAACCTCAAAAGGGCTTCTGGCCAGCAGGGTCAGGAGCAAACTTTTCTTATAGCCTGAGGCTTTTTTAAAGGGCCCGGTGGGGAATTGTGCTTTGAAGCAAGATTCTATTAGGGAGGGTTTGGAGAAGTGCTGGCTGTTCTGTTAGGGCCATTATGCTCTGTTGAAGCTATGGGCAGGGGTGACATTCGGGGTTCTGGCCAGGTGGCCAAATAGAAACTCAAAGCTTAAGACGGTGGGGTGTTCTGAAGATGGCGGCACTCTTGTCCTATCAGTTTGAAATGGTTTACAGTGGAAAAGCAATGGGACGAGTGTTATCCGATCTCTATATAACCATCTAGCATAATTTGGCCTCCTGTATGTTACCCTATTTTCTTCTTTGTCTGTAAGCTTTCTCAGATGAGGTGAACAGATGGTATATTGGGAGACAGGCTGAAATGAATGGAAAAAAAAGTGCATAGTACTTCAGTAGAAGGTGAAAAAGATGAGACCAAAGTGGACCCGATTCCCAGCCTCCCAGAGATCGTATTGGCGGCATCTGTTTGTTTTTAAATCAATTTTCTTCTTATTTCTTCCTCAATAAGACTTTGCTGAATGTTTTCACTTTAGTGTTTAAGTGAAAAAAATAGCACGTGGTTTATCTGGTGCCTTACCTTAATGAAAAAATACTGCCTTTAATATTTCCTCTGTGTTAACTGACTGGCTTAGCTCTTGATGTGATGAAAACAGATTATCCGAAGACCCATTCCACTAAAAGCAGATTCTGTTGATGGCGCGTCCATCCTAATGATTCAGGAGCTCAGTTTGCCTCCAGCAGAGAAACACCCAAAACAAGAAGGAAAAAAAAAGATAGTGGGAATGAGAATACAATTGTGGTTGCTACTTAATGGTTGAGATTTCTTATAACACTATCACAGGAAAACTGCTTGCCAGGGTTATGACAGTAATATCAAGATTTAGCTTAAGACTAAAAAATTACAATAATTTCTCTTCTTCCCTCCTGTTACTCCAACCTAGGAAGCCAGCTAAGTAAACACTATCGTTGTAAAGCAGATGGAACCTTTCCAAGGAGAGAAAAGCTATAGAGATGACTGAAAAAAAAAAAATCAAGGTGCAGGCACCACACAAGGGCAGGGCTGTAGTTTCAGCAGAGGAAACATTTGCTTATTATACTCATGGAACTAAAGATGCCTTGTGCTCACAGGCTGGCCTTTGGTATCCTATCTTAACACGATGCAATTATAAACTGTGCATAAAACTGTGATTATGACCCTAAAAATGGGTCTATCTTCCTAATGTCACCCATCAATTGTACAATGCCAGAAATCTCTCCAGTAACTGGTCTTGTTCAGCACTGAATTATTTTTCTATGATTCATTTGACACTTAACATTAGTTTCCTAGGGCTGCCATCACAAAGTACCACAAACTGGTGGCTTCAACAACAGAAATTTATTGTCTCAAAGTTCTGGAAGCTAGAAGTCTCAGATGAAGGTGTCGCCAGGGTTGGTTCCTTCTGAGGACTGTGAGGGAGAATCTGTTCCATGCTTCTCCTAGCATCTGGTGGTTTGCTGGAAATCTTTGCCATTCCTTGGCTTGTAGTTGCATCCCCTAGTCTGTGCATTTGTCTTCTCATGGCGTTCTGCCTGTATCTTTTCTTATAGTTCTCCCACAATGCATGTCTCTGGGTTGAAATTTCCCCTTTTTCTAAAAACTCATATTGGGTTAGTGCCAATCGTATCTTATTTTAATCTGATTAACTCTGTAAAGACCCTCATTCCAAATAAGGGTCACATTCTGAGGTTCTGGGGGTTAGTGCGTCAATGAATCTTTTTGGACAACACAATTCAACCCAAGACATAACCTAAACTAGTTGGTGATAATTCAGCTGTTTTTTTTTTTCAGCTGTCCTCAAATGAGAATCACTATCTGTCCCTAAAATGAGAATACTAGTCAAAACTTCTGATGTAAAGCTGCTCTCTCAAATGACTCCAAATCCTTCCAGAATAGAGCTGTACCTCTTCTGTACCTAAGCAGCAGGGATGACAACGTGATATTTAATTCCATGTTTTCTTTTGGGTGTTTTACTAGGGTTCCAGGGCTTCTAGTGATTTGCTTCTGCTGACAATCAAGAGGGTGTTGCATCCACTGCGCCAGCTATTGATGGCTCCCAAAATGTGTAGTACAGCCGTGGAAAACCCACTCCTCCCACCAGCAATGCCACCTGTACCAGATGACTGTTCACTGGCCTTTCTTTTGAGGTTGGAGAAAACCTCATTGTTGAGGGAGTTTGCCCCAGTGGTATCAGCTCTTAGAGATCTTAAACGTTAAACCCCTTATTTTAGCTTGCTGTCCCTGCTACTGGGACTACCAGAAACATTTCCCAAGATTGGGGCTGGAGATAGTTGAAGGTATCATTTGCTGTGTCACGTCACCTGATATTATAAATGTAATGCAATGTATATCGTGAACTTGAAAGCACACACATTATAAGTGGCCTGATAAGCCATATCTGGGGGCTTGAACTTACAAGGGAGGAAGATGACATCCCGAGTTTTAAAAATGATTGCATGATAGCATGGTGAAAAAGTTGTGTGTTCACCAAGAAGTCACTACTTAGGCATCAGATGTAGTTTAGTCATCTGTTTACTACTGCACATAACCCTCCCGTACTTGGGCCATGTTCAGAAGCCAGAATATTCATGGATTTGATATAAGCATGAAGATTTTTGGCTTCCACAAGTGTGCCTCACCTGGGTAGCAAATTTCTCATGTGTGTCCCAAGGCCATAGATTGAAGTTTTTCTTTTATCTCTTTACCCACCAAAGTTCAGCCACAGTAAAAACACCACTGTGGAGACTTTTATCAAATAATTCAAGGATTTAAGAAAAGGGAAATCATGTAACTAGGAAACAGACTACTGAAAAGATTATTTGTGGGGTCGTGAATATGTATTTCATTGACCCTTTACTTGTCTGTGATAGTAATGTGTAACTGGAATTCACTCAACCCAATGGCAACCAGTGCACTCTGCAGGCATGTGGAGGTGCATGCTCAGTGGTTTGGAAAACTTAGTAATAAAAGTCAAATGGTCTTCTTTATATTGTGGGAAGAAAGTGCTATTTCTTGAGAAAAATGGCAATTTTCACTTCTATTTTTCTTTTCATGAGTCAGATGTCTATATCATGTGGGTTTAAAAAATAGAGAGAGAGAAGTAATAAAAAATAATATTACTAACAGAAGACAGCATATTTCAGTGTTGACTTTTAAATCTATATTGCAACATACACATTTTGTTTTTATTATAAACATAAGGCCATTTTTTCTGCAAAAGGAACAGAATGCTAACTATTTGTGATGAGACTGAAAGCAAATAAGAAGGACTCCATTGTATTACCATTCAGTGAAAATTGGTTGCTTCTCCAGAATGACATAAAGAACTTTTCCTGCAGTCAGTTAGAAAGTAACTTGAAATTGGTAAAACATATAAAACAGCTCTCAAGTTGAATAGCAGGAGGTTGAAAGTTGAGTTTGTACACCACTCACATGATACTTAGGGAAAAAATTCAGTAAGTACAAAAAAATACCTTTGTCTCAGTGTTAATGGAAGCAGAAGAAGTCATGCAAGGCAATAAAATATGAAAGACCGTGCTGGGGAGAATTACAGGAAAGAGTCTCTGGAACCACGGTTTTTCAACAGATTCATTCTGATACTTCCCTAAGGCTGCAGAAATCTACCTATTGTCCATGTCACTCCTGAACACAGAGGCTGAACAATAGTTACCAAAACTTCCTTCTCCTAGGAAAGAGGGAGCTATAGTACTGTTATTGTTTGTTCCTGTTGCAGGAGAAAAGACGTGATAACAGGGAGGCCTGCATGTGACTGGGTGATAACAGGAAAAGCTATCTCTCCAGAGGGGAGCTTGCCCATTGCTTATTACTGACAAAATGAAGAGTGCCAAAGATGTGGGTCATTTCTGGGGAAAGATAAAGTGTTGGAAGCCTGGTGTGGTGACTGAAGATCAGGAACTCTGAGAGCTAGGTCAGGCTCCATTATTACCAGCCCTGTGACCTTGGGCAAGTCACACTGGGGTCTGAGTCTTGGTTTCCTTCTCTATGTTATGAGCATAAACCACTAGACTAGAAGTATTGGTGATATTGGGGTGATGCAGATTTGCAGGGACACACACACACATAAATCACAGTGTCAAAATGGGAGCAGAAACCATTTTATGACTAGCTGGACTAGTGCCTGTACCCTGTAGTAATCTGGACTACCGCTTGTTGCTTAAGTTCAGGTAAACTTAATGGGTCTTCTCCTTTTGCTTGAAATTCAACTGTTACTGCCAGCCAGTCCCTGGAGACCAGAGCATTCAGAGTTCACACACACACAAAAGAAAGCTAGAGAAATGCCAGCCCACTCTCCCAATCCAGACATTGCGCAAGCTTGCCACACAAGGCTGGGTGCAACAGGTCAAAGGGAGAGGATTCGTGTAATGCACATGCCTTTTAAAACACAGTTATCTGGATCACCAGTAAGCACAGTCCAGTCAGAATGGAATTTGGAGACAGAGGCAGGAGATGGAGGGGTAGGAGATTTCCCTGCTACCAACTGATTTCAAAGTTCTATGGTGGTAATCAGATCAGACAGTGAGGTGAAATCCCTTTTCTGAACTGTAAAGTTCTCTAGAGATATCATAGGTTATATTGTTATTATTAGAGTGAGTCAGAAGAGAGATTTTGCTAATGAACCACCACAACAAATCACTGTGGCAGAAACATGCTTGAAATGTCTTTGAGCCTCCTACTTTTAGGAATGCCAATCCAGTCTTAGTGGTGAGCCTTTAGAAAACATTGGGTTTTCAATCCTATTCAACAAACCAGAAGTAGGAGGTGATTACTTTAAAGCCCAGCTTCCCACATTGACATTGATACTGGTATTAACTCTGACATGTAAAATTAGAGTGCTGTGGTTCAGGGACCTGCCTCTGTGTCTTGCCTGCTTGAACTCAAAGGCAAGCTAATGTGATAAACCAATAGAGAGACACCATTTGAAGAAAAGAGTAAGTTATTAGTTCTTTGGGTACTTTACTCTGAGGAGCAATTCCAATTTACTCTTCAAGTTTAGAGGTGTTCAAATTTAATATTTGAATACTAAATTCCCAGTTTCTCCCCTCTCTTTGTTCTCCCTTTCCTTTGTTATCAAAGAGACTTCAAGAATTAGAACCAACCCAAATCCTGAGCAATACAGAAGTAGGTGAGCATATTGCACTGCATCCATTCAACTGGGCACTGTGCAACCAAAGGTGAACTGTTTGTGATGTTACAGACTAAATGAGAACAGTATCTTATAAGTGGTAAGCAGGGTTTGATTTTCTGATAGCTGTCTGGAAAAAAACCTAAAAGTATATGTCTACACACAAATTATCTATGAATACAAAATATTTATTTCCTTCTTTTCACTTTCCTCCATGTTCTATATTTTATAAAGATATATAGAATATGTTATCCTCAAAAATAAGTGTTAATTTTTTTATTCATTAAAGCATAACTTCAATTCTAAGGTATATCTTGGGAAATGTGACACCTCAAAACCATCATGTTTTTCAGATTAATATAGAAAATATGTGGTCAGTACCTATAAAGTAGGCCTACTTGTGAAGGATAGGGTCAGAAGAGTGGCCATGAGTTGTTAGGTACTTCTGGAGAAGCCTGAGAGCAGCCTGACTTGAACGCCGCCAGCATGGCCCCAGTGAGAAATAACGAGGTCCTCAAGTAAGAGTCTCCCTGTGCTCCAAGAAGCATGCATTGTGGAAATAATTCATTATCTCACCTAACAGCCAGTCCAGAAATAGCAGGATCCGCATGACTGGTTGATTCCATCAAGAACACAGGGTCATCCCATCTCTGAGCTCTGCCATCCCCTGTGCTTGTAGCAAGCTGGATGCAGCAGCTCCAGCCACTCTATCCAGATGTGACACCATCAGAGAAGAACAGACTGTCTGACTCTGGTTCTGTAATGAGAAAGACTTTCTCAGAGGCTCTCCAATGGGCTTTCCCTCTTGCCTTGTTGGCTGGATTGGACCACCTGACTATTCCGTGTCACTGAAAAGGGCAGTTGGATAACCCTTAGACCATTCTCATCAGCACCAGGATAGGCAGCTGCCCTGGAGGCATTGTTCAGCTACATGGGAGAATGGAGAATGCCTAAACAAAAACAGGGTCCTTTAAGAACAATGAAGAGGCAATTGATTCTAGGTGGGTAACCAAAAGTGTCTAGCACAGTCCACTGAACATGAACTATTTAGATTCTTATGGCAAGTGGGTAAGATTCTCTTTTATTGGTCTGACTTCTTCCCTGAGCAGTCATCAGAGACTGTATGTCTTGACCAAAGGTAGTGACTCCTCTCAAAACAGCCATTTTCCCACCACTCTCTTCTACTGGGTTCCAGAAACTACTCTCTGCTCTTATTTGTCAGATCTGTGGATAGCTTCAGCAGTTTCTAACCCCATGGCATTGCCCCATCTCTTTCCACACAGCCAGCCCACAGCTTTGTAAATTATTAAACACTCCTTAAATTATTCTGATTTAAGGCTATGTAATTAATTTCCTGTTAGAAAGCTGATACTGTGCCCATTCATACTGCTCACTCGTATTACAGCTATCTACCACAGGGAAAACTATAGACATCAATAGCCTTCCAAACTGTTTTTCTTACCTTTACACATCTATATATGTGTATACATATACATGTACACATGTATATGTATATATGTAAACATGTAATTGTTTTGATTTTAATAAATTATCATGTTATATATATATTGTTCTGTTATTTGCCTTTTTACTCCTACTCTGTTAGGAAATATTTTCATGTCAATGTGTTTTGATTTATCTTTACTCTTTATAGTGGCTAAATATTATTTGTTACTGTGAATTACCATAATTCATTAACCTCTTATCAGTACATATTTAGCTTTATTTATAATTTATTATTATAAGAACAATGTCACAATATACATCCTTACACATACATCTTTTTCATATGTGTAAATATTTCTTTAAGAGAAAAAAATTCCTAGAAATGGAATTGTTGGGTCCAAGGGCATTGCTTTTAAATTTTGGTTGAGACCAGAAAATTGCCTTCCAAAAGAGTGTCACTGATTTCCACGCCCACCAACATGGAAGAGTGGGCCAGTTTCTTTATTCTTGCTTACATTATTCATCTTTTTCAATTTGGGCATTCTAATGGGTGGAAAATATCTCATTGTTGTTTTGATGTGCATTTTCCTGATTACTATTGTGGTTGAGCATCTTTTCATATGTTTGTTGGCCATTTGGATTTTTTCTTCTGGGAATTGCCTCTTCAGATCTTTTGTGTATTTTTTCTATTGGTTTGTTTGTCTTTTCTTTTTGATATAAAGGAGCTTTTTATATGTCTTATACATTAATCTTTTGCTTATTAAATATGTTGCAAATATTTTCTCCTAGTGTGTCACTTATCTTTTAATACTATTCGTGTTATTTTCTGGCATATAGAATTTACTGATTTTGTAGTCAGATCAGTACTTTTTTTCTCTCTCTTTCTAACCCCAAGTGAAATTAAAGAAAAAAAATTTAAAGAGGTAAAGTCTCCTAATCCTCTTGTGTGTTTATTTTTTAAAATTAGCATAATTTAAAATTGACTGTTTTCCTTGGTATACAGTACTATGAATTTTCATAAATGTGTAGATTTGCATAACCATCACTTCATTCAGGATAAGGAAAAGCTTCATCACCCAAAAATATCCTTGTGCTATTCCTATTTAGTTACATTTTTCCCTAACCCCCAACTGTTGGCACCTCTGATCTATTCATTACTATTGTTGTATCTTTTCCAGAATGTCATTTAAATGAACTCATTGAGTATATAACTTTTTGAGATTGATTCTTTTACTGGGCATGATGTCTTTGAAATTAATTTAAGACATTGCATGTATTGATAATTCTTTCATTTTCATTGCTGAGCAATATTCCATTGTGTGGATATAGTTACAGTATTCATCCACTGAAGGTCATTTGGGTTGCTTCCAGTTTTTGGTGATTATGAATAGAATGATTATAAATATTCATGCACAGGTTGTTGTGTGAAAATAAACAGAAATTTTTAATTTTGACATGATCCAATCTATCAATTTTTTTCTTTTATGGATTGTGCTTTTATTGTCATCTCTAAGAACTCTTTACTTAACCCCTGCTTACAATGATTTTCTCCTATGTTTTCTACCTAAGGTTTATAATTTTGACTTTTACACTTAAATCTATGAACCATTTCGAGTTAACTTTTGCTGTAAGCTGTGAAGTTTGGCTCAAGTTTTATGTTTTGCATATGGATGTTCAATATTTCTATTTTGTTGAAAAGACTGTCTTTTTTTCACCTTGACCATTTATCCAAATCAATTGGCCATAATTGTTGGATCTCTTTTTTTATTTTCTCCACTTTATCTATGTGTTTATCTTTTCACCAATACCACACTGTCTTGATTAGCATAGCTTTACAGCAAATCTTAAAATTAGGTAGTGTGATTCCTCCAATTTCATTTTCTTTTCCAAAATTGTTTGACTTTTCTAGTTCCTTTGACTTTACCTACAAATTTTAGAACCAATTTGTAGCTCCAAAAATTGCTGCTGTAAATTAGTTTCAGGAGTATGAGCATCTTTACTATGTTGAATCATTCAGTCCATGAAGACAGTGTACTTCATCGTTTATCAAGGTCTTTATTTAAAAATATTTTTTATCAGCATTTTGTAGTTTTATTATTCAAATCCTTTAAATGTTTTGTTAGATTCATACTTAAATATTTCAATTTTTTGAACCACTGAAATATTTAATCTTTTACCATTAACTGTTAATATATGGATCATATTGACAAATTTTCAAACATTGAACCAGTCTTGCATTCACAAATAAACCCCCTTGGTCATGGTGTACTATTCCTTTTATGTATTGCTGGATTTGACTTGCTATTATTTTGTTGAGGATTTTTGTGTCTATGTTTATAAGGGATATTGGTCTACAGTTTTCTTTTTCTTGAAGTGTCTTTATCTGGCTCTGGTATCAGTGTAATGCTAGGCTCATAAAATAAGAAGTAGTATCTCTTCTATTTTCTGGAATAGAGTGTGTAGAACTGGTGTTGTTTCTTTCTTTAAATATTTGGTAGAATTTGCCAGTGAAACTATCTGAGCCAGAAGATTTCTTTTTACAGAAGGTTTTAAGACACAAATTTAATTTCTTTATTAGTTATAGGACTAATTGGGTTGTCTATTTCACCTTGAGTAAGTTTTGGTAGTTGGTGATTTTTAGGACATTGATCCATTTCATGTACGTTGTCAAATTTATGAGTATAGAGTTATCGACAGTATTCAATTATTATTCTTTTAATATCTATGAGGTGCAGTGATATCCCCTTTTTCATTTCTAATGTTAGTAATTTGCATTTTCTCTCTTTTTTCTTTTGTCATTTTTACTAGAAGTTTATAAATGTTATTGATCATTTCACAGAACCAGCTTTTGGTTTCATTAATTTTCTCTGTTGCTTTTCTGTTTTCTATTTCATTGATGTTGGCTCTTGTCTTTATTATTTTCTTCCTTCTCCTGGCTTTAGATTTCTATTGCCCTTAATTTTCTAGTTTGTGAAGGAGAAAGCTTAGATTGATTCAAGACCAGTCTTCTTTAATACTATAAGCATATAATGATAATGCTATACATTTCCCTCTTAGCTGTATCATACACATTTTGATATTTTGTATTTTCATTTTTATTAAATTCAAAATATTTTCTAATTTTCCTTCAGAGTTCCTCTTTGACCCTTGGATTGTTAAGATATATTTTGTTTAAAATCCAAATGTTTGGAGAGTTGTCTTTATGTTATTGGTCTGTGTTCTATTACTGTCAGAGATCATAGTTTGTATGATGTTGAATATTTTTAACTTGTTAGGATTATGGTCTGTCTTGGTGAATGTTTCAAGTATACCTGAAAAGAATGTTTAATCTTCTGTTGTATGAAGTGTTCTGTAAATGTCAATTAGATCCAGTTGTTTAATGATATTGCTCAGCACTGCTATATCTTTGTGTGTGTGTGTGTGTGTGTGACAGGGTCTCACTCTATTGCCCAGGCTGGAGTGCAGTGATGTGATCTCAGTTCACTGCAACCTCTGCCTCTTGGGTTCAAGTGATTCTCCTGCCTCAGCCTCTCAAGTAGCTGGGATTACAGCCATACGCCACCATGCCTGGCTAATTTTTGTATTTTAACCCTTACCATGTTGGCCAGGGTGGTCTCAAACTCCTGACCTCAAGTGATTCACCTACCTTAGCCTCCCAAAGTGTTGGGATTACAGGCGTGAGCCACCACACCCAGCCTGCACCCCTATATCTTAACTGATTTCTGTCTATTGGTTCTATTAATTATTGAGAAAGGAGTACTTGAGTTTCAAAATATAATTGTGGATTTGTTTATTCTTCTTTCAGCTCTGTTATTTTTGTTTCATCTGCTTTGCGACACTGATGCCAAATGTAACCATATTTAGGATCATTATGTCTTCTTATTAAATTGACTATTGTTTCATTACATTATTTCCCTCTTTATGTCTGGAATATTTATTTGCCAAATATTAATATATCCACAACTTTTTTTAATCAGTGTTTGCATGGTATTTTTTAACCTTTTCACCATATATTATTACATTTTTGCATAACACTATTACAAACATATTTCTTATCTACCTATATCATATATCCAAAGTGTGTTTCTTGTAGCCAGCATATAGATGGGTCACATTTTAAAAAATTCATTCTTCTAATCTGTCTTTTAATTGATGTGTTCATACCATGTGCATTTAATTTAATTATTGGTTTCCTTGTATTTCGAACTACCATTTTATTATGCATTTTTTGTTTCCTCAGTTTTTCATTCCTCTGTTTCCCCCTTTCTACCTTCTGTGGGGTTATTTGAACACATTTCTTATTCCATTTAATTTATTAACTATATTTTTTGTATCTTTGTTATGAAGTAAATGTTTGTGTCCCCCAAAATTCATATGTAGAAACCCTATCCTCCACTGTGGTGGTATTGGGAGGAAATTACCTTTGAGAGGTAATTAGGATTAGATGAAGTCATAAGGGTGAAGCCCTCAGATGGGATTAGTGTCCTCATAAAAATCATGAGAGAGCATCTTTCCTCTTTCAGCTCTACACCATGTGAGAATACTATGAGAAGTCGGCAGCCTGCGACCTGGAAAAGGGCCCTCACCAAAATTTGGCCATGATGGCACCCTGATCTCAAACTTCTAGTCTTTAGAACTGTGAGAAATGAAATTCTGTCATTTATAAGCCACCCAGTGTATTGGGTCTTATTATAGTAGCCCAAACTAAGACAATAGCTTTTTTAGTGGTTACTGTACAATATACACACTTAACTTTTTACAATCTACTTAGAATCAGCGATTTACCACTTCAAATGGAATGTGGAAATCTTACCATTTTATAGGTCCCTCCTCCATTTTATGTTGTAGTTTATAAATTATACTTACATATGTTGAAAACATCATCTTTTAATAAATGTTCAAACATTTTTACGTACATTTACTTATTTATCAACTTTATAATCAGTTTGTCTGTGCCCTTAAAACATTCATCTGGGGTTTGATTGGAATTTCAATAAAGTTGTAAATACTTGGGGGAGAATGACCACTGCTAAATAAAATGCCTGGTGTCTAGTAAATAATTATTGAGTGAATGAGAAATTTGTACTATTGAGAGTTCCCATAGTGGAAGATGTTATGCCTTTCTATTTACTTACATATTTTAAGTTTTCTTTTAAAAAATATTTAGTCTAGTCTTATGTCATGGTAATTAATCTACACATGAGTGGTTTCAACTGAGCCAACCATAATGACACTGTGACTCCCTTGACCATAACTGATTTGTTCAGGGATGCACACTTGACTCAAGCTGTGACAATCATAGCTCTTATAAGAAATTGAAAATTCAAGAAAAGAGAGAAATAGTTGTAGTTTCTCTGAGGTGCTGGATGCAGTAAGATGTGGGGCTCTTCTACTAAGGGCAGTTATGTCTGTGTTTCATAGAGAGGAAGAAGCAGAGACCCAGCTAGCCCCTTGCATCATGTGAGAACACGTGAGAAGGGACCTCTGCAAACCAGAAAGTGGGGCTGTCACCTGACATTGAGTCTGCTGATGTCTTGATCTTGGACTCCCCAGCCTCTAGAACAGTGAGAAATACATTTCTATTGTTTATAAACTACCCAGTTTATGGTATTTTGCCATAGCAGCTTAAACAGACTAAGACACTTGCCCTTCCTGCAGTTAACAGGGTGACAAAATTGTCCTTTTTGCTATGTTTATCAAGTTGGGTTTTTGTCATTTAAAACCCAGAAAAGATCTAACTATCATAAACGTCCCTAATGATTCAAAGAGGATTATCTCTAGGCTGCCAAGAAAATATACTACAGACACTACTTTCATGAATAGGTAATGATTATTATTATTATAATCAACTCAGTATTGCTATGTAAATGATAGCTTTTAAAGTATTTAAGGTACTTGAAAACTAGTTTCAAAAGTTGTTTAAACATTTTCCGTGCAATCTTGCCCAACTTAATTAGCCTGGTAAATTATAGTTAATATGAATCCATCAAAGATAAACTTCAGGCTAGCCTCTGTCAAATTACCTAAAATTATGTATTAATTAAGTAGTAAATTTTTTCAGGTGCTAGAATAAGCTACCATAATTAGAAACCAGAGATTTTCTAGAATATGAAAAGTCTTACAAGCATTTCAATAGTAACAGATCAGACTGCCAAATGAATTACTAGTGATACCATCATTACAGCAATGTCATTATTCTAAATGAAATGCTAAGAAAACCTTTAGCAGTTAATGCTTTAGGATGGCAAAGAAGGGCCCAGTGAATTACCTGTAATAATATATGAATGTTCATTAGCCCCTTTTGCTCAAATCTACATAACTAGGTCTTGTTATTTTCTGCTAAAATACCTGCCTCATCTTAAACCCACATTCACTCAGACTCTGAAGCCAACCCTATTCCTTCTCTAGTTTAAGGGGAATTTAAAAGCCCTTCACCAGTAGCATCGAGGTTCATGGTTAAGTCAGCTTTAAGGTTATTCTTGCTGTAATCTTGTTTCCTATTTAAGGCTCAGCTCTCTACCTGTCAAGGGTCCAGTAAAGTTCCACGGCCCTTGAGGATGAGGAACCAGTCTAATCCCATAGGTCTTAGATCCAGAGCCTTGTCCCTGAACCCTGGTAGTTGCATCTGGGCCCTATTATTGTTATGGGACCTTTGGGGTGTCGCTTTTCTGGCCTGAAACCTCTGGCCTGTGGTGCCTCTGCCCAAGTTTTGCTCAGGCCCATTGGGCTCATGCTGCCCACTTGGCCTGGCAGGCTGCACTCGGCTCACACTACTGGCCTAGATCGCATGCCTGCCAAGGGTGAATCAGTCATGGAGCGGTGAGGGGTGTGTGAGTGAGCATGGGATCCAGCCACTGCACAGTCAGACACGCTGGCTGCTGCAGCTGGGTGGGCCAGCATGGGCGCCGGCTATTTGCCAGGCTGTGAGGGTGTGGATGGACCAGGCACACTGCAAGCAGCTTCCCTCGTTGGCACCAGAGACCACAGTGGAACCCGTAAGCTTGGAAATGCCAGGCACCGCACACCTCCAAAGAGAGAGTCACAGCCCTGGCTCAGGGAGCTCCCAGGTCTGGGCTCCCCAAGGGGCTGCAGCTCTTCTCTCCTTCTCTTCACCCACAACATGGTGAGCAAGGGGCATATTTAAGCCCTGTTTGTGTTACAGCTCTTTTAGCTCCACCATTCAGTGGGTTCCGAGTTCTTGTCCTGCAACCAGGAAGAATGAGGTATGCAGATAAGTGGAGGGTGAACAAGATGAAGAGGAGCTTTATTGAGCAATAGAACATCTCACAGAGGACCCACAGTGGGTAGCTCCTTTACGCAGCCAGGGTGTCGCATCAAGTGTTCAGCTCCTAGCACAGAGGAGACCCTGGAGTTGGAAGCTCCTCTCTGCAGGCAGGTTGTCCTGTTGTCTTCCCAGCTCTCAGCAGAAAGGAGGCCCTGGAGTGGGTCTACAGGTAGGCTGTCTTGTCACCTCCCAGCTCCTGGCAGAGAGGAGGCACTGGAGTGGATTGCTCCTCTCTGCTGCCAGTTGTCCCAATGTCTCTTGCTATCAGCAGAAAGTGTTGCTCCTCTCTGCAGCTGGTCATCCCATTGTCTCCTCAACTGTGGCTGAGCCTGGGTTTTTATGGGCCTCAGAGGGGAGGGAGCGTGAAAGGATTGGGCCATGGGAAAGGCACCAGGAAAGGCACCGCAAGTTCCCACTCCGGTCTGTGAGACTGGCAACCCGGCCCCCAGCCTTCAGGCCCTCCATGGCCTGAAGGTGGGAACTCATGGGGATCCACTGCCTTCCACCCAGGAGTCTCTCTGCCTCCTGCTGCTATTCATGGTGCCCAGGGCTCTGCCTGATGTTCTGAGATCTGAGTGGGCTCAGAGAGCAGGGAGAAGCCAGGCAGCAGGAGGAGGCACTTCCGAGCCTGCCAGGTCAGGGGGGCCTTCCTGGACCCCCAAGAGTGCAGGGATATCTGAGTCTGCTGCTGCGGCTTCAGCAGCAGCAGCTGCACCTGGGGTGGGGGTGGGGCTCCTACCTGCTCCATGGAGCAGGAGCCTGGGTCTGCACCCAGCTGGTTTACCTGCCAGACTGTGAGCCCCTTGAAGTCAGGCACAGAATTCTATTCATCTTACATTCTAAGTACTTACAAATACTTCTGAACCTTCATAGATAGTCAGTCAACATGTATAATAGTAAAGTTGAGGTACAATAATACTTAAAAAATTTCTCTATTAAACAATATATTACCATCCCCAGTTACTCAGAAGACCTGAGAGACACTTTGTTGATTAGTAATCTTGTACCACAAAATTCTGTCCCTCTACTAAGTGCCGTGATACGCAGGAAAAAGTAACAAGACCCCACTATTTTACTCCATCTAAATTTGTCTTGAATATTCAGAATGATGCCAACGTTCTTCAGGCCACAATAGTACCAGACTCAAGGACAATACTGAATTTTTCCAACCTACTTCAGTGCGTCTTTGATCTTTGGCTTTAGAGCATTCAGCAATTTTCATAATGAATTATGGCATCCTGGATTTTACAGTGATAATTATAAAATAGTCATGCTAAAATATCAACAACCATTAAAAAATATAGGAATGTATGGTATAAAAGTTAAGATCACATGATCTAGAGTCACACTTGTGATTAAATCCTGGATCTGGCTGTGTAATGTTAGTCTAATATTCACTTAACTTCCATAATGGTGAGTTTTGTCCTCTTACTATGGGGACACGATTAAATGATTTAAAGTGTCAAGCATAATGTCAGGCACATAGAAAGTACTTATAAAAAAGTATTTGCTTATCATTATTAGCTATTATAAACTTGTAGGAGAAGCAACATCTCTTTTTTTATAATTTATTAATCAAAAACTGTTTATTGAACACCTTATTATGTGAGAAACACTGAGCTAATTATTTTGGGGAATATGAAGCTGTAAAATGCAATGTCTGAGGACTAAAGTTTATAATTCAAAGGAGGGGTAAGTCACGGACCAAAAACTAGACCCAAGGACAGAAAATAGGAAGTGACCCATGAGAAGCATATACAAAACACTTCCAGAGTTTAGTGGATGGAGGGTGAACACACAGGTCTCAGAGAGGAGGAGCCCTGGGCATCCATCCTGCACATTCTTGCACATTCCTGCTCTGTGCAATGATGTGCACATAAAAGGTGTCCCATAAATGTCTGGTTTTCTGTCCCTTACCCGCAATGTTCTGAACCAGTAAAAAGTAGTTGCTCTTAAAAAAAAAATGCTAATCTGAGTAATTTAAGGGATTTTTTTGCTTCTACTATTTATGATTCTACCACAGTGATATTTAATTGTATGGTATTCTTTAAGAACGTGTAAAGGGATCCTTGCAAGTCTGCCTAATAGATACTCATTAATTCAGCCAAGCTAAAAGAGCTGTAAATGAAACTGACAAATACTATTATCCCACTTGCTATATTTTTCTTTTTAAAATCAGCAGAATATAGTTTGAGGCTCTCTAAACTTCTGACACTGTGCTGGGAGCCAAAAGGCCACAGATAATTAATGTGGAATGGTGCTGAGTCCATTTCTCTTTCATCTTTAATATGTAGTAAAAGCCACAGGAATATCCAGTCCAGAGGTTTGAAATCAGTAGCCTTGATGTCCCTTAAAAGGCATCAGATGTAATTACCCTCACCCCTATCCTCCCCTTCCTTTTATGTAGGCAAAAGTGAGGAAGTGCCTGGGTCAGTAGAGGAGAGTTAGCTTCCTGCACTATGTCCTTTGGAGAGAGGTGAATCTTGTCCGCCTGTAAGGGTGGGAAGAGAGGTCCTTCCCAGGGGTTTATGCTCTGGGGAATGAAGAACAAGCCTGACTATTTTGGTGACTGATGCCAAGATTATAAAATCTGCGTTGAGTTTATATCCAGTCAGAGTTTATAGATGACTATGTATCAAGTTTTGAGGGCTTTAGAGCCAGCCCTGAAATCCTTAAATGCCAGGGCCTCGAATGACACCATTCAACATTTATTCCTTTGAGTTCTGCATATCTTGTCTTTGCAATTCTCCTTTTAAACACAAATGGCTCCGGGAGACAAAATGTTGCTGAATACTGTTATACTTTAGCAAGAATTGGTTTGTCAATATCCCTCTCATCGTCATCATCATCATTATCATCATCATCGTCATTCACAGCCATCACTTATTGAGTGCCTGTTTTATTCCAGGCATGCCATATCTGGGATAGAAGTGGTAAATACACAGAAGCTTAAACACAAATTTAGAATCATTCTTAGCAGTCATACATGGGGAAGACAATTTTAAATTATTTAGCAAAATTCTTCAAGTCAAGTAAGTTGTTTTTCTCTGGTCAACTTCTAAGTATCCAGTTCCTTACATTAGCACAAAATAGCTTATATTTGGGTTTGAAATGTACATTGTGCTTGTGCTTTTGTTTAAATGTAAGTGTGCCCATTACTCTGGGAATTCGAGATTACTTCTAAACAAACGATAGCATTGCACTCTCTGAAAGTCTCTATTGGATGGGAAACTGTCTGGGTTCTAAACAACCTTCTTTTTTATTTGTATAAATTTATGGGGTGCAAGTGCAATTTTGTTTCATGCATAGATTGCACAGTGGTTAAGTCAGAGCTTTGAGGCATCCATCTCTCAAATAACATATATTGTACCCATTAAATAATTTCTCACCTTCCACCCACCTCCACTCCCTAACAACCTTTTCCGGGATGTCAACCGGCTCACCACTCCACCACGGCAGGGAAGAGCACAATGTCTTTGAAACTGATGCAACCTCCACTCAGACTTGGGCATCCATGCTGCACATTCCTGGATTCCTGGCTGGGCGAGGTCAGGGTGGGAAGAGAAAGAAGGGAGATGTTCACACTCTCCCAGGAAGAGCAAGTATTACAAATGGAGGATTATTTGGTTCTCTCTCAATCTCTCCCTCTCGCTCTCTCTCTCTCTTTCTCTCTCTCTCTCCCCCCGACCCCTCTATCCTCCTCTCTGTGTGTGTGTGTGCATGTGTGGAAAAAATATATATTCTTATCAAGAGATATATGCTAAGGTGCAATTTTCTGCTTTTGTCACAGATCCTTGTGCAAAAATCTTAATTAGACTGCTACTTTATAGAGTCACAACTGGACTATCCAGGCCCACCACAGGGTGTCTGCTGGTGTTACTGGCTGTCTTGGCACTTAGGTCCCCATCTAAGCTGTTTCCCATGTGCACCAGAGACTCTGCCTTTTCTGTGATTGTATGATGATAGTTGAGTTACTCTATAACTAATAGTAATTTATTTTAGTCACCTGTGGCCACCAATACAGATTTGAAATTCAAATGCACTCAGTTGAAAGTGGCACACTTACCCAGCACAGAGCCTTCTCTTCCTTTACTTAAAATTGCACTTGCTTCCAGTCCCAAGCACTCCCACCTCCCTTCCCTCATTTACTTTTCTTTTTTTTTCTCAAAACATGTTTCACCATCTGACCTATTATATGTTCTATTTATTTATTGGTTTGTTTTCCATGTTCTCACCAGAGTAGAAATGAGCTCTCAAAGTAAAGAAATTTTTTTCTTGTGTTGATTATTTTGTGCCTAGCAAGCATTAGCATAATATCTGGCACATGATAGGTACTTAATAAGTAACTACTGAGTCTAATAAATAGGTAAAATTGTTCCATAATCATTTGATAAATGCAAAAATAGTACAAGAAAGATGGGAACTTTTAAAGCTACAGAAAAGCACCAAGAAGAAAATAAAAACACCCTCAGCCAGAAATGTTAATATTGTGGCATGAATATATCCAATGTTTTTTTCTCAATTTGTCCTTGATTAACATTACACTGCACATTTTGGCTTGTAATCTGTTTTTCACATGTAAGCAGTTTCTCATATAATAAAATTTTCTTCTACTGCATGATTTTAATGGGTACATAATATTTTATGGTATAGCCATACCATAAGGTATTTAATTAGTCACTTGTTGACTATTGAGTTTTTTGTTTTGTTTTGTTTTGTTTTGTTTTTTGAGACTGAGTTTCACTCTATTGCCCAGGCTGGAGTGCAGAGGCACGATCTCGGCTCACTGCAACCTCCGCCTTCTGGGTTCAAGTGATTCTCCCTCGTCAGCCTCCTGAGTACCTGGGATTACAGGCACCCGTCACCAGGCCTGGCTAACTTTGTATTTTTAGTAGAGATAGAGTTTCGCCATGTTGCCCAGACTGATCTCGAACTCCTGACCTCAGGTGATCCATCGGCCTCAGCTTCCCAAAATGCTGGGATTGCAGGCATGAGCCACCTCGCCCAGTAGACTATTGAGTTTTATTATAGGAGACTTCTTTGAAAATCCTTTTTGCTGCCATGTATCTAATTCTTCTCTATAAGAAGCATATGGAATAAACAAACTGAGAATAAGTATCCTTTCTTAAATAAGATGTGTCATAGACCACATAACTCTTCCTAGAAATAAGCAGCATAGATGCCATAAAGCAAGTACTGGTTAATACTGAGGGTCAACTTGATTGGATTGAAGGATGCAAAGACCTGTTCCTGGGTGTGTCTGTGAGGATGTTGCCAAAGAAAATTAATAGTTGAGTCAGTGGACTAGGGGAGGCAGACCCACTCTCTATCTGGGTGGACACCATCTAATCAGCTGTCAGCATGGCTAGAATAAAGCTGGCAGAAGAAAGTGGAATGAACAGACTTGCTGAGTCTTCTGGCCTTCATCTTTCTCCCATGCTGGATGCTTCCTGTCCTCAAACATTGGATTCCCCGTTCTTCAGCTTTTGGGAACTTACACCAGTGGTTTGCCAGGGGCTCTCAGGCCTTTGGCCACAGACTGAAGGCTACACTGTCGGCTTCCCTATTTTTGAGGTTTTGGGACTTGGACTGGTTTCCTTTCTCCTCAGCTTGCAGACGGCCTATTGTGGGACTTCACTTTGTGATCGTGTGAGTCAATTATTTTAATAAACTCCCTTCAACTATACATCTATCCTATTAGTTCTATCCCTCTAGAGAACCCTGGCTAATACAGCAAGAGAATGTCCACAAAAAGTTTTCTTGTTTGCTTGATTGTTTACCTTAAATTCTTTATAAAGGAGGGCAAAACCTGCTCTTCAATGTCCCAAATGAGATAAGAGAATTTCCCACAATTTCTGCCTTAGGAAAACAATGTCTTCTATAAAGGGGATCAGATCAAACTCCTTTTGCTTCTTGCAGTGGCCACCCAGAAGTTGACCAGGTGACTCAGTCAACTTTGCCAAGGTCACCTCCATCATCAGATGAGGCCGTCTAGGACTCAGGACCACACAGGGAAATATGGACTTACCTTGGGCCAAGGGCAGGGGCAATGGGGATGAAATATGTGTTACTAGGTATTGCCAGACACTGTGTCTTACAGGGAGTAGAAAGCTTTCAGAGGGGTCTATGTCTACTAGTGTCCTGTAATTTTCATCTTATATCTACCAAAAAGATATGATCTTACCCAAAGAAGAAATTGTCCCTAATTTTAGCAGCCCTCTAACAGTGTTGCTTCTAAGTTTTCACATTTATAAATAGTGCTGCTTGATTATCTTTATAATAAATTTTGGTGCACATCAATGATTGTTTTCTGAGGTTAAATTTCTGAAAGATATGTTAATAAGTAAAAGAACATTGAGATTTTTGGCTTTGAAATTTTTGCTGGTGTGTCCTCAGAAAAGTTGTACCAATGTACCTACCATTAGCAGTTGACAAGCCTCTTTTCTTACAGTCTTACCAATTGCCAGTTATCTTTTTGAAAAAAAATTAAGTATATATTTCATACATATTTAAAAGGTTTATAGACAGGTTTAAACTCATTTCACAACATCATTTCTAATTAGGTGTGAGTTTCATAGACCTCAGATGGTACTGTAGTGGGACTTGAGACCATGTTACAGATAGCATCTCCAGAAGAGCTTCTTAGAGAGATTTTTATCTAGTTGCATCATATATTTTCAAAATATTTCCATTCTAAATATATGTCTGTATACTTTCAAGGAATGTAAAATTCAAAGTATGAGCTACCAATGACTTTCTTCACAGAATTGGAAAAAACTACTTTAAAGTTCATATGGAACAAAAAAAGAGCCCGCATCGCCAAGTCAATCCTAAGCCAAAAGAACAAAGCTGGAGGCATCACGCTACCTGACTTCAAAGTATACTACAAGGCTACAGTAACCAAAACAGCATGGTACTGGTACCAAAACAGAGATATAGATCAATGGAACAGAACACAGCCCTCAGAAATAATGCCGCATATCTACAACTATCTGATCTTTGACAAACCTGAGAAAAACAACCAAGGGGGAAAGGATTCCCTATTTAATAAATGGCGCTGGGAAAAATGGCTAGCCATATGTAGAAAGCTGAAACTAGATCCCTTCCTTACACCTTATACAAAAATTAATTCAAGATGGATTAAAGACTTAAACGTTAGACCTAAAACCATAAAAACCCTAGAAGAAAACCTAGGCATTACCATTCAGGACATAGGCATGGGCAAGGACTTCATGTCTAAAACACCAAAAGCAATGGCAACAAAAGCCAAAATTGACAAATGGGATCTAATTAAACTAAAGAGCTTCTGCACAGCAAAAGAAACTACCATCAGAGTGAACAGGCAACCTACAAAATGGGAGAAAATTTTCGCAACCTACTCATCTGACAAAGGGCTAATATCCAGAATCTACAATGAACTCAAACAAATTTACAAGAAAAAAACAACCCCATCAAAAAGTGGGCAAAGGATATGAACAGACACTTCTCAAAAGAAGACATTTATGCAGCCAGAAGACACATGAAAAAATGCTCATCATCACTGGCCATCAGAGAAATGCAAAACAAAACCACAATGAGATACCATCTCACACCAGTTAGAATGGCAATCATTAAAAAGTCAGGAAACAACAGGTGCTGGAGAGGATGTGGAGAAATAGGAACACTTTTACACTGTTGGTGGGACTGTAAACTACTTCAACCATTTTGGAAGTCAGTGTCGCGATTCCTCAGGGATCTAGAACTAGAAATACCATTTGACCCAGCCATCCCATTACTGGGTATATACCCAAAGGACTATAAATCATGCTGCTATAAAGACACATGCACACGTATGTTTATTGCGGCACTATTCACAATAGCAAAGACTTGGAACCAACCCAAATGTCCAACAAAGATAGACTGGATTAAGAAAATGTGACACATATACACCATGGAATACTATGCAGCCATAAAAAATGATGAGTTCATGTCCTTTGTAGGGACATGGATGAAATTGGAAATCATCATTCTCAGTAAACCATCGCAAGGACAAAAAACCAAACACTGCATGTTCTCACTCATAGACGGGAATTGAACAATGAGAACACATGGACACAGGAAGGGGAACATCACACTCTGGGGACTGTTGTGGGGTGGGGGGAGGGGGGAGGGATAGCATTAGGAGATATACCTAATGCTAAATGACGAGTTAATGGGTGCAGCACACCAGCATGGCACATGTATACATATGTAACTAACCTGCACATTGTGCACATGTACCCTGAAACTTAAAAGTATAATAATAATTTTAAAAAAAAATTCAAAGTATCAAAGTAGTAGGTAGCCAGATGCAGTGGCTCACACCTATAATCCCAGTGCCAAGGCAGAAGGATCACTCGAGGCTAGGAGTTCAAGACCAGTCTGGGCAACTTAGTAAGACCCCACATCTACAAAAGAATATATATATATTAGTCAGGCATAGTGGCGCATGCCTGTAGTCCCAGGTACTTGGGAGTTTGAGGCAGGGGGATTGCCTGAGCCCAGGAGTTCGAGGCTACTGTGAGCTTTGATCGCACCACTCCAGCTGGGCAACAGAGTGAGACTGTCTCTCTCGCGCTCTCAAAAAAAGTAGTAGGTAATTCTAAATGAGAATCCAAACATGACTATGCCATTATATTCAAACCCAAATCTAAGAACTTGGATTTTGTTTTGCTGTTTTTTGTTTTTTTTGAGACAGGGTCTCACTTTGTCACCCAGGCTGGAATGCAGTGGCATAATCACGGCTCACTGCAGCCTTGACCTACTGGGCTCAAGCGAGCCTCCCACCTCAGCCCCCACCCCAGGTAGCTGGGACTACAGGCATGTAGTAGTCCCAGTAGGCTAAATTTTTTGTATTTTTTTAGAGGCAGGGTTTTGCTATGTTTCCCAGGCTGATCTCAAACTCCTAAGCTCAAATGATCTGCCCACCTCGGCCTCCCAAAGTGCCAGGATTACAGGTGTGAGCTACCACACTGGGCCACAAGCACTTGGATTTTGGGATAAGCATAGTTTCTCTCTTATGGACAATTCTGTAGGGCTCTTTCATACATAGGTAAAATAGGATGCATAGTTATAGTGCAATTTTCTAGAGAATTTTGCAAAATACAACATTTTTGTAATTACTGCTGAAATACCTGGATTTATTTCCATGGATTCTAAGCCACAAATGCACATTTATTTTTCTGGGAACATCCCAAGAACTATAAACCCAAGCTTTTAAAAGGAATGTAGATCCTTTTTGTTATCAGCCAGTATTGCTGGGTGACCAGAGAATCTTTTTGCTCTTTGTTTGCATTCTTGGGGTCAGCAGGGAGTTCAAATTAGTCCAGCCCTATTGCTGCTTTTTGGCATACACCGTGCTGGCAATATTTCTTTTTGCCTCATCAGTCCCAGCTTGAATGTTCACATACAGCCAACTCTTCCCTGTACCTCCTATGAGATGGTCTGAGCCCATTTGAGCCTGATTTAAGGTTTACTTCATCTATAAAATGAGATTTCCTGCATCCCAAATCCTACATGATTGCATTTGAATCATCAAAGCTTTGATCTCCTTCATTTGGTTTGGATCTTTGATGTACCATGTTATCAATCATTAAAGGTATTTTTAATTTTTGTATCCACAGCTACAATTCATTTGTTTTTCCACATTTTTAACCTGTCTCATTTTCACCCAGGACCTGGAAGGCTGTTCCTTCCATGGTTGAGCTTCTTGGATCTACCTGTCTTGTTTTAGAAAGGGTTAAAAGTATAGAAAAGGCAAGAAAAAGTATAAAAAATTACAGAAAAGTTTAAAAGTGTCTATCCCCTGGTTTGCAATCTCATATTCCCAAAATGTCTAACAATATTGTTATTTGAAAGGCACTGTCCAAACAAACATATTGCCCCTATTGACCTGAAATTATAAATATGCTTATTTTTTTATATATTTTTTGTCCAAGACAAAAAATGCATAAACACAGCTGATTTTTTGTCCAAGACATGTTCACCAGAAATTTCTGTTAAATAAAAATGTTATCTTAGACAATAACGTATTTGTGTTTAATAGATTGCCATGTTATATTAGTAAGAAGCATGACCCTAACAAAATGTGGGAAAAGAGGAGAGGAGGTCAGAATATAGGATTCAGAGCATAGGAAGCACAGGTGTAAATGGAAAACTGCAATGAATGCCCCAAGAGAACCCTATGCTAACCCCTAGGGAGGCATCAAAGAGGACAAAGCACACACACATAGTAGCAATGTCTGTCTATTATTAGGGACCTAGGATGTTTCAGGAATGTGACATAGTAATTTTATGTATTCAAATTCATAAAACCTGATGACCTCTCTGGCATCCATGTGTGATCACTTCCTACACAGAGGCTCAGCAAAGCTCAGGGACTAGCCCAAGCTTGAGGTGCTAGCAAGGGCCAGAGCTCAAGCTGGGCATGGCTGCCTGGCCCAATACCATTTCATGTACTTGCCGCTTGCCATTGATGTCCCCAGTGAGGAGAAAGAGGGAAAGGGGAAGGGAAGCTTTCTGGGGACAAAGAGTTTACAATGCCTGGTGTCATCTCTGACATCTGGGACACTTAGCACCTAAGGAAATATGTAAAAATCAGCTAAAAGCAAAAGTTTAAGCCATGCAGTCTTCAGAGCTTTATAGATCACAAGGTTTATTGTAGCCAAATATAAAATGCAGTCTCATGTCTTTCAGATTCAATATTCTTTTTTGGAGGAAGATGTAAGAACCTGAACTTGTTTATTAATATTTCACCTTGTTACTACTTAGATACTTTATACTACTCATATACTATAAAAAAGTATTTACAGCAGATTTAATAGGCTAAAAATGACATCAACAAAAATACAACATAAATAAAAATAGTGGCATGAAATGAAATCACTGTTGAGATTAATCCAAAAGGGCACACCATCGGTCTGATAAACTTGCTATGAGTAAGCTCTTGTCTTTCCAGTATGGGACAAAAGAACAGGGTGATAACATATCAATTCAGTGTGCATAAAATGAGGTAATTCAATTGCTTAGATAAGAATCAGGCAAAAATATGTCCACAGGTCCATTAAATGAAAGGAAAACATCAAATTAATATTGATGTTTACAAGTAAGGCACCATGCCTAGAATATAACACATGCTTAATAAATGGCCATTATTAACATGATCATCCTTGAAAAAAAAAACAGTTGCTGTGGTTTCTGGTTTACAATGGCATCTCTTCACCAGTGACAAAACATATCTATGATGCAAAAGCAAAAATTCCTTATCAATACTGAAAACTAAAACTGACATATACTCTATTGCAAATAATGAGAGAACAGACAATGAAATATAAGCCCCGTGGTCTAAGTTGAATAAAACAATTTGTATTCAATGCATGTCATATTGCCAGAAACAGAGCAAATCTGATGGTTAAAAATAAAACAAAAGATACATTTTCCCCTCCCAACCTGTGACCTCTGGCTCAGAATTATAGTCTATGCCAGCTAACAAACTAAGCAGTTCACTCTTTTTGATGAGGTCAAAATAATGCTCTCCAGACCAAAATATCAGTACCTCAAATCCTAGAAAATAAAAGACAAGAAAGTAGGATTTAGTCTGGTATGACGCATGGTGCCCCAACATGGGTGATTCAAACAAGTCAAATTCTGCCTCAAGAACAAAATGAGCAGAGAACAGTGAAAAGACTAGCAGCAAGGAATGAGGCTTCTTGGGTGTCAGAAAAATAGCCAATAGGTAAGAAGATAATCTCATCACCTCTGTCAGTGCTCTGTGCAATGAACACCTACCTGTCCGAGTCTGAAGATGAAGCCAGAATTAGGTATACAAGATGATCACCAGCTATAGACCCCCATGGAGAGTGAGCAGAGCCAGAGGCAAGCAAACAACTGCCTATTGTCCAAGTCTAGGTCTGGATGGAGCTCTCTGATGGAGGCTAAGGAGAAAAAAAATAGTTCAAATATATTGCAGAACCTGGGGAAGAGATTTCAAAACAAACAAAGAACATACTTCTGAGACAAATATACTACTAAAGTCAGAAGAAAATTAGTAAACTGGCACTCTTAATTGCATACTAGACACAGGATCTTTATGATGTAAGAGCAGACAAGTCTTTACAAAATCATATTAGTTAGAACCAAAATTAATTGGGTTAAGATGTCCTGTTTAAACATAACAAAACCAATCTGCTTAGGTTAAGGGGGGAAAAGTAATCAATTCTATCTGCCTATAAAAGATATACATAAAGGAAATAATACGGAAAGGTCAGAAACAATGTATTATAGAGACTGAGAGGGGAAAAAACAGGCTAACCATAATTGGAGTAAATGAAAAAGGGGGAATCACAAAGATAATGCCAAAGGATTCAAGATAAAAGCATGGAACAAGTAAAAAAAGATCATTTTATATTACAAAAGGTAAAATTCATAATAAAGAGATTTTATATGTGTGAATCTGTAAGCCCTATATAATATAGCATCATTATAAATTCTAAAAACTGTTAGATATGCCAAGAAAAATGGACAAAAACCAATTATTGGAGTGCTAAGCTAAAAGCACATCTTGTGCTCTATAAACTTCTTTCACAATATCATGCAAATTTTACAAAAACTGTCATATATTCTCCACCAGAAACCTCAATAGTTTCCAATAAAAAGAAAACAAACTAGACATATGATCTGTCTACTTTGTATTAAAACAATAAATAACAAAAGTTTAAGCAACAATGAAAATTTTAACTTCTTTATAACAATAAACACATAGTTATCCTCCTCAGAATGATACTCTAAAAACTTTTAAAAACTATTTTTTAAAAACAGAACAATAGGTACATAATAGTTTTAGATGATAAAAATGGAAACAATAGTCTCAATGTTTAAAAAAGGAAAACAAGTAAGTCATTCAACTCTTTAGAGAAAAATATCAAAAAACCTAAAGAAAGAACTAAAGTGAATAAGATGTGTTTTAAACAGTCACACAAGTAAGCAACAAAGGAAGCAGAATAAAGTTGACAGAGCTCTGGCCGACTGAACTGCAGAGAAAAGAACAGTACAAGGAGTGAATAGATATAAGTGAGAATAATACGGAGAATGTAATGACAGACATAAATTTTAAAATTATAAAACAATGTGTTGTATTACTCAATGCTAATATTATAAAATTTCAATGAAATATAAGCCTTTTTTAAAAAATATAAATTATTGAAATTGACTGAAGAAGGAGTCAAAATCAAATAGACTCACAACTACAGTTAACACAGAAAAGGTGTAAAAGAAGTAGTGGCTCTGAAATCAAGTAGAGTTTTTTCACATGTTCAAAGAACAGCTAATGCTACACAAATTGCTCCTAAGAACAAAAAGATATAGGTAGCTACATAATTTATTTTATAACGCCAACACAGCTCTGATACTCAAGCAAAAAGAAAAGCTAATCCCTTTTTGATATATCCCAAAACCAGAAATAAATTGCTAGCAGACTAAATTCAAGGATATGTTATAAATCACCCAAGTGAAATTTATCCCTAGAATTCAGATCTATTAAATAAATTCAATAAGAAAAAATTACGGGATAGATAATAGACATGCTGAAAGAGATTTTTATACAGCCCATTCTTATTTTCTTAAGGATTAGAAAACTAGAAGTTGAAGACTTTCAACATTATTAAATCACCAAAGAATATCACATTTCAAGATAAAATACTAGAGGCATGCCTGTTATGATCAGGGGCAAAGCAAAAATATCTGCTATAATGTTATTGTACAAAATCATACACTGAGTTCAAGATAATAAAATAAAATATAAAGCAACCAAAACATAAAATGTTTTAAAACATGAAAAATAGGTGACAGCTTACTATTGTTTACTGATGACTTGATTATAGGTCAAAAACTTCTGTTGTGTCATTCACAGTCCTGAGTAATCCTATCACAGTTCTTTGGTTCGTTTGTTTTCTCTCCCATCATGGTCATTCAGCCACGCATCCTCCTCCGCCTAAGCAAATTATCTGCCCCTCTCTCATTAGATGGGAACCCTCTCAACTTCCTGCTACTCAGTCTACCAACCTACCTGCATCTGAACACAACCTCTTTCTTCTCCCACAAAATCCTAGTGATCTCACCCTTCTCCCTCCATCCTTTCCCACCTTCTCAGGAACTTTACATTATGAATTATCCCTTCTTGCTTTGACAATATCAACCTCTCCTTACTCCTGTTTCTCTTCAATTACTTCTTAAATATGATAAGTCTCTCCCATCTTTCCAGACTCCCTGTTCCTTCTCTTCCAATTCTATTTGGTTTTCATCTTCATGGCCCCTTCTTCTTTACAAAAATCTGGCAAAATTATTTATATTTATCACCCTCATTTTCTAGCCTTCTACTTGGTCCTTCAACCCATTCTGACCTGGTTCCATCTACACTACTCCTCAAAAGGAACTGTTTTAAAGACCATCAATAACCACCATGTCACTAAAGGTAATGAATATTTTTCAGTCTTTATCACATCTGTCGATCACTTCCTTCTTGAATTCTTGTTTTTCCAGGGAACCACACTCTACCGGCATTCCTCCATTCGTGGTCTCTCATCCTACTTGTCTGGCTTCTAAATGTTTGGATTTCTCAAACTTGTGCCCAGATAACAGTTTTCACTTTGTAATCTCTATTTAGGTTTTATTATCCATACCTGAAACTTATAAAGGAGAGCTATGCTGTCCTATGAGGTAGCCACCAGCCATATGTACCTACTGAGAACTTAAAATACGGCTCATCTGAACTGACACATGCTGTAAGTGCATACACAGATTTCAAAAATTTGGTATAAAAAAGAATGTGAACTATCTCGGTATTTTTATGTTGATTACATGTCAAAATAATATTTTGGATATACTGATTAAATAAAATGTATTATTTTGTATGGCTAATAGAAATTTCTAATTATGTATGTGGCCTGCATTATATTTTTATCAAGCAGTGGACTGATCTGGATAGACATTGGCCATTTCAAAATTTATGACTCTGGATAAGACCTTTTGTTTGAGCTCCAGATAACAAAATCCAACTGCTTACAGGTTTGCATTTTCATATTACATATTGTGGTGGTTATTAACATATTCTTTCAGCTCCAGATCAACTTTTTTATATTCTTGTGATGCTAGGACTGGAACTCTGCTGTTCGCATTCTTTCTTGTCCAACTGGCTGCCTTTAGTTCTGCCAGGGCATGCCCCAGCATCACCAGCGATAGTTAATAGTTCTTCACCCTGGCTGCAGCAGTTGGTTCCAGATTTTGTTCAGCACTCCAAAGCCAGCTTCATTCCCCAACCCCTCCTCCCTAAGAGTCCAGCATCAGCCAGTGCCAGGCTGGAGGTTTGGTGGTCTGCCTCTCAGCTCTGTAGGGTCCTTCCTCAAGCTCTAGATTCTAAAAACCCCAGCCTCTTCCCTTTTTCCACTCAGCCTTATGAGGAGTAGCTGCTTTCTCTTGTTACTAACTCTGAATTGCTTCAGTGTTTCCCTTTTGTTCTTTAAAATTTTCTGATACTTATTTAATAAATTCTGCAGATTATAATACTGTTAATAGAACTTGTGTGGTTTCTGGTTTTCTGAATGGAACTTGACTGATATATACAGGTGGTGCAAACAGAGCATGTTCAAAATGAAATTCATTCTCCCTACTCCAAAACTTGATCCTTTTTCAGTGCTCACTGTCTTAATAAATGGCATTAATAGCCACCCGGTTTCTCACGCCCTGAGGAAGCTCTGAGTGTCATCCTGATACTCATACATCTTCCATTAGCATGGCCTGTTTTACTCCCTAAGTATTATTGGCATCCACTCAGTTTTCTTCCTTTCCACAGTCAGCTTTATTGTCCAGTTTTTCAGGGGTCAACTGCTCTGCATCCACTCTTTATCTCCTTACAATCCATTCTTTGCACTGCAGCTTGATTGACCCATTCAATAGGCAAATTTGATTGTGCCACTTATCTCTTCAAAAGTTCTTCCTGGAAAGCCCTGGAAACTTTCACCTACTAACTCCTATTCATTCTTCATCTCTCAGCTGAAAGAGCCCCACCTCACATAAAGTTATTCAACATCAAGACTTGAATACATGAAGAGAAATAATAAATAAATAAATAAATAAATAAATAAATAAATAAATGGGATTTTTTCTAAATCAATTATAAATATAACATAAGGCTAATCAAAATGACCAATGGAAGGTGGCATAACTTTGACACTAAAACTTAATAACAGTAGCCCAAAATGTTAAACCGATCTCACTTATTAACATGGAAGCAAAAAATCTTTAATAAAGTAGTGGAAAATAAGATCTTTTCCTTTAATGAAAATAATACGCTATGGCCTAGTAGGATTCAGGAAAAGAAACCAAAATACTTCAACATCAGGAACTGAATTAATAACATTTATTTTACCAATTGAATAAATAAGAAATATGTGTCAATCACTATTTGCATTTGATAAAATGTATGATTTATTCATAAAATCTCAACCTGAAGACAACATCGTATGTAATATCAAAGCATAAAAACCAAGAAAAGAATGACCACGGTCTGTATCATCAAAGAGTAATGCAACAAGACCAAAAGAAAATGAAAGACATAAATACCAGAGAAGAGATAAAATCCCTGTTATATATAGAAGATAGGGTTGTCTCCCTGTAAAACCAGTCAACTGAGTTAGCTCTTATAAACATAGTGAAACCAGTATCTTTATGATATACCATTAAATTCAGTTAAAAGAATTAAAAGAGTCATTCCAAGTGGAAGCAAATATATTGAATATTGAAGAATAGACTTATCAAGTAATGTGCTACCGCAATATATTTTTTAAGCTACAATCAATTTTCTTGTAGGACATAAGAGAAATTTGAATTATTGTAGAGATGCCATGTACTTGAAAGCTTGAACGATATTAAAATGCCAATTTCTTTCCAAACAAAATCTTACACAAAAGGAATTTGACAAAAGCCAAACATTTCTAAACTTACGTAAAATAAAAATTACTTAATGAGAAGAGCCAACATTTTTGAAAAATAAAAATAAGAAATGAGGCTTGTCTTGTCAGAATTTAAAATCCATATATTATAGAGTGAAAAATGAATAAGCCCAGTTCAGTGGTGTGTGCCTGTACTCCCAGCTACTCTGGAGGCTGAGGCAGGATTGCCTGAGCCCAGGATCAAGTCCAGCCTGGGCAAAATAATGAGACTCTGTCTCAGAAAAAGCAAAATAAATCAGAAACAGAAAAGTCAAATACTGCATGTTCTCACATGTAAGCGGGAGCTAAATAATGTGTACATATGAACATAGAGTATGGAATAACAGACATTGGAGACATGGAAATGTGAGAGGATAGGAGAGGGGTGAGGGATGAGAAATTACTTAATGGGTGCAATGCGCACTACTTGGGTAATGGCTACACTAGATTGCACCATTATGCAAAATATCCATGTACCAAAACTTTGCTGGTACCCCCTACACCTATAAAATAAAAATTTTAAAAATTTTAATGAGATTAAAAGATTAAAAATATAAATATAAACTTTATTTAAAAATTATAAATAATAGGAGAAATGGCATAGAGGTGGGTAAAAAAATCAGACAATATAGAACATATGATTTTAGTACATAATAAATTTTCTACTTCAAAGCCATTGGTAAGTGATAGATTATTTAATAAATAGTATTGAAATATCTAGCTACTCATTTGAGAAAAAAGATGAATCTTTTCCATATCACAAAATCAAGTAAACTTCAGAGATTTAAATGTTTAAGAATAAAAGTTAGCTGGGCGTGGTGGCGGGCACCTGTAGTCCCAACTACTTGGGAGGCTGACGCAGGAGAATGGCATGAATCCGGGAGGCAGAGCTTGCAGTGAGGCAAGATCGTGCCACTGCACTCCAGCCTGGGCAATGAGCGAGACTCTGTCTTTAAAAAAAAAAAAAAGAAGTAAAAGCATTATATGAAAATTTATATAAAAATGAGGATATAGGAATGTTCAAAACAAAGTGAAAACTGTAGGAAAGAAAATATTGAAAATTTGACTACCTAAAAATTAAAAGTATACATACATTTAAAAAACACAAACAAACATAGGGAAAGAAACAAGAAAGAAATATTTGTAATATTTATTACAGAAGAGAACATGGGAGAGATATCTTACAAACCAGGAAAAAGATATATAACCCTATAAGAAATGAACGAAGAATATAAATTGGCAAAATAAAATATACGAATATTCAAAATGTTCAACATCACTAACAATCAAAGACCCTAACTGAAATTGCCTTGACATAACTTTCCCGCTTTTATTAAATTGGTAGAGACTCATAAATTATAGTAAACTGTGATAAGGATGTAATGAGACTAACACTTATTACAAACTTGCAGTAATTTTAAAAATTTGGTATCACTCCTTTTGCAATTAGGTTTTACAGTGTATATCATAAAAGTTTAAACAACTTTTAAGGAAATAATTTAAAATGTGGTAAACAGTTTATATATTGTCTAAGTATATTATTAAAGCATTTTTATTATTGAAAATCATTAGCAATCAATCATCAGTTATAATGGAATGATTACATATGGGATATCCACCATATATCCATTAAAATTCACATTTTGGGGAAATACGTGGTAATGTACTGATGTATCAGTTGAGATAGTTTTAGTTCAAGTAACAGGATCCTACTTTAGTAACAACCATCATGTTATAAGGAAACTGGGCTGTCTTACAGAACCAAAATAAATGCTGAATGAGGAAGCCTTAAGAAGGAACCGGCCAGGCACGGTGCCTCACACCTGTAATCCCAGCACTTTGGGAGGCCAAGGCAGGCAAATCACCTGAGGTCAGGAGTTCGAGACCAGCCAGACCAACATGGTGAAACCCCGTCTCTGCTAAAAATACAAAATTAGCTGGGTGTGTGGTGGCGCATGCCTGTAATCCCAGCTATTTGGGAGGCTGAGGAGGCAGAGGTAGGAAAATCGCTTGAACCTGGGAGGCAGAGGTTGTGGGAGCCGAGACTGTGCCACTGCACTCCAGCCTGGGCAACAAGAGCTAAACAATGTCTCAAAAAAAATAAAAATAAAAGAAGAAGAAGAACCCAACTAGGGGTTGCTCTGAAGTCCTCAGCAGCAGGAGCTCTCAATTCTTCTGGTGTGAGCACAACGATTCAGATGTGTCCACTTAACCATCATCCATCTCTTAATGCCTCCTTTCAGTTGCTAGAAGGCAATCTGGTTGGTGCAGCTTTGGTTACTTTCTCTCTGCTTGACTCAATCAGCCAAGCAAAGATTCAAGGTGGGTAGCATCAACGCTGCCTTGTAAGACAGCCACTCCAGTAAGTGCCTAGTACAACCTATGTTATAAGCCTCATTTTCCAAAACAAGGTCTAAAAGTGTATAGCCTAGTTTCACATATGTGGGTGTATATATTAAAATATTGGAGGAATATGGGAAGAAAATACTTCAAAATGGTAGCAGCTGTTGTCTATGAGTGGCAAGTTTATGAGTCACTTTTTATTTTCTTCACATCACCTGTATACACAGTAAAATTATTATTATAGCAATATAAATTTGGCTACAATTCCATTAGCCATTGGCTGTACTCCTCAGCTAAGTCCCCATTTTCAAACAAAAGTATGCTAAAAAGGGGAGTGTGGGGTGGCGGTGATAGGAAAATCAAACAGAGGGAAAGCCTGCTAAGGAAGTGCCAATCTCTTCTTGAGAAGTAGAAAGCTTAAAATGTGTGTCCGGTTGTTCCCGGTATTCTCATAGCCCGGTGTGTTAGTCCATTTTGTGTTGCTGTAAAGGAAAACCTGAGGCTGGGTGATTTATAAAGAAAAGGGATTTATTTGGCTCACAGTTGTGCAGGATATACAAGCATGGCGCCGGTGTTTGCTCCACTTCTGATGAGGCCTCAGGACTCTTCTACTCATGGCAGAAGGCGAGGGGAGAACAGATGTGACACATGGTGGGAGAGGGATTGAGAGAGGGAGAGAGAGAGGAAAGAAAAAAGAGAGAGACAGAAAGAAAGACAAAAAGAGTGGGTGGTTCCAGTCTCTTTTAAAAATAACTAGACTTGTGTTAACTCTTTACCTCAGGGAGTTCACTAAGCCATTCATGAGGGATTCACCTCCATGACCCAGACACCTCCCACTAGGTCCCACCTTCAACAATGGAGATCACATTTCAACCTGAGATTTGGAGAAGACATACTTCCAAACTGTATCACCTGGTTTCTCCAGATTGGATTCAAAATGGGCACCAGCTCATTAGAAGTTTCCTGGAATTACTGCTGATGTCCTGCAAGTCCCAGTCAGCCACAGGGCCCAGAATCATCCTCATCATTATTGTTAAATTGTCCATACTGCCCAAAGCAATCTACAGAGTCAGTATGATGTCTATCAAATACCACTCACATTCTTCACAGAAATGGAAAAATTAATCTTAAAAATGTATATGGAAGCAGCTGGGTGTGGTTGCTCATGCCTGTAATCCCAGTACTTTGGAGGCTGAGGCAAGTGGATCATTTGAGGTCAGGAGTTTGACACCAGCCTGGCCTACATGGTGAAACCCTGTTTCTACTAAAAATACAAAAATTAGCCAGGCGTGGTAGCATGCCTGTAATCCCAGCTACTCAGGAGGCTGAGGCAGGGGAATTGCTTGAACCCAGGGACAGAGGTTGCAGCAATCGCACCATTGCACTCCAGCCTGGGCAACAGAGCAAGACTCCATCTAAAAAAATAAAAAAAATATGTAGAACCACAAAAGACCCAGAATAGCCAAAGCTATCCTAAGCAAAAAGAACAAAACTGCAGGAGTTACATTACTTGAATTCAAGTTATACTACAGAGCTATAGTAAGCAAAATAGCATGGTATTGGCACAAAAACAGACACATAGAACAAAGAAACAGAATAGGGAATGCAGAAACAAATTCATTAATCTTCAGTGAACTCATTTTTGACAAAAGTGCTAAGAACATACACTGGGAAAAAGACAGTCTCTTCAATAAATTGTACCGGGAAAACTGGATATCCATATGCAGGAGAATAAAACTAGATCCCTGTCTCTCACATATACAAAAATTAAATCAAAATGGATTAAAGGTTTAAATCTAACACCACAAACTATGAAACTACCACAGGAAAACATTGGGGAAACTCTCCAGGACACTGGAGTAGGCAAAGATTTCTTGAGCAATGCCCCACAAGTTCAGGCAACCAAAGCAAAAATGGACAAATGGGGTCACATCAAGTTAAAAAGCTTCTGCACGGCAAAGGAAACAATCAACAAAGTGAAGAGACAACTCACAGGATGGGAGACAATATTTGCAAACTGCGCATCTGACAAGGGAATAATAATCAGAATGTATAAGGAGCTCAAACAACTCTATAGTAAATCAGATTATTATATTATCTAATAATCTGATTACAAAATGGGCAACACCTGGGGGTGGTGGCCCATGCCTGCAATCCAAGCACTCTGGAAGGCCAAAGCAGGAGGATTGCTTGAGCCCAGGAGTTCAACACCAGCCTGGGCAACATGGCAAAACCCCATCTCTATTTAAAAAAAAATACATAAAATTAGCCAGATACGGTGGAGGCTGAGGCAGGAGGATCACTTCAGCCTGGGAGGTTGAGACTGCAATGACCCTGGTCACACCACTGCCCTCGAGCCTGGGAGATAGAGTAAGACCTGTCAAAAAAAAAAAAAGAGGCAAAATATCTGAATAGACATTTCTCAAAAGAAGACATACAAGTGACAAACGGGGATATGAAAAGGTGCTCAACATCGTTGATCATCAGAGAAACACAAATTAAAACTACAATGAGATAACATATCACCCTAGTTAAAATGGCTTTTATCCAAAAGACAGACAATAACAAATGCTGGCGAGGAAGTGGAGGAAAGTGGGAGTGTAAATTAGTACAACTACTATGCAGAACAGGTTAGAGGTTCCTCAAAAAACTAAAAATAGAGCTACCATATGAACCAGCAACTTCACTGCTAGGTATATACCCAAAAGGAAGGAAGTTAGTATATTGAAGAGATATCTGCACTCCTGTGTTTATAGCAGCACTATTTACAATAACCAAGATTTAGAAGCAACCTAAGTGTCCATCCACAGACGAATGGATAAAGCAAATGTGGTACATATACTCAGTGGAGGACTATCCAGCCATAAAAAAAGAATGAGATCCTGTCATCCGTAACAACATGGGTGGAACTGGAGATCACTATGTTATGTGAAACAAGCCAGGCACAGAAAGACAAACATCGTATGTCCTCACTTATTTGTGAAAGCTAAAAATTAAAACAATTGAACTCGTGGAGATAGAGAGTAGAAGGATGGTTAACAGAAGATGAGAAGGGTGATGAGGGTAGTGGGGGAAGTAGAGATGGTTAATGGGTACAAAAAAAATAGAAAGAATGAAAAAGACCTAGTATTTGCTAGGACAACAGGGTGACTACAGTAAAAAAATCACTTAATTGTACATTTTTAAATAACTAAACAAGTATAACTGGATTGTTTGTAACACAAAGGATAAATGTTGAGGTCATGGATACCCTGTTTACCCTGATGTGATGATTACACATTACATGCCCGTATCAAAATATCTTATGTAACCCATTAATATATATACCTACTCTATATCCACAAAAATTAATAATTAAAATATACAGATATATTTTTACATCAGAGCAGTCATAGACCACTAGCTGGCATCAAGCCACTCCTGGGCCAGGCCAGTTTTAGATGGCCTTGTTGGATTTCCAGAACACCAGGTGAGTCAGTTACACAAGCTTGCTCTGGTCATTTTGCATGTTTGATTATTTTAGAGCCATTCATCACATAATGAGGTTTTGCTGCATTACTTTCTTTCCTCATTTTTAAAAATTCACTTTCATTAATTGTTTAAATAGATGATTCATTCACTTCATTCAGATCCCCATTGAAATAATGGATCTAGGCAATGTTTGGCAATTTCTGCTAACATCACATTTTCTGTCTCTTGCTAGAACACTGTATATGAAGTCTTCTTGTCAAAATATCAAAACTATATCTTCTCAAGCCTCCATATCTAACCTTCTACTTACAGATAAACTGGGGATAGTGGAACCTGCAAAATGACACCATGGAAGCAATCAGCAAAAGCCAGAGTATTGGCAAGTTTACAAGACGGTCTGGTGTCTTAAAAAATAAATTTCAAGGGGGAAAACAAAAAAAAAAAAAAAGAAAGAAAGGGAAAGTTATAGATGATTAAAAGAGATTTAGTAATCAAACACCATCAAATCATGATATGAACAAACCACTGTCAGAGAATGAGGGATTTTGCAACTGACTGTTTTATATTTTAAGTTATTGTTAAAATATTAAAATACAATAATCACATTTTTATTTGTAGTTTTTAAAGTTCTCATATTTTAAAGATAAATACTAATATTTGTGTGTTAAATTATATGATGTCTGGAATTTGCTTCAAAATAATCCCACACGACAATAATGGGAGAATTTAACACCCGACTGTCAACACTAGACAGATCAACGAGACAGAAAGTTAACAAGGATACCCAGGAATTGAACTCAGCTCTGCACCAAGTGGACCTAATAGACATCTACAGAACTCTCCACCCCAACTCAACAGAATATACATTTTTTTCAGCACAGCACCACACCTATTCCAAAAATTGACCACATAGTTGGAAGCAAAGCTCTCCTCAGCAAATGTGAAAGAACAGAAATTATAACAAACTGTCTCTCAGACCACAGTGCAATCAAACTAGAACTCAGGATTAAGAAACTCCCTCAAAACCGCTCAACTACATGGAAACTGAACAACCTGCTCCTGAATGACTACTGGGAACATAACAAAATGAAGGCAGAAATAAAGATGTTCTTTGAAACCAACGAGAACAAAGACATAACGTACCAGAATCTCTGGGACGCATTCAAAGCAGTGTGTAGAGGGAAATTTATAGCACTAAATGCCCACAAGAGAAAGCAGGAAAGACCTAAAATTGACACCCTAACATCACAATTAAAAGAACTAGAAAACCAAGAGCAAACACATTCAAAAGCTAGCAGAAGGCAAGAAATAACTAAAATCAGAGCAGAACTGAAGGAAATAGAGACACAAAAAAACCCTTCAAAAAATTAATGAATCCAGGAGCTGGTTTTTTGAAAGGATCAACAAAATTGATAGACCACTAGCAAGACTAATCAAGAAGAAAAGAGAGTAGAATCAAATAGATGCAATAAAAAATGAAAAAGAGGATATCACCACCGATCCCACAGAAATACAAACTGCCATCAAAGAATACTACAAACACCTCTACGCAAATAAACCAGAAAATCTAGAAGAAATGGATAAATTCCTTGACACATACACCCTCCCAAGACTAAACCAGGAATAAGTTGACTCTCTGAATAGACCAATAACAGGAGCTGAAATTGTGGCAATAATCAATAGCTTACCAACCAAAAAGAGTCCAGGACCAGATGGATTCACAGCCGAATTCTACCAGAGGTACAAGGAGGAACTGGTACCATTCCTTCTGAAACTATTCCAATCAATAGAAAAAGAGGGAATCCTCCCTAACTCATTTTATGAGGCCAGCATCATCCTGATACCAAAGCCGGGCAGAGACACAACCAAAAAAGAGAATTTTAGACCAATATCCTTGATGAACATTGATGCAAAAATCCTCAATAAAATACTGGCAAAACGAATCCAGCAGCACATCAAAATGCTTATCCACCATGATCAAGTGGGCTTCATCCCTGGGATACAAGCCTGGTTCAATATACACAAATCAATAAATGTAATCCAGCATATAAACAGAACCAAAGACAAAAACTACATGATTATCTCAATAGATGCAGAAAAGGCCTTTGACAAAATTCAACAACCCTTCATGCTAAAAACTCTCAATAAATTAAGTATTGATGGGACGTATCTCAAAATAATAAGAGCTATCTATGACAAACCCACAGCCAATATCATACTGAATGGGCAAAAACTGGAAGCATTCCCTTTGAAAACTGGCACAAGACAGGGATGCCCTCTCTCACCACTCCTATTCAACATAATGTTGGAAGTTCTGGCCAGGGCAATTAGGCAGGAGAAGGAAATAAAGGGTATTCAATTAGGAAAAGAGGAAGTCAAATTGTCCCTGTTTGCAGATGACATGATTGTATATCTAGAAAACCCCATTGTCTCAGCCCAAAATCTCCTTAAGCTGATAAGCAACTTCAGCAAAGTCTCAGGATACAAAATCAATGTACAAAAATCACAAGAATTCTTATACACCAATAACAGACAAACAGAGAGCCAAATCATGAGTGAACTTCCATTCACAACTGCTTCAAAGAGAATAAAATACCTAGGAATTCAACTTACAAGGGACATGAAGGACCTCTTCTAGGAGAACTACAAACCACTGCTCAATGAAATAAAAGAGGATACAAACAAATGGAAGAACATTCTATGCTCATGGATAGGAAGAATCAATATGGTGAAAATGGCCATACTGCCCAAGGTAATTTATACATTCAATGCCATCCCCATCAAGCTACCAATGACTTTCTTCACAGAATTGGAAAAAACTACTTTAAAGTTCATATGGAACCAAAAAAGAGCTCGCATCGCCAAGTCAATCCTCAGCCAAAAGAACAAAGCTGGAGGCATCACGCTACCTGACTTCAAAATATATTACAAGGCTACAGTAACCAAAACAGCATGGTACTGGTACCAAAACAGAGATATAGATCAATGGAACAGGACAGAGCCCTCAGAAATAACGCCGCATATCTACAACTATCTGATCTTTGACAAACCTGAGAAAAACAACCAATGGGGAAAGGATTCCCTATTTAATAAATGGTGCTGGGAAAACTGACTAGCCATATGTAGAAAGCTGAAACTGGATCCCTTCCTTACACCTTATACAAAAATTAATTCAAGATGGATTAAAGACTTAAACGTTAGACCTAAAACCATAAAAACCCTAGAAGAAAACCTAGGCATTATCATTCAGGACATAGGCATGGGCAAGGACTTCATGTCTAAAACACCAAAAGCAATGGCAACAAAAGCCAAAATTGACAAATGGGATCTAATTAAACTAAAGAGCTTCTGCACAGCAAAAGAAACTACCATCAGAGTGAACAGGCAACCTACAAAATGGGAGAAAATTTTCGCGACCTACTCATCTGACAAAGGGCAAATATCCAGAATCTACAATGAACTCAAACAAATTTGCAAGAAAAAAACAAATAACCCCATCAAAAAATGGGCAAAGGACATGAACAGACACTTCTCAAAAGAAGACATTTATGCAGCAAAAAGACACATGAAAAAATGCTCACCATCACTGGCCATCAGAGAAATGCAAATCAAAACCACAATGAGATACCATCTCACACCAGTTAGAATGGCAATCATTAAAAAGTCAGGAAACAGCAGGTGCTGGAGAGGATGTGGAGAAATAGGAACACTTTTACACTGTTGGTGAGACTGTAAACTACTTCAACCATTGTGGAAGTCAGTGTGGTGATTCCTCAGGGATCTAGAACTAGAAATACCATTTGACCCAGCCCTCCCATTACTGGGTATATACCCAAAGGACTATAAATCATGCTGCTATAAAGACACATGCACCTGTATGTTTATTGCGGCACTATTCACAATAGCAAAGACTTGGAACCAACCCAAATGTCCAACAATGATAGACTGGATTAAGAAAATGTGGCACATATACACCATGGAATACTATGCAGCCATAAAAAATGATGAGTTCATGTCCTTAGTAGGGACATGGATGAAATTGGAAATCATCATTCTCAGTAAACTATTGCAAGGACAAAAAACCAAACACCGCATGTTCTCACTCATAGACAGGAATTGAACAATGAGAACCCATGGACACAGGAAGGGGATCATCACACTCTGGGGACTGCTGTGGGGTGGGGGTAGGGGGGAGGGATAGCATTAGGAGATATACCTAATGCTAAATGACGAGTTAATGGGTGCAGCGCACCAGCATGGCACATGTATACATATGTAACTAACCTGCACATTGTGAACATGTACCCTAAAACTTAAAGTATAATAATAATAAAATTAAAAAATAATAAATAAATAAATAAATAAAAAACAATCCAGTAGGTGTTAGGAGTATAGATAAGACAAGATTGGCCGTGAGTTAATAAGTGTTGAAGATGGATCACGGGCATAGGGGATTCACTGGACTACTCTATTTTTTCTATGTTAAAACATTTCCATAACAAACATTTAAAAAGAAATGACAATGTTTTCATTCTATACCCCTGAATGCCTCATTTCTAGTTCTCCCTAGGTAATAGCTATTTGTAGTTTCTTATGCATCTTTCCGGAGTTTTTATGTGATATATTCTTTTTATAATTAGAAACATTAAAATATATACTATTTTTAAAAAACAGATTTCTTGGGAAATACATAACTTTCAACCTAGCAGTTGACAGTTATTTGAGTTCATTCTACAAGACTAATGCTCATTTCCTTTCAGACTTCCATGGACACAACAGCAGATCATCGGGACCAGTGTAAGTGCTTGAAAATAATCACAAATAATGACAGCAGACTCATTCCTGGTGACTTGTTTCCACAGGAATGAGAATAAATCAGTGGCAGAAAACTCTTAAATTTCAGCCTGAGGGTCATAGGAGGCCATTCCATTTTCAAAGGGTTGTGGCTATTTATAGCTTTTATGTTTGGAGGGGATGAAAAAATATCAAACATAAATTTATTTCATTGAAGAACATTACCTAATCCTAAGTATGAAAACCAAGCCATTACTCAGGGAGATCTGACAAGCATTCTGCCTATACATGTGGCCATGGCAGTGGGTGGCTGCTAAACCCCATCGTTTTTAGCACAGCTGTGATTGTTCTGAAATTCTGCCATTCCATAGTATTTTTGAGTGAAAGGTAGATTTACATGGGTTTTAAAGAATGCTGGTTTACAACTTTGAGTCATACTGAGAGGGCTTTCTGTGGGATAATTGAAATGCAATGCATTGAAAAGCTGAAAATTGGGATGAACTCAAATTAATATTTGATGAGAAGCAATACATAAAGAGTTTGAGGAAGGATTGCAGTCTCAAAAACTCAAACGAAAATAAGTTTAGGGAGAAGTTATTTAAGGATATTTTAAATAATTTAAATAATTATAGTCAATCCAAATGCTGTTGGTACATCTGTCTTTTTATTGTTTAGTAATACTAGATTGTGGTTGCAGAACAATACGTGTTCTCTTCTTTATGCACATCCAGCAGCATGAATCTTGGCAATATATCATCTGGGAAAATTGTTTTTTGGGTGATGAATTGCCAGGTTAAGGGTATTATATTCCTGCTATCATGCCTTCATTATCAGAGCATTTAAAAAATATATTTCTATATGATACAGGAGTATTTTTGTGATAAGAATTAATATAACACCTTAACAAGCAGTTTAAGAAAGTCAACATGATAATTTTAGATTTATACTCAACAATGTTATATAAGCAATGTAAATAATAACATTAATAGCAATATTTTTAAAGCTGTGTAAATAATACCTACTTATAAAAGTGAAACACAAGCAAAAGAATAATACAAAGGCATTTTTAGCAACAAATTCATCAAAATAGACAAGGATAAAGAAATTTCATGTGTAGCACCAGAGGACAGCATAATTAATTTCACTTTTTTTGGTTTGGAAAATCCATGTGTGTGTGTGTGCATGTGTGTGTCAGAGGGTACAAAGGCAGAGATACTAACGTGTATGCAAAGAAACCATAAACTCATAGTTTTTTTGCTCTGGTTTAAAGCAGTAAGTAATTACTCAAGCTATGCAATGAATTTTTATGTAGGTAAAATTCAGGACTTCTTTGAGATGTGAGACATTTAAAACTAATTAATAGTTATTAATATTGGAAAATTCCCAGGCTTTAAAAAAGTATTTTTTTTAATAGAAGCATGTGGTAAAGACAGAGTGTTAGAGAAGGGCTCACCATTTTCTCTGTTAAGTGAAATACAAGACAAAGCAATGAAAAAGGACCACTTACAACTACCATGAAGCCAGCTAACAAAAAGGACAACTACCAGCCAACAAGTCCCGATCAAAGGACTCGAAGAGCATAAACAATGGGGCGGGCATGGGGATGAAGAACGGTGGATGTTTGTAACATGGAAAAAAACTCTTGGCAGTGTTGCTTAGATTATTGTGTTGTTTCTTTATATTTTTCCTTTCAATTCCACATTTCTCATTTAGAAAACACTACGCAAATATATACAAAGGCAATACTATATTTCACCTTTTGTTTACTTGCCCTGAGACTTATTTATAATGTAATATTTTCACAACTACTAGCCAAATGGAGTTCAAGCTTTTAAAAGTATAAAAATTCAAAATGTACTTACTAATTTTTAAGCTTTTGTTGTGTATATTTACATGTCCACACATGTATGTTTAGACTATTGTTTTTGAGTATTATTCTGATAATCTTTCATACTTGTAAATTTGTTAACTAAAATTGATTTGGGGGAGAATTTGAGTTACCTTCTAATAGTAAATACTCATTTTAGTCCTTGCAGTGTACAAAAGAAAAAAAAAACCTGAAAACCTTGGGTATCGATTGCCATGTACGTTCTAGCATGCACTGTCTATATAAACCTTTACAACCCTCCTTTCCCACAGATATAATGCCCCCATCCATAAAAGACCTGGCACCATGCTAGCCTGTTACAGGCGCTTGACAAATATTTGATGATCTGTTGAAGAAATTGAGGCTGAAGAGCTATATAATTCATCCAAAGTCATCTGCTTTGTGTGTGACAGATCTTGGATTCAAAACTCAGGCTTCTGATTCCAAACCCTTTCCCCTCTCTGGAGTTCCTTCTTTTAGATTCAAAATATGTGCCAAGTATTGCACTTGAGTCCACTTAAAGATAAGAGAGTTACCTGAGGAATTGTTTATGAAGATACTGTATCAGAAAAGAAGCAACTTTTTAATACAGGACTTTGAATATATCTCTGGCTTTAGAATTCAGGAATCATAACTCCCCAGCCCAGGAAAAAAAAAAAGCAGAAAAAAAACAAACCCTACCAACCAGGTTATAAGATCTGTGCCCTTTATGTGAAAATTGTTCAGTGGCATATTATAGGCATATGTCTTCAAGTGTACTTGGGAATCAGAAGATGGACTATAATAATGGGAAATGGGTTGCAGTCCTTCTCCAGATCATAAAATGCAATCGTTTATGCCAGGATGACATATGGGGCTGGCGGCCTTCCTGCAGTGAACTAAATTCAGAGGAATATTTCAGGGTCTTCTTCCCAGGGAGAGCACTGAGTAGTTGGGCATTCATCCACTTCTTATTTTTCAATCAATAAATATTTGTCAAGTGCATTTTAAGTACATGTAATTATATTTTAATTAACATTTCCTCGTCTGCAAAGTGAGGACAAAAATAGAACCTATCCTATAGAGCTGTAAGGATTAAATGTGAGTGTGTGCAGAGTGCTTAGAACAATACCTGGCATTCAGTAACTGCTCAATAAATGTTAGCTGTAATGATCAGGTTTTTATAATGTACCAGACACTGCATTAGGTGCTGGAAATTCAATGACGAGTTTGATATTAATCCTTTTCTCGGGCAATTCACAGTTCAATGAAGGGAGGCATACTTGTAAACTGATGACACATAGATAAGACAGTAGATGGTAGTGTAGGATGCCCAAAGGAGGGAGTAGCCAAGTGAATTTGGGGGTCAAGAAAAGTTTCATGCAGGAGGTGAAAATCTGAGTCTTCATGGATAAGGAACTTTATCTTGTCAGCAATGAAAAACCATTGATGCGCTTTCAACAAAAGGGCATTATAAACAGATGTATGCTTTAGAAAACTCATGGGTGAAAGTATGAAAGATAGATGGAGCGGACAGGGAAAAGATATGAGTGGGGGCAGGGAGAGTAGTCAGGCTATGCTTGAAACAGACCAGGCAAGAAATGAAAATGGCTTGAACTGTGAGCAGTAATGAATGGGCATAGAGGGAACCACAGATTCAACAGCTTTCAAGAGAGTCGGATGGAGAAGACATTGGGATCATTGGGTAGGGTAGAAGTGAAAACGAAGGTTGGATACCATTATTCCTGACTTAAGTGCTTTTGAAGTGTGTTCAGCAATGTGGGGAGTGAAGGAGGAGGAGGAGCAAATGTGGAAAGATAGATAATGAATTCTGCTTTGAATATAGTAAATTGAAGATGCTGATAGAACATCCTGGTAAAAATATGCAGTAGGTTTTTAAATGTAAAGGAATGGTGAGGCTAGAAATAGAGATTTGGAGGTCATCAGCATAGCAATGGACATGGAAACCACCAACAGTGAGTCCTCAGAGAGACTTTGTAAGCAGAGAAGAGTGCTAAGGACCAAAAGTGATGGCATATATAAGTGATGACAGAGAAAGACAAGCCTGAAAACGAGGCTGAGAAACAGTAACTAAGGAGATAGAAGTTGAACTAAGACAGAGTGGTGTCACCAAAAGCCAAAGAGAGTCTAGAATCTCAAGAAAGTTGTCAGTATAAAATATCATTAAAAGCACAACAGGAAGCCTGAAAGAAGCCTATTGGATTTGAAGACTAAGGGTTTGTTGTTGTTTCAGTCTTTGCTAGGACAGTTTCAGTGGGAGCCAAACTGCATATGTAGGTTTCCTGGCATATGCAGTTATCTGTGTGTGCTTATGTATGCATGTGTGTGTTCTTGTGTGTTTGTGTGTGTGTGCACATGCATATACAGTATCTATATTTCCTCTTAAGTTTACTACCTTCATAAGACTGCCTAAATATTTTATATTGCATGTTTCTCTCCCACTCACATTTCTAGGTCTCTCATGTATCTGTGCCTGAATTGATAGTCTGAGCATTCATAGGTTGAGTTCCAAACTATATGCAGCTTAATTGGCAGTGTTTTTCAATGCTTCCACTGTAATAAACATGGACAAGTAAAAGCACTTCCCCCCGAGGCCTTCTCCTAAAGACTTCCTAATGACTTTCAGCAAACAGAAAAGAGCCACTCTTTATGATTTCTGTCACATCCACTCACAAAATACCCTGACAAATCCCTGTCTTGATAGGAAGATATGCCAGATCTGCAAGTAAGTGTTCCTCAAGTCAGTTCAGTATGAAGCAATGTCCTCCAACTTCTACCACAAGTGAGCTGTTTCAAAACAGTCTTAAGAAACTCTAAAGAGATAGTTGTTATGTAGTTTTCCCCATGGCAAGAGCAGACCCTCAGCACTGCAGGTCTTTATGCTCCAATTTAATCCATTCAAACTCAAACATATGAGCAAAAAATCTATATGTGAATGTTTAACTTTTAATTTGGAAATAATTATAGATTCACTGGAAGTTGCAAAGATCATACAGAAAGTTTCTATATACCATTCACCGAATTTCCCCTAATGGCTACACCTTATGTAACTATAGTACAACGTCAAAACCAAGAAGTTGATATCAGTAAAATGTGTGTGAATAGCTCATGTGATTACCCTGGAACCCCCATGGCAATCAAGGCACAAAACTATTCCATCACCATGAAAATCTCCTCATGTGATCTTTTGTCATTTCAAAAATGTTATAGAAATGGAATCATACAGTATGTGATCTTTTGAGAATGACTTTTTTCACTCAGACAATGGCTTGAGATCCATCCAAGTTGTTGCAAGTCTCACTAATTTGTTCTTGTTTATTGCTGAGTATGGATGTACCAGTTTATATAATCATTTACCCACTGAAGGATATTTGGGTTGTTTTCAGTTTTTTAGCTATTACAGATAAAGCTACAATGAACATTCATACACAGAATTTTGTGTGGACTTAAGTTTTTATTTCTCTAAGATAAATTCCCAGGAGTGTGATTGCTGGGTTGTATGGTAAGTGTATATTTAGGTTTTTTGTTTTTTTAAAGAAACTAGTGAACTACTTTTCAGAATGACTAAATACTATGTTACTTTCTAACAGTAGTATATGAGAGATTCGGTTTTTAACATCCTCAAAAGCATTCAATATTGTCACTAGTTTTTATTTTAGCTTTTCAAATAGGTGTGTAGTGACAATTCATTGAACTTTTAATTTGCATTGCTCTGATGTAGTGATGTTAAACATCTTTTATTTGTTTATTTGCCATCTGTGAAATGTCTCTATGTATTTTGTTCATTTTCTCATTGAATTGCTAGAGTTGTGTGTGTGTGTGTGTGTGTGTGTGTGTGTTTTTGTTGAGTTTTGAGTTCTTTATATATTATATACATCAATATAGGATATCTATATGTCCTCTGTCAGGTATGTGATTTGCAAGTATTTTCTCCAAATATGTAATTTTGTCTCTTCATCCTAATAACAGAATCTTTCACAGAGCATAATTTTCAATTTTGATAAAGTCTAATGTACCAATTCTTTATTTTATGTTTTGTTCTTTTGGTGTCATATCATATTTGGATTTTAAGATTGAAAATTCATTTGAATTTCTGGAGGACAATTAAATAATCAGTATTGATTCAAAAACTTATCATACCTGAAATGACAGATGTCTGGGATTTGCTTCAAAACAACCCAGTTTGGAGAGTGTATTAGGTCTTGCATTGCTATACAGAAATACCTGAGGCTGGGTAATTCAAGAAGAAAAGAGGGTGTATTGGCTCATGGTTCTGCAGGCTCTACAGGAAGCGTAGGGACATCTGCTTCTGGGGAGGCCTCAGGAAGCTTCTAATCATGGCAGAGGGCAAAGGGGGAGCGAGCACTTCACATGGTGAAAGCAGGAGCAAGAGGGGGGCAGGTGCCACAGGGGGCAGATGCCACATACTTTTAAACAGCCAGATCTCATGAGAAGTCACTCACTATTGCAAGGACAGCATCAAGGGGATGGTGCTAAACCATTCATGAGAAATCCACCCCCATGATCCAATCACCTCCCACCAGGCCCCACCTCCAATACTGGGGATTACAATTCAACCTGAGATTTGGGTAGAGACACATATCCAGACCATATCAGAGGGTAAAGTGAGGAAGAAGTAGGTGGAGACAGATATGAACAAGAATGGCCATCAATTGATCATTGTTGGGGCTGGGAGGATAGATACATTCAGCGCATTATATTATTCTTTCCACTTTTGCATACATCTGAAATTTTCATAATAAAACGTTAAAAAAATAAAACCAGCACATATCCTTTGACTGAATAATTCAGTTTGGGAAACTTTACCCTAAGGAAAATATTGAAATATTGGAAGAAGAAGGCTATTTGTAGAGAGAGATGTTTATAGCAACATTATTTGTGAAAGTGGGAGGACAAATCAAAAACAATACAAATAGCTAACGATTAGGGAATGGTTATATATCTATGGTATATCATCTCCAGAGACCATTATGGAGCCATTAAAGTGATAAATGTGAAGGCTGAAGATATAAAAAAAGTTTTTTTTTAACAAAATAATGTTAGAAAAAACAAAACACAATCCTTCAACTGTAATTTAGCCAGCTATGGTACTAGAATAGTGTGATTTTATATTTCTGCAACAAAATTTTAGTTCATTGCCCTTAAACAGTTTAATGATCATTTTTGTTGTCATAAATGAAATAATATGGCACCAAGAATCATACCCTCCTAGAAAACACTGGCAGATCTAGGCAGTACGACAGGCAAAGGAGTCTCTTGTTCCACCACCTCAGTATGAGGATAGATGGTAGCACCTCACCCCACCCCAATATACACCCATAAGTGTATTGACGATGTGTTAAAATTCCTGACAGTTACATACAGTATTTTACCAAGACTTATAAAAATTAAACAAAGGGGGATGTAAGTGCAAAAGACATTAAATGTTAAGCCAATTAATGGCTAATTTAGAAAAAGTTACTAAAGAGATATATGAGGGGACTTTTAAAAGTTTGTGGAAATTGAATTCAAAGATAGAAATTAAAAACAAATACTTTATTTTTCAACATAAGCACCATCGAGTTCAAGACAATTTTGTAAGTGATGATACCAGCCATTTAGTTCATCCCTAAAGAACTGAGCATCCTGGGAATTTAACCATGTCAATGTAGTTTTGTTTTGTTTTTGTTTTTGCCTTATTACCTGAAGGGTGTCCTTTACAGATTTTTTAAGATTAGGAAACAAAAAGAAGTCAGCGGGGGCCAAATTAGGAGGCCAAATCAAGGTGAATACCTAATGATTTCTCACTGAAACTCTAGAAAATCACCTTTATTTGATGAGAAGAATGAGCAGGGGCATTATCATGGTGAAGGACTCTGTAGTGGTGCTTTCTCAGGTGTTTTTCTGCTAAAGATTTGGCTTTCTCAAAACAGTCTCATAATAAGCACATATTATTGTTCTTTGGCCCTCCAGAAAGTCAGCAAACAAAATGCCTTGAGCATCCCAAAACAACTGTTGCCATGGCCTTTGCTCTTGACTGGTCCTTATTTTCCTTGACTGGACCACTCCCACCTCTCAGTAGCCATTGCTTTGATTGTGTTTTATTTTCAGGGTCATACTGGTAAAGCCATGTTTCATCTCCTGTTACAATTCTTCCAAGAAATGCTTTAAGATATTGATTCCACCTGTCTAAAATTTCCATTGAAAGCTCTATTCTTGTCTGCAGCTGCTCTGCTCATAATGGATAACAAACAGTTTTGGCACCCATTGAATGAAAGTTTGCTGGACTTTAATTTTTTAGTCAGAATTGTGTAAGCTGAACCTATTGAGATGTCTATGGTGTTGGCTATTGTTTGTGCTGTTGATTGTTGCTCCTCTTCAATTAGGGCATAAATAAGATGAATTTACTCTCGCAAATGGATGTGGATGGTCTGCTGCTATGGGCTTCATCTTCAATATAATCGAATCCCTTCTTAAAACAAGTTATCCATTTGTAAACTGCTGATTTCTTTGGGGAATTGTCTCCATAAACTTTTTTGTAAGGCAGCAATGATTTCACCATTCTTCCACCCGAGCATCACCATAAATTTGATGTTTGTTCTGGCTTCAGTTTTAGCAGAATTCATGTTACTCATGTTACTCTGATAGGGGCTCTTTTCAAACTGATGTCTTATCCTTCTTAGTGCCTCAAACTAGATATCAAACTAACATGTCCTGTTCAGATATGTTATAACAAATTAGTACAAGCTTATTTTGGCACAAAATTCTTTGAAATCTGTACATAATTTTTTCATAATATGCATTTTTCATGAATTTTTGGAGACCCTCATATTTCACTTGATTTATAACTTGAAGGAAAATCAGCTTTAGTGTATGCAATGTTCACACATGCTTCCTAGATAAATGTGGTATATGAAAAGAAGGGTCAGATCATGGCTTCTTAAAGGCAACAGGTCTAGTTTGTGTTGGAAATTGAGATGGTTTTAAAATTTATCCACAAATTCTTTGATATCCCTATCATCAAAAGATGGAGACTAATTCCCTCAAGTATGGGCTGGACTTAGTTACTCACCTTAACGCATAGATGGGGTGGAAGTGAAGGTGTGTGACCTCCAAGATTAGGACATAAAGGCGTGTGGCTTGCTGCTCACCCTCCCTCAGATCATTTGTCATAGGCAACACAAATACCATGTCATGAGAACACTCAAGCAGTCCTTAGAAGAAGCTCATGTGAGAAAGAGCTGAGGCCTTCTGCCAACAGCCACGTGATTGAGCTTGAAAGAAACTCCTCCAGCCCCAAAAGTCTTCAGATATCTGCAGCCTCTGATGATATCTTGATTACAACCCGAGGAAAGACCCTGAGCTGGAATCACCCAGCTAAGCTGCTCCTGAATTCATGACCCACAGAAACTGTGAGATAATAAATGTCTGTTGTTTCAAAGCATTAAATTTTGGAGTAATTTGTTACACAGCAATAGATAATAAATTTCTAGAACACTTCTAGAAATTTTATTTAATGTGATTTTTAAGAATATATGTTTAGTGACATTTTATTAATATCTCCTAATCCCTGATAGTCTCCTAACAGACTGTGATTTTGCCAGTAGAAGTCTTATCAACTAGAAACTTTTTCGGAAACATAATTCTACAAAGGCAAAAAGACATCTAAATCTAAAACCTATACACCCATATAATGTGGACTAGAAAGTATTTGTGATATAAATAATGTTAAGGTGAAAATGATTTGTGAATACTTTTAAGATGTTTAAACATTAACAATGTAAAATATCTTTTATGTTAATATTAGTTCCAAAAGTTTGTCTAAAATGTTTCATTGTTTGAAATTTGTTTTATTTCCAGTTTTACCTTTAATATTTATGCTAAAAAGAAAGAAAGGCAAAAGAAAGATGAACAGATTCTAGAGCTTGAGAAACATAGGACCCTTTATTTGTGGAAATATTTCTCTTGTGACACACATGTTTGGATTGTTAGGAAAACACCCTTTCTTTCTTGGCAGACAAAAGTATTATTGTCTAAACGTGTACCAGTGTTACTTTTTTTTTTTAAGAAAATAACATAATATGTCATATTCTAGACATGCTTTAAGAATTCTTTTCAATGCTTTCTGTGACTGTTTCTTTGGTCAAGTTTAGATTCTTTCCCTTCATCAAAGGTTTCAACTAATAGTTACCACCAGAGAAGTGTTTGGAATCTTGAAAGAAAGGCTACAGATCTCAAAGATCTCAAAGTCTTTGATTTTTTTATACTCATGTATGAACTAGGAGACATATTCTGTAATGACATTATAGTATACTCCATAAGAGAGGGTTTATATTTCATCTTAGGAAGCAATCCAGTGAGAAACAGATTCGCTTCCAAATACCACCACAGAACTAATGTAATGAAAATCTTTCTACTGAGTATGGGGATATCCATCCATATCAGGCTGAGGGAGAGGAAGACGGGTTTGGAATAATGATCATGCACCATGAAAGGCAGACTTTAGTTAAGTAAGGCAAAAAAAGCTTTCCTGATGCTGAACAGCCATGAAAATGATACATTCTAATGATAAAACCCAAGCCTGATTAATGCCTGTGGAAACTTGACTCAATAGAATTGAAATATGATGGACCAAAAAGGGGATAGTACCAGAAAATATTTAAGGTATAAATGTAAGGTGAAAATATCCCTCAGGTACTATACCAAAGTAACTTGGGGAAGCAAGAACATTTGCTTTTGATTCCTGGACTTCGAAGAATACAAAGGTAAGAAAGCCATATGTTAATTTGATAGTATGGTAGGAAATCTCCATGTTGAGTGGCTTTGAGTAATGAAAGAAATTGTGCAGAACTCATGTCTGTGCCCATGAGATGTTTAACATATTCCTAAGTGGCTTCCATGTCATAGTAATCATACTAATTAAACTTAAAATAGGTGACCTGTCATTTAAGGCATAGGATTAAGCCTTACAATGTGTAATAATTAGAAGCCAATGCACAGACTTTCAATAAAAATAATGGAAGCCTTATTGGAAAAATAGACATCAAAATATCAATGTACAATGTGGGATTTCTCAAAGAAAAAAATATAGGATTAATAGTGGAAAAAAAGGTACCATGATTTATTGTTTTTAAGAAAAAATCAGGGAGGATGAGCCAAGATGGCCGAATAGGAAGAGCTCCAGTCTACAGCTTCCGGCGTGAGCGACGCAGAAGATGGGTGATTTCTGCATTTCCATCTGAGGTACCGGGTTCATCTCACTAGGGAGTGCCAGACAGTGGGCGCAGGACCGTGGGTGCAGCGCACCGTGCGTCAGCCAAAGCAGGGCGAGGCATTGCCTCACTCGGGAAGCACAAGGGGTCAGGGAGTTCCCTTTCCTGGTCAAGGAAAGGGGTGACAGACGGCGCCTGGAAAATCTGGTCACTCCCACCCCAAAACTGGGCTTTTCCAACAGGCTTAGGAAACAGCGCACGAGGAGATTATATCCCGCATCTGGCTCAGAGGGTCCTACGCCCACTGAGTCTCGCTGATTGTTAGCACGGCAGTCTGAGATCAAACTGCAAGGTGGCAGGGAGGCTGGGGGAGGGATGCCCGCCATTGCCCAGGCTTGCTTAGGTAAACAAAGCAGCCAGGAAGCTCGAACCGGGTGGAGCCCACCACAGCTCAAGGAGGCCTGCCTGCCTCTGTAGGCTCCATCTCTGGGGGCAGGGCAGAGACTAACAAAAAGACAGCAGTAACCTCTGCAGACTTAAATGTCCCTGTCTGACAGCTTTGAAGAGAGCAGTGGTTCTCCCAGCACGCAGCTGGAGATCTGAGAATGGGCAGACTGCCTCCTCAAGTGGGTCCCTGACCCCTGAACCCCGAGCAGCCTAACTGGGAGGCACCACCCAGTAGGGGCAGACTGACACCTCACACGGCCGGGTACTCCTCCGAGACAAAACTTCCAGAGGAATGATCAGACAGCAGCATTCCCAGTTCATGAAAATCCGCTGTTCTGCAGACACCGCTGCTGATACCCAGGCAAACAGGGTCTGGAGTGGACCTCTAGCAAACTCCAACAGACCTGCAGCTGAGGGTCCTGTCTGTTAGAAGGAAAACTAACAAACAGAAAGGACATCCACAACAAAAACCCATTTGTACATCACCATCATCACAGACCAAAAGTAGATAAAACCACAAAGATGGGGAAAAAACAGAGCAGAAAAACTGGAAACTCTAAAAAGCAGAGCGCCTCTCCTCCTCCAAAGGAACGCAGTTCCTCACCAGCAACGGAACAAAGCTGGACGGAGAATGACTTTGATGAGTTGAGAGAAGAAGGCTTCAGACGATCAAACTACTCTGAGCTACAGGAGGACATTCAAACCAAAGGCAAAGAACTTGAAAACTTGGAAACAAATTTAGATGAATGTATAACTAGAATAACCAATACAGAGAAGTGCTTAAAGGAGCTGATGGAGCTGAAAGCCAAGGCTCGAGAACTACATGAAGAATGCAGAAGCCTCAGGAGCTGATGCGATCAACTGGAAGAAAGGGTATCAGTGATGGGAGATGAAATGAATGAAATGAAGTGAGAAGGGAAATTTAGAGAAAAAAAGAATAAAAAGAAACGAGCAAAGCCTCCAAAAAATATGGGATTATGTGAAAAGACCAAATCTACGTCTGATTGGTGTACCTGAAAGTGACGGGGAGAATGGAACCAAGTTGAAAAACACTCTGCAGGATATTATCCAGGAGAACTTCCCCAATCTGGCAAAGCAGGCCAACATTCAGATTCAGGAAATACAGAGAACACCACAAAGATACTCCTCGAGAAGAGCAACTCCAAGACACATAATTGTCAGATTCACCAAAGTTGAAATGAAGGAAAAAATGTTAAGGGCAGCCAGAGAGAAAGCTCGGGTTACCCACAAAGGGAAGCCCATCAGACTAACAGCGGATGTCTCGGCAGAAACTCTGCAAGCCAGAAGGGAGTGGGGGCCAATATTCAACATTCCTTTTTTTAGTTTTTTAAAAGAGCAATAGTTTATTTATGAAAGTAATCTTTCCCTATTATATTGAAAGACTTTTAATGGTTTTTTTTGTATTTCTATAACATCTTTATACTACTACTAAAGTATAGAATTTAAATAAAATATGTGATGTAGTTATAGATTAGTCTTTTTTTATTATTATTATACTTTAAGTTTCAGGGTACATGTGCACAATGTGCAGGTTAGTTACATATGTATACATGTGACGCTGGTGCGCTGCACCCAGTAACTCGTCATCTACCATTAGGTATATCTCCCAATGTTATCCCTCCCCCCTTCCCCCACCCCACAACAGACCCCAGAGTGTGATGTTCCCCTTCCTGTGTCCATGTGTTCTCATTGTTCAATTCCCAGCTATGAGTGAGAACATGCAGTGTTTGCTTTTTTGTTCTTACGATAGTTTACTGAGAATGATGATTTCCAATTTCATCCATGTCCCTACAAAGGACATGAACTCATCATTTTTTATGGCTGCATAGTATTCCATGGTGTATATGTGCCACATTTTCTTAATCCAGTCTATCATTGTTGGACATTTGGGTTGGTTCCAAGTCTTTGCTATTGTGAATAGTGCCGCAATAAACATACGTATGCATGTGTCTTTATAGCAGCATGATTTATAGTCCTTTGGGTATATACCCAGTAATGGGATGGCTGGGTCAAATGGTATTTCTAGTTCTAGATCCCTGAGGAATCGCCACACTGACTTCCACAATGGTTGAAGTAGTTTACAGTCCCACCAACAGTGTAAAAGTGTTCCTATTTCTCCACATCCTCTCCAGCACCTGTTGTTTCCTGACTTTTTAATGATTGCCATTCTAACTGGTGTGAGATGATATCTCATTGTGGTTTTGATTTGCATTTCTCTGATGGCCAGTGATGGTGAGCATTTTTTCATGTGTTTTTGGGCTGCATAAATGTCTTCTTTTGAGAAGAGTCTGTTCATGTCCTTCACCCACTTTTTAATGGGGTTATTTGTTTTTTTCTAGTAAATTTGTTTGAGTTCATCAGATCAATAGAACAGAACAGAGCCCTCAGAAATAACGCCGCATATCTACAACTATCTGATCTTTGACAAACCTGAGAAAAACAACCAATGGGGAAAGGATTCCCTATTTAATAAATGGTGCTGGGAAAACTGGCTGGCCATATGTAGAAAGCTGAAACTGGATCCCTTCCTTACACCTTATACAAAAATTAATTCAAGATGGATTAAAGACTTGAACATTAGACCTAAAACCATAAAAACCCTAGAAGAAAACCTAGGCACTACCATTCAGGACATAGGCATGGGCAAGGACTTCATGTCTAAAACACCAAAAGCAATGGCAACAAAAGCCAAAATTGACAAATGGGATCTAATTAAACTAAAGAGCTTCTGCACAGCAAAAGAAACTACCATCAGAGTGAACAGGCAAACCACAAAATGGGAGAAAATTTTCACAACCTACTCATCTGACAAAGGGCTAATATCCAGAATCTACAATGAACTCAAACAAATTTACAAGAAAAAATCAACATTCTTAAAGAAAAGAATTTTCAATCCAGAATTTCATATCCAGCCAAACTAAGCTTCGTCAGTGAAGGAGAAATAAAATACTTTATGGACAATCAAATGCTGAGAGATTTTGTCACCACCAGGCCTGCCCTAAAAGAGTTCCTGAAGGAAGCACTAAACATGGAAAGGTACAACAGGTACCAGCCACTGCAAAATCATGCCAAAATATAAAAACCATCGAGACTAGGAAGAAACTGCATCAACTAATGAGCAAAATAACCAGCTAACATCATAATGACAGGATCAAATTCACACATAACAATACCAACTTTAAATGTAAATGGAATAAATGCTTCAATTAAAAGACACAGACTGGCAAATTGGATAGAGTCAAGACCCATCAGTGTGCTGTATTCAGGAAACCCATCTCATGTGCAGAGACACACATAGGCTCAAAATAAAAGGATGGAGGAAGATCCACCAAGCAAATGGAAAATAAAAAAGGCAGGGGTTGCAATCCTAGTCTCTGATAAAACAGACTTTAAACCAACAAAGATCAAAAGAGACAAAGAAGGCCATTACATAATGGTAAAGGGATCAATTCAACAAGAAGAGCTAACTATCCTAAATATATATGCACCCAATACACGAGCACCCAGATTCATAAAGCAAGTCCTGAGTGACCTACAAAGAGAATTAGACTACCACACATTAATAATGGGAGACTTTAACACCCCACTGTCAACATTAGACAGATCAACGAGACAGAAAGTCAACAAGGATACCCAGGAATTTAACTCAGCTCTGCACCAAGCAGACCTAATAGACATTTACAGAACTCTCCACCCCAAATCAATAGAATATACATTTTTTTCACCACCGCACCACACCACACCTATTCCAAAATTGACCACATACTTGGAAGCAAAGCTCTCCTCAGCAAATGTAAAAGAACAGAAATTATAACAAACTGTCTCTCAGACCATAGTGCAATCAAACTAGAACTCAGGATTAAGAAACTCACTCAAAACTGCTCAACTACATGGAAACTGAACAACCTGCTCCTGAATGACTACTGGGTACATAACGAAATGAAGGCACAAATAAAGATGTTCTTTGAAACCAATGAGAACAAAGACACAACATACCAGAATTTCTGGGACACATTCAAAGCAGTGTGTAGAGGGAAATTTATAGCACTAAATGCCCACAAGAGAAAGCAGGAAAGATCCAAAATTGACACCCTAACATCACAGTTAAAAACTAGAAAAGCAAGAGCAAACACATTCAAATGCTAGCAGAAGGCAAGAAATAACTAAAATCAGAGCAGACCTGAAGGAAATACAGACAAAAAAAACCCTTCAAAAATTAATGAATCTGGGAGCTGGTTTTTTGAAAGGATCAACAAAATTGATAGACCACTAGCAAGACTAATCAAGAAAAAAAGAGAGAAGAATCAAATAGATGCAATAAAAAATGATAAAGGGGATATCACCACCGATCCCACAGAAATACAAACTGCCATCAAAGAATACTACAAACACCTCTACGCAAATAAACTAAAAAATCTAGAAGAAATGGATAAATTCCTTGACACATACACCCTCCCAAGACTAAACCAGGAATAAGTTGACTCTCTGAATAGAACAATAACAGGCTCTGAAATTGTGGCAATAATCAATAGCTTACCAACCAAAAAGAGTCCAGGACCAGATGGATTCACAGCCGAATTCTACCAGAGGTACAAGGAGGAACTGGTACCATTCCTTCTGAAACTATTCCAATCAATAGAAAAAGAGGGAATCCTCCCTAACTCATTTTATGAGGCCAGCATCATCCTGATACCAAAGCCGGGCAGAGACACAACCAAAAAAGAGAATTTTAGACCAATATCCTTGATGAACATTGATGCAAAAATCCTCAATAAAATACTGGCAAACCAAATCCAACAGCACATCAAAACGCTTATCCACCATGATCAAGTGGGCTTCATCCCTGGGATGCAAGGCTGGTTCAATATGCACAAATCAATAAATGTAATCCAGCATATAAACAGAACCAAAGACAAAAACCACATGATTATCTCAATAGACGCAGAGAAGGCCTTTGACAAAATTCAACAACCCTTCATGCTAAAAACTCTCAATAAATTAGGTATTGATGGGACATATCTCAAAATAATAAGAGCTATCTATGACAAACCCACAGCCATTATCATACTGAATGGGCAAAAACTGGAAGCATTCCCTTTGAAAACTGGCACAAGACAAGGATGCCCTCTCTCACCACTCCTATTCAACATAGTGTTGGAAGTTCTGGCCAGGGCAATTAGCCAGGAGAAGGAAATAAAGGGTATTCAATTAGGAAAAGAGGAAGTCAAATTGTCCCTGTTTGCAGATGACATGATTGTATATCTAGAAAACCCCATTGTCTCAGCCCAAAATCTCCTTAAGCTGATAAGCAACTTCAGCAAAGTCTCAGGATACAAAATCAATGTACAAAAATCACAAGCATTCTTATACACCAATAACAGACAAACAGAGAGCCAAATCATGAGTGAACTCCCATTCACAATTGCTTCAAAGAGAATAAAATACTTAGGAATCCAACTTACAAGGGACATGAAGGACCTCTTCAAGGAGAACTACAAACCACTGCTCAATGAAATAAAAGAGGATACAAACAAATGGAAGAACACTCCATGCTCATGGGTAGGAAGAATCAATATGGTGAAAATGGCCATACTGCCCAAGGTAATTTATAGATTCAATGCCATCCCCATCAAACTACCAATGACTTTCTTCGCAGAATTGGAAAAAATTACTTTAACCTTCATATGGAACCAAAGAAGAGCCCGCATTGCCAAGTCAATCCTAAGCCAAAAGAACAAAGCTGGAGGCATCACGCTACCTGACTTCAAAGTATACTACAAGGCTACAGTAACCAAAACAGCATGGTACTGGTACCAAAACAGAGATATAGATCAATGGAACAGAACACAGCCCTCAGAAATAACGCCGCATATCTACAACTATCTGATCTTTGACAAACCTGAGAAAAACAACCAATGGGGAAAGGATTCCCTATTTAATAAATGGTGCTGGGAAAACTGGCTAGCCTTATGTAGAAAGCTGAAACTGGATCCCTTCCTTACACCTTATACAAAAATTAATTCAAGATGGATTAAAGACTTGAACATTAGACCTAAAACCATAAAAACCCTAGAAGAAAACCTGGGCATTACCATTCAGGACATAGGCATGGGCAAGGACTTCATGTCTAAAAACACCAAAAGCAATGGCAACAAAAGCCAAAATTGACAAATGGGATCTAATTAAACTAAAGAGCTTCTGCACAGCAAAAGAAACTATCATCAGAGTGAACAGGCAACCTACAAAATGGGAGAAAATTTTCATGACCTACTCATCTGACAAAGGGCTAATATCCAGAATCTACAATGAACTCAAACAAATTTGCAAGAAAAAAATAAACAACCTCATCAAAAAGTGGGCAAAGGATATGAACAGACACTCCTCAAAAGAAGACATTTATGCAGCCAAAAAACACATGAAAAAATGCTCATCATCACTGGCCATCAGAGAAATGCAAATCAAAACCACAATGAGATACCATCTCACACCAGTTAGAATGGCAATCATTAAAAAGTCAGGAAACAACAGGTGCTGGAGAGGATGTGGAGAAATAGGAACACTTTTACACTGTTGGTGGGACTGTAAACTACTTCAACCATTGTGGAAGTCAGTGTGGCGATTCCTCAGGGATCTAGAACTAGAAATACCATTTGACCCAGCCATCCCATTACTGGATATATACCCAAAGAACTACAAATCATGCTGCTATAAAGACACATGCACACGTATGTTTATTGCGGCACTACTCACAATAGCGAAGACTTGGAACCAACCCAAATGTCCAACAATGATAGACTGGATTAAGAAAATGTGGCACGTATACACCATGGAATACTATGCAGCCATAAAAAATGATGAGTTCATGTCCTTTGTAGGGACATGGATGACATTGGAAATCATCATTCTCAGCAAACTATCGCAAGTTTGCTTGCGACAAAAAACCAAACACCGCATGTTCTCACTCATAGATGGGAATTGAACAATGAGAACACATGGACACAGGAAGGGGAACATCACACTCTGGGGACTGTTGTGGGGTGGGGGTAGGGGGGAAGGTTAGCATTAGGAGATATAACTAATGCTAAATGACGAGTTAATGGGTGCAGCACACCAGCATGGCACATGTATACATATGTAATTAACCTGCACATTGTGCACATGTACCCTAAACTTAAAGTATAATAATAATAAAAAAAAATAATAATAAAAAAGAAAAATCATAGTAAGATAGAAAACTAAGAATGTGGAACATGTGACACAAGGTTCCAGCTGTATGATGTCTTAGCCATACCCTTTTTACTTTTGTTTGCTAAGTATTAAGTGATGCTATATATGTAATACTCTTCTATGCACCCTATTTAATAAAAACAAACATACACAGCTAATCTCACAAATTAAACATAGAAAATGGTGTTTTACATCTGTAGCTCTAAAAATTCAGAAGTACATCGTACCTGGAGTGCCTCTTATCCATGAAGATAATGCTATGGTCCTTCTATGGAGAGGCTTTGAACTTCATGCCATTCCCAGGAGTGGTGCTGGCCTATTTAGGGTCTTTCTTTTGGCCTATGTCATGTTGTTATTAGCTGACTGATGACATAGAGGTGAAGGTCAGGAGCAGAGAACAGAGGGAGGCTAACTGAGCTTACCAGAGCCACATGCATGCATGTCTCACAGAGCTCTACCTACATTCCTTGACTCATAAAGAAACTCTGAAGGAATTAGATTTATTGTGTAAGCTGTGAACTGCCCTAATGACAATCTTAACAATGTACTCAAAGCTGCCCAGCAAATGTCCAACTGTTCTTTATTCTACATAGAGGTATAATTTACAAAGAGGAGATAGTCTTTAAAATTGTAGCTGAACAAACACCTGATGCAACATAGTTATTGCAATGTAGAAGAAAAAGGCAAAATGGTGCCTTTTTTTGGTAATGGTTAGATTTTGGAGTTTCCTTTTTGAAAATGAATAAATATAATCAATCGCATATGATTATTCTGTGATCCCCAAAAGCATGGTCTTCTGCTTGCAAGGGAAATTTTAAAAAGCAATGTTACTGTTGATTTCACATCCTAAAATATCAAGATGCCAGTTTATTTTATAGAAACTGTACTAGTCACATAGAAGGTTTTGTTTTCACAGGATTCTTTTTCATGGGAAAAATAATTATATATTTTAACCATAGAAATTAGTTTTAAAAAATTAGACTTTTCTTCCTTGATGTTGCCTAATGTTTGGGGGTGGGGAAGGAGAGATCTAGAAAAGTGCTCTGAGAGTGAGGGTGGCCTTTTCAAACTACACTTTCATATTCACACCAACTCCATTGAGAGTCTCTACTGTAGGCATCCACTGTGTGGCTCATTGTATGGTACCACTGGGTGGCAACACGTCCCTCCCTGGGTTTGGAGGAGAAATGACTTAACTTCGCTAAGGGAGATCAATGCAAGATGAATCTGATTAAGAGCTGAAGTTGTGAGGGTGAACCACCCAGGTTCAAATTTTGACTCTACTGCTCCCTAGTTGTGTGACCTTGGGCGAGTTATTTAACTGCTCTAAGCCTTATTTTTAAAATGGGGATAATAACAGAAACATGCTTGCAAGTGAGGATTGAGAGATTTCAATTAGGTTAAGTAAGTAAGACACTCAGCACAGTGACAGTGCATATTAACTAGCACTCAATGAAAGTTACACAGTATAGCCATTGTCCCTAAAACTATTCAAAAAATCTCAGATCTGTTTAAGAAAGAATGCTGCTCTAGTGTCTAAGTGGGGACTTAATTCAAGGTATTTTCTCTACACAGTTGTAAAGAAAAGTCTTCCATTGGGTGGAATTTGACTAAATCTTCTCTAAGTTTTCTTTTTTCATTCTAGGACTCTGCAATGCAATTGAATACAGGAACTTTTGCCCCTTTGGCAGTCTCTATAGAATGAACACTGTGTGAGCAGATGATGATTATATACTTAGTAATTTCATTGTAATTCAAAGTTCACTGGTCAGGTTCATGCCTACAATTTTTTATTTCAGTTGTCCTCAGCCGACCTGATTCTCATTATCTGTGAAGATTCCCATGGAATGATTCATCAGACTTTGCAACAAAACTCCTAAAGGTCAGCCAGTTGGTCTAGGAGAAAATAAGATTCCTGTGCTGAATTTTATTTTGCCTGCAAAAGTGCCATCCTTAGTGGCTTCTTGCTGTTGAGGTTCAAAGTCCTCCCCAAGTGTGTCCTAAATTATGCAACCATGTTTGCTTCCCTCTGCTTCCTTCTAACTGTTCACTCAAGGCTCCAGAACATGCCTTCCTACTGTTCCTTCTGTGAGGAATAGAACCATCCTCCTCTTCATCTCTCTGTTCTTCCCTTTAAAGTCTTTCAAAGGGCAGTGCAAATTCCCTGCCTGCCCTTGCCTTGGCAAAACAGATATCTCTCTCTCTTCTACTCCCTCCTTCTCTTCCCTCCCTGTCTCCCACCTGCCTCCTTTCCCTCCTTTTTTCTCTGTCTCTCTCCTTCTCTCTTCTCCTCTCTCCTTCCTTTGAATCTCCATAGCCTCTGTGATCTGACCCATTCCCTTACTGCTTCAGATAACATGCTTTTTATTGTTGGAAAACCTCTTTAATGTCTATATGTTATCTCAACTAGACTGTACATTACCTGAGGAAGGCACTGTACTTCTTGACCTTATCACGGTCTGAGCATGTAGAAGAACTTCAATATAGATGTTACTTGATCAACTCATTACAGAATACTTCCAATTCAGTGAAACTATCCACTATAGGATCCAAAAAGAGGAATTATTACTGATATTCAATGAAGGCTTTTTATGAGCTAGGCACTGTTTTAAGTGCTTTAAAAAGCATTAATTTGTTGTCTAAAAGAGTTAACTCACTTTATTTAAATGTATACTTGCCACGAGCCAGGTGCTTTGCCTATGTGTCTCATTTCTCATTTAATCCTCACTTCAACCCTGTGAAATAACTATTATAATCACCAGTTTAGAGATAAGAAAACTGAGGTTCAAAGAAAGCAAGTTCCCTAGGTTATATGGCCAGTTAGAGGTGGAAATGAAGTGCAAATCAGACGGGGCTGATTCTAAAACCCACATTGTCTCTGCTACACCATACTGCATAGAATCCACACTGCCATGCAAAACAAGCCAGCCAATGCCTGACTCTCTGAGAGCTTTCACAATGGCATCTCAACTGCTCCTGGACTGAACCATTATTTAGACACTGTTGAGCTTTTGCTGCTGGCAAAGGCAGCAGTAGAAATTTTTGTGCAGTGTTAGAATGTTTTAAGTAACCCAGTAGATGATAAACGCCCGCTATGCTTATAAGGTTGCCATTGGTGGCCAAGTTGATTTTGTCTGTCTTGCAGAGCAGTTGAGCTCTACTACACAAATACTACATGGGGAAATTCCTATTCTGCTGGTTCTGAAACAACAAAATCCTAAGGTGTACAGAAAGAGCACGTGGAGACTGGCCACAAGCTGGGATTTTGCGCTGAGGAGCCAGTGGGCCACCAGGTTGTGAAAAACTCAGGCTGTCCAGATAAATTAACACACCAAAACCACAAACAGAAAGCACATTTCTTAGTATTGCTCAGTAATTTCATCTCCAAGTAATGTAATAATGTAAAAGCAATAAAAAGGTAAGTCTAGCGGGTGTAGGGAAATGGGTTTTCTTGATCCGTTGCTGGTGGTTATGTATACTGGAACCACCTTTCAGGAGACAAACTGGAAATACATATTGAAATCATATCTTTGAGCTAGCATTACAGATTCCTCTGAGCTAACTAGAGGAAAGAAAAAAAACACATGGCAGTGAGAATCATTTCCTTCAGGGCACCCATATTCACTTACGACCAATCAAATGGAGCAGTCATCTGCATCCTTGTTGAATTGGGGATTTGAGGGAGAAGGAGATGTGTTTTATTATGTTATTTTTTTCCATATAATAAGAAACTAAAAAAAATCAAAAGGATATACAACACATAGTGAAAACTCCCCTTCCTAAACCCCATAGCCACCCAGTTCCTCTCTCTTGAAGCAACCTGTTACTAGCTTATGAGTCCTTCCAGAAATATTTTATGCAAACACACACACACAGACCACGTGAATGTCTTACCTTGTGACCAGGACTATATACATAGGCATCCCTTTGTATCCCCAGGCAATTGGTTTCTGGACCACTCCTCCTTATCCCCCTACTTTCCTATACCAAAATCCTCAGATGCTCAAGTCCATTATATAAAATGGCATAGTGTTTTCATATAACCTATGCACATTCTCCTATATACTTTAAATCATCTCTAGATTACATCCAGTACCCTAACGCAATGTAAATGTTATATAAACCGTTGTTACACTGTCTTGGTTTTTTATTTGTTATTTTTATTGTTGTATTATGTTTTTTTTTTTTAATATTTTCAATACTCAATTGGTTGAATCTGTGGATTTGGAACCTGCAGATACGGAGGGCTGACTATATATTTGGCATTCAGGTGACTTTTGTTTTGCAGTATATTCATTCAATAGGGGTAGAAGACTGTAATATTAGTTATAGGAGAGGCACTAAGCTTTAGGGTAAATTTTATATTAGAAATGTATTTTATTGTCTAATCATTGAGGATCTGATCTCATCAATTCGCTGACTTTCATTATATCCACCTGGAAAGAATGGCCATGAATATGGAAACTTATGTTGTCCTTGGCCACAAATGTTTGAAACTCTCCAATCTGGACTAGTTGTCTTTTCTTCCTAGGATCCTCCTTCACCAAAATCTGGGAATCTTTTTTTCTGACCTGTGTTTGTATGCTTTGTTTTCTTCATGCACCCTTCCTCTTTCTTGATATGCTTTCTGCTTTTGGTTTGGTACGCCCTCCAGGAGCCTCCTGAGAAAATATGAGAATAAAATTTTTGTATGTCTGAAAATCTCTTTATTCTACCCTTTCCCTTGACTGATAGTTTGGCTGAGTATTGAAATTCTAAGTTGAAAATAATTATCTTTCTGACTTTGAAAGCATTGCTCTAGTGTTTTTAGAGGCTTTGTGGAGGAATCTGAAGCTGTACCAATTCCTATTCTTTGCACTCCTTCATTTGTAGAGAGCAAGAACAAATAAAGCCAGGCCACAGTCATCCTTACCATTCTCCTACTCCTTGTCTCAAGGCAAGATACTCACATGGTCTGGGCTTCTCTCCTGAGTTGGAAGTGACTGCTGATCTATGAGGTCCTTCCCAAATGTAGGGTTCACTTGTGAAGATATAGATAAGAATATTCTAAAACCCCTCTGAGTAGGAGAATTGTTTCTTATCATCACTGTTTAATAATCATGAAAATTATTGCTTTTATACTTCTTATCTTTATCCAACCCTTTTCTTGACTCTATTCACTGATTTGGGGAAAACACATTAATTCAAACTAATAGGCATGTCAAGATTAATGAAAAGTCTAAATTACAGAGCATATTCAAACCATTACCGGCATCTGTGTTGCAGTGGAGTGAACTTTGGATTATGCATCTGAAGACCTATGTTCAATGAAGTCCCAGCTTGGCTATGTCATGTGTTCTTGGACTAGTCCATTGTCCTCTTTGAGCCACTGCTTCCCTCTCTATAAAATAGGCATGATGCCTATCTCACAGGGTTGCTGTGACAATAAAACATATCACATGCAGTGGTTTAGTACATTGTACAACAAAGCATCACACACATGCGGGAAGCGCTCTCACAGTCATTTAAAGCAGATAAATGATACTGTCTAGTGTACTTCCTTGGGGAACCTAGTTTAATATATAGATAAGAGTGTGTTACTTGCATATTTGTTAATATTAATGTGCTTTTAGGTTGCTTAGTAACTGTTCTACTTAAGTTAAATTTTTTGCTATAATAATTAGTTTAACAAATCCTTTTTTCCAAGACATCATAAAACTAAACTTTAGCCCAAGTCCTTGTCTAAATTATTAGAAACTTCAAATACATAAATTTTATTGCAGTTGTACTTGTTTTATCATTTAGAAAAACATAAAATTGCCACTCCAGAGTAGCAAGATTTTTCTGGGAATAACATTACTGAAATAACACTGAGGTTTTGGTGATTTGAAATAAATGGAACCCTGTTATTATTACTTGAAGCTGAATTGGGTTTTTTAGTGGAAAATAAAATAGGACAAAAGTAACTTAAAGGAAGAAGTGGCAATTTTATTTATTTTTTTATAAAATTGTACAGACATATCTTATAAAATGCCCCAAACAAAGCAACAATGACTATAGATTGGATTGAAATGGGTTTACATGCCAGCTACATTTGACATTATACCTCAAGGACTCTTGCCCTTTCTATGTACTGCTGTTTAGATCAAAGAAATAAACAAGAAGCATCTGAGAATTCTGTCATTCAGGAGGAAATATAGTTAAATACTGCCAAACATATAAAGGGGGATTCAACCAAAATTGAAACCTAATGAGAATATAGGAGTCATCTTTTTTCTTCCTATCACAGATTTCTCTGATCAAAGTGTCCTTATTTCTAATATTATCGCACATTTGTGAAAAGAATTTGGTATAGTTCAGTCTTTGATCAGGTAATATCATTTTATTCCACAAATATGTACTGAGCACCTGCTATGTACCAGGCACAGTTCTAGATGCTGTGAATGCAGCAGAAAATAATATATACAACCTTTCTTGCCCTCGTGGAACTTCCATTCTAGAGACTGTCCAGAGACCAGTCAGGTAAGAAAAGCCTGGGTGGCAGACATTCCAGAACATGAGAGGAAGTGATGATCATGAGCCAGTATCATCTTTCTCTTGGTGCTTAAGGGAACTACAAGCCTTTGGCTCCAGTATATTTTGACTCCAGACCTGATTCCAAAACTTCTACTTTTGTATACATCTGGAAGGCAAAGAGAGACTCAAGGCACAGTGGTCTGAAGAACCTGGGTGCATATGAAGGAATCGTATCATCTAACTGGAAAACTCACTGGTCTCCTCTTTCACCAAAACAACAAAGGCAAGCTGCCAATTTTATCTGGTATAGCAGAAGTATTGCAGGACAGCCTCAGTTTTTAACATTCTGTCCTGTTCTCCTCATGAGTACACACATACTTGTCACACCATGTTCTTCTAACTTTGGGATGGGAAAATGTGGCCTCTGTCACCATAAATCAAATACTGGAGCAGCAGCTGAGACATTTTAACTCTGCAGTGCCAGCACCATGTAGCAAAGACACCAAGGGGAGATAGACTGATTAACAGCCACAGTAATGGCTGCAATCGTGAAGAAAAGATCCATAACTGTTATATGCCAGGAAGCCTCGTGGCAACTGAGGAGTAGAAGAGGGGACTTTCAAAACATCTAAAACCATGTTGAGAGCCATTAGGGAGAACCAAGCACTACCTAAACAGTAAACTTTTCTTCCTATTTTCCTATTGCTTCCCTGATTGGGTAAGAGAGAGCTCTGATGTGCTTACTGAAACTCTCCGGTTGAAATTCTGGCCACATCTAGCTTTTCCTGCCCTGCTCTTTTCCTATTGCAAATTCACCATGTATAGTCTTCCCTAAGAAATGAGGTCATAGAGGCAGAACTGGAATAAACATCCATCCAGTCACAAGCTCCTCAATATAAAATAGTCTCAGCTTTGTATCATTTGACTAGAGGTTCCATTTCTTCTTAATAACAAAACAACAAATTATATAAATGTGTATTTGCATTTTTGGAAGTTCACTTTAGTTTTGTAGGAATGGAGACTGTCTTGTTCTCTACTCTCCTTTCTGATCACGTCCAGAGATGTGAAGTCTCGCTTGCTCAAGTTATTTGATTTTGTTAAACATAACGTCACAGATTTTTTGAGCCAAATCAGATTTTATAGGTCACCTAGTCCAAACCCTCATTTAGCAGATGAAGAAACTGAGACCCAAGGAGGTTAAGTAACTATCCCTGGTCACAAATCCAATCAATAGCAGGGTGAGGGGTCACTGACCCAAACCCCACAGTCATTCCACTGAATGCAAGAACACACCGAATTACATTGCCAACAGACTTCTCATATCCCCAAGATCCTCCAGTGGTTTGGGGAGGAAATGAAATCTCTTACAGAGAGATTTCACAGGGAGGCAGGAAAAGCACTCAAGTACATAGAAGCAGCAAGATCCCCCGAGAGTGACCTGAAGCTTCCCATGTATTCAAATGCATGGGGGCATTTTTGACCACTCTTGGAGCATTTCCCAGCCTGTAGATGGTACAGTTGGGCATAGAGTAATTTAAGGGAGTCATCTTTGTGAACTCTTGTGCCTGAGGACTTTCGTTCATATCAGATGCAGGAATCATCAAATCCTAAGATCTGTATGATTCTTGATACATGATATAGCCCTAGCCAGTGGCTAGGACATGTCATCACATGTAGTATAGGAAGCTTCATTTGGACAAGCATGAACAGAAGCCCCTTTTCATCACAGTGGATTTCTAAAACTGATTTTGTATAAAGATGACTGCAATAAAATGGGCTATAGTTGCCATAGAAACATGATTTCTAGAGTTTGGTAGCAGTTTTACGTGTGTATGTGTGTGTGAGTGTGTATGTGTGTGGGGAGGGGTGTATTCTTGACCAAAAAGGAGCTGCCATAGACACGTAGCACCTAAAATGGGTAAAACCAATTTGCTTACACCATAGTCATGCATCATTTATTTGGCTTAGAGATGATTTATTAGCTCTCACATGAATTAATTAAATATTTAATTTACCGTCCTCTGGTTTGCCTCCATAGAATTTAGAAGGACTTCGAGATGTTAATTTAAATAGCTCAGTTCTCTTTAATATGCTACCCACTAACTTTGAACTGCTACCTTTTTTCCTCCTTGAAAAGTGTCTCCATAGCAAAGAGAATCATTTAAAATTATTCTATTGCCCAGAATTTCTTTTAAAGTGGTGGGTACTTAATACATTTTTGTTGGTGATAGTAACTGAAAAATTTCTGGAAAACATGGGCTAATCCTACAATTCTTCCCATCTTCTCCTGCCCCTTCAATTTATTTAAAGCTACAAGTAAGGGCAACAGTTCACCTGTCAGTCAAAAAGCACCGTGGCCCAGAAACAGGAAGAGACACACCCTTCATGGTCATAGAACCTACATGAACTTTGTGGCTGAGCTTTTTGACCACCTCACATGCCACTGAAAGCATCAAGCCAACTACCAGACTTTTAGAATGGGCATTTTATTAAAGAGTTCACAGATTTGAGATGGGGATAAGCAACAGTCTAGCTGTACTGGTTCTTTCTTTCTTCTGGAGTGGGTACACAGTCACTGGAAGTGCTGAATACAAGGGAGTGAGTGTGGAGAATTTAATTATGGGTGTTGATTAGGCAGCTGGATAATTGGGACTGACAATGGTGTCTGTATAGCACAACAAGGCAGAAATGGTCCTGGTCAATGTAAAATTGGTAAAATTTGCTGGGTTGTTTTCTCTCTGAAGATCTGAATTTTGACTACAGTAGTCAAGTATTCCCCTAATTGTGTGTTCTGTCTGCAAATGTATTTAGGAAGATTTTTTATCCTGGGACTTTATGAACAACTCAAAGTATAAATGGTTAGTAAAACTGAAAAGGGTTTAATGTGGCTGCTAATAAATAATATAAATAAAAATGATAATCCTCTAGCTTTTATCTGTTGTCCATCCTAATACTGCCAAGGATGGAGTTAGCAGGTACATTCATGTACTGAAGGGGCAAGGGTAACAAAATGTACCCTTTCTGTAAAACAGGGAGAAATTCATAATTTTCTAGCCAGTATTTACATTCTTAGGAGCCCTAATTCCCAGTACTTGGCAATCTATATTTTCATTATTCTGGTTAAGAATTACCCTCTCCTCACTAATGACTCAGAGGAATATAATGTTTCAAAGCAGAATTTCTTGACGTAGTTTCCACAGAAAACTTGTCCTGTTCTTTTGACTAATCATTTCAAGATCTGAAAAATACAGAGTCCTGGATGGTCCCTAGGGACTTCCATGATGAATGGTTGACATATTAATACTCTAAGAAATCATGCAGTAAAAAGACTTGCCTAACATTACCTTTTTTTTATTTCTCACAAATTTACTTGACCATGGAATCTGTTGGTCAGATTATACCTATCAACCTCCTCGGGTACTTTACAAAACCCTGTCCTACAGCAGAAATCCTCATAGAATGCTGTCATGGAGAAGTTAACCATCTGCTCAATGCTTTCTGCAAGCTCAGGAATCTCTGCTACTTTACCCTCAAGGTGAGATCACACAAGTCTAGTAAAATGAACTCACTATTTCACAAGGATGCCATATGGCTACTAAAAACTTCTTCCTTATATTGAGCCTAAACTTGTGATTCAGGAGCACTCACTCATTGCTACTAATTCTAGTCCCTGGAGCCACACAAGTTAACATTTTCTTCTATTTGGCAGGCTTTCAAATATCTAAAGATAATGATTATATACATACTGAGTTAATACATACTACTACAGGTTAACAAGCTCATGTCGTCAAATTTTTGGCTTGTGATGTTATTTTCAGTTCTTCAACATCCTAATTTTCCTCAATTATGCTTTACTTTGTCAATGTCCTTCTTATAACATAACCCCAAAGACTGCAGTTATGACAATATTATGGATATAATTAGAGCATTTAAAGACAGTGGGATTATTACTTCCCTCAGTCTCAACTATCACTTCATAGATTGCCACAGGTTGTGTTTCTGGAAAACAGGCTCTGAGATAGAGATTAGTGTGTGGGATCCACACCCACGGAAGGAAGAGATGGAAGTGTGACAGGACAAAGGGAGAAGTTGAGTAGAGATGCAGGATTGACAGAAATTGTCTCTCAGAGTTGACAAGTTGGCGATAACCAAGTTTAGGTGAGAAGGCTTACCTTCTATACCTTTCTCCTCCATCATCCATTCGTCACTGGATGAAGGCCACCTAGAAAGGGGGTGTCATCTCCTTAAGAAAGGCAATCCCCAAAGGGACTGTCACCTGAGGGCTGGCAGCTGGCCACACTCCCAGCAGTGGAGGGAATAAGTCTTCCATTCCTGAAAGCTGTTCTGACAGCACATGATGGCATCCATCATACAGCTCATCCATGACCTTATAGACCCCAATGAGGGTTTATGTTAAACTCGACTGAGGACCGTGAATGAGTATCAAGGAGGTGAATGACATGACTGTTTTTGCATTTTTAGTGGCTCACTCATGCTATTGTACAGAAACTAGAGTGGAGCCAGGGTAGAAGCAGAGGAGACAGTCAGGAGGCCAGGGCTGAAGTCCTGGGTGAGACAAGGCCATGGCAGGGCCTAGAATGATGGCAGTGGGTGAACATGGAGAGACGTGACTACAGGTGGATCTATTTCAGAGAGAGAGCAGTTAGATCTTGTAAACAAAGTGAAGTCGATTGTGAGGAGTGAAATGGGGTTGGACATGACTCCAAGGGCACTGGCCTGAACCACAGAGGGAGGAGGGAAGTCATCACCAGGACAAGGAATACTGGAGGAGGGACCATTAGGATGAGGGTACAGAGGGGACATGCTAAGTTTGATGAGTATGAGACATCCAAAAATATAAAGTAAGCAGTTGTAAATATAGATCTGGAGCTCAAAAAAGAAATCTGAGCTGGCAGTATAAATTTGGGAGCCCATCGATGTGTATTGAGCCCTTGGAAAGAGATGGATATTCCAGAAAGATCCTATAGAATGAGAAAGAGAGAAAGGAAAAGGAGGTCCAAGACAGACACTTGAAAGGCCCCAAAATCGAGGGGCTGGTTAACAGAGGGTGACATACAGAGGAGACTGAGAAGGAAGGAGAAGAGAGAAGAGCAGAGGGAAAGCCAGAGGGTGTGGTGCCATCAGAGCCAAGGAAGGAGAGCATTGAGGAAGGAGGGAGCAGCAGTCGGCGGCAAATACTGCAGAGGGGAGAGTGAGAGAAGAACAGAAATGCCCAAGGGGAGTTATTGCTGAGTCAGCACTGCTTAGTAAGCACTGCTTCAGACAGACCTAAAAGATGTGAAGGGAAGAATAGAAATGCTTCTGTTTTATTTTGTTGTTGCTGTTGTTATTGCTATATTTTCAGCATCCTTCCTTCTGGCCACCAAGCACATGGCTTGGTGAAGAGTGGTCATCACATCGGCTGGCTGGCGTCTGGGATGGCACATGGCCCAGGCTGTGCCATCCCCTACTGTGTTCATTGTCCATGGCTGCTGTAACAAATGACCCAAAACTGGGTTGTTTAAAATAACAGGAATTTCTTCTCTCCTATGCTGGAGGCCAGAAATCTGAAAGGAAGATGCCTTCAGGGTCATGTTTCCTCTGGAGGTTTAGGGGAATATCCATTCCTGAGCTGTCCCAGCTCCTAGTGGCTGCTGGCATTCCTGGGTTTGTGTCTGCATCACTCCCATCTCTGCCTCAGTGGTCACATTTCCTTCTCCTCTTCTATGAGTAGATCTTATTATATCACTTATAAGTACACTTGATATGGCATTTTGGGTCCGCTTTGCTTGGAAATCTCCTTAGCTAAATATCCAAGTTCATCATTTACAAGGGATGCTGTCCACACAACTCTAGGGCACAATTCAGCTAAGTTTTGGTCACTGCATAACAAAGATCACCTTTCCTCCAGTTTCTAATAAAAAGTTGAGCCTTCATTAGAGGTGTCTTCAATGTTTATATTTCTACCAATATTTTGTTCAAAGCAATCTAGATTTTTTTTGCTGTTGTGCACCTGAAAATTCTCCCAGCCTCTGCTACTATTTAATTCCAAAGCCATTTATAAACTTTTGGTACCTGTTAAAACAGCACTGCATTTCCAGATGCCAAAGTCTGTATGATTTCCTATGGCTAAGCTTCTCCTCCTGTCACATCACTCATCTGAAGAGAAGGCACAGACCCCAACAGGGGCTCACCAGGGGCCTTCTCTGGGCTTTTAAAAACTTTGCCTGAAGTGAGAAGATCCTTGTTTATTCTCTAGTTAGGACTGTTAGCCTATGAGTCTAGGGTTGAAGGCAACCAGGTTCTCAGTAAGGTAGAGAAAGTCGATGTTGTCTATCTAGTCTGAAAAAGAAGGAAGCCAGCACACTAAAAGCACAGACAAGAAACACATATAGAGTGTGAAGGTTCATTTTGTATCCCATTTTCTACATCCCATTGCTCTTGAGGTCATGATCAAGCATGAGAGACTCCTTTAGATGTTGAATAAACAAAGCGGGGGGGGTGGTCTGAGGGGCAGAGGACACTTGGAGAGAGGGTGGCTCAGGAGGGAAGGGGTCAGCAGCTCCGGCACTGCAGAGTGTAGATAAGAAGACTGCAGAGACTGCCCTGGGTTCAGCCATCAGGAGTGACTGGTTAATGCTTGAGAACACAGCTCTGGGTGAGGACTGAGGCAGGATTGGAAAGGATTGGCCAGTGAGAGGGAAGTAAACAGGCTCAGAAGGGCACATGGGGATGAATGAGCTTTTGGTAGGAGAAGGAAGAAAACACAGTAGATGCAGGTAGGATTGGCAATTTATTGGCAGAAATATGAGGATTTTTATTTTCTCTATAAAATATGAGGCCAAGTCTGTTGTGCATGAGAAAGAGAAAAGCAGTAAAGTGTGCTGGGACTGGGAATGAGGGTGATAGACAGGAGTTCTGGGGGCTGAGAGTTTTGAAGAAAATGGAGAAGATAATAAAGTTAGTGAGGATGATGAAAAAATACCTGACTTGAAAACCATCCAAAATTGCCTGGCAATTTTGAGAGCCTGATTGAGCAGCCCTGTGAACCAAGTCACATTGCTGCTCATATTCAATTTGGGGCAGCCAAAGTCTCAAGGTCTCCAAAGGGTTATCAATCCAGTCCTCCTTGCTAAAGAAAACTCAGTCCTATGAGTTCAGTTCCTGAGCCTCTGAAGCCAAATGGAGATTGAGTAGAAAGAGATAGAACTGGGGAAAGGGAGGGGATGCTGCGCTGCATAGGGTTGAGATTTATTTTTGACCAAGACTAAGGAATAAAGGCAGAAAGAAAAAGGAAGAAAAACCAAAGGCCATGTTGGTTAGGACAGAGTTTAGTTTGGGGAGTTGAGAGTAGGAAGGAAATTAAGGGAGCAGCTGCCTGCCAGTGGGGAATGTTAAGTGTGAAAGAAGTAGATACAGATGAGTTTTAAGATGTTTCTTTGTGCATTTAGAACATATACCTGCTATGGGACTGTTTTAGAGGGATCTTTCACATTTCTGCATTTCTTGCAGATGATCCAGACTGTCTTTTAAAGAATGATTGTCTAGCAAAAAGCCTTGGAAAGTAGAGATGGTATCTCTCTCCAGAGCATTGAGCAGGTATACTTACAGCCCAAATATAACAGTCAGGTTCCCTAATCTCAGAGTTTCTCTCCTGTAATGCAACCCACTGTGTGTGCAGGTGTCATTTGGCCCCCTTTGGGCCACCATGTAAGAATTGAAACACTGGAAGTGGAGCAAAATGCTGATACTCTGGCCACTGCTACTGCTGTAAATGATAAGCTGTTCTCACCTTAGATTCAGTAATCTCATGTCTTCTAATGGCATAGTCAGTAGCTTACAAGTAGGGTAAAATCTCCACCCTGCACAGTTCTTGATGGTACCATCTATCCATCCACTTTTTAAAAGACTAAAGCACAAATTTGAATTACTTAGATGATATTTTTCTGTCTAACAGTTATTTATTTGAGTTGACACTATGAAGAGAACAGGCTATAGCCACAGGGCCCAACTTTTATTCAGGTTATATCCCACTTCCATCTTTGCCTGTAATCAGTCCATACTAGTCCTTAAGAGTAGATTAATGCCACAATGTGATTTTTATTTATTTCTTTATTTTTACCCTGCCACGCTCCAAAAGAGGACTGGCGTTACCTGACAAAAATTCATCAAATGCAACAAAATAAAAAACGAGTAAATGAGGAAGCTGTGTTAAAAGAAGAAATCAGGGCAGGATAAATAAAAATGAAACTAGGCATGCATGCTGTCACGTCCTGGAGATGGGTCATAGATCCGGTACTGAGCTTTTTTACAGGCATTGCAAAGATGAAACTATGTAAGGCCCAAATGTACTTGCTTTTCATGTGCTTCATTAAGTTTATTATCAGCTTTTCCCTACACAAGATTTGTATCCTCATAAGTCTAGTTTAGGGGTGAATCACAAAATCCAAAAACTATTTACACTTTATTCACATGAGCATTATTGGAGAGAGGAAAACTAGTGCAACATTTAACTCTATCACTTACTATTTGTATGAACCTGGTAAAATCCCCTAGTCTTTCTGACTGTCTATTGTGTATCTATAAAATTAGGGGCAAGACCAATCTCACAAAGTTCATTTGTTCATTCATATTTTCATTCAAATACATCATGAGTGCTTACAATGTCCCAGGTTCTGTTCTGAGAACTGAAATAGGAGTGAACAAAACATCATGGAGTGTATATAAGGCAGGAGATATGGGTCAGAAACAGTGTAACTAAGTAAATATAGATTATCTCAGGTGATTTTACTATGGAATAAATAAATCAGGCAGGGTGTGGTGGCTCACACCTGTAATCCCAACACTTTGGGAGGCTGAGGCAGGCGGATCACCTGAGATCAGGAGTTTGAGACCAGCCTGGCCAACATGGCGAAACCTCATCTTTACTAAAAACACATACACATACACAAAAATTAGCTGGGTGTGGTGGCGTGCACCTGTAGTCCCTACTAATCAGGAGGCTGAGGCAGGAGAGTCGCTTGAACCCAGGAGGCCGAGCTTGCAGTGAGCCGAAATAGCGCCACTGCACTCCAGCCTGGGTGACAGAGCAAGACTACATCTCAAAAAAAAAAAAAAAAAGAAAGAAAAAAAAGACATCATGGAGGGGCACAGTGAATGCTGGGAGAGGGCAGGAAGATTGCAGTTTTAAAGAGAGATCAGGGAAAGTCTTATTGAGAAGATATGAGTCAAGCAGAGATCTGAAGAAGAGAGGAGTGAGCCTATGGATACATGGGGAAGAGCACTCCATGCAGATGAAACCCTAAGGGCAAAGGCCCCAACTCGATAGCTGGGAACAGTGAAACAGAGAAGGAGGGAAATCCAATCCAAGGTCATTATTGAGCTGTAATTGTATTTGATCTTTATACTTTTTTCTAGTTTCCTTTTTTTTTTTTTTTTTTTACTACAAACATATATTACTTTTACAACTGGAATGTAGTTTTTCCTTATATACATGACCTCACTGGGGACCATCTCAGGAGCCATGTAGAGTGTGCCTGAAGATTGCCCATTCAAGAGATGGGGGGAGGAGGATTCATCTATGTGCTTCTACCCCTGACTGTTCATGGGCTGCCCCTGAAGCATGTGTCAGAGTGGCTGAATGGGTTCCTGCTGCCTCCCCATGCAACATGAGAGAAAGAACCCTGAGCACACAGTGGACAATAGGTAGGCAGATAGGGTGTCATGTTGTCAGCAGGCAGCTGGCAGCTGCAGCTATGGCTGGCATAGGGGTGGCCAGGAAGATGTGAAACACAGCATGAGCACCTCTGCATTCACAGCAGGGAACACTTTGGGGTCTGTAAAGATGAGTGTAGATACGTTTTCTAGAGTTCAGCATCAGGAAGTAAAATGATGATTTCTTAATAAATTTAGCTATGATTTAGTGAGCAGTGACATGGACTTGGTGAAAAGATTTCATTTCTAGCACAGCACATGCTCCTTTCCCACCTTGTGGCATCTCCAAGGCTCAGATTCATTATGTGAAAGCAGAAAGCAATACTTCAACAGCTGGTATAAAAATGAAATTAGATGATAGAGACATTTACATACATATACATATATACTGAATATATGTGTATATGCTATCTTTGTAAAGTGAATACATAGAATTTTATAAAATGTGAGTCCCTATGGAAATGCTCTTGTTGGTCCCCATCACGATGCTGAGCAGAGCTCTGGCAGGGGAAGGGTCCTGGGCAAGGCTTACACAGACCTCTTGGATCCCACACAGCCAGCACAGCCAGCTTCCTATTTCCTGAAGAGCAACATAGTTGAATCTGGGGCACCAGTTCTTCCCACTCTGTTCTCTTTCCTCCTTCCCAGTGTGACCCCTTTCTGTTATCAATCAATGAGTGTGACCATCAGAGAATCCCACTGTGGCCACTGAGATGCTCTTTTACAACAACATGCAGTGTGGATTCTGCCAAAGACTCCCCTACCTACACTTATTTTGTCAGAGAAAACCACTGACAATGTTCAGCCCACTCTACACCGTTGTTTTATTAAGTGAAATCCATAATCCATAGAAACCAGGAATGTTAAATTGTTAATAGTACCTTAAAAGTTTCACTTCTTCCCTTTAATTATTTCATTGAACTTTAAAGGAGGCAAAAGATTATAATTTGTAATCATAAATTTGTATTGTTTCCTTAATTTGATTTGATATATCCCAAGATATACCTTATGTACTTTTTTTTTTTTTTTTTGAGACAGAATGCCACTCGGTCGCCCAGGATGGAGTGCAGTGGTGTGATCTCAGCTCACTGAAACCTCTGCCTCCCGGGTTCTAGCAAATCTCCTGCCTCAGCCTTCCAAGTAGCTGGGATTACAGGTGCCTGCTACCATGAGCAGCTAAATTTTTTGTATTTTTAGTAGAGACAGGGTTTCACCATGTTGTTCATGCTGGTCTTGAACCCCTGACCTCAGGTAATCCACCTGCCTTGGCCTCCCAGAGTGCTGGGATTACAGGTATGAGCCGCTGAGCTCAGCCTGTATCTGATATACTTTATATGAAAAAAATACAGTTGTAAAAGTAATATATGTTTGTGGTTAAAAAAAGGAAACTAGAGAAAAGTATGAAGATCAAAATACAGACAATGACTTCTAATATGTTGATGTATTTGTTTCCAATATAGTCACTTTTTATGTACTTGGGATTTTTTTCAGAAGTACAATTTTGTATCCTGTTTTTCTCTATAATTTTATAGTGAGATCATTTTCATATGCAAGTGTAAAAAATCAGAGGTTAGCAGTAGAAAAAGTGAGTGAAAGGGAATTCAGCACCTCTGCAACGGACAGATGGGTCCTCTCAGGCATGGCCACAGAATAAGGTGGAGAGGAGAGCTCTGGGCAGGTGAATAAAGACAGGCCACAGTGAATAACTAAGGACTAGAAGCTTCTGATGTGAGCAGAGGGACGAGAATACTTCCCCCAGTTGTCCATCACACACTGTTGTATCCTAGGCAGCCTCAGAGCAAAATCCCACATGCCCACTTGGGTAGTCTGATGCTGTTTCTAAATAAATTTGCTGTCCAACCATTTTCTGTTGGCTGTCCAGATAAGGTTTTATTGTTTATTGCTATACAAATCTCCAGGAGTCAGATTTATTCTTTCAGCTTCACATAGTCCCCCATGTGAAACTCAAAGAAAATAAAAAGCTGGAAGATGTGGGAGGAAGAAGTGATAAGCTTAGGGATTCTTTATTCAGTGAATAGAGAATTATTTTCTCTGAATTCAAGGTTATATTCACTTTCATAGATCAGGACGCTGGTCTTTACATTCGGATTTCAAGGAAGGCTACACTTATAAATTAGTAAAATGTATGAGTCATCCCAAAGTTGTGTTTGATCCAAGATTCAGCTACCAGCCTAGCATAACACCCAGCATCTGTCCTACATTCAGTGGGCCCTTTATTAAAATATCATTCCTGGAATCAACCAGTCTTGGTTTTAAACTATAGAATTTTTATTGCTGTCCACATTAATACACAATTACCAAAAATACTAGACTCTTGTTAGAGGTCAGTGATGATTTGAGACTGTATATTTATATGTTAATGCATGCTTGGATTATAAGGCAGAGCTTCCCAAAAACCACAGCAAGTGTAGTTTTCAAAAATGAACTTTGGATAATAACCATGACCCCTGCATTCCAAAGACATTACAAGATGTGAACCACACTGTTATGTGGTTGTGGCTTTTGAAACAAAATTAATCTTTTGGGAAATACAAGGCTCAAGAGGAAAAAATAAGAGAAAAAACTGGGTAACTCAGTGAAAAGCATACAAAGATGGGTTCCATTAAACCAGTAGAAAGTTTCTTTTCAGGTCAATTAACCTCACAGATCATAGAAGTTATTAAGCTGAATTATTTATTCAAAGGATAAAACCCTAAAGGAAAGGAAGAAGATCTTTAAATGGCACTGCCTTGCACAGATTTTAGGCAATAAATCAAGTTCCCAAACAATTTCAGTTACTAAAGTCCTGAAGTGTATTAGATTACCAAATCAAGTGATATAGAAGGAGGCAGCACAGTCCATGTTTGAATATATATGCATTATTGCATTCATGCCTGACTCTGCTGAGTTAGGAAGAAATGCACGTGTTTTCACAGGTAGAATAATTTTCCAGCTTTTAGTCCCAAATGGACACAACACTGACACCAAGAAAATTGACAGAATATTATTGAAGCTTAGATCCTGTTATATGTGAATACAAATGCTTTGCTCCTTTTGAACCCTTAGCAAAAGGGAGCGCTTCTTAGAGATTAGGGTCTCCTGCAGGAGATGAGGAGCAAGCATCAAAATTGGCAGTTTTGTGCTTTCATGCAATCAATATTGTTTATGAATTGCTCCAACATGGCTGCATCCATTTAAAGTGGGGGAAGAAAGACACTACAAATACACACACTTGAGAATTTCAGGAAATTACCCAAATGCTCAAATCCTTGCTGGGGGCAATGGTTTTCAATAGGAGTTTACATGATAAATCCATGCACTGAATACATTTAAAAAATAATAATCTGGCAGTGCATGGAACAATAGCACACCCATATCGCCTGTTTATTTTGAAACAGTCCTTTGTCAGAATGTGTCTGAAATTAGGCCATCAAAAAGGAAACAAGACAAAGAAGGCCCAGAATGACTGAAGCAGGCAAGGCCGCTTATCCAGTAGACCCTGACAATGCCACGCATGCTGCGGAAACTGCTCAGACAAGAGCTTACAAAGAAGCAGACAAAGCCAGCATGGAAACGGGTGATAAGCAGAGATCTGCGGCCATCAAGAGGGAGAGAAGAGGAGGCAGCTGCAAAGACTGAGGCCAGAAAACCAATGGAGAGTCAGGTAGTAGATAAATGCAGCGATAGTAATGATGCTGCATTTATCTGGGCTGGAATTCACTGGCTGGGTGTCACTATTGTCAGTGTGCTCTTGGTCATCTGACGGCTTGTGAACTACTGATGAACAAGGTTGATTTCCATGGCCAAAGTTATGTTAGGGTTTTGAAAGGGAGAGAAAAGATCTTGTAGATCCCAAGTTTGGTTTTGAAAAATATCATGTCTGAAACTAGAGTAAACAGCAAAGGCTAAATTTTCAAAAACAAAAAACTAGGGCCAGCATTTGTGAGAAAGCCCATTCACACCCACACGCTGGCTGGCGCAGGAGATGTGGGCATAACTTGCAGGGAAGTTGCTTCGGAAGTGAGAGCCCACTGACAGCCGTCATATCTCTCCCAGCATAATCTTGTAGTTACAGCCCCATCTTCTGTGAGTGCAAGATTGCCACTTTTTTAAGAACTTTTTTTAACACCTGAGTCATTTCTTTACAAGGGACAAGTGTTCCCACAAGACAAGTGATGTTCAAGGTGCCAAGAGAAGCTGTTTTTGTGTGTGTTTTGTTTTGTTTTGTTTTGTTTAAAAAAAAAAAAAAAAAGGAATGGGCAAGAACCATAACTCCAAAATATCCTCCTGGGCTGAACTTTCCATTTCCACACCTGCAGTTTTCTAAGGTGTGCTTAAATGATCCATTTAAGGAATTTTGCCAGCTAGTCCGTTTTGTTTTGTTCCTTCTACTGTGGATGGATGAAAAAGCAGTTATAAAACCATCGCTAAAGAACCAAAGGCAAAGACAGGATTCGTACATCCTAAACTCCCTGTTCTGGATTCTCGGTGGATGTAAGAATATCAAAAGTTACATTGCATTTTCCACAGTGGAGAAATATAATTTAACAAAAGCACCGTGAGTGGTACATAAACTCTTTAGTAGCTGGTTAAAAGGTTAAAGGAAAGGAGAGTAAATAACTCATCCTTAAGAAGGGAGAAGACTCCCTGATCCTGGTTTTAGAAATTGATCCCTAGTTCAAGCACAAAGCAATGACGGGGAAAAAAACTGACCACAAATATTGTTTTCTCCCCATTATGTCTCACTCCAGCCTGCATAATTAGTTGGAGAAAGTTTCACGTCTGATAGCCCCACTCTCAGTCCATGTCTGCAAAATTACGACTGTGTTGTGGTTTCTTAGCTCCGAAGACTCCATGGGCATTTAGCAGGAAGGCCACATCTCTCATTCAGCAAGGTGGCAGGTTTTGCGGGGGTTCTGGGGAGTTTGTGATTGCTGCTTCGTGTGCACAGAGTGAGAATTGCTCTTTGAAGCACATCCATAATTTCAAAGTGAAAAGCAGTCTTTGAGAAAAGTGCCTGTGATAGGTAGTCTCCTAATAACAGTAGAAAATTATTTCCACAGCATTTGGGACTCTAACAACCCTGGTGACATCTCCTCCCAGTTCAGCAGTCACCATTCCTCTTTGGGATTACAAAAAGGTGATAGCACGCCTGGGCCTCATTATAACAAGACTCCAGGGGGTGTGGAAAGAGCTTTTCTCCAGTCTAAAATAATTGTGTCAGCTGTAAAAACTGTGTACTGACCCCCTTTGTATCAAAGATCATATTGTGATGAAGAGGCATCTTTCTTTCTTTCTTCCTTGTAGTTACATTCCCAATGCTGGAAGAAAAGATTTCCCTGTGTGATTACCTTGAGGGGTACCAGCACTGTTAATAACAAGTCAGTCCAGCCCAGATTCTAAATGTTAATAGACTGACGGGCCTGGGGGAGAGTTTTCAGCTGGGGAAGCGGGCTGGCAGCAGCCCATCTCCCAGCATTGACTCATGCCTGAATCACAGCCAGGCTGGCAGGATGTTGTTTTGGGGAAGTTCACAGGCCTGTCAAAAACCTGCTGTTGCCATTGGCTGATATTATGCAAGATTCCAAATGATATTTATTTATATTCTCCTTTGAGTTTGTTTTGTGGCTCCCCCTCCCCCCTACAGGCACTAGAGCTTCAAGTGACCAAAAAGAAAAAGAACATTTAAAAGATAGGCAAGAGCTCATCAAAAATAAAAGGCACTCTGCCACCGAACTCCCTTCAGCTCTCAGGTCAGAGCAGTGCCAAGCAATTTGCTCTAATTCATTAAAGCCCTTTCTTCACTCTTCCATTGGACAGGTGCAATTGAGAGACAGGCCTGGGGATAAGGCAGAGCCCCCGTTTAGATTTCCACCCATGGCAAAGAAAAACGTGCAGTTGCATGCAGGCATATTCCTTTCCACACTTGTAAAATATCTTTATAACTTGCTGGGCTAACAGATTAAGCATTTAACTTCTCTGATGGGGTTTAGCCTAGGACTGGGAGGATTTCCTTTGTTTCATGTCTGACTGATGATGGGTGTGAGGGCGGGGCAGTGACTGTGCAGCTCTTAGAAGATTCAAGGAGACTTGAGCTTTTCAATCTCAGTTTCTCCCACTCCTGGAGTCTGTAGGAGTTTAACTGGAGAGCTAAGGAAATTCTCCCAACTGTATATTATGAAGCACTGATAAGTTCCTTTGCAGAAACTTGGTAGGCAGAAAGAGTGTGAGTGAATTCATTTATATGCCTAATTTAAGACATAATTGAGAGGCACAGTGTTCTAATAGATGGAGTTCTGGCTGAGGAATTAAGAAACCTGAGTTCCATTCTTAGCACAGATGATGGCTCAGTGCAGGGAAATCAAGGGCTGGCACTTTCCAGAGGAATTTGAACTCTAGAGACAGTCAATTCAGGACACAATTATTCAGAAATACAGCCATGATCCCCATTATCTAGAGCTTTCATTGTTCCGATAAAAACCAAATTTAGCTCTCCCTAAATTCTTAGCAAAGTCCTAATAAAAAATGGTATTTGAGTTGAGCCTCTAGAGGGGAAAAGAAGGTATTATTTAGCATTCACTCTTCAAGGGGGAGCTTTCTTTGGAACATTGTTCAAAGCAGACCTGTGGTGTGGAGGAGGGGCTCCCCCAACCCTGGTGATGGGGAGGCACACCAGGGCTCTTTCAAGTCCTGCCTAGGGCACTGGACACAGCTGTACTACTGCCTCCCTGAAAATATGACCTTGGCCATTAGCCTGAGTGCTTGGTAGTTGTTTCCATCTAAACAGCACACTCTGGGAAGATGTGGGGAAAAGCAAGAGAGATCAGATTGTTACTGTGTCTGTGTAGAAAGAAGTAGACATAGGAGACTCCATTTTGTTATGTACTAAGAAAAATTCTTCTGCCTTGAGATTCTGTTAATCTATAACCTTACCCCCAACCCCGTGCTCTCTGAAACGTGTGCTGTGTCAACTCAGAGTTAAATGGATTAAGGGCGGTGCAAGATGTGCTTTGTTAAACAGATGCTTGAAGGCAGCATGCTCCTTAAGAGTCATCACCACTCCCTAATCTCAAGTACCCAGGGACACAAAAACTGCGGAAGGCCGCAGGGACCTCTGCCTAGGAAAGCCAGGTATTGTCCAAGGTTTCTCCCCATGTGATAGTCTGAAATATGGCCTCGTGGGAAGGGAAAGACCTGACCGTCCCCCAGCCCGACACCCGTAAAGGGTCTGTGCTGAGGAGGATTAGTAAAAGAGGAAGGAATGCCTCTTGCAGTTGAGACAAGAGGAAGGCATCTGTCTCCTGCCTGTCCCTGGGCAATGGAATGTCTCGGTATAAAACCCGATTGTATGCTCCATCTACTGAGATAGGGAAAAACCGCCTTAGGGCTGGAGGTGGGACCTGTGGGCAGCAATACTGCTTTGTAAAGCATTGAGATGTTTATGTGTATGCATATCTAAAAGCACAGCACTTAATCCTTTACATTGTCTATGATGCAAAGACCTTTGTTCACGTGTTTGTCTGCTGACCCTCTCCCCACAATTGTCTTGTGACCCTGACACATCCCCCTCTTCGAGAAACACCCACAGATGATGAATAAATACTAGGGGAACTCAGAGGCTGGCGGGATCCTCCATATGCTGAACGCTGGTTCCCCGGTTCCCCTTATTTCTTTCTCTATACTTTGTCTCTGTGTCTTTTTCTTTTCCAAATCTCTCGTCCCACCTTACGAGAAACACCCACAGGTGTGTAGGGGCAACCCACCCCTACAGAAGATTTTAGATTTAGAAGACAAAGCAATCAATGCTCATAGCTTCACTGCCCTTACATACACTGCAATCTGCTCTCTGCCTAAAGTTGTTGGGAATACTAACGAAGTAAATGCAAGTAATTTTAGGAAACTTTCTCAAGCCATCATGATTATATAAACATAAATCTCAAGTACAGTTATCACCAAATTATGTTACCAAATATTCCCCTCGAACTAATGATCATTTAACGAATTAACAAAGTGGTCCACTACATAATACCGTAATTGGAGGTTCCACACAAAATAGTCACTTCCTCTCCAGCACTAAGAACCTCTTTTGATTTATTTTCCCCATGTGTCTTAATTTGTTGAGTGTCAAAAATTGTATTCCTATCATTTTTGGCTTTATCAATGATGAACATGTTTTTATTATATTTTACTGACTTGGTCTTTCACTAGACAGTTATTGGTGTCAAATATGGACCATGCACCTTGCTAGGTATTTGGGATGCAAAGACAGATGTCTATCCCTGGCCTTAAGGAGTGACAGTCTGGAAAGGAAAGACAGACCAGTCAGGATAGGACTGGGTCACAGGCGCTCCGGTATGAGTCTCAGGTTTAGTAGAGATGCAAAGATGAGAGAGTATGGGAAAAGGAATAGGAGAGAGGAGGTAATGAATAGATATTTACTTATTTTTCTCAGTGGAAAAACAGGGTGTAGCCTTCTGAGCAAATTCAAGGCACAGCACAGTGTGAGGTGTTTGATGAATCTCAATGTTTGGAGCTAAGACATAGTAGAGAGCAGATGAGAGAAGGGCATAAGAAGTATGCAGAGGTCAGATCTTTGGAGTGCTGCTCATGCTTGTCTAGACTTTATCATGTAGGCAATGGGAAGTTATGGAAAGATTTTATCAAGACAAAGACATGACTCCGTATGCTTGAAAAGATCACTCTGGGGGTGGTCCATGGATAGAGGCTGGATTAGAGAGAGGTTTAATAAATATATACGCCCAAGTACACATTTTCTCTTCTATTAACAAAACCTGTATTTTTCTTGAGAAACTAACTGCTCCCCATGCACAATTGATGGGGGTTGTGTAGGATAACTTAACTCTTAACTCTTTTTCTGGCTCATTTGGGTAAGAGCAAAGGACAGCCCATCCTGGGATTTTGCTGAAGCAGTTAAAGAGGAGGCTGTCTCTTTCAGCTGAGATGGCAAGAACAGGCTGTAAGCCTGGAACTGAGCTGCCACCATGATGCACATTGGGAGAGCCTGCCTAGATGGAGTCGCACAGCGGAAAGTCCTAGGGTATAAGGATGGAGTGAGACAGAGCTCTCATTATATATTTCTATGATCTGGACTGAGCTGTCCCTGGGCCTTCAGATTTCTCAATTGTATAAGCTTATTTAGTTGAGTTTTCTGTCACTTGCAACCCAAAGTTTCCTAACTAATGCAGTGAAGAAGGGAGACCAGTTCTAACAAAACAGTTCAGATGAGAGATAAGAAGCGGCCAAACTAAGGCAGTAGCAGCAGGATTGAAGAAAAGAGTGACAAAAATGAAAGAAACTAAGGGGGCAGAAAACTAAGATTCAGTGACTGATTACATCTGAGGGTGAGGAGAGGAAGATACCTAGGATGATCCCCAGGTTTTTCACTTGACTGCCATGGCAGTGAAATTTACCACCATAGAGGATAGTTGATAAAGAGAAGGTACGAGGGAGAAGAGAATGAGTTTGATTTGGGATATGTTGAATTATGTCCTCAGGGACATCCAGGTAGAGATTAGAATAAGCAGTTTGATAATGATTCTGGAAGTCAGTAAAGAAGCCTGGACAAGCTTGAAATTGAAAATAACAACTGTAGGTTACAGATTCCTACAACTCATAACAACTATTTGAGATCCCAAGATCCCAAGGTGGGAGCAATCAATGGATATGAACAAAAAAATTGCTGTTTCTCAAAGAAAGTGCAACTTATGTTTTTGGTATGACACTTCTTGTTTTTCAGAACTGTTTAGGACATTGTTGAATTTTAACATCTCCAGATGCTGGCACTAAACGCTGGAGCACCTTCCATCCTTCAGTAAATGCAACAACTGGAAATGGCCCCCTATGGTTCTCAGTGTCCCCTGGAGGGGTAGTATCATCTTCCATACGCCGTGTGAATCACTATGACTAGTGTGTGGATCTGTGTGCTAGCATATGGGTAGCCTTCTACTCCTGTGTCCTTCATACAAATATAGAGGAAATCGCTCATCTGTAAGTTCAATGAAAAAGCCGCACAATGAATCCAACTCTGAAAAAGCTGAATGCTTTCACACTATGTCATCCTGCCTGCCTGTCCTGCTCTTCTCAGAACCCCAATCTTCTTAGATGAATGCTCAGAAGCTCTGTCTCCTGTAGCCACCTTCAGCCCACATACCACCTGTGCAAAAATGTACATACATATCAATGTGCATGAGCATGGTGTCACAACACACATCTAACTTTGTGTCTGTTTGCAGATGCGCATCCATGATATGGACCACTTGTGCCATTTCTAAGTTTGGGAAATATTTAATATCATTCAAAGCCAACCAATATGGCAGTATGCTTTGAAAGTGAAATTCTAGTAACATAAAAATCACATTTATCTGAAAATGAGCAGGTTTCCATGTGTGAGTAGTAAGGTACCCATGTGTTGAGAGTGACATGTAACGTGGGGTTTGTAAAAACCTCCGACAATGTTGAATATATAAAAGACATTACTGAAGTATGCAATGATTGGCTCCTTGATTCAATGAGTAATAGGTACCTCTCAGACTAATTTGAAAGCCTTCATTTTTTTTTGACAAGCTCTTTAATTTGCACAGTATCATGAATTAACTTGTATGTAAACATAGCAATTTGATGAATTAAATGCATTAAATAAAACGCATTGAGTGCATGAGATTTTATACACTTGCTCTTGGAGTAAGAATCTCAAGGAAATTAAGCTGTCTTTATCTTTTAAAGCAGAAGCTACAAGGGGCTAATTTTTTCTCTCATTTCTATTGGAATAAGAGAGGCTGTTGGGGAGGCAGGGGGAAGAGAAGAAAGGAAAAGTAACAGGAATCTAAAAGCAAAGGAAGAGTCATTGTCCATCAGTGCCATGTCTACTAGGCTAAAGGACAGTTTTCAGGCCCAGAGCCTGTGCAAGACAGAGAAGAACATAAATTTTAAAACATCTGGTCAACATTTCATGGCATCTTCACTTAATTTTCAAGTTGAGTCACATGTGTACCTGACTAGTTTATACTTTCCTTCCTACACCATTACTACTAAAGCAGAGACAATGGGAGGTAGAAAAATGAACTAGAAAATGTCTTCTCTCTACTGTATTTGCTACCGTATGTTCTACAGTGTGGTGAAGAAACTGGAGCCAGATACACTTGCTCCAGGGTGTAAAAAGGAAGCGGGGAAGAGCCAGGTCATTTTCTCTGCTCCTTTTTTTCCCAGGGAGGGGGCTCTCCAAGTGACACAGGATAGGAGAGCTCTGAAATTGGGGCTCACCCTGGGAGGGTCCTTGGCTTTGCTCAGGAAAGAATTCAAGAGTGAGCCAGGAGTGGAAGAAAGCAGGTTTATTGAAGTGGCAGTGTATAGAGAGTAGCAGTGTATAGGCCATTGGCTATCAGTATTTATGTTTATTTCTTTATTACATGCTAAATATGGAGTAGATTATTCATGAATTTTCCAGAAAAGGGGTAGAGAGTTGCCAGAACTGAGGGTTTCTCCCCCTGTTAGACTATATAAGGTAACTTCTGGACACTGCCATGGCATTTATAAACTGTCATGGCACTGGTGAGAAAGTTCCTTTTAGCATGTTAATGCATTATAATTAGTGTATAATGAGCAGTGAGGGCAAGCAGAGGTCACTTTCATTGCCATCTTAATTCTGGCTGGTTTCAGCTGGCTTCTTTACTACATTCTGTTTTATCAGCAGTGTCTTTGGGACTTGTGTCTTGAGAAACAAGTCCTGCCAACTTCCTATCTCACAAGTGCAGAGCCATTTACCAGAAAGAATGGCTTAGAATTGAGCAGTAGAGAGATCTGGCAACTCTTTGGGCTTTATATCTACTAAAACTCGGAAGAAAGCACAAATGTAGGTGTAAAAAAATGTTTTTGAAGCGTACTCAGCAATTTTCTTCAAATTGCATTTGCTTTTAATGTGGCAGTGTCATCCTCAAAGTCCCAGGATGAGCTACTTGTCTCACACTGAACAGAGTCTTATTCAGGATAAGCTGCCTCCTGGCAACGACCTCAACAACAAAGAAAGTCTTCTATGAATTGAAAATGCCAAGTTTACTTTTTAATATGCTTCACCAACGAACAAATAAAATTATGATACTGTTTTGTGATATCACATGGACCAAGGACAATTCTTTACCTCTTACTATTCCTGTGAAAACTAGATTTCCAAGACTCATTTTATTTATAAAATAATTATAATAATAATAACAGTAGTATTAGCACTAGCACTGTTGACAGGAATAGTATCAATAGTACTATGTATCAAAAACCTCCATTTTGTACTTGATTAATTGTAGCAATTATTCTCCCCATTTTATTGTTGAAAACACTGAATAGTAACAAAATCAAGGGACTTGCCAGAGATTACCCAGCTAGGAAGTGGTAAAGCAAAGTTTGAGGCTAACTCTGAAGACCTCACTTTTCCTGCTACAGCATTTCCTTATGCCCATAGTTTTCAAACATTAGCATGCATCAGAATCACCCACAGGACTTACTAAAACACAGATGCTGGGCCCTACTCCAGAGTTTCTTTCTGAGTGGGTCTGGAGTGGAACCCAAGAATTTGTATTTTTAACAAGTACCCAGGTAATGCTGATGCTTCTGGCCCAGAGATTGCACTTTGAGAACTACCACTCTATTTATATATTTTTTTTTATCATCCTTCTGTTCTCTGAAGGCTGTCTGCCCTTGTATTCAGAAGACCAAAGTGCTAATTCTACCTGGCATTGCTTTCTCCAATGTTGTCTGAAGACATACGTAAAATATGGGTTCATACTAAAGATGGAAACATGTTGGGTTAATGAGGCATTACCAACAATTAATGTCCTTAATGTTTAGCAAGCTCACAGGCTGTGAAAGGCAATTGGATGCAGGAGTCCCAGTAATGGTGCTCTTTCAAAGAAGTCCTTTGGGGAACATATTCTTATTTCAAAGGTAATGTTATTGAATATTCTTATGATAGTAAATCTGTATACTTTGTGGAAGTAACCTAGAGTCACCCAAAGTCTAATGAAGTAAATAAACAATAGAACAAAAATAAAACACATGATTTTAGACTTTTTATAAAAGGTCATTTTCTTGTGTGCCCTTTAGACAAATCCTGAATAAGATTTCAAAGGAAGAGGTTCAAACTTTCACAGAGTAATGGTAGGTTTCCAATGTAACTGCTTTGTGTATGTGGAAAGGATTTGGATCAAACAACTGTAACATTCCTCAAACTCTGAAATACAATTCAGTAGGAGGCTGTATCATAAAGTAATCTCAGTGCTTATCACTTTATATTGTCAATTGCAGCGTCCACAAATTCCATGGGAAACCAGCTGTATGAAATATTTTTCAGTGAACCTTTATTGAATCAACACATACATATGAAAATGTAAACAAATTCTAAGTATACGGCACAATGCATTTTCAGAACGAACACCTCCATGAACTCACCACCAGGTTAATGAAGCCTTACCAGCACCCCAGAAGTCCTCACCCTCTTGCCTACCCCAGCCACAACTCCTCTTGACGTAACCACTCTTCTGACTTTTATCATGACTGATTAATTTTGCTTATTTTTGAACTTTAAATGCCCTTGTGTCTGACCTATACCACTCAATATTATGCTTATGAAATTCATCCATATTATTGATGTAGCGATAGTGGTTCATTCTCATAGTGACATAGTATGCCATTGTATAAATAGACTACAATTAAAAAAATCATTCATGTTGTTAAAGGACACTTGAATTGCTTCTAATTCGGTGATATTACAAATGACATTTCTATGAACATTCTGGGGCTTGTCTTTTGGTGCCACCCCACATGTATCCCACCTAAAAGTGGAATTACTGGACTACAGAACATGCCCATGTTCAGTGTCAGTAGATACTGCCAGTTCTCCAAAGCATTGTGTCAAGGCACTCTCCCTTCAACAGTGTACAAGACACTGCACATCCTTGCCAGCACATGACATTGTCTGCATGTCTAAGTTTACCCATTCTGGTAGGCTTGTGGTTGTATCTAGTGGTTTCCACTTGCATTGCCCTGTTGACTCTGTACCCTTTTTCATGTTTACTGGCCATCTGAATAGTCTCTGTTGTAAGGGACCTGTATAAAGTTTTTGGTTTTTTTTTTGTTTTACTGGTTTGCATGCCTTTTTCTTATTTACTTTAAGAATTTTAGAATATATTTTGCATATGAATTATGTGTCAGTTGCATGTTTTGAAATTCTCTCTCTCATGCTTGCCTTTTCACTCTCTTAATGGTGGCTTTTAATAATTAGAAGTTCTTAAATTTTAATGTAGCCCAATGTACTCTTTCTCTTCACATTCAGTGATCTGTGTGTGCTTTTAAGACATCTTTGCCCATCCTAATGTCAGGAAGATAACTCCCAGTTTACTTGAAGGAGCTTTAATGTTGTGCCTTTCACATTTCAATGAACAATCTATCTAGAATTAATGTTTGCCTTTGGAGTGAGATAGGGGTCAATATTTGATTTTTTCCACTATGGATATGCAGACGACTCCAAATAATTTATTGAAAAGACCACTTTTTTCTCCATTGCACTGTGATGTCATTTCTGTGAATACATGTGTGTGTCTCTTTTTGGTCTCCATTCTTCCAATTTGTCTACTCAACTGTCTTTTCACAAACACCACACTGTCTTAATTACTGTGGCCTTATATTAAGTCTTGACATCTGCAAGTATAAGTTCTCTAGCTTTTTCCTTCTTCATTATTGTCATTTGCCACCCCTTGTATTTCCAGATATTTGAGAATCAGCTTCTCAGATCTGACAAAAAATTAACCTGGTGGGATTTTAATTATGACTGCAATAAGACTATAGATATTTGAAGTGGGGGAGAACTGACATCTTAACCAATTAAATCTTCCAAATTATGAACATGCTATGTTTCTCTATTTATTTAGACCTTCTTCAATGATTCTCAATAATATTTTATGGTTTTCTGTATAGAAACTACAGTTTCCCTTCACATCTTTTGGTCAATTTACCCATAAGAATTGGTGTTTTTACTTTTACACTGTTGGTGGGACTGTAAACTAGTTCAACCGTTGTGGAAGACAGTGTGGTGATTCCTCAAGGATCTAGAACTAGAAATACCATTTGACCCAGCCATCCCATTACTGGCTATATATCCAAAGGATTATAAATCATGCTGCTATAAAGACACATACACACATATGTTTATTGCAGCACTATACACAATAGCAAAGACTTGGAACCAACCCAAATATCCATCAATGATAGACGGGCACCATGGAATACTATGCAGCCATAAAAAGGGATGAGTTCATGTCCTTTGTAGGGACATGGATGAAGCTGGAAACCATCATTCTTGGCAAACTATCGCAAGGACAAAAAACCAAACACCACATGTTCTCACTCATAGATGGGAATTGAACAATGAGAACACTTGGACACAGGAAGGGGAACATCACACACTGGGCCCATCGTGGGGTGGGGGGAGCGGGGAGGGATAGCATTAGGAGATATATCTAATGTAAATGACGAGTTAATGGGTGCAGCACACCAACAAGGCACATGTATACATATGTAAGAAACCTGCACATTGTGCACATGTACCCTAGAACTTAAAGTATAATAAAATAAATAAATAAATAAAAGAAAAGAATTTGTGTTTTAATGCTATTGTGGTAATAATGTTCATTTTCTATTTTACATGCTGTTATAGATATATAATTGATTTTCATATATTGATCTTATATCTGGCAACATTAATAAATTTATTAATTCTAATAATTTATCTATAGACTTTTCTATTTTCTACATACATAATCATGTTACTTCCATATTTAGATAATTTTCTTTCTATTCAGTCTCTCTCCATTTTTCCTCTTTGATTTATTGTACTTGGTAGGTCTCCTTATACAACCCTGAATAGAAATGGTAATAGCACCAAGATGGCCAAACAGGAACAGCTCCAGTCTCTAGCTTCTAGCATCATCAATGCAGAAGACGGGTGATTTCTGCATTTCCAACTCAGATACCTAGTTCATCTCACTGGGACTGGCTGGACAGTGGGTGCAGCCCATGGAGGGTGAGCTGAAGCAGGGTGAGGTGTCACCTCACCAGGAAACACAAGAGGTTAGGGGATTTCCCTTTCCTAGCCAAGGGAAGCCATGACAGACTTCTTGGAAAAATGGGACACTCCCACCCAAATACTGCACTTTTCCCAAGGTCTTAGCAACTGACAGACAAGGTGATTCTCTCCTGTGCCTGGCTCCATGGGTCCCACGCCCATGGAGCCTTGCTCACTGCTAGCACAGCAGTCTGAGATCGATCTGCGAGATGGCAGCCTGGCTGGGGGAGAGGCATCTGCCGTTGCTGAGGCTTGAGTAGGTAAACAAAGCTGCTGGGAAGCTCGAACTGGGCGGAGCCCACCACAGCTCAACAAGGCCTACTGCCTCTAGACTCCACCTCTGTGGGCAGGGCATAGCTGAACAAAAGGCAGCAGACAACTTCTGCAGACATAAACGTCCCTGTCCCACAGCTCTGAAGAGAGCAGGGGTTCTCCCAGCATGGTGTTTGAGCTCTGAGGATGGACAGACTGCCTTCTCAAGTGGGTCCCTGATGCCTGTGTAGCCTAACTGGGAGAAACCTCCCAGTAGGGGCCAACAGACCCCTCATAGAGGTGGCTGCCCCTCTGGAATGAAGCTTCTAAAGGAAGGGTCAGGCAGCAATATTTGCTGTTCTGCAATATTTGCTGTTCTGCAACCTCTGCTGGTGATACTCAGGCAAACAGGGTCAGGAGTGGACCTCCAGCAAACTCCAACAGACCTGCGGCTGAGGGACGTGACTGTTAGAAGGAAAACAAACAGAAAGGAAGAGCATCAACATCAACAAAAAGGACATCCACTCCAAAACCCCATCTGTAGGTCACCAACATTAAAAACCAAAGGTAGATAAAACCACAAAGATGGGGAGAAACCAGAGCAGAAAAGCTGAAAATTCTAAAAATCAGAGCACCTCTTCTCCTCCAAAGGAACACAGCTCCTCACCAGCAATGAAACAAAGCTGGACAGAGAATGACTTTGACGAGTTGACAGAAGTAGGCTTCAGAAGGTCGGTAATAACAAACTTCTCCGAGATAAAGGAGGATGTTTGAGCCCATCACAAGGAATCGAAAAACCTTGAAAAAAGATTAGACAAATGGCTAACCAGAATAAACAGTGTAGAGAACCTTAAGTGACCTGATGGAGCTGAAAACAATGACATGAGAACTTCGTGATGCATGCACAAGCTGATTTGATCAAGTGAAAGAAAGGGTATCAGTGACTGAAGATCAAATTAATGAAATAAAGCAAGAAGACAAGATTACAGAAAAAAGAGTAAAAAGATACGAACAAAGCCTCCAAGAAATATGGGACTATGTGAAAAGACCAAATCTACGTTTGATTGGTGTACCTGAGAGTGATGGGGAGAATGCAACCAAGTTGGAAAACACTCTTCAGGATATTATCCAGGAGAACTTCCCCAATCTAGCAAGGCAGGCCAACATTCAAATTCAGGAAATACAGAGAACACCACAAAGATACTTTTCGAGAAAAGCAGCCCCAAGACACATAATTGTCAGATTCACCAAGGTTGAAATGAAGGAAAAAGTGTTAAGGGCAGCCAGAGAGAAAGGTCGGGTTACCCACAAAGTGAAGCCCATCAGACTAACAGCAGATCCCTCGGCAGAAACTCTACAAGGCAGAAGGGAGTAGGGGCCAATATTCAACATTCTTAAAGAAAAGAATTTTCAACCCAGAATTTCATATCCAGCCAAACTAAGCTTCATAAATGAAGAAGAAATAAAATCCTTTACAGACAAGCAAATGCTGAGAGATTTTGTCACCACCAGATTGCCTTACAAGAGCTCCTGAAGGAAGCACTAAACATGGAAAGATACAACCAGTACCAGCCACTGCAGAAACATGCCAAATTGTAAAGACCATCAATGCTATGAAGAAACCGCATCAATTAATGGGCAAAATAACCAGCAAACATCATAATGACAGGATTTAATTCACACATAACAATATTAACCTTAAATGTAAATGGGCTAAATGTCCCAATTAAAAAACACAATCTGGCAAATTGGAAAAGAGTCAAGATCCATCAGTGTGCTGTATACAGGAGATCCATCTCAAGTGCAAAGATGCACATAGACTCAAAATAAAGGGATGGAGGAAGATCTACCAAGCAAATGGAAAGCAAAAAAAATCAGGGGGTGTAATCCTAGTCTCTGATAAAACAGACTTTAAACCAACAAAGATCAAAAGAGACAAAGAAGGCCATTACATAACGGTAAAGGGATCAATTCAACAAGAAGAGCTAACTATCCTAAATATATATATGCACCCAATACAGGAGCACCCAGATTCAAAAAGCAAGTCCTTAGAGACCTACAAAGAGACTTAGACTCCCACACATTAATAATGGGAGACTTTAACACCCCACTGTCAATATTAGATCAGCGAGACAGAAGTTTAACAAGGGTATCCAAGACCTGAACTCAGCTCTGCATCAAGCGGACCTAATAGACATCTACAGAACTCTCCACCCCAAATCAACAGAATATACATTCTTCTCAGCACCAAATCACACTTATTCCAAAATTGACCACATAATTGGAAGTAAAGCACTCCTCAGCAAATGTAAAAGAACGGAAATCACAACAAACTGTCTCTCATACCACAGTGCAATCACATTAGAACTCAGGATTAAGAAGCTCACTCAAAACCACACAACTACATGGAAACTGAACAACTTGCTCCTGAATGACTACTGGGCAAATAATAAAATGAAGGCAGAAATAAAGATGTTCTTTGAAACCAATGAGAACAAAGACACACTGTACCACAATCTCTGGGACATATTTAAAGCAGTGTGTAGAGGGAAATTTATAGCACTAAATGCCCACAAGAGAAAGCAGGAAAGATCTGAAATCGACACCCTAACATCACAATTAAAAGAACTAGAGAAGCAAGAGCAAACACATTCAAAAGCTAGCAGAAGGCAAGAAAAACTAAGATCAGAGCAGAACTGAAAGAGATAGAGACACACAAAAAAAAAAACTTCAAAAAATCAATGAATCCAGGAGGTGGTTTTTTGAAAAGATCAACAAAATTGATAGACCACTAGGAAGACTAATAAAAAAGAAAAGAGAGAAGAATCAAATAGACTCAATAAAAAATGATAAAGCGTATGTCACCACTGATCCCACAGAAATACAAACTACCATCAGAGAATACTATGAACACCTCTACACAAATAAACTAGAAAATCTAGAAGAAATGGATAAATTCCTGGACATATACACCCTCCCAAGACTAAACCAGAAAGAAGTTGAATCCCTGAATAGACTAATAACAGGCTCTGAAATTGAGGCAATAATTAATAGCCTACCAACCACAAAAAAAGTCCAGGACCAGATGGATTCACACCCAAATTCTACCAGAGGTACAAAGAAGAGCTGGTACCATTCCTTCTGAAACTATTCTGATCAATAGAAAGAGGGAATCCTCCCTAACTCATTTATGAGGCCAGCATCATCCTGATACCAAAGCCTGGCAGAGACACAACAAAAAAAAGAGAATTTTAGACCAATATCCCTGAAGAACACTGATGCAAAAATCCTCAATAAAATATTGGCAAACCAAATCCAGCAGCACATCAAAAAGCTTATCCACAACGATCGAGTTGGCTTCATCCCTGAGATGCAAGGCTGGTTCAACATATGCAAATCAATAAACATAGTCCATCACATAAACAGAACCAAAGACAAAAACCACATGATTATCTCAATAGATGCAGAAAAAGCCTTTGACAAAATTCGACAGTCCTTCATGCTAAAAACTCTCAATAAACTAGGTATTCATGGAATGTATCTCAAAATAATAAGAACTATTTATGACAAACCCACAGTCAATATCATGCTGAATGGGCAAAAACTGGAAGCATTCCCTTTGAAAACTGGCACAAGACAGGGATGCCCTCTCTCACCACTCCTATTCAACATAGTGTTGGAAGTTCTGGCCAGGGCCATCAGGCAAGAGAAAGAAATAAAGGATATTTAAAATTAGGAAATAAGGAAGTCAAATTGTCCCTGTTTGCAGATGACATGATTGTATATTTAGAAAACCCCGTCATCTCAATCCAAAATCCCCTTAAGCTCATAAGCAACTTCAGCAAATCTCAGGATACAAAATCAGTGTGCAAAAATCACAAGCATTCCTATACACCATTAACAGACAAACAGAGAGCCAAATCATGAGTGAACTCCCATTCACAATTGCTACAAAGAGAATAAAATACCTAGGAATCCAACTTACAAGGGCTATGAAGGACCTGTTCTAGGAGAACTACAAACCACTGCTCAAGGAAATAAAAGAGGACACAAACAAATGGAAGAACATTCCATGCTCATGGATAGGAAGAATCGATATCGTGAAAATGGCCATACTGCCCAAAGTAATTTACAGATTCAATGCCATCCCCATCAAGCTACCAATGACTTTCTTCACAGAATTGGAAAAAACTACTTTAAAGTTCATATGGAACCAAAAAGGAGCCCACATTGCCAAGACAATCCTAAGCAAAAAGAACAAAGCTGGAGGCATCAGGCTACCTGACTTCAAACTATACTACGAGGCTACAGTAACCAAAGCAGCATGGTACTGGTACCAAAACAGAAAACTAGACCAATGGAACAAAACAGAGGCCTCAGAAATAACACCACACATCTACAATCATCTGATCTTTGACAAACCTGAGAAAAACAAGCAATGGGGAAAGGATTCCCTATTTAATAAATGGTGCTGGGAAAACTGGCTAGCCATATGCAGAAAGCTGAAACTGGATCCCTTCCTTACACCTTATACAAAAATTAATTCAAGATGGATTAAAGACTTAAATATTAGACCTAAAACCATAAAAACCCTAGAAGAAAACCTAGGCAATACCATTCAGGACATAGGCATGGGCAAGGACTTCATGTCTAAAACACCAAAAGCAATGGCAACAAAAGCCAAAATTGACAAATGAGATCTAATGAAACTAAAGAGCTTCTGCAGGGCAAAAGAAACTACCATCAGAATGAACAGGCAACCTACAGAATGGGAGGAAATTTTTGCAATCTACCCATCTGTCAAAGGGCTAATATCCAGAATCTACAAAGAACTCAAACAAATTTACAAGACAAAAAAACAAACAACCCCATCAAAAAGTGGGCAAAGGATATGAACAGAAACCTCTCAAAAGAAGACATCTGTGCAGCCAACAGACAAATGAAAAAATGCTCATCATCACTGGTCATCAGAGAAATGCAAATCAAAACCACAATGTGATACCATCTCAAGCCAGTTAGAATGGCAATCATTAAAAAGTCAGGAAACAACAGATGCTGGAGACGTTGTGGAGAAATAGGAACACTTTTACACTATTGGTGGGAATGTAAATTGGTTCAACCATTGTGTAAGACAGTGTGGCAATTCCTCAAGGATCTAGAACTAGAGTTAACATTTGACCCAACAATCCCATTACTGGGTATATACCCAAAGGATTATAAATCATGCTACTATAAAGACACATGCACATGTATGTTTATTGCAGCACTATTCACAATAGCAAAGACTTGGAACCAACCCAAATGTCCATCAATGATAGACTGGATTTAAAAAACGTGGCACATATACACTGTGGAATACTATGCAGCCATAAAAAATGATGAGTTAATGTCCTTTGCAGGGACATGGATGAAGCTGGAAACCATCATTCTCAGCAAACTGTCACAAGGACAGAAAACCAAACACTGCATGTTCTCACTCATAGGTGGGAACTGAACAATGAGATTACTTGGACACAGCGCGGGGAACACCACACACCAGGGCCTGTCGGTGGGTGGGGGACTGGGAGAGGGATAGCATTAAGAGAAATACCTAATGTAAATGATGAGTTGATGGATGCAGCAAACCAACGTGGCACATGTATACCTGTATATCAAACCTGCATGTTGTGCACATGTACCCTAGAACTTAAAGTATAATAAATTAAAAAAAAAAAGAAATGGTGATAGCAGACATCCTTATCTCATGGCATAGCTCAGAAACAAAGCTGTATGTTTTTTACCATGATGTTTGACATTTACTGGATGTTGTTGGGCTTTCTTAGTCAAATTAAAGAAATTTCCCTTTGTTCCTAGTTTGCTAAGAGGTTTTTAATATGCGTTGAATTTATCAAATGTTTTTTCTATATTCCTTAAAATGACTGTATGACTATATTTCTGCTTTATTTGGTTGCTATAGTTAATTGTATTGATTGATTTTCAAATGTTAAACCACACCTAAACATTCTTCAGATAAACCCAAAGTAGTTGAAATTTATTACCTTTTAATTTATAGATGGATTAGAATTGCTACTATTTTGCTTTGGATTTTTGCATCTAAATTTATGACAAAGTTGATCAGGTTTTATCATGTTTTGGTGTAAAACTAATGTTAGTCTTACAAAAAAGTTGGGAAATATTCTCTGAAGAGATGCGTAAGCTTGAAGTCACTTCTTCCTTAAATATTTGGTAAAACCTGCCAGTGAAACCTTTGAGGATTGATTTCTTTGTTAGTCAATTTTTAATTCAAGAAACTAATTTAATTGGCATAGGATCATTCAGATCTTTTGGTAAGACGTGAGATTCTAGAAATTTGACAATTTCATTTAAATTTTTTAATCGATTGGCACAAAGTTGCTTATAATATCTTTTTATTCTTGTAACATGTAGGATTTCTACTGATGTCTTCTTTTTAGTCCTTATATTTGTTATTTGTGCCTATTCTCTTTCTTCCTTGACTGGAAGTTACCAGTTGCATTTGTTCAAGGCTTCGACTTTTGTCTTCCTTCAACTTTTTTTTCATAAACTGTAATATTTTCTAAACTATAAATTCTGTAATCACACAAAGAGTGCAGAGCAAGAGAAACCTCAAACAACAAGGACTAAACATCAAAGACTATAGGAACACCACGAAGTACATTACAGACAAGATTCTGAAACATAAGTTATTAACTGGTTTCTTTACATTTTTATTTCAGTAACTTTATTGTAAAATTATTGTTATTTATATATTTTAAAGTACCAAATTCACATCTATTCTCACATAAAATTTAGCTTTCCACTCATATTAATGCCAAATATCTCATAGCCAAATTTTAGTGATGTTTTTATGTCAATTTGTGCAGAAAAATAAGACACAATTCAAGAGTCAGATGCAGATGGTTCTACTAAACATTTGTTTTCTATTTCAGTAATTTCTGACTTTATCTGTATAATTTATTTCCTTCTACTTCCTTCAGATTTCATTTGTTGTCATTTATCTAACTTTCTAGGCTGGATATTTAGATCATTTATTTTATGACATTTTTCTTTTTATTAGTTTATGAGCCCATAAATTTTCCTTCTAACAAGCTTTAGCTTCATACCAAAGTACTTGTATGTCACATTTTATTATCATTAAGTTTAGAATACTTTCTTATTTTCATTTAATTTATTCTTTGATCCACAGATTGTATAGAAGTATACCTTTTTATTTGAAAAACATTGTGGATGTCCTATTTGTTTTGTTTTTTTGTTTTAATTGTGATTTATTTATTTCTAGCTTAATTCCACTGTGTTTAGTAAGCATACTTTGAATTGTCTTAATCTTTTAAAACTGTTAAGTCTTACTTTATGTCTCAGCATATAGCCAATTTTGATTAAATATACTTGACTTTATAGTTAAAGTGTGTTGCCTATAAGAAATATACGATTGGGCTTTTTTCTTTTTCATCTAGCATGAATTTTAGTTTAAACATTTAGTCCATTCATTTTGAATGCAATTATTTATATATTTGAGTTTCTGTCTAAAATTTTAAATATTCATTTTCTTTTTGTCTCATATATATATATATATGGGTTTTTGTTATTGTTTTTGATGCAGAGTCTCACTCTCTTGGCCAGGCTGGAGTGCAGTGGTGCAATCTTGGCTCACTATAACCTCTGCCTCTTGGGTTCAAGCGATTCTCCCACCTCAGCCTTCTGAGTAGCTGGGACTACAGGTGCCTGTCACTACATCCAGCTAATTTTTGTATTTTTGGTAGAAACAGGGTTTCACCATGTTGGTCAGACTGGTCTCAAATTCCTAACCTCATGTAATCCACCCACCTCAGCCTCACAAAGTGCTGGGATTACAGGTTTGAACCACCACACTTGGCCTATATTTGTTTTATTTATATTTTGTGCCTTCTTTTGGATTGAGCAAGTATTTTTCTTCCACTTTTTCTCCTCTGTTAGTTTCTTAATTTTTCTTTTTTACTATCATTTTAGTTATTATCCCAGAAATTACAACATCCCTCCTTACTACAGTCTAATATGAATGAAAAGTTTTACTACATAATCAGCCAAAGCTAAAGCCTTAAAGCACTTTAAATTTATCATGCTTGCTTCTGTATTTTGGCATAGTTGTTACACATTTTCCACATATATTGCAAACATGCAAAGGCTTTGTTATTATTGTTGTTTTTTAATCTATATTCACCTAGATTTATTCATATTCTCACTTACTCTTTTGCTGTTAATTTTTTCCTGCATTTCTTTGCTTTCATTTGGGGCTACAGTCTTTCCTTAGTGTTTCTTTGTCTAGACATGTCTTTATTTTACTTCACTAAAATTCTAGTTGGCACTTACTCACTTTTGGCACTTTAAGATGTAATATTATTGTTTCCCAATATTTCTCTTGAGAATCTTTTCATTCGTCTTCCTTTTTCTCTTTTGAAGATAGTTTATCTTTTTTTGCCCCTTGGCTACTTTTAAGATTTTTCCTTTGTCTTTAGTTTTCAACAGTTTTACTATGATGTGCCGAGTTGCAGTTTTCTTTGTATTTTCTCTGGATGGGGTCTGTAGTGCTTCTGAATTTATAGCTTGATGTTTACATTTTCAGTAATTTTGGAAAGTTGTTAATCCGTATTTCTTCAAGACTGTTTCTGCTCCATCCTCTCCCTCTCTCTCTCTCTCTCTCTCTCTCCTGACATTCCAGATGCACATGTATTAGAATTTTCAACATGTAGCTTATGTCTGCTTCAGTCTATATATTTTGTACTATCATCTCTTCCAGTTCCCTTATCCTCTCAACTGTGTCCATCTGATACTGAGTTCCTTATTATAGCTATTGTACTTTTCAGTTCTTAGAATTCTATTTTGTCTTTTTTTGATATATAGATTCTAATTATCTGGTGAAATTTTCCATCTCATAGTCTGTTTTCTCAGATATACCAATCGCAATTCTTAAGAGAAAAATGTATGACTGATAAATTAAATAGCTTGGATTCCCATAAGTCTTTGTCTATGGTGTGTTTTTCTCTTTGTTTTGTTTCTTAATATGAGTGGCAATTTCCTATTACTGCCAAAAATCATTTTTGGAATATTGTAAAGTCACAATGTTACCTCCCTCCCTAGTGAATTTACAATGTCCTTTGGCACAGAGTGAACACATCATTGTTACATTCTTTGAAGATTTAGTCTACTTAATCCTTAGGGTGTAGCGAATTGAAAGCCTAGGGCATTTACTAGTATCCACAGTTTTGGCTTGGCAGGTGTTGGACTCAAATTTTTATCTCCTTAGCACCATAAAACGGCCACATACACACAGACACACACACACACACACACACACACACACACACACACACACAGCCCTCCACTTCACTCTGCTTTTTAGCTGCTTTCTGTTCAGCTTCATAGCCTCTGGCCCTGCCTGGTTTCTAAATCACAAAATGCATTAAGGGGAAGACTAGTGCCAAATGTGAACTTACTTCTCTGTACTTGCCTTCTCTCTGGGATCTTGGCCCTTCAAGACCTGGTTGCTTTATCAGGCCCAAACTCCATTTTGTTACCCCAGCTCTGAGAAATCACCTGTACTTCTGCTTAGCTCCTCAGCCTCTTTCTTCATTTCACAAATTGGAAAAATACCTCTGGGGAAAAGCAGCATGCAGAATATTCCTCTCGCTGCAGTAAACTTCTCTTCTCTCTTAGATCTTGGTCTCTCAAGTCCTGGCTGCCTTGCAACCTCTAATCCCTTCAAATAACAGTTTTTGCTTTTCTTCTTCTTTTTTTTTCTTCTGGCTTTCTAGTTGTTGTCAAGGGACCTTTTGGTATTTTATAAATGACACCATCAAATCCAGAAGCAGATGTCCTCAGTTCCATGGACTATTTGTTATATAACACCTTCCCTCCTCCCCATGTCAACTCCAGCTCTCCTGTAGATAGCCGTAGCACAGGATAATGCTCTATATATCTCTTCTGAAAACATTGTTACCCCAAATTTATTACTAAATTATTAAAAAGAAAATCTTATTCTGCATTTAACACATACTAGACTCATTGCTGAAATGACTCCTACAAAATACATACAATAAATTTTAAGACTACGCTTTGCATGAAGAAACTCAGATTTCCCAAGAAATGCCTATGGAAGTGTGTCTTCAGGAGCTACAGTACTGTTTGAATCAAGGGCACATGCAGTCCTAGTCAATAACTGAGCATGGAAGAAATACCAGATCCTGGACATTTCTACTCAACATGGGATTCTGCTACAGGGAGTCTTTGTACCAGTACTCTGCACTGAATTGGCCTGGACTTTTGAAATGGTACCACCAACTGAGGCTCTTCCTATGCAAACTTTCTTCCTTCCTTCTCTCCTTTCATAGGTGCCAAACCTACATTTCAATATGAAGACTCTCTCTGCCCACTCCTGCTCCCTCTCCCTTTATCCTTAATAAGTGTTACTCCAAGTACACTTTTGTACTTCTAACTCCATCTTACTGTCTGCTTCCCAGAGGACGTGAACTGATACACACTCACATAAACCTCGCTCTTCTAGATATATCTCCCTAACTTACTCATGAAGGCTGAAGAAGTAGAAAATCTTCATTGGGCTTTCCCACCAGTTTCTATTGTGTGTAATAAGCTGATATTTATCTAATTTCCCTGGGAACTCAATATTGGGCACTTCTCAAATGTTGACATATCTTCTCTATATAGTTTTTGTGGCTTTTTGTTGTTATTGCTGTTTTTTGGGGAATAAACATATTTATTCGTGCATCCTTCCCTTTGTTCTTTAATTTATTTAATTTTTAGTTTTAATTTTATTATTTTTTAAGGACAGGGTCTCTTTCTGTAACCTAGGCTGGAGTGCCATGGAGTAATCATAACTCACTGTAACCTCAAACTCCTAGGCTCAAGTGACCCATCTGCCTCAGCCTCCCAAGTAGCTAGGGCTACAGATGTGCATGCCACACCTGGCTCCTTTATTTTTTAATTTAAAAAGAAAATCTTATTCTGCATTTAACACATACTAGATTCATTGCTGAATTTTCTTTTCATAAAAAGAAAGTAATAAGAATACAGGAAAAAAAAACCCAAATAACAAAAAACCTTAGATTCCAGCAGTTCACGTCCAATCGCTTTTTGGCATCTCTCATGCCCTTCAGATCATAGGCTCCTCCATTCCTCCTCAACCATGTACAGCCTTTGTCATCCTATGGTTTCAGTCCATGAATAGGCTGCCTGCTTACTACTTATGGCCCAATTGTAACCATGTTTCTGAACAAACACCTAATACACTGTTGGTTAGCCTACGTGAGTGGCTCCAAAAGTTTGAGCATTATTTCTTCTACTATCAAACAACACCTGGAAGGCTCTGGGTTCCTTTCTTCCTCTGTTTCTGTTAGAAATTGCACAGCCAAGGCAGTAGGGGGATGTAGCTAAAGAGAAGAGAAATCATAGAACAACTGCACTAATAGCAAGTCTGAGAAAAGGGCTTGCCAAGAAGCCGAACTTAAGGAGAAGAAGACACAAGGCAACTATCACAAAGCCAGTGATTTTCCAAGGACTGGCATTTCCCTTAGAAGTATGGTCACAGAAAAAGCTCTTGATGGCCTGTGGGAAGCTTGTAATGGCTTCCCGGTTCCCTTCCATTACTCGTACTAAAATAACTCTCATTTTAGAAAACATTTTCTCAGTCATTCTCCTAAAACCCATGGTCAGGCTGAACAGTTTCATTATCATTATATTGCAAAGAGGAAAACTAGGTCTCTGACTAAAATGCCCACTCTAAAGCAGTCATGAGCACAAATGGGTCAGTGACAGAACTGAAAAGAGGCTGACATGATTCTAACACATCATGCATCTCTGGGTTTGCCAATCCCTCCTGTGGTCTCATGGTCAAATCTGCGCTGCTGAATAATTTTAAGGAAATAGCGGGGTCTTGACAGCTAGAGAAGATGAGCTTTCACTCTTGCACAGTGTCTGACACCAGGGTTCCAATTTTGATTGTCTTACATGGATCAGTAATTTCCTCTTTTCTTGACAGGGACCCCACACTGAAGTCTACTATATTGTACAGGGTAAAGCGTGCAATAAAATACAAGTACAATAAACTCCAATGAGAAGATTGAAAATATAACTGATAAGCAAAAGGATCTCAGAACAGTAAACTGGAAATACTTGAACTGCCAAAGATAAGATGATACTGGAGCAATTTTTCAATCTTAATTATAGTGAACTCTCTCTTTTTTTGGTCTTGCATCCCTCTGTGGATGAGTCAATGCTTCTTTCTTTTAAATTCAGTAGGAAATTTATGGTTGAGCTAGATAAGAAAAATGTGCAGTATTTGTCTGATCTAGTTTGCCATTATTTGCTGATGTTAGAGAGAGTGTGTGTATGTCAGGAATGTTCTTGCCCAAACTGTGAGATAACCCGGTGTTGCACCCTCCTACCATCCCTTTCAGCACTCTTCCTGGTGAGATACCCAGAAGTTTCCACCCCAGGAAGCCAATTCTGTGTGCTCTTCTTACTCTCCACTCCCTGTCATCCTTGACCTGCTGAGGTGTTAATTCTACCAAGCTGTCAGAGCAGAGCATGAAATGCTGGCCTCCAAAGCTTGGCTCAGCTTCTTCCTTGCCTAGAATTTCCTCCCTGCCCTTCTCCATCTGTTTAATTTCTGCCTATTCTTAAAGGTATACATATTGGCCAGTACTCTTTTGATTATAAGTAACTAAAATCATACTCGGCCTAGCTTAAGCCAAAGGGCATTTTTTGAACTCAGATAACCAAGGCCAGGGCAGAGTAGAAACTAGCTGACCATAAGATGTCTGGAGTCAGGGTTCCAAACGCTGTCAAGACCCACTGTCTTCACTTTTCATCTGTGATACTCAGTGATTCAGCTTCATTCTCTACAGGGAACTTGCACATAACATTGGAAACTTGGTCTTCTGCAGCTCAACCCTTTCCAGCTTTGCCAACAGAAAGGAGCATTAGGCCTTCCTTAGGTTAAAGTTTAAAATTCTGTGGAAGGACACCGAATGGCCTAAATTAGGTCACATAGTCATATTTATGTGCATGGGAATAGGCCAGTATGGTTTGCAGGGCCCAATAGGGTTACGTGGTTGGAGAATAAAAAAAGAGAATTCCCTAAAAGTATTTCCCAAAAAGATGGAGCTTTCTCCAGAAGAAGAAAAATATGATTGGTAGACCAAAAAATTGAGCATCCTCCTATATTACAGTTTTGTTCTGTCTCTGTTCAAAGTCACCATCACATACTTGGGCAAGTCACTTTGACTTTCTCCACCTCAGTCCCTTCAACTACAAAATTAAGTTGAGTTGAATTATCTTTAAAGACCTTTTAAGGCCTAAATTTTATATGTTTCAAGGGTCCTTTATCAATCATGAAGGCTTCCTTGTGCATCCTATATTACTCTCTCCCTTCTCTGAATTGCAGCATGCCGATGTAATTTATACAGATAATATGAAGAAAAATGATTATGCTGGACTTCGTAATTATCTTCAGTTAACTATTTGGAGTTAACTATTGGAGTTTACTATTAATATCATTAATAACTTAGGATATTAAGAATATCAAATATGTATGGCTCCTAAAACAGAAGGTTCAACAACAAATTGTTGAATTATGATAAATTATTCACTCAGAAAACTAGAGAGGAGCCAATAAGAGTTAAATAAAAACAAGATAAAGTTACATTATAAACCACCACTACAAAAAGGAAGAAAGAAGTTGAAAGAAAGGGATTTATCTTGCAGCCAACAGGTAAGATGGTAATTTGAGCCCAGGTATTAAATATCTCTTGAAATCATCACCCTAGTCAGGCTGGAAAAACTAGTGGAATGTAGGGGACAGAAATGTGGGAGAAATTTCACCCTAGCCATGGTAAAATGAAAGCGCATCATCTATGAGCCACAAACTTCAAGGAATTTCAGCTAGACATATTGCAGATATAAATAGAATTATGAAAGATATTAAGCTATCTTCCTAAGGAAGCAATGCCAGATTGTAAGAAAGAAGATGAGATATCAGAAAAGTCACCATAAATATGTTATAATGGGGTTTTGGCTAAAAGCATGCAAAAGACAAGGAATAGAGATAGAAGCCAGTTCTGTTGGAACTCATTTCAACAATTTGGGTAAACATATTCAGTAGTTGCTGCTGAATAATTCACATGTTACTGAATAAAACTGATGAAAGCTAATAAGAGGGGCTTCTTAATGCAACAAGCTTTTCCTGTCCAGTAGTAGATAATAGAATGAGGAAGCAGGCAGATATTCTTATCTTCAGTATCTGAAGTGGAGACTGAGATGAATTGAAAACACAATCAATGAGATGGTCCCTAGTGCACTAGCATCAGATGAAGTTTGTCTTTTTAAAACATACAGAAAATGGAATTCGACATTTAAAATATCTTACAAATTTAATAGATATTGTGTGCAATGAAACACATAACAAGTGCTCATACGAGCTCACCAGAAAAAAAGAATAAAATGGTTATCAAAGATACAATAAAAGCAAATTTAACTGAGGTAAAGGAACATGAATTTAAAGACTGAAAATTCCCTGCATGCCAAGCAGAATCAATGAAAAGAGACTCACATTTAGACATATTCTGGCAGATTGTTGAACAAAGCAGAAGAAAATCTACAACTGTCAATACAAAAGTTGCTGAGAAAGAAAAAAATAAATTCTTTTTTTCAGATTTTTCTTCTGTTATATAAAATGAAACAAATCGCGATATATTAAAAGAAAAAAGTTGTGGCCAAGAATTCTATACCCAAATTTATACTTGAGTAGAAATAAGGAATGTACAAAGAGAACAGAGAGACATTTTCAAATGTGCAAAAGCCAAAAATGATATAATATGCAATAGAAAAAAGTGAAGAAATGAGAAAATAATAGAATCAAGGAAATTTTGAAACAATCAAAATAAAGTCTAAATAAATGTTTTAAATATGGTATATAAATGCAAATATTAAAATAATTTGTAAATAAGTACACTTAAGATATAAATACTAATTTATCAATATTAAAATTAATAACAATAATAAAACAGGTAAAAGTCTTAAAGTATGCCAACCAAAATCAAGATGGGAGACTAAGAAGGATGGAAGTAAAACTCATCAAATAGTATACTTAAAATTGGTTTTATTGTTTGTAAATTATACCTCAATAAATAAAGCTAAATATATGTACACACACATACATATATATATGTACACACATATGCAGAATATATTCTAGACAACTATATGCAAATAGGCTCAAACATTTAGATGTAATAAACATTTTTTTAGAAAACACAACTTTAGATTCTGAGGAGCCAAGATGGTAGAATAGGAACAGCTCCGGTCTACAGCTCCCAGCGTGAGTGACGCAGAAGACGGGTGTTTTCTGCATTTCCATCTGAGGTACCGGGTTCATCTCACTAGGGAGTGCCAGACAGTGGGCACAGGTCAGAGGGTGCGTGCACCATGCGTGAGCCGAAGCAGGGCAAGGCATTGACTCACTCAGGAAGCGCAAGGGGTCAGGGAGTTCCCTTTCCTAGTCAAAGAAAGTGGTGACAGACGGCACTTGGAAAATTGGGTCACTCCCACCCGAATACTGCACTTTTCCGACGGGCTTAAAACACGGCGGCGCACCACGAGATTATATGCCGCACCTGGCTCGGAGGGTCCTACGCCCACGGAGTCTTGCTGATTGCTAGCACAGCAGTCAGTGATCAAACTGCAAGGCAGCAGCGAGGCTGGGGGAGCGGCGCCCACCATTGCCCAGGCTTGCTTAGGTAAACAAAGCAGCCGGGAAGCTCGAACTGGGTGGAGCCCACCACAGCTAAAGGAGGCCTGCCTGCCTCTGTAGGCTCCACCTCTGGGGGCAGGGCACAGACAAACGAAAGACAGCAGTAACCTCTGCAGAATTAAATGTCCCTGTCTGACAGCTTTGAAGAGAGCAGTGGTTCTCCCAGCATGCAGCTGGAGATCTGAGAACGGGCAGACTGCCTCCTCAAGTGGGTCCCTGACCCCTGACCCCCAAGCAGCCTAACTGGGAGGCACCCCCGAGTAGGGGCAGACTGACACCTCACACAGCCGGGTACTCCAACAGACCTGCAGCTGAGAGTCCTGTCTGTTAGAAGGAAAACTAACAAACAGAAAGGACATCCACAACAAAAACCCATCTGTACATCACCATCATCAAAGACCAAAAGTAGATAAAACCACAAAGATGGGGAAAAAACAGAGCAGAAAAACTGGAAACTCTAAAAAGCAGAGCACTCTCCTCCTCCAAAGGAACACAGTTCCTCACCAACAACAGAACAAAGCTGGACGGAGAATGACTTTGACGAGCTGAGAGAAGAAGGCTTCAGATGATCAAATTACTCCGAGCTACAGGAGGACATTCAAACCAAAGGCAAAGAAATTGAAAACTTTGGAAAAAATTTAGAAGAATGTATAACTAGAATAACCAATACAGAGAAGTGCTTAAAGGAGCTGATGGAGCTGAAAACCAAGGCTCGAGAACTACATGGAGAATGCAGAAGCCTCAGGAGCTGATGCGATCAACTGGAAGAAAGGGTATCAGCAATGGAAGATGAAATGAATGAAATGAAGCGAGAAGGGAAGTTTAGAGAAAAAAGAATAAAAAGAAACGAGCAAAGCCTCCAAGAAATATGGGACTATGTGAAAAGATCAAATCTACGTCTGATTGGTGTACCTGAAAGTGATGGGGAGAACGGAACCAAGTTGGAAAACACTCTGCAGGATATAATCCAGGAGAACGTCCCCAATCTAGCAAGGCAGGCCAACATTCAGATTCAGGAAATACAGAGAACACCACAAAGATACTCCTAGAGAAGAGCAACTCCAAGACACATAATTGTCAGATTCACCAAAGTTGAAATGAAGGAAAAAATGTTAAGGGCAGCCAGAGAGAAAGGTCAGGTTACCCTCAAAGGGAAGCCCATCAGACTAACAGCAGATCTCTCGGCAGAAACTCTACAAGCCAGAAGAGAGTGGGGGCCAATATTCAACATTCTTAAAGAAAAGAATTTTCAAACCGGAATTTCATATGCAGCCAAACTAAGCTTCATAAGTGAAGGAGAAATAAAATACTTTACAGACAAGCAAATGCTGACAGATTTTCTCAGCACCAGGCCTGCCCTAAAAGAGCTCCTGAAGGAAGCACTAAACATGGAAAGGAACAACTGGTACCAGCCGCTGCAAAATCATGCCAAAATGTAAAGATCATCGAGACTAGGAAGAAACTGCGTGAACCAATGAGCAAAATAACCAGCTAACATCATAATGACAGGATCAAATTAACACATAACAATATTAACTTTAAATGTAAATGGACTAAATTTACAATTTAGTCCAACTAAAAGACACAGACTGGCAAATTGGATAAAGAGTCAAGACCCATCAGTGTGCTGTATTCAGGAAACCCATCTCATGGGCAGAGACACACATAGGCTCAAAATAAAAGGATGGAGGAAGATCTACCAAGCAAACGGAAAACAAAAAAAGGCAGGGGTTGCAATCCTAGTCTCTGATAAAACAGACTTTAAACCAACAAAGATCAAAAGAGACAAAGAAGGCCATTACATAATGGTAAAGGGATCAATTCAACAAGAAGAGCTAACTATCCTAAATATATATGCACCCAATACACGAGCACCCAGATTCATAAAGCAAGTCCTGAGTGACCTACAAAGAGACTTAGACTCCCACACATTAATAATGGGAGACTTTAACACCCCACTGTCAACATTAGACAGATCAACAAGACAGAAAGTCAAGAAGGATATCCAGGAATTGAACTCAGCTCTGCACCAAGCAGACCTAATAGACATCTACAGAACTCTCCACCCCAAATCAACAGAGTATACATATTTTTCGGCACCACACCACACCTATTCCAAAATTAACCACATACTTGGAAGTAAAGCTCTCCTCAGCAAATGTAAAAGAACAGAAATTATAACAAACTATCTCTCAGACCACAGTGCAATCAAACTAGAACTCAGGATTAAGAATGTCACTCAAAACCGCTCAACTACATGGAAACTGAACAACCTGCTCCTGAATGACTACTGGGTACATAATGAAATGAAGGCAGAAATAAAGATGTTCTTTGAAACCAATGAGAACAAAGACACAATATACCAGAATCTCTGGGACACATTCAAAGCAGTGTGTAGAGGGAAATTTATAGCACTAAATGCCCACAAGAGAAAGCAGGAAAGATCCAAAATTGACACCCTAACTTCACAATTAAAAGAACTAGAAAAGCAAGAGCAAACACATTCAAAAGCTAGCAGAAGGCAAGAAATAACTAAAATCAGAGCAGAACTGAAGGAAATAGAGACACAAAAAACCCTTCAAAAAATTAATGAATCCAGGAGCTGGTTTTTTTGAAAGGATCAACAAAATTGATAGACCGCTAGCAAGACTAACAAAGAAAAAAAGAGAGAAGAATCAAATAGATGCAATAAAAAATGATAAAGGGGATATCACCACCGATCCCACAGAAATACAAACTACCATCAGAGAATACTACAAACACCTCTATGTAAATAAACTAGAAAATCTAGAAGAAATGGATAAATTCCTCAACACATACACTCTCCCAAGACTAGACCAGGAAGAAGTTGAATCTCTGAATACACCAATAACAGGAGCTGAAATTGTGGCAATAATCAATAGCTTACCAACCAAAAAGAGTCCAGGACCAGATGGATTCACAGCCGAATTCTACCAGAGGTACAAGGAGGAACTGGTTCCATTCCTTCTGAAACTATTCCAATCAATAGAAAAAGAGGGAATCCTCCCTAACTCATTTTATGAGGCCAGCATCATCCTCATACCAAAGCCTGGCAGAGACACAACAAAAAAGAGAATTTTAGACCAATACCCTTGATGAACATTGATGCAAAAATCCTCAATAAAATACTGGCAAAACGAATCCAGCAGCACTTCAAAAAGCTTATCCACCATGATCAAGTGGGCTTCATCCCTGGGATACAAGGCTGGTTCAATATACACAAATCAATAAATGTAATCCAGCATATAAACAGAACCAAAGACAAAAACTACATGATTATCTCAATAGATGCAGAAAAGGCCTTTGACAAAATTCAACAACCCTTCATGCTAAAAACTCTCAATAAATTAGGTATTGATGGGACGTATCTCAAAATAATAAGAGCTATCTATGACAAACCCACAGCCAATATCATACTGAATGGGCAAAAACTGGAAGCATTCCCTTTGAAAATTGGCACAAGACAGGGATGCCCTCTCTCACCACTCCTATTCAACATAGTGTTGGAAGTTCTGGCCAGGGCAATTAAGCAGAAGAAGGAAATAAAGGGTATTCAATTAGGAAAAGAGGAAGTCAAATTGTCCCTGTTTGCAGACGACATGATTGTATATCTAGAAAACCCCATTATCTCAGCCCAAAATCTCCTTAAGCTGATAAGCAACTTCAGCAAAGTCTCAGGATACAAAATCAATGTACAAAAATCACAAGCATTCTTATACACCAATAACAGACAAACAGAGAGCCAAATCATGAATGAACTCCCATTCACAATTGCTTCAAAGAGAATAAAATACCTAGGAATCCAACTTATAAGGGATGTGAAGGACCTCTTCAAGGAGAACTACAAACCACTGCTCAATGAAATAAAAGAGGATACAAACAAATGGAGGAACATTCCATGCTCATGGGTAGGAAGAATCAATATCGTGAAAATGGCCATACTGCCCAAGGTAATTTACAGATTCAATGCCATCCTCATCAAGCTACCAATGACTTTCTTCACAGAATTGGAAAAAATTGGTTCATTTGGAACCAAAAAAGAGCCCACATCGCCAAGTCAATCCTGAGCAAAAAGAACAAAGCTGGAGGCATCACAGTACCTGACTTCAAAGTATACTACAAGGCTACAGTAACCAAAACAGCATGGTACTGGTACCAAAACAGAGATATAGATCAATGGAACAGAATAGAGCCCTCAGAAATAATGCCGCATATCTACAACTATCTGATCTTTGACAAACCTGAGAAAAACAACCAATGGGGAAAGGATTCCCTATTTAATAAATGGTGCTGGGAAAACTGGCTAGCCATATGTAGAAAGCTGAAATCGGATCCCTTCCTTACACCTTATACAAAAATCAATTCAAGATGGATTAAAGACTTAAACATTAGACCTAAAACCATAAAAACCCTAGAAGAAAACCTGGGCATTACCATTCAGGACATAGGCATGGGCAAGGACTTCATGTCTAAAACACCAAAAGCAATGGCAACAAAAGCCAAAATTGACAAATGGGATCTAATTAAACTAAAGAGCTTCTGCACAGCAAAAGAAACTACCATCACAGTGAACAGGCAACCTACAAAATGGGAGAAAATTTTCGCAACCTACTCATCTGACAAAGGGCTAATATCCAGAATCTACAATGAACTCAAACAAATTTACAAGAAAAAAACAAACAACCCCATCAAAAAGTGGGTAAAGGACATGAACAGACACTTCTCAAAAGAAGACATTTATGCAGCCAAAAAACACATGAAAAAATGCTCACCATCACTGGCCATCAGAGAAATGCAAATCAAAACCACAATGAGATATCATCTCACACCAGTTAGAATGGCAATCATTAAAAAGTCAGGAAACAACAGGTGCTGGAGAGGATGTGGAGAAATAGGAACACTTTTACACTGTTGGTGGGACTGTAAACTAATTCAACCATTGTGGAAGTCAGTGTGGTGATTCCTCAGGGATCTAGAACTGGAAATACCATTTGACCCAGCCATCCCATTACTGGGTATACACCCAAAGGACTATAAATCATGCTGCTATAAAGACACATGCACACGTATGTTTATTGCAGCACTATTCACAATAGCAAAGACTTGGAACCAACCCAAATGTCCAACAATGATAGACTGGATTAAGAAAATGTGGCACATATACACCATGTAATACTATGCAGCCATAAAAAATGATGAGTTCATGTCCTTTGTAGGGACATGGATGAAATTGGAAATCATCATTCTCAGTAAACTACCGCAAGAACAAAAAGCCAAACACTGCATATTCTCACTCATAGGTGGGAATTGAACGATGAGATCACATGGACACCAGAAGGGGAACATCACACTCTGGGGACTGTTGTGGGGTGGGGGGAGGGGGGAGGGATAGCATTAGGAGATATACCTAATGCTAGATGACTAGTTAATGGGTGCAGCACACCAGCATGGCACATGTATACATATGTAACTAACCTGCACATTGTGCACATGTACCCTAAAACTTAAAGTATAATAATAATTAAAAAAAAAACACAACTTCAGAAATTTGACAAAAGAAGAAACAGAAAACATAAGTTGTTATGTGTGTACTAAAGACATCAAATCTGTAATAAAAACTTCCCCACACAGCATTTGACAAAATCCAATGCTAATTTATGATAAAAACTTCCAATGAATTATGAAGAAAAATGAACTTCTTTAATCTGAATAAGTGTATCTCAGAACAAAACAATAAAAATCATATTTAATGGTGAAAATTGAATACCAGCTCCCTGAGATCAGGAATAAGACAATAATGTCTCAAGAATAAGATAATCACCACTACTATTCAACTCACACTGAAGAACCAAGCCAGCAGCACAAGACATGAAAAATAAGCAAAGGTTTTAAGGATTGGAAAGGAAAAAATAAAGTTGAAAATATTTCCAGATAATATAATTTTGTGGCTAGAAAATCCAAAGTCATCTACAGATAAACTATTTGAATTAAAAGTAAATTCAGCAAGATTGCTGATACAAAGTCAATATACAAAAACCATCTACTTAGAAATAATTCCATATATAAACACAAAACAATAAGAAAATAATATGTGAAAAGCAATAACATTTACAATTGCATCTAATAAAAACACCAAATACCTAGTAATATATTTTACAAAAGACATTGAAGACTTCTATTCAGAAAACTGCGAAACTTAATTGAGATGAATTGAAGAAACCTAAACAGATAGAGAGATATATAATGTTTGTGAGTTGAAAGAGCCTATATTGCAAAGCTATCAATTTTCTCCAAATTAAAGTATGTATTCAATTCCCAAAAAATCCCAGCCAGGCTTTGGTGGTGGTGGTAGTGGTGGTAGTGGTGGCGGTGGCAGTGGTGGTGGCAGTGGAGGTGGTGGTAAGGATGTCTTTAATTGACAAAATAGTCCTAAACTGTACATGGACTTTTAAAGATCCAAGAACAGCAAAGATAGTCTCCAAAAAACTAATCTGGAAAACTTGTAACACCAGATATCAAGATTTATTGTAAAGCTACAGTCACAGCACAAAGATATGTAAATAGACCAAGGGATCAAAATAGAGCCTGCAGAAACAGACACACAGTTATATGGTCACTTGATTTATAAGAAACGTGTTACTGCATGAGATAATGGTCTTTTAAATATAGACCCCTCAAAAATAAAGTATGACCTCATACTATACTTGCAAATCAATTGAAAACCAGTCCTATGTGGAAGTTAGATCTCAATGTGGAAGATGAAAAAAAACCCTCTAGATTATCATATTATAGTATAACTTTATAGACAAAGCTCTTTTGTTTGTTTGTTTAAGAGATGAGGTCTTGCTTTGTAACTCAGGCTAGAGTGCAGTGGCATGATCAGAGTTCACTATAACCTTGAACCCCTGGGCTCAAGCGATGTTCCTGCCTCAGCCTCTGAGTAGTGGGACTATGGGTCTGTGTGACCACACCTGGCTAAATAGCTTTCTTTTAAGACAGAGAAAAAGTCATAAGAAAATAGAAAAAGATGGATAATTATGTATACTAAAAGCAAGGACTTGTGTTCATCCAGAGACACCTATAAAAGAGTCGAAGGCAAGCCAAGGTATAGAAGATGTTAATATGCATATATTTGCAAATTACTCATACTCAAAATATATAAAAAATTTTTTCTTTTTTTTTTTTTTTTTTTGCAGTTGCAAGATTTAATAGAGTGAAATAGAGTGAAAACAGAGCTCCCATACAAGGAGGGGACCCAAAGGGGATTGCCATTGCTGTCTCAAATGCCTGGGTTTATATCCGGATCCTTGTCCCTCCCACTGTGCTCTCAGGCAATTGATGATTGGCTATTTCTTTACCTCCTATTTTTGCCTAATTAGCTTCTTAGTGAGCTCTCTGATTGGTTGGGTGTGAGCTAAGTGGCAAGCCCCATGTTTAAAGGTAGATGCGGTCACCTTCCCAGCTAGGCTTAGGGATTCTTAGTCGGCCTAGGAAATCCAGCTAGTCCTGTCTCTCAGTCCCCCCTCTCAACAGGAAAACCCAAGTGCTGTTGGGGAGGTTGGCTGATGACTGCTCTAACTGCTTCCTGCTGAATTGGGTCATAGTAGGGGTTGTGCAGTTGAGATTTCCTCGGGAGGGGTGCCTTCAATGTCATTAACATTGGAGCATGGGCTAGGAGGTTGATCAGGGGTCTGCAGTGGATCTTAGTCATGGACTGCATCTGGGGCTCCATTTGAAGAATGATTTGTAGTTTTACAGTTTCAATTCTGGAAGAGACAAACTTAACAAGGAGGTTAAAGATACAGGGATTGAAATGTATGGTCTGCAATGCAGGGGATTATTTCTTTGGCACACTATAGAGGCCCTGCTTGATAGTTTTGAAAAGGCCTGGTGCAGTAAATAATAATTTGGCCATCTCATGGGTGCTATCAATGCATAAGTGAAAGGTTTGGTGAAGGGTTTTAAGTAATTTCCACTGGTTAGCTGCAGGCATAAGTATTTTTCCTTCTTCGGTGGCTAGCCATCCTGAGGGGAGGAAACTATGTCTTCATGAGGTTCCTCATTCTATTTCTTCTTCCGAGTACTGGGGCTTGGTTTCCTGGAGGGGATTACCCCATACTAGGGGTCCTTCTATAAGCATTTCTAATGGAGGGTCCTGCCTTGTGGCTCTTTTGGCTTCAATATCCGCTTGGTGGTTCCTTTCTATTTCCCTTTCCTTTCCTTCCTGGTGACCCCGGCAGTGTAAGACTGCCACCTCTTTAGGTTTCGGTACAGCCAATAGTAATCTCCTGATGGCTTCCTGATGTTTGATAGGTATTCCCTCGGAAATTAGGAATTCCCTTTCTCTCCATATTGCTGCATGGGCATGGAGGACTAGGTAAGCATACTTAGAGTCTGTATATATATTTACCCTTTTCCCTTCTCCTAATTCTAGTGCCTGAGTGAGGGCTATTAGTTTTGCCAGCTGAGCACTAGTTCCTGGAGTGAGGGGATTACTTTCAAGTATTCCATTACGACTGACCACTGCATACCCTGCTTTTTGAAGTCCTTTTTCTACAAAGGAACTTCCATCAGTATACAAGTTGAGGTCGTGATCAGTCAAGGGCACCTCTAAAAGGTCCCCTTGAGTGGCATAGGTTTGAGCAATTACTTGTTGACAATTATGTTCTTTCCTCTCTTCATTGTCTGGAAGAAATGTGGCTGGGTTAAGAGTTGCACAAGTGCGCAGTCGCAGCACTGGCTCTTCAAGTAATAGAGCCTGATATTTAAGTAAACGGTTGTCTGACAGCCACAAGTCTCCTTTAGCAGTGAGTATGCCGTTCACATCATGAGATGTCCACACAGAAAGATCTCTTCCCTGTATTATTTTAACTGCTTCAGATACTAAGACTGCTACTGCTACCATTACCCATAAACAATGAGGCCAACCCTTTGCCACTACATCAATTTCCTTACTCAGGTATACCACGGGTTGCAAGCTCATCCCTCAGACCTGCGTAAGGACTCCTAGAGCTATTCCTGTTTCTTCTGTGACATATAAAGAAAAGTCTTGCCCCGTTGGCAAGCTTACAACTGGGGTTTGGGTTAGGGCCTTCTTTAGGGCCTGGAAAGCCACTTCTGTTTCAGGTGTCCATCTTACTATATGGGTATTGGCTTTCTGAGTTTCCTTAATTAATGTACATAATGGCCTGGCTATTTCACTGTATCTGGGAATCCATATTCGGCAGAAGGCTGTTATGCCAAGGAACCCTCTTAGTTGCTTTAGGGTTTTGGGATGAGGATAAGCCAGTATACGCTGGATACGTTCCTCTCTGAGGGCCCTGGTGACTTTGGATAATTTTAGCCCTAAGTATTTAACCTGCTGTGAGCAGAGCTGAGCCTTTTGTTTGGAGCCACAGGTAGCGAGGAAATTTAAGAGCGCTTGGGTGGCTTGATGCCACAAGGTTTCTGAATGGGTGGCTATAATTAAATCATCCCCATACTGAAGAACAAGAATGTCCAGCTATGACAATTGGCTCAAGTCTTGGGCTAATGCCTGGCCAAATAGACGGGGGCTATCCTTGAACCCTTGGGGTAAAACAGTCCAGGTGAGTTGAGACATTGGATCTTCAAAGGCAAACAAGAATTGAGAGTCAGGATGTACAGGGATGCCGAAAAAGGCATCCTTAAGGTCCAGGACTGTAAACCACTCTGCTTCCTCTGGTATTTGGGAAAGCAGAGTATAAGGGTTAGGTACAGCTGGGTATAGAGGAACAACAGCCTCATTGATAATCCTGAGATCTTGCACTAACCTCCACTGTCCATTGGGTTTCTGTACTCCTAAAATTGGAGTATTGCAGGGGCTATTGCATGGTTTTACTAGGCCTTGGGCTTTTAGGTCCTTAACAATCTTTTGGAGTCCTTGTTGGGCCTCGGGTCTGAGGGGGTGCTGCCTTCAGTAAGGAAAGGAGGTGGAATCCTTTAGTTTAACTTGAACAGGATGGGCATTCTTTGCTCATCTATGTTGTCCTTCTGTTGCTCAGACTTCAGGATTAATTCCTTCCTCAAGCAGGGGACAACAAACAGGTGTTCCTTTTCCTACGTTCAGATGTATAATGGCCCCTGCTTTTGCTACAATGTCTCTCCCTAACAAGGGAGTGGGGCTTTCAGGCATAATTAGAAAGGCATGTGAAAAGAGTAAAGTTCCCCAGTCACAATTTAGTGGCTGGGAGAAGTATCTAGTGACTGCCTGTCCTAGGACCCCTTGGATAGTGACAGATGCGGAGGACAGTTGTCCGGGACAGGCGAGTAAGACTGAGAAGGCCGTGCCAGTGTCCAGGAGACAGTTAACCTCCTGGCCCTCAATGGTCAAGCATACCCAGGGCTCTATGAGGGTGATGGCATGGGCTGGTGCTTGCCCTGGGCACCCTCAGTCCTGCTGCAGGATCATCTGGTTAGTGGCTTCTGACTCAGAGGACCTTCATCCCCTGGGGCAATGGGTCTTCCAGTGATTCCCTTGACATAAGGGGCATGGACGAGGGGGTGGCTTATTTCTACTTGGACAATCTTTTTTAAAGTGTCCTTGTAGACCACACTGGAAATAAGCCCTATTAGGCATTTGATTTGCCCAGCTTTTCCCTTTTCCAGAGCCTCCAAAGTCTGATTGCCTGAGGGCCGTGACTAAAGCGGTGGCCCTTTTTAAATCCCGTTTGTCCCATTCTGCCTGCTCCTCCTGATCTCTATTATAAAAAACCGAGGTTGCCAAGTTCAATAGGGTTTCTAAGTTTTGCTCTGGGCCTAAGGTGGACTTTTGAAGTTTTTTCTAATGTCTGCAGCTGACGGAGTGATAAACTTATCATTCAAGATTAGTTGGCCTTCAATAGAGTCAGGTGACAGAGAGGTATGCTTCCTCAATGCCTCCCTTAGTCTCTCCAGAAAGGCAGTAGGATTTTCTTCCTTTCCCTGTTATAGTGGGTGTTATAGTGGATATCATTTAATAATTCATAAGCTTCTTCCTAGTTTTCCTTAGTCCTAGCACGCAAGTTAGCGAATGTCTGTGGCACCAATCTCCATGTTCTGATTCTGTGTCCCAGTGACGGTCTACACTGGGAACTGCCTGCTGGCCTGTGGTGAATCGTTCTTTCCTCTGTTGTCATCCTATCATTGACCTGGCTGAGATACCAGAGATTGCCAAACTCTCAGGCTGCACTTATGGCGGCACTTCTCTCATTTGGGGTTAGTGTCTGATTTAGCAGTAACATGATATCTCTCCATGTCAGATCAAAGGATTGCCCCAACCTTTGTAAAACATCAATATAGCCATCAGGGTTATCTGAGAATTTACCTAGGTCTATTTTAATTTGCTTTAAGTCTGAGAGAGAAAAAGATACATGCACTCTCTGGCTGGGCCAAATTCTCCTCCTCCCACTGCTTGGAGGGGGCAAAATCAGGGAATATTGGCACTGTTTTGTTCATCGTTTATCCATTTGTCTATCTCCTTTGGACCATTCGGGTAAAAGGGGGGTCCTTATTATTTGGGGAAGGAGTCAGGGGGATGCTGGGATAGGGAGGTAGAATCTGAGGGCTTCCTGTAGGACATAAACCACACTTTTTACATAATTATGAGTTGTCTCTTAATGAAAAGAAAGTTTGCAAATATGGCACTTCACTCCATTTGCCCTCCTTTCTACAGAAGAGGTCTGGCTGTAAGATGGTGTTATAATTTATACTTCCCTCAGGAGGCCAAGTTTCTGCCCCTTGAAGAGGATATCGTGGCCAGGCGGTACTGCAGAAGAATATAAGTCATTTCTTTCTTAGCGTCTGAGGGTCAAATTGGTCCTAATTCTCCAGAATACATCTCAGGGGCATTTCTGCCTTGGGGTGGGGGGAACATTTCCCATCTGAAAAAAGGACATAGGGGTGCCAGCACCCTTAGTCATTTTCCATCGAGCGTTAGTCCTAGAGCATCCTCTAAGGGCCTAATGTTTATTCTTTTCCAGGGTGCATAACCACCCATGGACCTCTGCTTATTGGATTAGTTATGCTAACTGATGTAGCAGTTCTGCACCTGTTTTCCCGCCTCTCTTGACCACAAAGAAAGGGGTCCGGGCTGCTGGATTCTAGTGGTCCTTTACCAGCGTGCCCAACATTGCCTTTGGGCTCAGGGGTGAGATCCTTTCCAGGGTGCGTAACCACCCATGGACCTCTGCTTATCGGATTAGTTATGCTCACCAATGTAGCAGTCCTGCACCTGTTTTCCCGCCTCTCTTGACCACAAACAAAGGGGTCTGGGCTGCTGGATTCTAGTGGTCCTTTGCCAGCGTGCCCAACATTGCCTTTGCACTCAGGGGTGAGTCCTAGAGCTGGGCTGGGTTCTTGAGTATTTCATAACAACCCAGCTGCCCCATCAAGATGCATTCCTATAAAAAACAATTCTTATGTAAATTCATTTCAGAGAGGGTGTAGCGAACCTTTTGATTCAGGATTGAGATAGTCTTTTGATTCTGTAAGTACTTTAAGGCTTGGCTGAGTGCAAACAGCTCACATGTTTGAGGAGACCAATTATTAGGCAATTTTTCTCACTCTGCTTCCACACCAGTCTCTGTATCAATTACTGAATACCCATTGTGGTTTTCTCCTCAATCGCCTGGGAGGAACCATCTATCCTCCGGTCCTGAAGGGAGTTCCTCCTAGGTCTGGTCGGACCTTTGTATGGTAATTAAGATTTAAATCCCCTGTTAGGAAATCTGCTGGGTTAAGGGAATTATCAGTGGTTGGAGTTACATTACCCTTTTCTAACACAATAGCCCCATACTTTAAGATTTTTGATTTAGTAAGCTACCTTTTTGCTTTTTTTTTTTTTTTGACTTAGAATAGTTTAACTGGTGAGGTGTGCTGTCAACGAAGTTTCCTCAAAAAGTTCCTTTTCTACTTTTAGCAAAGCAATTGCCGCTACCGACCGAATGCATTTGGCCCATCCGCGGGTTACTGGGTTAAGGATTTTTGATAGGAAAGCTACAGGTTGTCAGTGGCCTCAGTGCTTTTGGGCTACGCCCTTATTTACATTGACAACAAAGTGGCATTGAAGTGTTATAGGGTCACGGAGAAGACCTTCAATTATCAATTACAGGTTTTAAATTTACCCTGGCTTTTAAAGGAATAGGGCACACTTTTTTTTTAAAACTATTTCTATCTTTTTCTTTCTTTCTGTCTTTGACTCTGTCTTTGTCCCTCTCTCCATCTCTCTCTCTCCGTCTCTCTCTCTCGCTCTCTCAGTCTCTCTCTCTTAGCCATTACAAACTTGGGGCCCTGGCAAGGGTGGTGGGGAACGGGTCCCACATAACTGCCCATAACTGCCCATGTCAAGAGCTGTATACCTAAATCGGGAGGGACACCAGGGATAAGACTGCCTGGGTTATAGTCTAGCTGCCTAAGGACGCAGCGTAGAGCTTCCTTAGATCCCCTTGGAGATACGACTTGCTAGAGGAAATGAAAGTCTGAACCATTAGTACCTAGGAGGCAGGGATCAGAGGAAGTAGATTCAGAGGTAAGGAGAATTTTGGGGCTACACTTTCAAGAAAGTCGTGGTCGGGACCCAGGAGGTATGGGTCAGAAGGAAAGGTGGGGCGCATGCACAGGCGACTGCTGAGTAGAGACTTCTGGCTGTGCCATGATCTCAACCGGCTACTGCCGGGAGTTCAGGACAACAGCTTTCTGTCTCTAGGCGGCCCTTGGCTTCCCCAAGAAAACTGAAAGTGGAAGCCGGCGCGAGGCAGACCAACGTCCCCAATAGAAGGGTTGGGGGTTGTTAGAAATCCCTTCCCCAGATAGCCTCACACCTGAGTCTTAAGTCCTGTGGCCATGCTAATCGTTTTTAACTGGCCGACAGGTGCCTGGTATTTTCCTCCAGTTCTAAGGAAGGATAGGACAGAATAGCAAGTGAAAGTGGTCCGATATTACTCACCGCTTTGGAGGTCCCTTCGTGGTCGCCAAAATGTTACCGGGGGGTCCTTGCTCACAGAGCTCCCAAGATGGTGGTGGGCCACTTCCAAAATGGCGGCGGGCCACTTCCAAGATGGTGGCAAGCCCCGTGTTCTCTGACCTGGGGTTCTTGGCCTCACAGATTCCAAGGAATGGAATCTTGGGCCATGCGGTGAGTGTTATAGCTCTATTAGAAGTCGTGGGTCACGGAAGAGAACCATGGAACCCAGTGACTAGTGTTCAGCTCGATTAGGACGAACCCAGGCACTTAGCCATGCAGGAACAATGGCAAGCCTTTAGCCCAATCGGGAGTGGCAATGGGCGCCTCACTGGATCAGGAGCACAGCAGACACCCTGCCGGATTCAGAGGGATGGGTGTCAGCGGCGGGTCTGCGAAGGCGGCAAACAACAGTGGTGGACGGCGAGCGAAAGCTCAGTTTGAGCCGTAACAAACATGGACCAGAAGAGGGCAGTTGCAAGATTTAATAGAGTGAAATAGAGTGAAAACAGAGCTCCCATATAAGGAGGGGACCCAAAGGGGGTTGCCCAAAATATATAAAAATTTCTAACAATAAATTTTAAAATTCTGACCTAATAGAAAAATTGGCAAAATGCTTGAACAAAAACTTCTCAAAAGCAAGTATTCAAAACGTCACAAATATATATGACCAAAAAAATTGTTCTGCCTTTTCAATCATCATTTAAATATAAATTGAAACCACAATGAGGTGCTACTGCATACTTAGAATAGCAGTTTAAAAATTACCAAGAATTGAAAAGTATGAGGAGCAACTGAAAATCTCATACACTACTTCTGGGGATGTAAACTGGCAACAACATTTAGAAAAAGCTTCTTGGCATTGTTTCTAAAGCTGAACATATACATGCCCCTAGCACCCAGCAATTCCACTCCTTAGTGCATAGCCAGCCAAAATTCATACATATTTAATCCAAAGGAAATGTACAAAAATATTTATGGCAACATTATTTATAATAGCTCCGACTGGAAATAAACCCAATGCCCATTAATAGTAGAAAGAATAAGTAAGTGTTGGTATGGTCGTATAATGAAATACTACCTAGCAATAAAGATAAACAAACTGCTAAAAACAACATATATGAACCTCACAAATACAATGCTGAGATAAAGGAGATATAAGTATACGGGCCACTCACATAAAAAGTTCAAAAGTAGTCAAAACTAATCAGTGGTATAGACCTCAGGATAGCAATCATCTAAGTCTGGGAATTGGTAGCCCAGGTGGGGTGCACAGAGGAGGCTTCCAGGGGGCTTCCTTTCTCATCTGTATGGTGGTGACACAGAGGGACTGATTCATAATAAATTAATCACACATACACTTATGATTGGTGTCCTTTTTTTATACAACCATATAAAAATTATCTAAAATCGGCCAGGCATGGTGGCTCATGCCTGTAATTCCAGCACTTTGGGAGGCTGAGGCAAGCAGATCATGAGGTCAGGAGATCGAGACCATCCTGGCTAACACGGTGAAACCCCGTTTCTACTAAAAGCACAAAAGATTAGCCGGGCATGGTGGCAGGCGCCTGTAGTCCCTGCTATCCGGGAGGCTGAGGCAGGAGAATGGCGTGAACCTGGGAGGCAGAGCTTGCAGTGAGCCGAGATCACGCCACTGCACTCCAGCCTGGGTGACAGATCGAGACTCCGTCGCAAAAGAAAAAAAAAAAAAAAACCTAAAATCAACCTATGAAGTATCATATCTATTGATGAAAATGGTGATGTAAGTATAAAAAAAGACAAAAAGTTAAAATGTGGTTGTTCCTGTATGTTAGAAATAAGAATTAATTAATTTACAATTAATTTAAAGATTACTATTTTCTTTTCTGTGTTGTTCTCAGTTTTCAATTTTTCATGTTTGACCAAGAATCACGTTTCCATTTTAAAAGGGAAATTTAAAGTATTTTAAATAGAGTAAGACCTCTGCAGGCTGACCCATCAGTTAGCCGGACCAGGAAGATAGATCATAGTTAACAGATGAATCCAATTATTTCTTTTTTTTTTTTTTTTTGGCAGCGTCTCTCTCTGCTGCCCAGGCTGGAGTGCAATAGCGCCATCTTGGCTCACTGCAACCTCAGCCTTCCCAGTTCAAGCGATTCTCCCTGACTCAGCTTCCCGAGTAGTTGGGTTTACAGGCATCCACCACCACGGACCCAGCTAATTTTTGTATTTTTAGTAGAAACGGGGTTTTGCCATGTTGTCCAGGCTGGTCTCAAACTCCTGACCTGACCTCAGGTGATCCGCCCTCCTTGGTCTCCCAAAGTGCTGGGATTACAGGCATGAGCCACCGCGCCTGGCCTAAGAAAATGCTTCTTAAAGAAGTTACTGGGCTGAGTAGGAGTAAGTGATAAGCAAATAAAAAATGAATCAGTCCAGAGGAGAATAAAACATTGTACTTCAAGTTAAACTCAGTGAGAAATGATCATATGTTGTATTTCATTACCCCTTTATAGTTTCAGCATGGTTTCTTGTCCATTTTCTCATTTTAACCTCACAGAATTGTATGAAAGAATTGCGGAAGGGGCTATCATTATCATTTCATAAATAAACACATGAGTACTAGAGACAGAAAGTAACATGCCAAAACCTAGAGCCTGGCAACTATTTGTGGAAAAATAACAGTGACCCAGAAATTCTTGTCCCAATTGGTTTACCTTTTATGAGAAATGGCAGTAGATACTTTTAAATATTCAAAGATACTCAAAATATACCCTACAAGTACTCATCTCAAACATTATTCAAAAACCAATTATAGACAAAAAAGTTGTAAATTTTTTACATTACTACCAGTAAATAATTTAAAATAATTTAAAAACAGGAAATAGAAACTAAGACCTTAGGCGTTAAAATGTAGGAACATAAATGAATTTACAATGAGTTTTAAAACCAAATAAACTTATGAAATTAAATATAAATAACTAATAAATATTACCAAGTTGAATCTAGAAAATAAAAACAATTCTAAAAAATCTTGTACTCTGAAATATATAATAGTCTGAATCCATAACTATTAACATAGTCAATATTGGCATGTGTTTGACATATCAGGAAGTCAAAAATTTTTTTTTATTCCTAAACTTTGAAAATTAAAGATATGCTTACGGTATTTTTTTAACTTTTAAAAAACCATCAGCAGAATTTGAAACAAAATAACCCCCTTATATTCTCTACAGAGTAAAAGATATGCAAATGCAAGAAGCACACATAAACGTAAAACAAGATGATTGGAATGAGAACTAGTAGCTCATTTAGATCAATGTAAATGACTTAAACTTTTAATTAATAACAAAAACTCTAAGATCGGATTGGAAAATAAATTCTAGCCAGAAGATTCTTACAAAAGACACTCAAAAGTGATGCTGAAACTTTAAAATTGAAAAATGAATAATATAGTTGGATATTTGTCCCTGCTCAAATCTCATGTTGAAATGAAATCCCCAGTGTTAGAGGTGAGCTTGGTAGGAGGAGTTTGGATCATGGGGGTAGATCCCTTTTGGCTTGACGCTGTCCTTGAAATAGTGAGTTCTCGTAAGAGCTGGTTGTTGTCAAGTGTGGCACCTTCACCCAACCCCTTCCCGCTCTCTCTCTTGCTCCTGCTTTTGCCATGTGAAGTGCCTGCCCCTCCTTGGCCTTCCACCATGAGTAAAAGCTCCCTGAAGCCCCCCTAAAAGCTGAGCAGATGCTAGCACCATTCTTCCTGTAAAGCCTGTAGAAGCATAAGTCAATTAAACCTCTTTTCTTTATAAATTACCCAATCTCAGATATTTATAGCAATGCAAGAATGGCCTAACACAATGAGTTTACATCAAAGACAAAGAAAAAGCAAAGGCAGAAATATTAATATCAGACAAAGATGATTCAAGCCACAGACATTGACTATGGTAAAAGAGAAATATTTTATAATGAAGCATCCCCATACTGAATATATAGCAACTAAGAAATATATAAAATGGGCAAATAAATGTATACAATAAAACCTTTTGCAAAAGAACAATGTCAGAGGCAATTATAGTAGAAGCCGTAATACAGTATTCTCAATCTCTGACAGGCTAAGTAGACATAAATAAGGACATGAAGCTTTAAATAATTTAAATTCCAGCCCTGAATTAACAGATATATAGTATTTGTTCTCTACAGGTAATATACTTTCTTTCTTAAATTTTATTTTTAATTGAAAAATAATAATCGTATATATTATATATTTATGGGATACAGGGTGCGTTTTGATCCATATTTACACTATGGAATGATTAAACCAAGCTAATTAACAAATACATTGCCTCATGTACTTATTGTTTTATGATGAAAACATTTAAAATCTACTCTTCATAATTTTGAAATATACAATGCATTATTATTTAATACTTTATTTTTAATTGTCTGTTCTTCATTTCCAAAAAGTGACTACAACTTTTGAATTCAAAAAGCAGACATTGTGTGACCCACATGCTCAGAAAGTCAGACAGGGCACTACGTCTACAGCCAGTAACAAAGGCTTAAGACAAAAATCTCAAACAACCTGAACATTTTTTAAAAACTCTGTCTTAAATAACTATCGGGTAAATGAAGACATCAAAATTAAAATCACAGATTCTTTTTAAAATAACAAAATTAGGAACATCACCTTTTAGAATGTGAAAAGTGGGGACAAGAGCTGTACTTCATATTTTAGAAGTTAAAGGAATTTTTCTCTCTTTTATCCCTTTTTTTAAAATCTGGGTCTTTCTGATTAAGTTCTCTTAGCTGGTGAGATTTAAATATAGTCATCTAATTGTCTCTAATAAAAGTTGGAAAACGAGACTACATTCTCTTGGCGTATCTGCCCCAGCAACTGACCTTAGAAGCAATTGAATTTCTGCAGCTGAGCTGTAAAGCAGGCACTGGAGTTGACGCATCACTGAGTTTATGTCCAGTGACTGGAAATGCCATCCATAATAACAACACCTCTGCTCAAAGTCATCCTCAGCTAAGTTTCTTAGCTGTCTGAAATATTTGCGATCTATATCTGCCTTTGTAGAAAGGATGCTGTTAGAAGACATTGTCAGGGTAATATAATAGCAGGTTGGACAGGAGAAGGGGAGCATTGTCTAGCTGAGGCAAATTTCATACTTCTGGTACCAGCTTAACCTGAGTAACAGGGCTGCTGAGGGCCTGCAGGGCCCCACTCTGGCTGGACAGTGATAATATGTATGGGGCAGAGGGGAACGGCAGCGCATCAGGCTGGATGACTCTGATAACTGGGAAGTCAGCTGTGGCTTTTGGCCACCTGTTGACAAACACAACAGTCCTGTAATGAAATTCAGTAAATACAATGATAAGCAAGTTTCATCTGCACCATTTCAAAAGAAGAGTTTTAAAATCTGAATCTGGGACTTTTTACACTCCACTGAAGGCAATAATGTCAGTATCAGACAGAGCCAAATTTTCTCTGTACAATTTGGAATGAGAAAATGGTTCTGCTTCCGGAATACAGTGTCTAATATCTATATGCTTGCTTAAAGTCTATGAAATGCAGGCCGCCTAGTCCCATTTCCATAGAGATCACAATAGGCAGGACCCTGAATCCAAAAAGCTCCCAGCAATCTAGCATGGGTTGTCTTCAAGGGACAGCACAACACTATTGCCTGGACTGGGATGAGGCTTTGGTGTGCCTGAGAGATTTGCGAAGTAGAGAAGTGTCTGAGCACATGCCTTAAAACATGACTTGCCTCAGAAACACTGGGTCCAAAGACAGAAACAAAAGTAGGGTGGTGGCCAAAATGCCTTTGGATATTTAACAGAGACAGATGGTACGTACAGTGATTTTAAAACTACAGTTTGCAAAGTGCCTCCAAATATTAAAATGTGGATACAAATCAGTGTCCCTTCATTGGGGAAAGAAGAGAGGCTGTTTTTGCAGAACCTCTAGTTTGCTGTCCAAACATTTAACCTAGATTCTACCATTTAAAACTGGTACTACTTGAAAGTAAAACCAAATGTGACTCTTCCGTCTGATACTCTTGCCTCTCAGCAAACTCTCTCCTATTTATTAATTAAATATATTATTTGTCATTGGTAAATAGTGTGACATTGTGCCTTGGCTCTTCCTACCCTTTTCTGCTTTGATTTTTATAGTTCCTATGAATGTTGAATTGTATTGCTCCCTTTTCTACCCTGGAGATAAGTACTCTGAGCCATCCACATTGTTTTGCTAAGCCCATTGAGGGTTAAAGCTCCAATTTTTTAGGTGATTGTCCAGAGGCAGGGGTTGAGTTTGACCTTGAAGTGGTTTTTCTCCCAAGTCAAGTCAATTGGCTAATGCAGGAACTAAATGAAGGCTGTGAAGCCATGGATTTCCATAGTTGTCTTCTGGTTTGTGATTCTTCCCATTGCTTTTCCATTATGCTGGAATCTTATAGAAAATAGTTTATGGCTCATTAAAATAAAAACTGTAAAATTATATTGCAAGATAAAATAACTATTGCTGAATTAAAATTTTCATGTATCTTCACATAGTCTCATGGCATTAAGAGAAAATGCATTTATGTCATGAAAAAGGATGGCATTCTTAGAGATGGTCACACTATCTAGCTAGAGCCATATTGACCTCTATAACTTGTGTGTGAAAAGTGCTGAGCTTGTGTCCAAAACTGACTTTATTTTTATCTTGTGCCGTTGCTTCAAATTTGCTCTGTAGGAAGTTTTCCTCTTCTTTTTCTTTGATGACAACTGGGGCAAGCTCCATAATTTTTTTTTAAGTATAATTTACATATGGTAAGGAAATCCATTGTAAATGCACAATTCAATGATGGTAGTAAGTATCTAGTGAGTTGCACAACCATCATAACAACCCAGTTTTAGAACATTTCCACGACTCCCCGACCAAAATTGCTTCAAGCCCATTTACAATGAATCCCTGCTCCCTCCCCAGACCCAGGAACCACTGATCTACTTTCTGTCTCTATAAATTTACCTTTTGTGGTCACTTCATATAAGCAGAATCATACAATTTGTCGTCTTTGTGTCTGGCTTGTTTCACTTACCACAATGCTTTTGAGATTCATCCATATTGTAGCATGTATCTGTGTTTCATTTCTTTTTATTGCTGAATGGCATTCCATTCTATAAGTATGCCATGGTTTTGTTCACCCATTTGCCAATCAATGTGCATTTAGGTTGTTGCCATTTTTGGCTGTTATGAATAATGATGCTGTGAATTTTCACCTACATATCTTTGTGTGGACGTATATTTTCATTATCAGTTGACCTTAGTCAATTGATGGGTTAGTTTTTGGACTCTCAGTTCTGTTTCATTTTTCTATTTATGTATCCTTACATCAATACTAAACTTTCATGATTACTACAGCTTTATATTAAGTTTTGAAATTGGATAAGTCATCCAAGTTTGTTCTGTTCTAAAATTGTTTTGTTTTATGTAGATCATTTTCATTTCCATATAAATTATTGGATCATCTGCCACTCAGAGTAAAACCAGAGAAGCAGAACCAGTAGGAAAGATATATATTAAGAAATTTATTATGAGAAATTGGCCTATGCAATGGTAGGGGCTTTTTAAGTAAGACTAAAACCCACAGGCAGGCAGTCCAGAAGGTCAGGCTAGAACTGTTGGGCATGAGCTAATGCTACTGTCCAAAGTAAAATTTTCTTCTTTTTTTTTAGGGATGCCTCAGACCCAGTTTTAAAGTCTTCTAGCTGACTGAATCAAGCCCATCAAGATTATCCACCATCATTTCTCTTAAAGTTAAATATTCATTAATATTATGCACACCTGCAAATTTCCTTCACAGCAACACCTAAAATTAGTGTTTGATTGAATAGCTGGGGACTGTAGGCTAGCAAAGTTGACACATTAAACCAACAAACAAAATTACAATCAGGTTGTCAATTTCTATAATGAAAGCCTGCTGGTATTTTGAAAGGGAATGTGTTGGTTCTGTATATCAATATGAAGACAACTTCCACCTTAACAATGAGTCTTTCAAACCAAAACATAAAATGTCTCTCCATCTCTTTTTTAATTTATCTCAGCAATATTTTGTAGCTTTCACTGTGGGAAGATTTTTAATTACTAACTCAATTTCTTGACTTATCATAGGTCAATTAGATTTTCTGGTTCTTGAATCAGTTTTGGTAATTTGTATCTTTCTAGGAACTTTTCCGTTTCATTAAGTTGTCTAATTTATTGGCATAAAATAGTTAATGATATTCTCCCTTAATCATTTTAATTTCTATAGTACCAGTAATTCTGTCCCCTCTCTTATTCCTTATTTTGGTAATTTGAGTCTTTCTTCTTATTTTCTCTGTCATTCAAGGTAAGGGCTTATCAATTTTCTCTATCTTTTGAAAGAATGAACTTTTGCTTTCATTGGTTGTCTTTATTATTTTTGTTCAGTTTTGTTTTGTATTTCAATAATTTTCAGTCATTATCTGCTTCCTTATACTTGCTGTTAATTTACTTTGTTCTTTTTCTAGTTTTTTAAGGTAGAAGCTTAGATTATTGACTTTTGATAGCTTTATTCTTTTCTGATAGGTTTTTAAAGTTACAAATTTTCTGCTTAGTACTACCTAGATTTTTCCATATACTTTTATATATTGTGTTTTTGTTTCATCCAATTCAAAATATTTTTTTACTCTCCCTTTTGATTTATTCTTTGACCCATAGGTTGTTCAGAAGTGTGTTAATTTCTACATATATTGGGTTTTTACCAGATGTCTTTGTATGGTGAATCTCCAATTTAATTCTTTCCTAGATTAGCATATTGTATAACCTAGAGAATGTTGTATGTGCACTTGAAAAAAACTGTATTTTAATTCTTTGGATCAAGTGTTCTATAAATATCATTTAGAGCATGTGGGTTGATAGTCTTGCGGAAGTCTCACATACCCTTGTTGTTTTTTTGTCCAATTGTTCTATCATTTATTGAAAGTGGGCCATTGAGATCTCTAACTATTATTGTTAAACTGCCTATTTATCCTTTCAAGTCTGTCAATATTTGCTTCATGTATTTTGAGGCTCAGTTATAAAATACATATACATTTTAAATTGTTGTATCCCCTTACTGTATTGATCCTTTTATAATTATGAAATATTTTTAGTAATATTTCTTATCTTAAAGTTTGTTTGATATTATTGTAACCACTCCAGCTCTTTCATAGTTACTTCAATATGTCTTTTCCATCCTTTTACCTCCAAACCATTTCTGTCTTTGCATCAAAGGCATGTCTCTCATAAACAACAATTATTGAGTCTTGTTTTCTTTGGTTCAGACAGACAATCTCTGCCTTTTGAGTAGGGTGTTTATTCCATCCACATTTGTGTAATTATTAATATCACTGTATTAGACAGACAACTTCGCTATCTGGTTTCTATTTGTCTTATGTTGGTTTTGTCCCTCTGCTCTTCCTTTGCTACTGTATTTTGTGCTAAGTAAATATTTAAATGTCTAATCCAAAAGGAAAATCTTCTAAGCCTAGAGCTAGATGAAGAGTGTTAAACATGAAGCCAAAAACATAGCTTATAAGAAAGAAATTAATAAATTGGACTTCCTCAAAATTAAAATTTTTTTGTTCTATGAAATACCTTTTATCAGAGGGTGAAAACACATGTTACAGACTGGAAGAAAATATTTACAAACTACACATTTAACAAATAATTTGTATTTGAAATATATAAAGATATTTCAAAACTCAACAATAAAAAAACAAAAACTTTAATTAGAGGATGAGCTAAAGACATGAACAGATATTTCACCAAAAAGAAGATGCACAAATAAACACAAAAAAAATGTTTACCATCATTATCCATGAGAGAAATGCAAAGTAAAACTACAGCAATATAACACCTGTGCACCTATTAGAAGAACTGAACTAAAAAAATCGTGATTATACAATATGCTGACAAGGATGCAGAGAAACTAGATCCCTTATACATTGCTGATGAAACTACAAAATAGTACAGCCACTCTGGAAATCTTGCTATTTTCTTATAAGACTAAATACTAATGCACTTTTCATACCACCCAGCAACTCTCAGGTGTTTTGTTTCTTCAGAGAAACAAAAACCTATGTTCATACTAAGACTCATACAAGAATGTTTACAGTAGCTTTATTTATAATAGCCCCAAACTGGAAATAACTCAAATGTCTTTCAACAAGTGAATGGTTAAACAAAGTCTGGAAAAACCACACAATGGAATACTACCCAGCAATAAAAAAGAACAAACTACTGATATAGCCAACCATTTGGATGGATAAGTGTATTTTACTTAGTGAAAAAAAAGGCAATTCATAAAGCAACACACTGCAATATATGATTCCACTTATATGTCATAATGAAATGATACAACTATAAATATGGAGAACAGATTAGTGATTTTTGGAAGACGAGGATGAGGTCAGGATCAGATGTGATTATAAGCACACAGGAGTTCTTTGCAGTGTTAGAATAGTTTTGTATTTGATTGTGGTAGGATTACACAAATTTATACTTGATATCAAATTGCATAGAACTAAACACCACACACACAAGTGCACACAAAAACCAGTGAAAAACTGAATAAGGTCTGTAGTCTAGTTAAAACTATTTTACCAATGCCAATTTCCTAGTTTCTCATATGTATTATACTATAGTTACAAAAGATGTCACAATTTAGGGACGCTGCTTGAAGGATACAAGAGAATCTATGTATTTTTTGCACCTTTCTGTGTCTATAATTGAAAATAAAAAGTTAAAAACAAAACACACATTCACACACATACATTTAAAAGTGTCCAGTTCAATATATTAATCCATACTTCAATTTTCATCTAAAGATAATGCTCCTTCTTGGAGTTATTCCTCTTCTCCAGGCTTGCTAAACTTGATCTCTTCCTCCATCGGCCTCAGTGATGAAGATGGAGGTTGGGGGAGAGTATGGAGGAAATAAGGGAAGAGAGAACAGAACAGTTCCTGTTTGATTGGCACTGCCTGAGGATGGTATCGTGTTCTTCAGGCCTGGCAGGTCTTCAAAGTCGACACTGTCTCATCAGCACTTCTATGGCTTCTGCAAAGACCCCCCGCTCTTTGTTCTTCAAACCACAGCCCTCTGACTAAAGGCAATGCCTCTTCATTGCTGGCCATCCTAGTCCCCTCTCTGCCTCTGCTCCTACTGATACACCCCACAGCTTGTGAAGGCCAACACTCTCACAAGAGATTGGGCAGAATCTCTGAAAGCAACCTGAGGCCATTGTGCTTTCCATACTCAGTAACTGGGATTCCTATACCTTTGATCTGCTGACAGAAGTGGGTGCACTCAACTTTATGGCTATAAGCCACTGGCACTTTCGCACATGTGAGTTGAGCATCCATTCTCTATGTATCTCCCTCCATCCCATTTTAGTAAGATCTTCTAGAATACTCATCCTTATGGAATTCTCATAATAACATCAAAAGGAAATACTACTACTACCTCAACAAAGATATATATTGCATCTGATATCACTGCATTTGGTCTTAAAAATGAAGCCCCATGACTAGTAGAATAAATGTTAATTGCAACTTGTCTGATTCATTTCTCCTACCTAATAGAGACACAGGACAGTATCTTAAATTTAGATTTAGTGAACCATTTTCATTCAGACTACAAAACATGCCACCCATCCTGAAACAAATTTCTGGACCACTATAACACTGCAGTTTAGCAAACAATTAAACATACACACACAGAAATCAACCTTAACTAGACAAACTTCACACATAAGATGGATCTTTGCAGGGTCTGAAGACTGTCATGGAACTCTGCAGCTTGAGCAAGACTCTGTAAAATGACACACTAATAAGCAAAAAAGAGAAAGAAAAGTTCGAGCAAATGATCCAGCAGAGCTGGAGGGAACTAACAGGCAGAATCCTAAATTGGATATGTCACATTTTGGCAATAACAGCCACTTGTGATTAGTATGAGACAAGGCACTAACAGGCTAAAGGGCCCACGAGAAACCTAAATAAGTGGAAAACAAATGAACCTCCAACAAAGAATGAAAATGAAGACAACTCAATCATTGCAGACTTCCTTGTCTTGTCAGCACCTTCACTCTTCCTTCAACTTCACACTGTGCAGTGTTTCTGTCCCCTGAATTTTCCTTCTCAAGGCCACCCCATCCCAACATTGGAGCCTGTGCTCTCAAGCCTGGATTATGATATTAGCTCCCTAACTTGCGTCTTTACCTTCCGTCTGCTCCCTCCAATTTCTCCTACATGAATCACCAAACAAAACTTCCTCAAAGGCCATTTTCACCTCATCACTCCTGGGGTCAAGAATTTCCTGCTTCTTGAGACACACATAGGCTCAAAATAAAAGGATGGAGGAAGATCTACCAAGCAAATGGAAAACAAAAAAAGGCAGGGGTTGCAATCCTAGTCTCTGATGAAACAGACTTTAAACCAACAAAGATCAAAAGAGACAAAGAAGGCCATTACATAATGGTAAAGGATCAATTCAACAAGAAGAGCTAACTATCCTAAATATATATGCATCCAATACACGAGCACCCAGATTCATAAAGCAAGTCCTGAGTGACCTACAAAGAGACTTACACTCCCACACATTAATAATGGGAGACTTTAACACCCCACTGTCAACATTAGACAGATCAACAAGACAGAAAGTTAACAAGGATACCCAGGAATTGAACTCAGCTCTGCACCAAGCGGACCTAATAGATATCTACAGAACTCTCCACCCCAAATCAACAGAATATACATTTTTTTCAGCACCACACCACACCTATTCCAAAATTGACCACATACTTGGAAGTAAAGCTCTCCTCAGCAAATGTAAAAGAACAGAAATTATAACAAACTGTCTCTCAGACCACAGTGCAATCAAACTAGACCTCAGGATTAAGAAACTCACTCAAAACCGCTCAACTACATGGAAACTGAACAACCTGCTCCTGAATGACTACTGGGTACATAATGAAATGAAGGCAGATATAAAGATGTTCATTGAAATCAACAAGAACAAAGACACAACATACCAGAATCTCTGGGACACATTCAAAGCAGTGTGTAGAGGGAAATTTATAGCACTAAATGCCCACAAGAGAAAGCAGGAAAGATCCAAAATTGACACCCTAACTTCACAATTAAAAGAACTAGAAAAGCAAGAGCAAACACATTCAAAAGCTAGCAGAAGGCAAGAAATAACTAAAATCAGAGCAGACCTGAAGGAAATAGAGACACAAAAAAACCCTTCAAAAAATTAATGAATCCAGGAGCTGGGTTTTTTTGAAAGGATCAACAAAATTGATAGACCGCTAGCAAGACTAATCAAGAAAAAAAGAGAGAAGAATCAAATAGATGCAATAAATAATGATAAAGGGGATATCACCACTGATCCCACAGAAATACAAACTACCATCAGAGAATACTACAAACACCTCTATGCAAATAAACTAGAAAATCTAGAAGAAATGGATAAATTCCTCGACACATACACTCTCCCAAGACTAAACCAGGAAGAGGTTGAATCTCTGAATAGACCAATAACAGGAGTTGAAATTGTGGCAATAATCAATAGCTTACCAATCAAAAAGAGTCCAGGACCAGATGGATTCACAGCTGAATTCTACCAGAGGTACAAGGAGGAACTGGTTCCATTCCTTCTGAAACTATTCCAATCAATAGAAAAAGAGGGAATCCTCCCTAACTCATTTTATGAGGCCAGCATCATCCTCATACCAAAGCTGGGCAAAGACACAACCAAAAAAGAGAATTTTAGACCAATATCCTTGATGAACATTGATGCAAAAATCCTCAATAAAATACTGGCAAAACGAATCCAGCAGCACAACAAAAAGCTTATCCACCATGATCAAGTCAGCTTCATCCCTGGGATACAAGGTTGGTTCAATATACACAAATCAATAAATGTAATCCAGCATATAAACAGAACCAAAGACAAAAACCACATGATTATCTCAATAGATGCAGAAAAGGCCTTTGACAAAATTCAACAACCCTTCATGCTAAAAACTCTCAATAAATTAGGTATTGATGGGACATATCTCAAAATAATAAGAGCTATCTATGACAAACCCACAGCCAATATCATATTGAATGGGCAAAAACTGGAAGCATTCCCTTTGAAAACTGGCACAAGACAGGGATGCCCTCTCTCACCACTCCTATTCAACATAGTGTTGGAAGTTCTGGCCAGGGCAATTAGGCAGGAGAAGGAAATAAAGGGTATTCAATTAGGAAAAGAGGAAGTCAAATTGTCCCTGTTTGCAGACCACATGATTGTATGCCTAGAAAACCCCATTGTCTCAGCCCAAAATCTCCTTAAGCTGATAAGCAACTTCAGCAAAGTCTCAGGATACAAAATCAATGTACAAAAATCACAAGCATTCTTATACACCAATAACAGACAAACAGAGAGCCAAATCATGAGTGAACTCCCATTCACAATTGCTTCAAAGAGAATAAAATACCTAGGAATCCACCTTACAAGGGACATGAAGGACCTCTTCTAGGAGAACTACAAACCACTGCTCAATGAAATAAAAGAGGATACAAACAAATGGAAGAACATTCCATGCTCATGGGTAGGAAGAATCAATATCGTGAAAATGGCCATACTGCCCAAGGTAATTTACAGATTCAATGCCATCCCCATCAAGCTACCAATGACTTTCTTCACAGAATTGGAAAAAACTACTTTGAAGTTCATATGGAACCAAAAAAGAGCTCGCATCGCCAAGTCAATCCTAAGCCAAAAGAACAAAGCTGGAGGCATCACGCTACCTGACTTCAAAGTATACTACAAGGCTACAGTAACCAAAACAGCATGGTACTGGTACCAAAACAGAGATATAGATCAATGGAACAGAACACAGCCCTCAGAAATAACGCCGCATATCTACAACTATCTGATCTTTGACAAACCTGAGAAAAACAACCAATGGGGAAAGGATTCCCTATTTAATAAATGGTGCTGGGAAAACTGGCTAGCCATAGGTAGAAAGCTGAAACTGGATCCCTTCCTTACACCTTATACAAAAATCAATTCAAGATGGATTAAAGACTTAAACATTAGACCTAAAACCATAAAAACCCTAGAAGAAAACCTGGGCATTACCATTCAGGACATAGGCATGGGCAAGGACTTCATGTCTAAAACACCAAAAGCAATGGCAACAAAAGCCAAAATTGACAAATGGGATCTAATTAAACTAAAGAGCTTCTGCACAGCAAAAGAAACTACCATCACAGTGAACAGGCAACCTACAAAATGAGAGAAAATTTTCGCAACCTACTCATCTGACAAAGGGCTAATATCCAGAATCTACAATGAACTCCAACAAATTTACAAGAAAAAAACAAACAACCCCATCAAAAAGTGGGCAAAGGACATGAACAGACATTTCTCAAAAGAAGACATTTATGCAGCCAAAAAACACATGAAAAAATGCTCACCATCACTGGCCATCAGAGAAATGCAAATCAAAACCACAATGAGATACCATCTCACACCAGTTAGAATGGCCATCATTAAAAAGTCAGGAAACAACAGGTGCTGGAGAGGATGTGGAGAAATAGGAACATTTTTACACTGTTGGTGGGACTGTAAACTGGTTCAACCATTGTGGAAGTCAGTGTGGTGATTCCTCAGGGATCTAGAACTGGAAATACCATTTGACCCAGCCATCCCATTACTGGGTATATACCCAAAGGACTATAAATCATGCTGCTATAAAGACACTTGTACACGTATGTTTATTGCAGCACTATTCACAATAGCAAAGACTTGGAACCAATCCAAATGTCCAACAATGATAGACTGGATTAAGAAAATGTGGCACATATACACCATGGAATACTATGCAGCCATAAAAAATGATGAATTCATGTCCTTTGTAGGGACATGGATGAAATTGGAAATCATCATTCTCAGTAAACTATCGCAAGGACAAAAAACCAAACACCACATGTTCTCACTCATAGGTGGGAATTGAACAATGAGAACACATGGACACAGGAAGGGGAACATCACACTCTGGGGACTGTTGTGGGGTGGGGGGAGAGGGGAGGGATAGCATTAGGAGATATACCTAATGCCAAATGACGAGTTAATGGGTGCAGCACACCAGCATGGCACATGTATACATATGTAACTAACCTGCACATTGTGCACATGTAGCGTAAAACTTAAAGTATAACAATAAAAAAAAAAAATTTCCTGCTTCCACATTGACTACCTACCTCTCAAGAACTCTTTAACTCAACTTTAGGAGTAAAAGCAGATTCTCTCTGTAAGAGTGTACCCTTACAGACTTGTAGAGAATACATAAAAACTCAAGCACATTTTAATGCTTTCTGGTATTTCTCAAGACTGAGCCAGGGAGAAAAGTGACATCTCTTGTCTGAGAGGGGGTTCAGGGTCTCCAATTCTCACCACTCCAGGCAAGGTGCAGATCAGGCTGATGGCATAGAAGGGAATGGGCATGGTTCCCGCCAGCTGGGGTCCTCTCTTCTCCAGACTAAGAGGATGTGTGCTTTGGTGGTCAACTCCAGCAGATGCCACAGCAGCAGCACAAGTAGCTCGTGCGTGTTCTCCTGTCTCAAGATGTCCTCATAAATTGGCCATAAATCCCCTTCTTCTTATGGCTCCTGGATCTCTGAATAGAGTCACTAACCAATCATGAGTGGATAAGTGTTAACATTAATATATGACTAAAGCTAAATACCACCTGTAATGGGTTGAATCGTGTCCCTCAAATAGACATGTACAAATCCTAACTCCCTGTACCTGAACATGTGACCGTATTTGGAAATAGGGTCTTTGTAGAGGTAATTAGATTAAGAATCACCAGATGAGAACATCCTGGATTTACAATGGGCCTCAAAGCCAATGACTGAAGTCTTTATAAGAAAAAGGAAAGGAAGATTTGAGGCACAAAGACACGCAGGGATAAAGGCCATGCCACATGAAGATGGAGGCAGACATTGGAGTTCTGCAGTTATGAGCCACACAACAGCCCCCAGAAGCCAGAAAAGAAGTGTCATGGAAAGGGATCTCCCTCGGAGTCTCCAGAAGGAACCAACCCTGCCAACACCTTGATTTTGGACTTCTGGCCTCCAGAACTGTAAGAGAATCCATTTCTATTCTTTTAAGTCACCAAGTTCGTGGTAACCTATTTGGCAGCCCTAGGAACCTAATTTGCCACAGTAGAATGAGCTTTTGTAAACAGAAGTAAATCTTAAATTGTATCAAAAAATGTAATTATTATTTTAATTGTATTATAAAAATTTTTGTAGTCAGATTTTAAAAAGTTTATTGCTATAGTTTAGAGACAATAATTTCTCATTTGCTGCATTTCGCCCATGGCCACTGAAGTACATATTCATGATAGGAATAGACATTTACTTTCAGCTGAGGTTAATGTAAGAGCAAGATTTCTAAGGTGCCTAATTTTTTCCTTACAATTGTTTTTATCTTCTTCAAATTCTTTTTACGTGTGTATCTAAGATAACTTATCGCTGACATACATAATTTGGGAGTTAAAATCAACTTTAGTTGGCCAAGTTAATATTTATCCTCAAATGATATTTCTTTAAAACTCCCAAATAGGGCTTTTATTTTTAAAGACTCATGATCTAAATATGATTATTTAATTAAAATTATAAATTAAATGCAGTTCTTTAAAGTTATTTTGCATACTAATATAAATGTTGGTACACCAAACAATTCCACAAAAATTATAACATATAAACTAATCTTTAGGGTAGCATTGTATATTAGAAATATAATGTAAGCCACATATGTTGTTTTAAATTTTCTGGTGATCACATTTTTAAAAGTAAAAAAACTAAAATTAATTTTAATGATATATTTAATTTAACCCAGCGTAGTAGTCCCTCACTAATCTGTGGTTTCACTTTTCATGATTTCAGTTACCTGCAGTCAATCATGGTCTGAAAATATTAAATGGAAAATTTCATAAATGTAACAATTTGCAAATGTTAAGTTGTGTGACAGTCAGTAACATGATAAAGTCTCACCTTGTCCAGCTCCATCCTACCTGAGTCATGAGTCATCCAAGGGAGCTGTAGACACTCCCTGCCCTCATCAGATCCACTGTCATGGTGTCACAGTGCTTGTGTTCAAGCAACTCTTATTTTACCTACTAATGGCCCCAAAGTGCAAGAGGAATAATGCTGGCAATTCACATATGCCAAAGAGAAGCAGTTAAGTGCTTCCTTTAAGTAAAAAGGTAAAACTTTTCAACTTAATGAAGAAGGAAAAAATCATATGCCAAAGTCGCTAATATCTGCAGTAAGAACAAAACTGTGAAATTGTGTGGAAGGAAAAAGAAATTCATGCTTGCTAGCTTTCCTGTTGCACCTCAAACTGCAAGTTATGGCCACAGTATGTGATAAGTGTTGTCAAGATGGAAAAGGCATCAAATTTGTGGGTGGAAGATGAACAGAAACATGTCTCGATTGATGGCAATTGGGTTCAGCACTATTCTCAGTTTCAGGCATCCACTGGTGGTCTTGAAACCTGTATCCCCCACAGATAAGGGAGAACTTCTGCATATCCAAACTATTACCATTTTACCATGTAACCAATATAAAACATTATTGAGTTATTTTACCTTCTTTTTTTTTTTTGAACCAAGTTTTCAAAATCCAAGGTGTATTTTACACATACAGCACATCTCATTTCAGAATACCCACTTGTCAAGTCTCATTAGTCATATATGGCTAGTGGCCACCATATTGAGCACACAGCTCTGCGATTCCTCTTGGCCATCGCTACACACACCTGCTTGAATGACCACTTCCAAATATGTCAGTGATTTTTGTGACAAATTGCAAGTTGACAATATTTTATTAATATTTCCAGACTGATAGAAAGTAAAGTTATTGGCCAGATGCAGTGGCTCACGCCTGTAATCCCAACACTTTGGGAAGCCAGGTGGGTGGATTGCTTTAGGTCAGGAGTTCAAGACCAGCCTAGCCAAAATGGCAAAACCACATCTCTACTAAAAATACAATAATTAGCCAGGCATGGTGGCCCATACCTGTAATCCCAGCTACCTGGGAGGATGAGGCAGGAGAATCACTTGAACTCGGGAGGTGGAGGTTGCAGTGAGCTGAGATCGCACCACTGCACTCCAGCCTGGCAAAAAGAGTGACACTCCATCTCAAAAAAAAAATTTTTTAAGAAGAAAAGAAAGTTGTTACATATAAGAAAATTCTAAATGTTTCTATAACAGTGCTCTTTCAATATTAATGTCACTTTTTCTTTTAAATGTTATTTTCTAATGAGAACTCAGTATAAACCAAATTTGGATTTCATTCAAGGGAGGGTTTTTTTTTAGGAATTATTGAAAGATCATTGATAAGTAATTTTCTTATCTATAGTAGTCCAGGACTTGAACCCAAATTTAGCAATGTATGGTGGCTCTACTGACTTTATATGCTCCTTGCCTCTGATTCATTCCCACTGTCAATTCTATCATATCAGACCATACCCTAGGTCCTTGAAATAACAAAAAGATCCAAAAGTAAATTAGAAAAAAAATGTGTAAAATTACAAGCCTGATTTTTAACTCATGAAAAATGGTAGAAAATATATATCCATGTTCATAGGCAAAAGGAGGGGCAATCCAAGATTCCATCAATGAGTGAATGGATAAATAAAATGTGATAGAGACATCCAATGAAATATTATTCAGCCTTAAAAAGGAAGAAAATCCTGGCACATGCTATAACTTGGATGAACCTTGAAGGCATTTTGCTAAGTGAAATAAGCCAGTCACCGAAAGGCAAATACTGTACAATTCCACTTACATGAGGTCCTTAGAGTAGTCAAATTCATAGAGACAGAAAGTAGAATGGTGGTTTCCAGGGAGCGGGAGAGGAGATAATGGACAGCTGTTTAATGGGTATGGAGTTTCAACTTTGTGAGATGAAAAGAATTCTGGAGGTGGATGCTGGTGATGGTTGCACTACAATGTAAATGTACTGAACGCCCAAGAACGGTGCACTTGAAATAGTTAAGATGGTAAATTTTATGCTACGTATATTATATCACCAAAAAAAAGGTAGAAAAGAAAATCCAGTCACCCTAATAAAGGCTCTCCTACCTAAACACTGACAATGCCCAACTCCCATACAACATTTTCCTTGTGGATTTCTGAGTACTGTCATAAAGGACAAATTATATTTGTATATCCACAAATTTCATTTTATCCCATGATTTCAGCCTTATTCTCCGAGAGTTTTGACCAGGCCAGTAACTGATAGCTTATACAATGTGACCATTGTTTCTTCCCCCAGTATCACCTACCAACAGGACCACGAGGCCCCCAGTCCAGAATCTGGAGAATCAACAAAGGGCATGAAGAACACAGAGACTGCATAATCTGGCCCAGAGTCACAGAAAATGGACGTAATCACTTCCTGGATACTGATGTTTTCTGTGTCATACCTTTTCTACAAGGCCCTGGCAATGTAAGCTATGACAGCTGGTTGCCTGTCGTCATTGGCACTTGGTGGATGACGGCTGCATCCATTAAAAGGTGTGTGCACCATGCCAAGAGTGTTCCCAGCTCTATGTGAGCATCACAGTGTGCACCCTAAGTTCAAGCTGCGTGGCTGTTTTTCCTGCTGTGTCTGAGAATACTGCAAAAGCTGGGGATGATTCTAAAGAACAAGAAGTTCAAATGGTGCTACAGAGCCTCCTGGGAACAAAAAGAACCACAGGACACCTGGGAGTTCCCATCATTCTGCACTTGCTATAGGTTTTGGCCCCAATTTTTGCCACTATTCAGCCCTGGTACTGGCTTTTGGCCTCAACCCAAATCCTCAGACCACCTCAACCCAAATCTTCTTGGGCTCACCACATAAAGTCAGATTTTCCGAGTGAATAAAAATGAAGATGCTTTTGGATGGGACCAAGACCCAAGGGTTATAAACCCCTTTAAAAACTGAGTTTAGTATTTTTTGTTTTTTAAAAAGAGAAAGAAAAAAAGAGAATACTCATGGCTTTGGTAGCAATATAAAAAAAGGAAAAGGCAATAATAACATCAATACTCACCACTCTTTCAAATATTAGACAGGGAAGCAGGCAAGAGGTGCTACTTTTTCTATTTCTTGGTCTCTTCTTCAGATTTGGAGATAGCTTTGCTTGAAGGATAGCAAGAGACCTTTTAAAAAGATGAAAGTAGAGTCTCGTGTACTAATGAAAAAATAAGACAAAAATTCAGGATGCCAGACCTAGGGCTGCATTTGCTCTAGTCACTGGAAGAGTATGGATTTAAGACCTCTCGCAACCTGTGATCTGTAGAAGGGTGAACACAGAAAAAAAAAGAGTTATTTTTATTTTCTGCTTTTATTAAAAGTTTATTTTAAAAGTTACAATATTTGTATAATACTATTTAGAAGAAATAAAAAATACTTAGAAACATAAAGAAGTTAAACCACACATAATCTTACCACCCAGACAACAGTTATCAATATTTTGATGTACAAGATGTTTTTTAAAGAAACAGACCAATATACTATATGTTATGTTACTTGCTTTATTTTAAATTAAGGAATTTATATACAAAGGGCATCAATTTTCTACTACTGCATTAAAAAGTACCCCAAATTTTAGCAACTTAAAAAACACAAACATTTTTTAACTCACAAAGTTCATGTGGATCAGGAACCTGAGAGTGGCTCGGTTGAGTGGTTCTGGTGCTGGATCTCCCATGAAGTTGCAGTGAAGAGGTAAGCCAAGCTACAGTCATCTGAAGACCGGACTAGCCATTTCCAAGCTCCCTGCCCTGGTTTTTGGTTTTCCCTACTCACCTGTTGTTGAACTCGGTATTTTAGTTCCTCTGCACACGGTTGCCTTAGTATCTTCAGGACATGGCAGCTGGCTTCCCCAGAGCAAGTGATCCAAAAGAGGAAGAGCATGAAAGCAAGATCAAAACGGAAGCCATGGTGTCTTCCATTACCCAATGTCAGAAGTTACATACACCATTTCTGCTGTATCCTCAGGGTCACCCAGACCAACAATGAATGTGAGAGAGTTTGAAATACCAAGAGGCAGGGATTAATGGTGACCTTCTTAGAAATGTTGCCACAAATAAAATGCACAGATTTTGTGTGTACATTGATGAGTTTTGACAAATGTCATATGCAACCATCACTAATCACAAAGTATTTATGTCTGTCCAAAAAGCTTTCTCATGACCTCTTTCAGTCAATCCCTGCCCACCTCCCCAGCAGCAACCACTGTTTGTGGTTTTTCACCATATAATCATTTTCATTTGTTATTGTACTTCTTATAAATTGAATCAGACAGTATGTACTTTTTTCTGTCTTGCTTTTCTTACTCAGCAGTATCACTAAAGATTCATTCTTGTTGCTAAATGTTGTTCATTCCTTCTTATTGCTGCCTAGTATTCTACTGTATGAATATACCACAAATTGTTAATTAATTTACCTATTTACAGACTTTAGGTTGTCTTCAGAGTTTAGAGCTAATACGAATAAAGCTGTTGTTAACATCTTTGTACAAGTCTTTTTTTTCATGGGTGTATGTCTTCATTTATCTTGGGTAAAAACTAAGGAGTTTAATTGCACATCACAGGCTAGATATATATTTGATCTTATTTTTAAAATTGCCAAATGATTTTCTGAAGTGATAGTATCATTTTACACTTCCACCAGCAATTTATTAGAGTTTCAGTTACTATATGTACTCACCAACATTTAACTTCCCATTTTCAAGTTGCAGCAATCTCGTAAGTATGTAGTAATCTTTCACTGAAGTTTTAAGTTGCATTTCCCCAATGTCTAATGTTATTGAGCACCTTTTTCATGTGTTTATTGGTCATTTACATTATCTTCTTTTGTGAAATATCCACTAGTATTTGGGAAGTATCTTCTTTTGCAAAGTATCTCCTTGTTTATTTTAATTGGGTTATTTGGTTTTTCAATATTGAATTGTTGGCATTGTTTGTTTATTCTGATTACAAGTATTTTGTCAGCTATTTGGGTTGCAAACCTTTGATCCCAGTCTGTGGTGCACCTTTTCATTTCTTTAGTGGTGTGTTTTTATGAGAATAAATTTTGATAATGTCTAATTTACCAATTTTATGTTTTATGGTTAGTGCTTTTGTGACTTAGCTAAGACATTTTTGCCTCTCCCAAAATTGCAAAGATATTATCCTTGTTTTCTTTTAGAAGCTTTATAATTTTTGCTTTTATGTTTAGGTCTATGATCAATTTTGAATTACTTTTTTGGTTTATGGTGTGAGGTAGGGGCTAGGGTACATTTATTTTCTCACATGGATGTCTAGTTTTTCTAGGATTGTTTGTTGAAAGGGTTTTCTTTTCCCTTTCAAATGCTTTGTGCCTTTGTTAAAAATTAACTGACTGTATATATCTGCATCTATTTCTGGTCTCTATTTCATTCCACCAATCTATTTGCCTAAACTTATATCTAAGTCAATAACACACTATCTTGATCAACTATAGCTTTACAATACATCTTGGTGTAACCTGCTTTTGGCACAAAACAAGATGTTATGAGTATCTTCCCAGGCCAAAATTTCTGTGACATCTGCCGTTTTTATGAATGCATAGTACTCTATCATATGCATGAATTATAATTTAATGAACAAATTTCTAATTGTTGGTTTTTTAGCCTTTGTATTTTTAAATATCACTGAAAAATTCTGCAGTGAACATCTTTGGCATTGCCCTTAGTTATATTCTATGAATAAATTCTTAGAAGTGAAATTGCTAAATTAAAGTGTGTGCTGGTTGTTAAAGATTTGGTATATATTGCCAAACTGTACAAAGATTGTGTCAGCTTACCCTGCCACCAGCTGAGAATGAGAGAGCCAATGCTGTGTATTATCATTTAAAATTAAAGCCGCTGTGTGATTTTAAATGATAGATGAAACTAGTATATCATTGCTGATTCAATGTGCATTTATAATTACCCGTAAAAAAAAGAATATTTTACGTGTATTGACCACACAAATACAAATTTTCTGTCTTTTAAGTTGCCTGTTTACATCATTTGGTCATTTTCCAATTGCCTTTACTTCCTTTGTAATGGACTAAGGCCAAAGCTAATTGTAGTCTCAATGTAGAAGTTCTTTCAGGCCCAATTCAGAATAATTAAATATATAATTTTTTTTCTAGAAATAGTATAAGTGAAATAAAAATGCAAAAAATGCTATTGAATATTTCTATTAAAATAAATTTACTCACTATAATTATAATATCACATAGTTGCAATGATTAGCTCATTTTCTTTATCTTCTACATAAAACTCAGGCTCTGCTACTTTAGGGCTTTGGCACCACACTCCATCTGTCCAGATGGCTTCTAACTTCCTAATTTGTCCTTGCCTTGGCCTGAAAACTTGTCATTTCTGTACTCTTGACCTGTTCCTTCTCGATGTGTTTCTTTGCCACTCCCTAGCTGTTTCTTTCAAATTCCCCCTAAAAATTATTTTCACCTATCAAAGTCTTTGACCAATCTAGCCTATTGCCAACCTTTTCTTATTGAAAAATAGAATGGGGGCAAAGACACTACAAAAAAGACTCAAAAATGTTAAAAGGGAAAATTTTGTATCACTTACTGAACTGTTGTGCCTGCTTCCCTTCATCAGCTGAGTGTCATTGTTTAGAACAGGAAATTTCCCTCTGATCTTTGTACCAGGAATAGTTATGCTTTTGAGCAGCTGGTTTGTTTTTACTTATGGATCTCATGAATCATTTAACTGATCCTGTTCTCCTATCTGAGTTAGAAATCTCAGAGTCAGATTTTCAGTCCATCTGTAGCAAGTGGATTGCTTCTCAGGACATACTTTCTGTGCATTAATCCCACTCTTATTTTTCATCATGGCTTTTTCTACTTATTTTTTCTGTGCGTCTCTTATTTTTCTTACTACTTATTGTCCACTCACCTTGACTTTTTTTAACTTACAAAAGTAAAGTCTTATAGTACATATTTTGAAAACTGACATAAAACCCTTTATTTCAGAATAAGATGGGTTAACTCTAAATACATAGACGATCTATTTCTAATAAAGAGAGAATTTGCTTTAGCCTAATGTCATAATTTATGTCTTGCCTATCAAGAACTAAAGACTCCTGAGATTAATACCTCTTGGACACTAATCTTATCCCCATTTGGAAATAGAAAGGAAGATTTTCAAAAAGTTAAGTGAATTGTCCAAGATCATAGACTAAGTTAGTGCCACGGGTCCCTAAGGGACTTTTGCTTCCTCAACCAGCACATTGTTTATGAGCCCAGCATTCCACTTGCACTTGGGTCATGACTGCTTGGGCTAGTTAATTACTTTGAAAACATATTCAAAAAACATGATCCTATGACAGCCACCTTGGGTTTTAGATCTATGGAAAGTTGGTGTAAGGTCATTGCAAAGTTAATTGTTTTGTTTTGGTTTGGTTTTAGAAGCAGCTATGGTGCAGCAAAAATCATTGCTTCTTGACTTTTCCAAAAATCTATAACTCCAAATTTTAAAAAATTACTGCAATTTTCTCCATCCTCACTGCTCAGAAAAAAGTACAAAGTAGCGATATCACAAAAGAAAATGCTGTTATATTAATGAAAGCATTAACTTGTTAAATGTTAAAACATACAGAGATGCTAATGAAATTCAAAGTTAGGTCAAAATTCATTTGAGTTAGACTTGTCAGAGGAAATTAAATGCATAGTTGAGTTAGGATTTTAGAGGAGAGTAAGACTTGAATTATTTAATCCACGTTGGAAAGTCTTCCAGGAAACAGTGAGGGTACAGAGATAGGAATGAGGAGGTCATATTGGAGATGAAAAAGTACATTTGGTTAAAGTGAGGAGACCATTTTAGGGTTTGGGGTTGAAACTGTATTTCCCACCTTCATAGAGCACAATGAAAGCCAAGGGAAATTTTTTATTTTGTCCTCAGGGTGACTGGAGATCACCATAGGTTCCTGAATAGGACAATAATGGGGTGACCTTTTGTTTGAGTCTGCAGCTGAGAGCAGAACAGGAGGTGGCATTTGGAGGGATTATGTTAGTTAGGATTGCCTCCCAGGGACCTTGTGACTGGAAAAGAAATGTTCAATTTAAGACTTATTGTCCGGAAGGAATAGCGAGAACTTAATGCTTTATTACATAAGAGGAAAGTGGAAGAAGGATAATTGTAAGGCCTCATATGTTGGCAATGAGACAGTTTTGAGATGTTAAGAAAGCATTTGGAGACATGAACTTGGAGACCTGATAAGAAGTCAAAACTAGAAGGGATCGTGTGGCATTTTAAATCATTCAGTTCAGTAACTCAATTACTGAGTTTCCACTTAATATATAATACTATACCTGGCACCATAGAAAGGAAGGAAGAAAGGAAATACACAGTAAGGCAAGACTTAAGTACAAAGGGGTGTAGAATAAGAGTGAGGACCATAAACCTAAATCAGGAGCCAGCTGAGGTATAACAAGTCTTTCTTTCTTTCTTTCTTTCTTTCTTTCTTTCTTTCTTTCTTTATTTATTTATTTATTTATTTTTGGAGACAAAGTCTCCCTCTATTGCTCAGGCTGGAGTGCAGTGGCAAGCTCTTGGCTCACTGCAACCTCCACCACCTGAGTTCTAGCAATCCTCTTGCCTCAGCCACCTGAGTAACTGGGATTACAGGCATGTGCCACCACACCTGGCCAATTTTTGTATTTTTAGTAGAGATGGGGTTTCACCATGTTGACCAGGCTGGTCTCAAACTCATAACCTCAAGGGATCTGCCCCCTCGGCCTCCCAAAGTGCTGAGATTACAACCATAAACCACTGTGCCTGGCCTATAACAAGTCTTAAGAAGAGAAAAAAAACTTTGCCTAGCAAAGAAAATAATCAACAAGGTGAAAAGGCAATCGATAAAACAGAGGAAGAGATTTGCAAAACCATATATCTGATAAGGGGTTAATAGCCAGAATATATAAAGAACTCCTATGACTCAAAAACAACAACAAAAAAACATATTTTTAAAATGGGCAAATGGCTCAAATAGATATTTCTCCAAAAAAAAAGATACACAAGTGGCCAAAGAACATATGAAAAGTTACCTAAGATCACTTATCATCAGGGAAATGCAAATCAAAACCACAGTGAGATATCTCATATCCATTAGGATAGCCACTATCAAAAAAATACACCAGAAAATAACAAGTATTGGTGAAGATGTGGAGAGAAATTGGAAGTCTTGCACACTGTTTGTGGGAATGTAAAATGGTGCAGCTGCTATGCAAAATAGTATGGAGTGTTCTCAAAAAATTAAAAATAGAATTACTATGTGATCCATCAATCCCACTTCTGGGTATAAAGCCAAAAGAATTAAAACCAGGATCTTTTTTTTTTTTTTAATTATACTTTAACTTTTATGGTACATGTGCACATTGTGCAGGTTAGTTACATATGTATACATGTGCCATGCTGGTGCACTGCACCCACTAACTCGTCATCTAGCATTAGGTATATCTCCTAATGCTATCCCTCCCCCCTCCCCCCACCCCACAACAGTCCCCAGAGTGTGATATTCCCCTTCCTGTGTGCATGTGATCTCATTGTTCAATTCCCACCTATGAGTGAGAATATGCGGTGTTTGGTTTTTTGTTCTTGCGATAGTTTACTGAGAATGATGATTTCCAGTTTCATCCATGTCCCTACAAAGGACATGAACTCATCATTTTTTATGGCTGCATAGTATTCCATGGTGTATATGTGCCACATTTTCTTAATCCAGTCTATCATTGTTGGACATTTGGATTGGTTCCAAGTCTTTGCTATTGTGAATAGTGCTGCAATAAACATACGTGTGCAAGTGTCTTTATAGCAGCATGATTTATAGTCCTTTGGGTATATACCCAGTAATGGGATGGCTGGGTCAAATGGTATTTCTAGTTCTAGATCCCTGAGGAATCGTCACACTGACTTCCACAATGGTTGAAGTAGTTTACAGTCCCACCAACAGTGTAAAAGTGTTCCTATTTCTCCACATCCTCTCCAGCACCTGTTGTTTCCTGACTTTTTAATGATTGCCATTCTAACTGGTGTGAGATGGTATCTCATTGTGGTTTTGATTCGCATTTCTCTGATGGCCAGTGATGATGAGCATTTTTTCATGTGTTTTTTGGCTGCATAAATGTCTTCTTTTGAGAAGTGTCTGTTCATGTCCTTCGCCCACTTTTTGATGGGGTTGTTTGTTTTTTTCTTGTAAATTTGTTTGAGTTCATTGTAGATTCTGGATATTAGCCCTTTGTCAGATGAGTAGGTTGCGAAAATTTTCTCTCATTTTGTAGGTTGCCTGTTCACTCTGATGGTAGTTTCTTCTGCTGTGCAGAAGCTCTTTAGTTTAATTAGATCCCATTTGTCAATTTTGGCTTTTGTTGCCATTGCTTTTGGTGTTTTAGACATGAAGTCCTTGCCCATGCCTATGTCCTGAATGATAATGCCTAGGTTTTCTTCTAGGGTTTTTATGGTAAAACCAGGATCTTAAAGAGATATTTATATTATTCACAACATCGAACAGGTGGATGCCACCTAATGTCCATCAACAGATGAATGGATGAAGAAAACATAGTACATATACACACAATGGAATATTGTTCAGACTTTAAAAAGGAGGAAATCCTGTCATATGTGGCAACATGGATGAACCTTGAAGATATTATGCAAACTGAAATAAATCAGTCACAAAAACACAAATACTGCATGATTCTACTCTGTGCATAGAGTTAACGCCGCTGAACCATATGCTTTAAAATTATTAAGATGTTCTACTTTCTGTCTCTATGAATTTATCTATTCTAGGTTCCTCATGTAAGTAGGTTCATACAGATGTGTCCTTTTGCAGACAGTGGCTGTTTAAGTCAGAAGGCAAGGAGGAAGAGAAACAGCCACAGAAGTTGGCAAGGCCTGGCAGGATGGAGAATCCGGAGTTATTGCTTAATGGACACAGAGTTTCTGTCTGGATGATGAAAAAGTTCTGGAGAGAGATTGTAGTTATAGTTGCACAATGCTGTAAATGTACTTAATGCCAATGAATTATACACTGAAAAATGGTTATGATAATACATTTTGTTATATTTTACCACAAATAAAAATAATAATAAAAAAATAAAATTATTAAGATGGTCAGTATTATATGTTTTTTCACCACAGTTTTAAAAATAGGATACATTTCCAAAGATGTGAGCACTGAAAAAGAAATTTCTAGGGTCCAGAACTGAGACTTGGAAGAGGCCATAATTTGAAAGGAACTCTTGGAAAAGACAGAGGAAGAACATGAGAGGTTGAATAAAGAGTATGATAACCACCATAGCTGAGAGAAAGGACGTGCTACAAGGACAACCAAATGAAACAGAGTGATAAATCAGACATCAAGGAAACAGAAGAATCATTACAGACCTTAGATGGGACAGTTTCAACATCCATTAACTGCTCCAATACACAGGAATTTACTGAGCTCCAACTATGTGCCATGCACTGTTCCAACAGGGAACAAATGGGGCAAAGTCTCTCTTTTTCATTGTGTTTGCAGACAACCAGTAAATACATGCCGACCAGTAAAGAAAAATAAACAATCCAAGAAGGCTGATGGGGGACACTGTTTTGCTATTTTGGTTTTCAAAAATAGGGTGACCAAGGGGATATGTGAGCAGAGACCTAAAGGAAGTCATGTGACTCAATAGGGGAAAAGCATTGGGGTAGAGGAAAGAGCAAATGCAAATGCCTGAAACATGGGGCACGCTTAGCCAGGAGACCAGCATGGTTAAAGCACAGTTCACAAAGGAAGAGAAATAAGAGATGAGCTCTGAGCAGTGGTCAGTTGGCTGTGGCACCAGTGACCAAGAGGGAGGGGTATGAAGTTCACAATAATTCCAACAGTTGCTAGGGAAATAAAAAAGGGATGCAATAAACTGGTGTTGAATAGCTCATTGGTGTCACCAGAAGTTTTGTTGTTTGTTTTTGAAGAAAAGTGAGATGTAAACATTTTAGAGGGGGGAGAAGAAGAGATTGAGAGAGCTATGAAACAGGAGGGAATTATTATAGAAGAAAAATCCTTTCAAAGGGAAAAAAAGGAAATCCAAAACAGAGTTAAAGATATTTGATTAAGGAAAAGGAAGAAATGCCTTCATCCAGAGGTCCTGGATAAAGATTCAAGAATAAGCCTGCAGCCAACCGTGGCTGCTTTCAGCATCACTTCTATACAGCATAAAGTCAGACAGTATAAATTTAACTCAAATAGAAGACAGATGGTCCTAGGAGTCTGTAGGCATAGATAGATATTTGAGGTGATTCATTACAGCCAAGTAAAGGAAGCTTCTGGTTGTTGACTTAATAAATTACTACAGGATCTTTACAAAAACTGAGGCTTGGCTAGATATGGATCTAATATTTTTGGTCATCACAACAAGAAAAGGGGAAATAGTTTGATCTTCATTTTCCTTAAGGCTTATAAAAAGATTAAAATCGTCTTAAAAGGAATCTAAAACAAATACTTCACAATAATTTAGAAAGTTTATATACACACTAGAATACATTAGCAGCATGATTTTATGGGGAGAATCATGCCAGATAAAACTAAAAAGCTCCAAACACCACAATCTGACTAAATGTTTGAGAGATTTAAATAATATTAGACCATACTATTCCACATCAGGAATGTTAGCTTAAACAGTCTTTGCTTGATGGTCCCTCTGTCTTAAAAAGGTTTGCAGTAAACAAGGTACTTTGGGTTTGTGACAAGCAGGCAACACAGTGTCTTGAAATTTAATGTGTGTGTTTGGTATAATTGACTAGAGCTCAGGCCCAGTACTGAAAACCATTAGAAAAAGCACAAAGAAGATAAAAGACAAACTGACAGCAAAGTGCCTTTCTGTAAACCGTAAGGCAATGCCTACCAAGTACCAAAATGTCTTTTGTGCAGGCCGATAGCAGTCTTTACCATCACTAACTTTTTTTTAAGTTGTGAAATACAGTATTCCTACAAAAACATGTACCAAACATACATGCATAGTTTAATGAATGATAATCATCCTCCTCCCTTCACGTCCCCCTCAGGGGTAACCACCATCCTGAATTTTATATAGCTCATTCCCTTGCCCTTCTTTATAGTGTTTTCAGCTATGTATGTATCCTCAGATAGCATATTGTTTAACACCAGCAATGGATTTGGGATCCTGTTAGACTTACATCTTACCATTAGTATTGACCAACACTGAGATTTTCACCATCTAGCTGGTATGAAATTACACTTCATTATGGTTTTAATTTACATTTCCTAATTACGAGTTTGAGCATTTTTTCATGGTTTATGGGACAGTTGGAATGGTTCATCAGATAGTAGCTTTTCCCATCTTTGTTTTGGCTTCTTTTATTTTTTTTTTTCATTTTGATTTCTAGGTGTTCTTTATATAATCCTTTGAGTTATACATCTTACAGATTTCCCCTAGTTTGGGGGCTGCTTTTTCAATAAACAGCCATTCTTACTATTCATATAGCCAAGATTTACCAATCTTCCCCCTATGGTTTTAGCCTTTTCTATTTGGTTGGGCTTGCTCTTGTCCTAGCAATAATTCAGTTTTTATAAATCATGTGTGCGACACATTAGTATGTAGAATGTGTATTTTCAAACCATTAAATGTATTGTTCTTTAAAGGTCCATTAGATCAAGCTTAATTGTTCAGTTAAAATCTTCTTTAGCTTACTAATTTGTCTGCCTGATCTATTAGTATTTTAGAGGGTACTATAGTAGTAAATTTATCCATTTTCTTTATAGTTCTGTCAACTTCTGATTTATATATTTTGACAATATGTTATTTTGTGCATACAGTTTAGATTTGCTATATCTTTAAGATGAATTAAAAATTTTTAATGTTCTATTGTGGCTGTCTTTATTATTGCCCTGTAGCCATTTTATCTAATATTAATATAGCTGCCTCAGATTTCATTTGATTTTTTGTCTGATATATCTTTTTTCTATTATTCGATTTTAGATATTTAGATATCCTTGTAATGTATGTGGTCTATTTAAAGTAGTATATGGCTGGGTTTGGGGGGTTTGGATGGAGGTTTTATTAATTTATTTTTATTATTATTTGTTTTTTTTAATCCAGCCTGTTCATCTTTATATTTTACCTGCAGAGATTAGTCCATTTATATTAATTGTGATTAACAATATAAAGCCATCCCCTGCTTAATGTCAATAATCTACTCCTAAAACATCAGATATTTTGCCTAAAAACACTAACTAGGAGTCTGTTTTCTGTTATTCTATATAAGAAAATGTATAACATGTAATGCATTATATGTTAACCCTATCTCTCAACTAGTTTTCTTAAGTAAAAACATTGTTTTCTAAAACAAATAATTCCATCAAAAAGTGAACAAGTTACATGAATAGATATTTCTCAAAAGAAGATATACAAATGGCCAAAACTAACCTATGAAAAAATGCTCAACATCACTAATCAGGGAAATCCAAGTCAAAACCACAATGAGATGCCACCTTACCCCTGCAATAATGGCCATAATTATTAATAAAGCCTAAAAACAATAGATGTTAGTGTAGATGTGGTGAAAAAGGAATGCTTATACATTGCTGGTGGGAATGTAAATTAGTAGAACCTCTATAGAAAACAGTATGGAGATTTCTTAAAGAACTAAAAATAGATCTACCATTCGATCCAGCAACACCACTACTGGATATCTACCCAAAGGGAAAGAAGTCTTTATATCAGCACGTGCATGTTTATCACAGCACAATTCACAATTGCAAAGATATGGAACCAACCTAAATGCCCATCAACCAATGAGTGGATAATGAAAATGTGAGCTATATATGTATATATACACACACACACACCATAGAATAGTACTCAGCCATAAAAAACTTGGATAGACCTGAAGGCCATTATTCTAAGTGAAATAACTCAGGAATGGAAAACCAAATTCTGCAAGTTCTCACTAATAAGTGGAGGCTAAGCTATAGGTACATAAAGGCATGCAGACATAATGGACTTTGGAGACTCAGAAAGGGAAGATGGGATGGGGTGAGGGATATAAATCTGCATATTGGGTACAACATACACTACTCAGGCGATGGGTGCACTAAAATCTCAGAATTCACCACTATATAATCAATCTATGTAACCAAAAACCACTTGCAACTCCACAGCTATTGAAATAAAAAATGTTATTTGAATACAACATTGTTCTCTGATTACCAAACATGTAAAACTGCATGCATACTGTGAACATTATGTTTACAATATGGCAAAGCAAATAACAACAGCAATAAATAAATTTTGTCAGAAAAAGTACAGTGAAATTTTTTAATAAAAACAAGACAATTACCTGTAATAAACTGTCACTCACTGAGTGAGGAGAAAACTTGATACTTGAAAAAACTGAGAGAGAAGGAGAGCTGACAGTAATTGTCACTGGTTGTGGAAAGTGCTCATGTGGATGAGTGGGATGATAAAGAGTAATTTCAAACAAACCATCCAACTCAGAAACTAATGGAAACTCTCCATCATTTGTCACTGCTGAAAATGCACCTGAACAAAAGGGCCATGAAAAATTGTCAAAGGAGGTGACCAACATTTAAGGGAAAAAAATTTGTAAAATGTAGCTTTGTTTAAAATCCCATTATTTGCATTTGTTTTCTTCTTTCTTCACACTTTTCTTCAATACTTTTTAAAATTGTGTGTGTGTGTGTGCCTGTGTACATGTGACTCATTCATCACTAGTCAAAAATAGAGGCTAAATACAAAGGCACTTCGAAAATGCATTCAGGACAAGTATTACAGTGGCAAAGGCCAGTTCCCAAGGAGTGTGAGCTGTGTTGTCTCGCTTAGGGCCAGCATCTCCTTTTTGCTGGAACTCTGAATGCTTTTCAGAAAATCTTCATGAGATTCTGATGACTTATCCATTGTATTTGGAATGTAACCTGATACCTTTCCAGCACATCATTTTGTTAAAAATGCTATGAGTATTTGGAATGTAATTAGACACCACTTCTACATAACCATTGGCTGATAAAAATTTATATTCAGAGATATGTTCCATGATATTTGGTTATTGAAAAGAAGTATTCTACTGGAAACATACTAGTTGAAGAAAACTCTGAAACATATGCTTGTATTTTAATTTGCTTTCACAATCTGATTATTCTTTTCCCAATTGTATTTACATTCTCTGTTCTCCTCCCTACCTCTTTCTTGCCTTCAAGTCCAAATGTGGGCTGGTTTATGATTATTAATTATCAGAGAAGATATTAGACATTGTACTTTCACATTTTCAAAACCAAATTCAAGTCAGGTAAATCACCTGGCTGTCCCCTTCCATGGGATGGCCTTCATTTCACATTTTCCATTGCACTAAGTGTGCACAAAGTCCTGGCTGATTTGGAGGTCGCCTCTTGAGACTCTCCTGGCTTTAGCTGGCATTGGCTCTCCTTCCCTGTGTCTGTGCTGCTGCCAAAGCTGAAGCACGAGGTCTCAGTACAAAAGCCAGCCTCAGTGCTCCTGCCACCCAAGGTTCTGCTTTGACTTTAGCTCCCACCTCTGAGAAGTTCTTACTTTTGTACCAGTTCAACAATGAATTCTGAAAGATTTTTTTAAAAATTATTTCACTTGTTCCCATCAAAAAGACCGAGGAGGGCATCTGATCTGCCCGCACCACCCCCTTTATGATGTCTTTATTATTACCCATACCCAGAGAGTTGAAAGACTGCCAATTAGTAGCTTCATTTGTGCTAAATAAATCCAAAAATAAACTACAGACCAAAGAGTGCTATAATGTTTTAATGTGGCAAAATGCAACTTAAATCATAAGAGTAAAATTCAGGTGAATTGTTTATCCAACTGTCACAGAGGGCTTGTATTAAGCTTAGAGAGGCAGGTTGCTCACCAAATTTAGCAGGTTTACTGAGTTTGAATAGGGCCATTACTATTTTGGGATATCTGTTTTCAAAAATGTTACACTGTTTTTGTTCAAAATAACATTCTTATGAACACAGGGAAAAGCCTGGTAAAAAACAGGGATTATCTCTGGGTGATGGGAACTGTGGCTAATTAGCATGTTATTTCTGCTTATCTTTTTCCCTAAAAAGTCTACAATACACGTGTTTTATTTTTGTGAAAAGAAAATTGGCAATAGGTTTTCGAAGGCAAAGATATTATATAAAATATAGCATTTGGGGACAGGGAGAGAGTACCTACCTGGGGGCACCAGAAGATCAGTGCTTTGCTGTAGATACCACTGTGCAGACAGGTGCCTTTGATCAGAAAGAAGCAGAAAAAATTATAAGATGACGTGTGGTAGTAAATGGCATGGAAATGTTTAAGCATGGCAAACATAGCAAAGAATAATTTCAAAATGTTATAGGTCTAAGCACTCAGGAAGATATATTCCATTAACTCATAATAAAATGATGTAACTAGAAGATGTAAAATGAAAACAGTTCTTTTGAAGGCTGACAATGAAAAAACACTTCCTGAAATTGCCTAAGATTAGAAAATATATTTAAATTTTAATTAGGATGATTAATCCACTCAATATTCTACACACACAGGAAGGTACAAGGAGAAAAGCTGGCTCCTGCTTGAGGAAGCCCTTGCTGATGTCAGCAGAGTAGCTTCCTTACACAATCCATTCATTCAATTAGCAAATACTGTTGTGTACCTACTATATGCCAGGTACCACATTGAGTCCTGGGACCCACAGACAATAGTATATCATCTGTGCCCTCAAGAATCTTAAGCTTCTTTTAGGAAGATAGATTTGTACATGCACTACAGTGTAGCATGATAGAAGCATGTATATTAAGGACTAAATCCCTTCATGGCTTCCCCACAGCAGTGTTCTCTCCTATCTCCTGGCCATGTTATTAAGGGTCTGGTTTTTAGTCTTGGTATCTGACCTGTGTTCTCCAGTCCAGCCTCATGGGTTCAATTTTACTTGGTATACCTTTGCTGAGAGCAAAAGAAACAATTCCAATCACCTATTGCTTAAACAAGAGGACTTAACTAAATTTACATTAGAGGAACTAGAGTTCCAGTTTGTGGTGGAACAGTCACGTCCAGACCCTGACCTCCTTTCTATATTGCACAGTCAGTCATTGATGGTTAGAATATTTGGCCCCCAAAAGTGGTCAAGAAAGAAAACTCAGATACTGGTACTGGTGTTTTGCAATAGAGGACATACAGATTGATGGCCTCTGATCTAGGAACTTTCAGAAACTGCTTTAATTTTATAGTTTCTGCAGAATTGAAAAACTGTAACTCAAAGGGTATCTTGGTGTGTATTCAGGAGTACAGGCATGTGATACAATTGCTCCTATTTCCAAGGCCGCTTGAAGACTTAAATGTGAGACAATAGAGAGGCTTGAGAGTATGATGGGAAAGACGTCCATAACTTTCTGGGTTTCATGGCCTATGCTTCCTAGGGCCTCTTCTAGAGAAACTGTCCTATCCCTGGGTCTTGAAAGAGCATCCTAGGGCCGGGCACCATGGCTCACGCCTGTAATCCCAACACTTTGGGAGACCGAGGCAGGCAGGTCACCTAAAGTCAGGAGTTTGAGATCAGCCTGGTCAACATGGTGAAACCACAACTGTACCAAAAATACAAAACATTAGCCAAGTGTGGTGGTACACACGTGTAGTCCCAGCTACTCAGGAGGCTGAGGAAGGAGAATCGCTTGAACCTGGGAGGTGGAGATTGCAGTGAGCCGAGATCGCGCCATTGCACTCCAGCCTGGGTGATGGAGCATCCCAAAGGGAACATCACTATTGAGAGAGTAGGTCAATCCAATTTTCAGAAGAGTTTGAATTTAGCAATGGAAACTGTAGTGAAGCAGAAGTCATAATATAGAATTGGAGCTGTGGGCTTAATGGGTCATGGGAAAGATGAGTAAGAGAAGCTAATGAAAAGGGCAAGAATACACAGATGAGAGAAAAGCAAAGAGAGAGATTGTGTAGCCCCAGATATAGGGAAAGCATTAGTTTTTCACTTTTGTCTCTGAATCTATACATATCCATGCAATGACCTCACATTCACATATAACAGCCCCTTCCTGGGTAGCTTGGATGGCTTTTTCTTTGAATTCTAAAGAGCCTCAACTAAGACAAATCAGAATACCATTGAGCAGAACCAATTTACTACTTGGCATAAGCAATATTCAAATGCTTCAGTGGGTAAACAAGCTGTAGTGAAAACCAACAGAATACTGCAAAACAAATGGAGAAAAATGCACTGCTGGCTACCATAACACCTAATCATACAGGGCAAATGGATTGCATGTTCAACTGGAAATTCAAAGAATAACCAAGATACATGCCACAGGAGACATTTTAAGCCACCTTCTCTGATGGAAATAACAGCTTGAGTGCCTTGATTAACTACTCCTCTCAAAAATATTATGAAATCAGGAACTTCCAATAGCAGCAGTAGTGATATTAATTTAAGAGTAATTCATAACTGAAGGCAACAAGCTAAGTCTTCATGACAGTTCTCTGAATTTTCCAAATCATGGTATGGTCTGATGAAATGAAATAGTCAGCTTTTGCTTTCTACTTGGCAATACCAGAAGATTTTATGTGCCTGAGCCACAAATGCATTTATACAATCTTTTTCAATACTTACAACTCATCTATTAAATGGTAATGGTCTATTCCTCCAATAAAGACAGATTATTCTTTCGCTTAGGAGATAAACCTATAAACTGGTTTCTTGTCTACAGCACTCATCCATTATAGATCTTGTGCCTTCTGAAAGATGAATAATTATAGCCCCTGAGGAGATTTGCTATATATAGTGCTGTGGTAGTCATCAAATTGGAGGGAAGGCTGATAGGTGTGGGCAACAATATAAAACGAACAACCCTCTTGTCTGCCAGACAGAAAGTAAATCGGTGAGAACAGCCCTCATTACTGCAAGTTGAGTGGGAAATGTGTGGCATCCAATTTCTGGGCATGTACTCTTTCTCTCTGTGATAAAATAAATATGACACCATGAAAACTTACTTATCATAAATAAATTTATCTAATGAGTAAGTAAAAGAAAGATCATATATGACTTACGAATGAGTTCATTTGGGGCTCTTTTTTTTTTATAAATAGTGCACCCTTTTTTATAAATAGTTGCCCATATTATTTTTTGCCACACAGGCAGTCTGTATTCCTTAGGGAAAAATGGCAGATCAGAAATCAGAATCTAACAAGCTGTGCATAATAAATGTGTAGCATATGTTACGGCTGAATTCATTCCTACTGTCTGCAGCATATACATTCTACCTAGGATTGCAGAAGTGCTTGTTATCTTGATGGCACTGAAGCAAGGAGAGAAGATGACATGAAGAATGCCATATATAGCTCAAGATATTGCCCCCTGGGACAATGTCAGAATTCCTAGCAATAAATCCATGGGAATAAATTCAGGAATCACTAGGGCTTAAAATTACCATATTCCAATTATAGATTGTTCTTAACAGTCCCATAGGTCCTATGGACTCACTTTATAAGTTGTGTTGATTTCATTATAATGTACATCCTTTAAAAAATGCAGATTATAAATGACTTGGGCCTTCTATTAATTCAGTATATTCTTTGGATGATTCTGTTCTAACAATTCTTACTAGTAATGCAAATCCTTCTCTCTGTAGTTTCCAAATCCCCAGTTTCTTCTATTTAAAATGTCTACATGATTTATTATCTTATCCTTCATTCAACAAATATTTATTGACTGCCATCTATGTGTATAGCATTATGCTAGACACTAGGAGAGATGTAAATATGCATAATACACACTCCTAGCCCTCTAGAAAATGAATATTTTTCAGGACAATGAGATATGCACGTATTAAAAGTGAAATATCAATGCAGAAATTAAAATAATGCAAAACCATAAAAGAGATTTCTCAAAGCAGTACATTTTGAAATGCCAAGTAACTAGTATAGACAAAAAATAAGAGATTAGAAGAAACAATAATCTTTCAGTGCTCAGTGGTTAGAAAAAGCCTCCTGGAAAAGGAACAGATATGCATTGGATAGTTTTAAAGGAGGCTCTCTGGGCATGGTCAATACACAGAAGTGAGCTAGGCATTGTGTGTTAGGGGAAAATGGACCACTTCTCAGATTGGAGAGAGGTTTAACTAGAGTTCAGGAGAACAAGCAGGAGAGTAATTTCAGCATCGTTTGTAGAGCATCTTGACTAGGATTCTGTGCTTTAGCTTCAAGGTAACTGGTGTCCATAAAATATTTTATTATTAAATCAACTTTATATAAGTATAATTTGTATGCAGTCAAGTACACACATTTTTGTTTTTTTATTTATTTTTTAACTGACAAAAACTATATACTTATGGTATACCACATGATGTTTTGAAATATGTATACATTTGTGGAATGCTTAAATTAAGATAATTAAACACATATATCATTACCATTTTGTAGTAAGAACACTTAAAATCTACTCTCTTAGCAATTTTTAAGAATACAATCCATTGTTGTTAACTGTAGTTACCATGCTATACAATAGATCTCTTTAATTTCCCCTAAATGAAATTTTGTAATCTTTGACCAACATCTCCCCAATCCTTCCCCCAGCCCCTGGTAACTACCATTCTACTCTCTGCTTCTATTTCAGCTTTTTTAAAATTCCACTTATAAAAGAAATGCACACTTTTCAAAGGTACTGCAAGATGAGCTTTAACAAATCAATACAGTCATGTAACCACCACTGCAATCAAAGTAGAGAAACTCTCCATCACTCCAGAAAGTTCTCTTGGTTTTATTATCAGAATCAACAAGCCCATTTAAGACTTCAGGTCAAATATGCCAGAATGACTGCCTACTTATGTCTCCTCTCACTCTGAAGACTCTGATAAAATGAAAATAAAGGAATAATATATATTTTATATATAATACATGACCATATGTATTTATCCATGAGGATAAAGAGAATGTGGGCTAAGATATCAGCAGACAAGAAATTTCAGCACATCTTTGGACAATAGAAGGCACATAGATCTGCAGTAACTGACTTAGCAAAGGAAGTCATATTTGAAGGAGCCTCAGAGATGAGAAACCACTTTATCCAGAGAATCCCTGTGATTCTCAGACTATCAATCTGATATTGCAGAAAGAAGGGATGAGGCATGAAGTTGAACAACAGAATTGGTTGAAAGTCTTCATGTATGGACTAGCTAGATCCTCTGGCTCTCTCCTCTATGTTGTTCTGTCAGCAAATATACAGCACCTACACATTCCAAGCTCTCCAAGTGAGAGAAATGAGATTTACTTTCCTGAGAACTCACAGGAAGAAGCTTTGAACTCAGAGATGACAGACCTAGTGAGGGACATTAAATGAAGAAATTAAATGAAAGATTGAATACTGCATGGTAATTGGTCTCATGACATTGGCAGCTAGGTATATGGCCCACAGGCAGGAAACTGGAGGATTCTTCTCACAAAAACTAAATGCTCAGAGAGCAAAATTCCAGAGAGTGACTTTTAGGCTCTATTTCAAAATCAAATGGCCATTTCACTGCCTGATCACCCTGCAAAAATGTTTTCCAGCTTAATGATTCTCACCTGCACATACAAAGATTCCCAGAAAGTCTCTATTTCTTCTTGATTTTATTAGAAATAAACAGCTAAGCATTATTGTCATTTTAGGAAAGCCTCCAACATGTATGGGAAAAGAGAAAATAAAGAATAAAAAGGACAAAGAGGGAAGAGAGTAAGTACAGAAAACAGAAAAAAATCCTTCCCAAAGTAAATACTTTTAGAGAGATAAGATAATATGTTGCATTCATAAACTAAGAACAGAAAGATTTCAAAAAAGAATCATTAAGAATCAGAAAGTAATGTTGAAAATTAAAACTTAGAAAGAATCAAGAAACTCTTCCAGAAAATAAAGCAAAAAGGCAGAGTTAGAAAAGAAGAAAAAAAGATATTAAAGTTTCAACCAAGAAAATACATCTGAGTTCCAGAAAGAGAAAAGATAAAATAGGAATAAGAAAATTGCCAAAGAAATGCCCTAAGAAAATTGTGTGATTATCTCCCATTGTCAGGTAGATATCCACAAGAAAATAAATCATTCTACCAAAAAGACACATGCACTCACATGTTCATCACAGCACTATTCCCAATAGCAAAGACATAGAATCAGTCTAGGTGCCCATCAACAGTGGATTGGATAAAGGAAATGCGGTACACATACGCCATGGAATACTACACAGCCATTAAAAAAGAATGAAATCTTGTCCTTTACAGCAACACGGATGCAACTGGAGGCCGTTATCCTAAGTTAATTAATGCAGGAACAGAAAACCAAATACCACATGTTCTCACTTACACGTAGGAGCTAAACACTAGGTACTCACGGACATGAAGATGGCAACAATAGACACTGGGGATTACTAGGAGGGGAGGGAGGGAGGAGAGCAAGGGTTGAAAAACTAACCATTGTGTAGGTACTGTGTTCACTACCTGGATGGCCAGATAAATCATACCCCAAACCTCAGCATCATGCAGTATACCCATGTAACAAACCTGCACATGTACCCCCAGAATCTAAAATAAAAGTTGAAATTATTTTTTTTTAAAGAAAATTACGTGAGTATCCAGGTGGAAAGGATGGCTCAATAAATTGCAAACAGACTCATCATAAGACATATTATTATAAATTCCAGTATATCAGAGATTAAGAGAAGATTAATAATAATTTTTAAAGGGCTTTCAGAGAGAAAAATAAAGCCACTCACAAAGGAACATGGATCAGAATGGCAGTGGATGTTTCAATAACCACACTTGATACCAGAAAACAGTAGAGCAATATTCTCAAAATCCAGAAGGCAAATTATTTATAAACTTGAAATGTATACCCAGCCAAAATATCAGTTGAGCATGAGAGTAAAAGGAAGATACTCTCAGAGAGGAAATTTCTCAAAAATTGTCCTCCCATCCGTCCTTCCTTGAGAAACAACTGAAGGATGTTATCCATAGAAACAAGGAAAATGATCAAGATAGGAAAAGACATGGAATCTAGAAAATGTGGAAATTCAATTGGAAAGTCGGGAATGAAATTCCCAGGATGATGTTGAAGAGAGGTTCCCTTGTGACAGTCGGCAGGGTTGGTCAGGGGGAGGGAGAAGGAGCACAGATGGTTCTGGGGGGGTTGCCAGGGGGAAAAAAGGAGTTCATAGATTTTCAGAAACATTTTAAAGAAAATTCTATGAGAAGAAAAAGGAAGCAATTAATAAATTCAGGTTGTGGGTACACCAAGAGCAACTGAAAAATGCAAGTGAAATAATCAGATGAAGGGGGCTTTAAACAAATAAGTCTGAAATGAGCAGAGAATGGGAGTAATATAGGATGCAGATGTGTACATGCATGTGTGTGTGCATATGAACTAGTGTGCAGATGAGTGAATGTGTGCTTGTGTGTGTGCATGAGTGTGCTGCAGAGGCGGGAGGTGAAGACAGAGGAAGAAGGAAGAATTATACTATATTTACAGGTCCCTGTTGCTGATGTAAATCTCAGGCTGCTTTACGGAAAGGTCCTTCAGATGATTACAGAATCTCCCCATTTGCCTTTCCAGCCTACTGTAAGGTGAGAGATCTCTGCCAACTCTGCCACGTGGCCTGTGGTTTGTTATATCTTCTTAAGAGTCGGTATTTCTCCTGTGCAGCCATCTCCACGGTGCAGCCCTTGACCTGAGGCTTGAGGAGTTTGGTGGTATTGTGAAGTCTGTTGATGTGAGAAGGCTTCCTGGGGTCCATATTATAACCCCTGTGCCAAAGTCTGTTGTCATGTCCTTGAGCTGAGTTGTGTAAAGCAGACTATGTAGAATATGTCTCAAACAGTACATTTTAAAGCCTCTGTGTGGTGCTTCCACCCGTTAAAAGGGTTTCGGCAAAAAGTACAGGAGCCAGGGAGGCTCCCTGTTGATTTTGAGAAGGCGGATGACTCTTTGCCTTTTAAAAGTCTAGGTGGAAGCCACAGTGGGAATGCTATTCTGCAAAAATGTTTGCTTTCTTTCTTTCTTTCTTTCTTTTTTCTTTGCTTCCTTCACTATTATTATTGATTGTTGTTATTTGTCATTAAGATCCAGGACACAAAAAAACTTTAAAATATTATTTATTTCACACAGCACAATCTTATAGAAATTATGCCAATTATACCAGGATGGAGGTAGAATAGTAGCCTAGCCAAAAAGAACAGCAGGAATGACAGTGGCATTGGGTTGGGGTGGCACCAGATCACTAGGAGGATCCTGACAGGGAGTTCCAGGCTGGCAGCCACCCCTGGCACCTGGGCTCAGAGAGTTGGGTTCAGGTCCCAGCTGTGAACTGAGGCAAATGATCTGACATGTCTATAAAATAGAGGTCATTATTCATATTGTGAGATTGCTTCAAAGATTCTATAAGTGCAAGATTTTAGATGTAGGAAATAATAAAATATAATTTATTATCATAATTCCTAGAATAATACATATAATAATTATATGATGTATGATATATAATTACCAATACATTTTGTAATATTATATATAATATATAAAATATCCTTCCATCTTTCCATGTTTGATACATTGTTCCCAACTTATAGACAATTAAGCTGTTATTGATAGGTAACTGGAATCACTATGATGTCAGTTCTCACGTTATGCCCCTGGTACAAAGATCAATTTTTCAGCCGAGGCAGCCACTAAGGAGTAAAAAGAGCCCTGATGTCCTTAGGATCTAAGGCCAGGGGTCTCAACTCTGCTATACCTCCTGACCGTGCACCCTTGGTCAGGTCATGCTTCCTCTCTAAGCCTGAATCTTCTCATCTGTACCACGAAGGGGTTGGATGGATAGGCTCTAAGTTTCTCTATCAAGTCAGAAATTCTGTTTCTTATATAAGACATTTGGACTGGACATAGGCATGAGCAGCAACCCCGTTAGTTATCTATTACTGCATAACAACTTACCCCAAAATTAGCAGCTTGGGCAATATCATTTCTGTGGATCAGGAATCCAGGCTCCTCTTTGCTGGCAGCCTCTGATTTGGGGTCTCTCACAAGGCTGTGATCAGGCTCTTGGCCAGGGCTGCAGTCATCTCAGGGTTTAAGGAGGGTGGGGACGGGGATCCCATTCTAAGTTCACTCATGTGGCTCTTGGCACCATTTAGTTCCCCAAGGATTGTTGAACGAAAGGTCTCGCTGGCTGCTGGCCAGAGACATCCATTCCTTCCGTGTGGGCTTCTCCATAGCGCTACTCAAAACATGGCAGCTAGCTTTCCCCAGAGTGACGGCTCTAAGAGAGAGAGGGAAAGAGAGAAGGTGCCCAAAATAGAAGCCACAGTCTTTTTGTAACCAAACCTTGGACGGGCATTTCATTGCTTCTGTCAAATTCTATTTATTAGAGCAAGTCAATAAGTTTGGCTCACATTCAAGGAGAAGGGGCGACACAAGGACATGTGGGGTGGGAGGCAGGGACCCGTGGGCCTCTTAGAGTCTGCCAATCACAGTAACTAATGGAGATTCATCAGGACATTTCCTTGTAGTTGGAATCATGATACTGTTTACCCACTAGTCCATTCATGCAGCAAATATTATGCATTGCCTTCCATGGCAATGCCTTGTGTTATACATTCAGAGGCAGCAAAGACAACAGCCAAGAAGGTCCTTGTCCCCATCTATTCACATTTGTACTCAGGGAAGGGAATTGGGGGAGGCAATCAGAATTGCTTGGAGCTGCTTCTCAACTCAGTGTGTCCATAAGAAGCCTGCACACACAGTGATTCCAATATAATTTCTGTTAAGAACTATTAATAAGGGAAAAGGTAAGACTGGTACTGAAAGGATTACAGTAAAAAGCGGAAATGGGGAAAGAGTGCAAGAGGATTCTCTTGCCCTCAGGCCCAGAAGTGCTCCCCCAAGTGGCTGTTTCTGAGAGATGTTTTTGGAAGAATCACGTGCTATGTAATGCCAAGTTCCAATAAAGAGCCAGAAGGTGGCTGCTTCCATACCAAACCCTCCCAGTGCCCTCTCTTTTTCATTTTATTTATTTATTTATTTATTTATTTATTTATTTATTTATTTATTTATTGAGACAGAGTCTGGCTCTGTCACCCAGGCTGGAGTGCAGTGTCACGTTCTCGGCTCACTGCAACCTCTGCCTCCTGGGTTCAAGCGATTCTCCTGCCTCAGCCTCCAAAGTAGCTGGGATTACAGGCGTGTGCCACTACGCCCGGATGATTCTGAGACGAGGTTTCACCGTGTTGGTCAGGCTGGTCTCAAACTCATGACCCCAGGTGATCCACCCGCCTTGGCCTCCCAAAGTGCCGGGATTACAGGCGTGAGCCACCAGGCCTGGCCTCTTCTTCTATAATTTTCTATGCCCACTTCCCCTACCAGATGGAAAACTTAATTGAGAGCAGTGTTTTTGTCACATTTATATCTCCCCACCTCCAAGTCGCCCCTTTCCAGTCAATCTCCCTCTAGTCCTATTTAGTTTAATGTTTTGTACGTGGTATGTATTCAATAAATTGTTAACTTAAAAAGTAAAATAAAATGAGATACAAAGTACTACAGAAGTCCAGAGGAGGCAGCACACTTCACTAAGAATATCATGTGAAGTCTTTCTGGGGGAGACGGAATTTATATTTGGTTTCCTTTGAAATTAATTTTTTGCCAGTAAAGTTTTAGTTCCAGTCCCTGTTGGTGAGAGGGTAGCAAGGCTGGGAGATGAGGCCTGTGCAAGACATGGTGGGCCAGGGGTGAGGGTTGCTTATTCCTTCCATGTTAACCATCCATGGCCTCTGGACTTTCTGGCCTTCTTTTATTTTATTTAATTTTTTTTTTTTTTTTTTTTTTTTTTACTGTTCTGAAGGTACCTAAGGTACATCAGCAGTTTTATCTTTCTTGATGCCAAGACACAAGGGGAAAATGGTGTCTTCTTTAAAGGCTGATCACTGAGTGTTGTGGGGCACCACTTAGCAGTCCCATGAGGAGCCTCTGCATGGCACAAGTGTCCCTGAATGAGTCAAATGGTGTCCTCCAAAAACCCACACCTACTCAGAACCTCAGAATGTGATCTTATTTGGAAATAGGATCTTTATAGATGTAATTAGTTAAGGATCTTGTGATGAAATCACCGTGGATAGAGAGTGGACTCTAAATCTAATGACTGGTGCCCTGGTGCCCTTATAAGAAAAGGAAAGGACACATGAAGACAGAGGCAGATTTGAGTTATGCCTACTAGGATGTTGCCATTTATAATAAGAAATATATATTCTTGTCTTCCTTCCCAGTTCCTGACACAGAAATTCTAATTCCTTGGAATTGCTTGAATGAACATCTTTTGTTCCAATGAGTCAACTCTTAGGGGTTCCTGGGTGGGGGTTGTCACCAGAAAGACCAAGCCATGATTAGACACTTGGAAGTTTCAGCTCCATCCCCCATTGATAGGGTTTGAATATGTGTCCCCTCTAAATCTCATGTCAAATTGTAATCACAAGTGTTGGAGGTGGGGATTGGTGGGGGCAATTGGATCATGGGGGTCAATTTCTCATGAATAGTTTAGCACCATCCTCTTGGTGCTGCCCTCGTGATAGTGAGTGACTTCTTAGGAGATCTGGCTGTTTAAAAGCATGTGACACCTTGCTCTCTCTCTCTTGCTGCTGCGTCCACCATGTGATGTGCCTGCTTCCCGTTCACCTTAGGCCATGATTGTAAGCTTCCTGAGGGCCCCCTAGAAGCAGATGCTACTATGTTTGCTGTTCAGCCTGTAGAACCGTGAGCCAATTAACCCTCTTTTCTTATAAATTACTGGTCACAGGTATTTCTTTATAGCAATGCAAGAACAGCTTAACACAGAAAATTGGTACCTGGAATGGGGTGTTGCTATAAAGACACCTGAAAATGTGGAAGCAGCTTTGGAACTGGGTAATTGGCAGAAGTTGGAAGAGTTTGGGGGGCTCAGAAGACAGGAAGATGAGGGAAAGTTTGGGACTTTTTAGATACTGATTAAATTATTGTGAACAAAATGTTGACAGTGATACAGACAATGCAGTTCACACTGCCAAGGTCTCAGATGGAAATGAAGAACTTATTGGGAACTGGAGCAAAGGTCACGCATGTTATGCCTTTGCAAATAACTTGGTTGAATTCTGTTCATGCCCTAGGAATCTGTGGAAGTTTGAACATTAGAGTAATGATTTAGGGTATCTGGGAGAAGAAATTTCTAAGCAGCAAAGTGTTCAAGATGTGGCCTGATTGCTTCTAACAACCTACAGGAGGAAATAAATGACTTAAAGGAGGAAATACAGGAGAAAATAAATGACTTAAAGTTGGAATTTATATTTAAACAGGAAGCAGAGCTTAAAAGTGGAAGATTTGCAGCCTGACCATGAGGCAGAGAAAGAAAAAGCTTTTTCGAGAGAGGAATTCAAGCAGGCTATGGAGCAACCACTTGCTAGAGAAGTTTGCCTAACCAAAAATGAGCCTTGGAACTTCTCCTGTGGAGAAGCAAACAAATAATAATAATTTTTAAAAATTAAAAGGAGCCAAGTGCTGATTGCCAAGACAATGGAAAAAAGATGTTGAAGGCATTTCTGAGATCTTCAAGGCAGCCCCTTCCATCACAGACCCATAGGTGTAGGAGGGAAGAATGGCTGTGTGGGTGAGGCCCAGGGCCTGGCTGCCCTGTGCAGCCTTTGGACACTGTTCCCACATTCAGGATGCTCCAGCCCCATCCTAGGCTCAAGGGGGTTCAGGTACAGCTCAGGCTGCTGCTCCAGTTCCAGAGGGTGCAAGCCATAAGACTTGGTGGCTTCACGTGGTGTTAAGCCTGCAGGCATACAGAATTCAAGAGTGAAGGAGGCTTGGCACCCTCCACCTAAATTTCAGAGGGTATATGAGAAAGCCTGGGTGCCCAGCAGAAGCTTGCTGCAGAGGTCAGAGACCTCACAAAGAGTTTCAACTAGGGCAGTGCAGAGGGAAAATGTGAGGTTGGAGTTCCCACATGGAGTCCTTAATAGGGCACTGCCTAGTGGAGCTGTGAGAAAGGGATCACTGTCCTCCAGACCCCAGAATGGTAGATCCACTGGCAGCTTGCACCATGCACCTGGAAAAGCTACAGGCACTCAACAACTTGTAAGAGCAGCCATGGGAGCTGAACCCTGCAAAGTCACGGGGCATAGCTGCCCAAAGACTTGAGAGCCGACCCCTTGTATTGGTGTGTTCTGGATGTGGGACATGCAGTCAATGGAGATTATTTTGGAGCTGTACCATTTAATGACTGCCCTTGGTTTCAAAGTTTGGGTTTCAGACTTGCGTGAGGCCTGTACCCACTTTCTTATGGCCAATTTCTCCCTTTCGGAATGTGAATGTTTACCTAGTGCCTATACCCCCATTTTATCTTGGAAGTAAATAACCTATTTTCTATTTTACAGGCTCATAAATGGAAAGGACTTGCCTTGTCTCAGATGAGATTTTGGAGTGTGGACTTTTGAGTTAACTCTGGAATGAGTTAAGTCTTTGGGAGACTGTTGGGAAGGCATGACTGTATTTTGCAATGTGAGAAGGACATGAGACTTGAGGGGCTAGTGGCAGAATAATGTACTTTGGATCTGTGTCACCTCTAAATCTCATGTCAAATTATAATTCCCAGTGCTGGAGGCGAGGCCTGGTGGAAGGTGATTGGATCATGGGGGTGGATTTCTCATGAATGGATTAACACCATTCCCTTGGTGCCGTCCTCAAAATAGTGAGTGAATTCTTGCAAGATCTGGTCATTTAAAAGTGTGTGGTACCTCCCCCTCCATTCTCTCTCCAGCTGCTGCTTTCGCCATGTGAGGCGCCTGCTCCCCCTTTGCCTTCTGCCATAATTGGCTTACTCCCTATGGCCTTGCCAGAAGCAGATGCTGGCACTATGCTTCCTGTGCAGCCTGCGGAACTGTGACTCAATTAAACCTCTATTCTTATAAATTACCCAATCTCAGGTATTTTGTTACAGCAATGTGAGAACTGCCTAACACACCCATCCTCCAGGAATAGAAGAGAGGCTGGAGACTGATAAACAATCATGCCTACGTGATGAAGCCTTTATAAAAATAAGTAAACTGCAGGGTTCAAAGAGCTCCTAGGTTGGTGAACACATCCACGTGCTGTGAGGGTAGCTCACTTCAACTCCACAGGGACAGAAGCTTCTACACTCAGATCCTGCCAGATCTCACCCTATGTATCTCTTCATCTGGCTGTTTATCCATATTCTTCATTATAACCTTTTCAATATAATAAATTGATAAGCATAAGTGATTCCCTGAGTTCTGTGAACCTCTCTAGCAAATTAATCAAATGCAAGGAGGGGGTCATGGGAACCTCCGATTTGTAGTCAAGTGGAACAGAAGTTGGGGGTAACCTATTGTGATTGGCATCTGAAGCTGGGGGGCAGTCTTGTGGGATTGAGCCCCTACTCTGTGATATCTGTAGCTATCTCCAGGTAGATAGTATCAAAATTGAGTTAAATTATAGGACAATCAATTGATGTGGGAGACCCATTTCCCACACACACATCTGGTCACAGAGGTGTTCTGTGTTGAATGTGTGAGCGTAGGAAAAACCATTTGGTTTTCCAATCTCTAATATCTCCGAAAGCCAAGAAATGCCTTGAGCCACCAGAAGCTGGAAGAAACAAGGAGAGATTCTCCCTCAGGGTCTTTGGAGGGAGTACAGCCCTGAAGACACCTTGCTTTCAGACTTCTGGACTCCAGAACTGGGAGAGAAGAAATTTCTATTGTTTTATACCACTACATTTGTAGTGCTAGATCATCTCTGTGTTGTTTTTACCATCTGTGAAATCTTGAGTGACTATATAACTTTCTAATCTCCAAAACTGAGATAGTAACAATACCTACCTGATATTGTAATTGTGAAAGCTGATGCAATAATGTTCACAGCACATAGAAGTACGTGCTTAATACATATCTTAATAAATGTTGATTTTCCATGCTACTATAAAGACACATGCACACGTATGTTTATTGTAGCACCATTCACAATAGCAAAAACTTGGAACCAACCCAAGTGTCCATCAATGATAGACTGGATTAAGAAAATATGGCACATATACACCATGGAATACTGTGCAGCCATAAAGAAGGATGAGTTCATGTCCTTTGCAGGGACATGGATGCAGCTGGAAACCATCATTCTGAGCAAACTACCACAAGAACAGAAAACCAACCACCACATGTTCTCACTCATAGGTGGGAACTGAACAATAAGAACACTTGGACACAGGGCAGGGAACATCACACCCTGGGCCTGTCATGGGGTGAGGGGCAGAGGGGAGGGATAGCATTAGGAGAGATACCTAATGTAGATGAGGAGTCAATGAGTGCAGCAAACCAACATGGCACATGTATACTATGCAGCAAACCTGCACGTTGTGCACATGCACCCTAGAACTTAAAGTACAATAAAAAATGTATATATATAATAAGAAAAAACAAAACAAAAAATAAATGTTGATTTTCATCATTATTGTTATGAGCTAAAACACAGTATTAGTGGAACCAATCAAATTATTTTTGGAGCTGTCCTAATATATAAGAGCAAGAAGGAGACTTGATTAGATTAGAATCCTGCTGGGACAAGGCCTTTTTAGTCCCTAACCTGCTCCCTTGAAATTCAATCAGTTGAAATACAAATATACCTATACTCATTTTTGTAAACTGAAATTTTGCAATAATTGATAATTGGGAAAGCTATTAGTTTTATATATAAAACAATTACTAAGAACTTTCAAATAGTTAAAAAGGGAAATAGAACAGACATATAATGAGAGAGTGTGTTAGCTAGTTCATGTTAGACATAGCATAATTTCGGCTCAGCGCGGTGGCTCACGCCTGTAATCCCAGCACTTTGGGAGGCCAAGGCGGGTGGATCTTGAGGTCAGGAGATCGAGACCATCCTGGCTAACATGGTGAAACTCTGCCTCTACTAAAAATACAAAAAAATTAGCCGGGTGTGATGGCATGTGCCTGTAATCCCAGCTACTTGGGAGGCTGAGGTAGGAGAATCACTTGAACCTGGGAGGCAGAGGTTACAGTGAGCCGAGATCATGCCACTGCACTCCAGCCTGGGCAACAGAGCAAGACTCCATCTCAAGAAAAAGAAATAGCATAATTTCATTATTGAGCCAATATATTTATAAAAATTAAAATATAAATACACATAAAGACCTGTATTGTTCAATACAGCAGCCACTGGCCCCATGAGACTATTGAAAACTTGAGATGTGGCTAGTCTGAATTAACATGTGATGTAATTGCAAAATTCAGGCTGTAGTTGAAACATAATATGAAAAAAAGAATATAAAATAGCCCACTACTAACTTTTATATGGATTACATATTGAAATGATATTTGATATGTTGGGTTAAATAAAATGTATTACTAAAATTAATTTCACTTGCTTCTTTTTACTTTCTTAATGTAGCTACTAGAAAATTTAGAATTACATATGCATCTTGCATTTGCATTTTCCACTATATCTCTATTGGATGTCACTGTGCTACACATAATGAGAGGCTGCAGCCCCTTCCATGTATCCATTCATACCTTTATTCTACCATCCTCAGTCCTTTATACTATTATTAATAGGAATGCTAAGATAAACGCGATGGTCCCTGTCCACATAACCAGGTTTAGAGTTTCTTGAATTGGGGTAGGATGTGTGGAGACAGGGGGCCCGGAGCCAGGGGAGTCAGCCCTCGTCTGATTCCTGTTCAAGCTCCAGCAGCTGCAGGCCTCACACACGCTGCTCTTTGCTACCCACTGCTCTTTATCTTCATCGCAGCCGTTTCTTTCTTTACACCTCACTCCTCTCCCTCTGCTCCTCTCAGCTCCCGTGGGAATGGGACACTCAGATGCGCACACACATGACCACACACGAAGAGCTCACCTTCATCCTCCTCTAAACCAACCCCAAAGAGCTGGCTTCCTAACAGGCTAGTCCTTTGTGTGTGATGCTTTACTAAAAAGCATCAGAGTGAGTCCTTTGTTTGAGGAATTGGTTTTTAAAAAGAAATTATCCCAGACAAACACGGACATTAATAGCTCTCTCTCCCCTCCCTCTCTCTCTCTCCTTCTCCTTTCCTTCTTCTCTCCCCTCCCCTGACTCTTTACAAAATTCTACAATCCACTTGTCTAACCCACATCAGTATCTAATAGCATAACATCACAGAGGAAAGTGATTTTTCACGTCCGCATCTGCTCTTTTACAATTCAGTTTCTTCCCCGCAGTTCTCAGGTGGAGAAAACTGGCCACTGCAACAAGCTCTAGGAACTCCCATATGTTTGCCTGTGGTTTGCAAATTAGCCTTCCTTCTTTTTTCCTATCGAATTAATACAATTCTTTCTATGTTTCTTTGGGGATTTTTGCTTATTTTTGCTTCTTTATGCCCTTACCTCATTCTAATTAGGTTTTGAGGCAGTAAATAATTTCATATCTTTTCAATATTCTTATCTTCTAAAACTTGTTTATGTTGGTCTTTTTAGAGCCCTCCTGCCCACCCCCACAAAAGGCCTTGGTATTCCATGAAATAAATAAAAACAGTGCTTTAAAGTATGGCACGTGGAGTGAACAAAGAACCCTTGGTTTCTACTTGCTAGACTTTTATTTGTCCTCACACTGTATTCCCTGTCATAGTAACAGGACTACATTATTGATTCGTGTTCAACTTCCAGACTACCCCTCCATCCCTGTCTGTCATTCTTGTATTATCTGCAATTCCCAACAGAGCATTCATTTCACTGTCTTTCCTGTTATCCTGCAGTTTTTCATCTTGGATTCCATTCTACTTGCTTACTTGGCAAAGAAAAAAATATTAAGGATGGTTGTTTTTAGATTCTAAGTGAAATTGTGTAAGATGATAGTTCTAGCCTCTTTTATTTTTTAGCTTATCTTATTCCCAAAAGTGAAAAATGTACCTGCTACTTACACCATAATTCTTTTAGTAGTGGTTACTTGGTCCAAATCAAATTTCCTTTGCCTTCAAAATAGCAAATACATCAAGAGCGTTGTTTCATTCTATATATTGAATTATAGAATATCCATATTTCCTGGCCCTGAAGATTTCTTAATATTTGCAGGATCTGGTTCTAGAACACTATCGTTTCCTGACAACTCAGCTAAAGAAACATAAAAGGGCATAAGAATTTGGAGTCAGAAAAAGTTGCCTTTATACACTGTTTTTATTTTTAGCATTTTGATGCATAATGCCAATTTTAGTGTTACAGTTTTACAGTATCTAAATCTTACCGTTTTATAGTATTTAAAAATGTAATTGACAGTTAAAATAACTTTTGCCATTTGATGAGTTTTTTAATGGAAAGCTAAATAATAGAAATATTCAAACCACATATAAAATAAAGATACATTTTAAAAAGTAAATTAGGAAAGAAATGAAACCCAAGGCTTTAAATCTTTTTTAATAACCTTTATTGGAATGTCCTAACTAAATAAATATGTTTCCATTATAGAAAATATGACCATGTAGGTAAAGGCACAAAGAAGATATAAAATTATTTTAGTGAGTTTATTTTTTTATATCATTAATTTCTGGGATGTTTGTAATGTTTAAGACTCCTTCTTGCTCTTATTTTTCCTTTTCATGGTAACCTGCTTTTTCTTTTATGAAGGTCATATGTTCTCAATTCTCATTCTCAATACTCAGTGACAATGTTACCTGGATTTCTTTTCATTTTCTTAATGTCCACCACTGATTCTCTTTTCCTGAGGCAATGACTCTGATGGTCCAGCTAGATCTTCTATACTAACTCCTGATTCTCCTCAAATGCCTAGTGATTTTATGATGACTGTACATATTTACAGGTTTAATATTAGTAGCTGATATGGAATGGATTGCTCTGGTAACTGTAGAAATCATGAGGGTTAATTTCCCCAGGTTGGCCTACTCTGAAGTTGATTTTTATAGGAATGCAGGCCCTACCTCACCACTGCCTCTCAAAGCAGACAAAATCTGGGATTATATCATACATCCCAAGCCACAATCATGGCTCTTTCCCTGCCAGCTTCCAGGTAATTCTGATATAAAATTAGGGAATCCACAATTTGCTGCAGAAGGTGGGAGCAGGATTATCCAATTTAACAAGCTACCGATTTACCATTATCACCTTCTCCCGTGATGTAAACTTGTGAGAGTCCCAGAAAAGCTAAAATTCTGTCAAGATGCCATAAATAAAAACCCATCGATCAGATATACTTTTAAGAAGAAACTAGAAAAGGTGACTACCAAGTGGAGAAGAGTACTTAACTCAACCTCACCTTCTCCAATTGTCATACCCCCATGTGTGGCACAATTAATTGACACCGGAAACTTGGAAAAAAAACATGTACTTGCCAGGAAGCCCTTTCTACTTTGACCTTCTATAAAGTTACACCAAAAACACCAGTATCAGGTATCACCAAATATGGGATCAACATGAAGCTCTATGATCACAGAGGGAAGAGAAATAGAAATTTTAGTTACGTGGACAAATAATTTTATCAAAATGGCAGGAGGTCAGGCGCGGTGGCTCACGCCTGTAATCCCAGCACTTTGGGAGGCCGAGGCGGGCGGATCACAAAGTCAGGAGATCAAGACCATCCTGTCTAACATGGTGAAACCCCATCTCTACTAAAAATACAAAAAATTAGCTGGGCTTGGTGATGGGCGCCTGTAGTCCCAGCTGCTCCGGAGGCTGAGGCAGGAGAATGGCGTGAAACCAGGAGGCGGAGCTTGCAGTGAGCCGAGATCGCGCCACTGCACTCCAGCCTGGGTGACAGAGTGAGACTCTGTCTCAAAAAAAAAAAAAAAGTACAAAAACCTTACGTCCCAAACCTTTGCACTTTTCCCCATATTTGTCCTCTCTCTGAAGATATCTTGCAATTATCTTTCATTGTATTGTTAGCCTAACTCTTCTTCCCTCTGGATCTCTGTACCCATTCTGATCTTAGCTTTGAAGAAACTTAAAGCAAAGCTTGCTTTCATCTGGCAGACACAGAGTATGAGTTAGGAACCTGATACATTTGGGTTTTCATAGTGGCTCCACCCCTTACAAACTGCATGACCTTAGGAAATTACCTAAACTCTCTCATCTTCGGTTTCCCCACCTGTGAAACATTAATGACAATGCCCAACGCATGGGCAGCACATTACCAAAGTACCAAGAGTAGGGGCCCAATTAATGATATGATGAGTAGGAATCCTCTAATTTTTAACTGGAGCCTTTAGAAATTTGAGAATTCTAGAAGTTCCTTTCATGTACAATACCCTGCATGGGTGCTGGGAAGAACACAAAACCTCCAGTGTAATCACATACCTGCTCTCAAGGAAAGTACGCAAGCCCATCCTGATCAAAATGGAGCTCTGAATAGAATTGGCATAAAAGTCCCTTTTGCAAAGACAGCCCTCCTGGAGACAATGCTAAAGCTTAATCCCAAATCTTTTCTGTATTCCCTTGCAGGAGGCAAAGGCAGGTGGCAATTTCACTGAGCTCTGAAAGCCATTTAATCCCCTTCTGGAAAACATTTGAGTTTGCCTCACTTCATTGCCCAGGCTCCCCTCATGGGTATATGAGCATTCAAGGATATCTTCTCCTGGTTCTAAAAACTCCAGGGTCTAGAACTCACTAGAGCCTCCTTTGCCACGGGGGAAAATACCAATGATGTTTCCTTAAAGTTAGAATCCATTTCAGCAAGGTTGGATTTCTTACCATTACAAATAAGAAAGTTTTTATGCAGAATTAACTCAGGTATTCTACAGAACAAAGGTTAGTAAAAGGATTATAGGTTTCCTTCCTATTTTATATGTATGATTTTTTATTTTTAATTTAATATTGATTGTACTAAAACTAAACTCACCTGCATGCACCAAAACATGAAATAAATGAAACCCAAATATAAGGTAAGAATTAACATTCACTTTTATTAATGACCTTCCTCCTATTTCCTTGACTCCAAAAAATATTTTTTCCTACAGCACCCTTTGCTATCAAATTGAGACCCTCCTACCAGGTTAAAGTCTGAATCAAAAATCCTCCCAGTACTGGTATTTGAGAGAGTTTTGCCTAGACTCACACTTTGTGGGGGTGATACAGGACAGACAAGCCCCTAAAATGGGGCTTAGTCCAGGAGGGTTCTTGGCTTCACCAGGGAAAGAATTCAAGGGTGAGCCAGAAGTGTTAGACAACAATCTTTTATTGAATGGCACTGCTCCTTGCAGAGCAGGGCAAACTCATGAGCAGTGCATCCAGAGTTGGCAATGTATGGGCTCTTGGCAAGTGTGTTTATACTCACTTATACCCACTTTCAATTATATGTAAATTAAGGGGTGGGTTAATGCAAATCAAGGAGTTGGTTATTTAGAACCTTCTAGAAAAGGATTAGTAACTTCCAGATCATTGCCATGGAAAGGGGTGGTAATTTCTGGGTCATTGCCATGGCATTTGTAAACTGTGATGGCGCTGTTGTGAGTGTCCCATGCTAATGAGTAATGAGAGCAGCCAGAGAGCACCCACATCACCATCTGCTGGTTTCTTCAGATTTCTTCACTTTATCCTGCCTGGAGCAGACAGGTCCATAATGCTTCTTTGGTCATCAGGGTTATGACCAGAAAGCAAGTCCTGCCAATCTCCCATTTCAGAGGGACAGGCGATTTCAGGGAAGTAGATGTCTCCTCCTACGGGGTTGGCCTGCCTGTGTTACCAGGAAAAGCAGCACTGAAGCACCCCTTGTTGATGGCTGAGGGCGGATCTGCATGGGGAGGCCACTGATGTTACTTTATCCATGATGTAGGCACTTTCAGATTTGCACACTTCAGAAAGCATGCTCATATTTTGATGAAAAGTCCCGTGTCTTCTGGTTGCCCTCGTCACAAAACAAATACAGCTGTGAAAGCACAGATGGGCAACAGCACAGGTAGAGTGTTTGTAATTGAAAGTGTTTACCTCTGAGGAGGGAAGGGCAGCAGTTACTAGTCCATGGGGCTCAGGACCCGGCTGAGGACACTCAAAAGCCTCCTACTCTGGGAAATCTATAGATTGAGGCAAATAATCAGAACCTTTTATCAAGCACATGGGAAAGGAGTGAGGCACTGTGAGCTCATCTGGAGCATGTGGTGGTCTGTGCCCACCCTGTTAGCTGGGGAACAGAACTGGAGGCAGAAGCTTGAGCTTGTTTCCACAGGAGCCCATAAGGAGGATCTGGACTGGGCAACTGCCTCTACTCCCCTCCCCTAGAGACAGTGGTTACTACACCCACAGGGGACTTCAGGGAAAATGGAGGTGGGAGTACAAGAAAGCTGCAGTGGTATGTAGTCTGGGTTCAGTTGATTGGTCAGTGCTAATGGTCAGATCAGATGTCCATGAAAAAAAAAAAATGCCTGGCAGGAATTTTGTGATTTGTCCCCTCACAGGATAGATATAAGATGTTTCATAATGTACGTACTTATTTCATATACATAATTCACCTATTTTTGATTTTTTTACACATTTTGGAGACCTAAACATTTCTTTTCGCTTTCCAGGAATGCTGGGACTTTGGTCAGAGGGTGTGCTGTGACATGGGGAGAGGCAGCCCAAATGCATTCTCTACATGTTGCCTTCTGTTTGTGGCAGATAGAGCACTGTGGGCCATCACCTTATGGGTTGAGGTAGGGCAGTTGGTGTAGAGCCATCGGTGGAGCCAGGGTTGAGGGCAGCTCGGAAAGAGGGAGTCTCTTGCAGTAGCAACTTTTGGAGAGCAGTACCAACATTGCCACAGAGAGTAAAGTGTGTGTGGAGTGGACATCAGTCGGCACAAAGAGCCATCAGGAGCAGTGGCTGCCTCAGAGCTGCTCTCATGGGTCTGTGGTCGCCATGTCTACTTCATTTCTCTTGTGCAGCCCACTGGCCACTCTCCTTGCATTCCCCAGACCCAGAAAGTGGCAGCCTGACTGGCTTGACCAATTATCACCCCTGCTATGGTGCACAGAACCTTCACTTGGCCACCTCAGGTCATGGGCCAATGTTTGAATGAGAACACGGGCAATCCAAGGTACCCTGTGCAAAAACGGACACAGCACTGCTCCTCTACACTTCCCAGCCATTTCCGGTTAGGCGTGGCTGTGTGACCAGTTGTGCTACTGGGCTGTGAGGGGATGATGCTGCATGTCACTCCCGGGGAAGAGGTGAAAAGCCCATGAGTGGCATCCATTCTCTCTCCCTGCCTTAATAGCCAAAGGCATTCCACCCTTGCCAGAGATGCTGAGTGACAGCCGTGGGCAGAGTCCCCCAGCAATCGCCATCACTGCAGTTTACAACAAATAGGTAACACGTGCAGGAAACGAACCTTTGGGAGCTCAGGGTGATTTGGTTACAGAAACATAACATCAGCTCTCCTACCTAATGCATCCTGAAACCCAAACCCTTTTCCAGACTGAGAGAATTTCTGTTCCTTAGACCCCAAAGTCTAGGCCACCCACCCACAAATATGAGATGGCAGTCACAACTGTGCAGAAGTAACATTAACCAAAATACACAGAAATGTTCATAAGGATTATCTCTGCATAGTGAGAGCATGGGCAGTTTTTATGCTCTATCTTCCTGTATTTTTCCAATTTTCTTCAATGTATATATATATATTCTTTTATAATCAGAAAATAATATCAACATTATTTTTTAAAAATGAGTTTGTTGCATTGACCTCAGTAAAACATATTGGGACAGACAGGTGTTCCAAAAATGGTCCTTCATTGCCACGGACACAGTTTGCTTGCCCCTTCCCTGCCCTCTGGCTTCTGCCTCACATTTCCTTGTAGCTGTGCTTACCAAGGTCACCCGTGACCTCCACAGGGCCTGGGCGCTCATCACCCCCAGTGTGCCACCTGCGCTAGACCCTAGCTCCCTGAGGGAGGGCCAAGATGTTTCGAAACAAGGTGTCAGCAGGACGCACTCCCTCCCCAGACTGGGGTGTAGGGTGGGTAGAATCTGTCCCATGTCCCATGCCTGTCCCCTAGTTTCTGGTGACCTCCAGCATTCCTTGGCATTCTTCAGCTTGTCATCCCATCACTCCTATTTCCGTCTTCACATTGCCTTCTCTGTGTGTGTCTGTCTAAAACTCCCTCTGCCTCTCTTATGAGAATACCTGTGATTCTATTTAGGGCCCATCCAGATAATCCAGAACAAAGGCCTGTTCTCAAAGGCTTTCCCTTCATCACGTCTATTGCCATAGAAGATAACATTCATGGGCTCCGAAGACTAGGACACAGACACAGATTCTGGTGATGTGGGGTGGCCAGCACTCAGCCCATGACACCTAGCATAAAATGAAATTAACATTCCATAATATTTATTAAATGGATCCATAAATTGCAAATAAGTGAATGACTCCTCAAAGGCTGACCTCCTCTGTGAAGTCTGGTTGATTCCTCCCTAGGCTGACTAGGCACATCTTATCTACTCCAAGCCCGCTGCATGCGATTCGAGACCCAGGCTCCTGCTGACGTGCTGGAACTGTGGATTTACTTGATTGTCGCCTCCACACCCCATCTCTCCACCCCGTGCACTTCCTGGGGCAGAGACTGTGCGCCACATTCCTACCTCTCTGCTCCCAGGCCCTCGCTCCCTCTCTGGCACGGAATTCAATGTTCGTTAAGCAAACAAGTGACCTCCTCCTAAATCAACTACAGGAAATAAGAAAAACGATTGCTAAATTACCGCAAGCCTCCCTCTGAATTTCCCTGGCTTACAAAAACTATGTTTGATTGAGCTGCAACATGGGAAAGTGCTTCATTGTATCTAGAAAAGCTGCATTTGGACCTGACCCTATGGCCTTTGACCATCTAATACACATTTTTGGCACGGTGCTCTTTGGAAAGAGGGAGAGACTTTGTTTCCCTTTGTCTGGTAGGTTGTTTAATAAAGTCAGTGGCGTGCTGAGCAAATCCACACGGGCCTGCAGCCCTTTCTCTCAAGGCTGATGGGAGGATTAATCTCCATTGGTGATGCTTCTTTCTTTTGCAGTCAAGTCAGCGGGAGCTCCCAGCTCAGAGTGAATCTCACCAGATGGAAAGCTGGAGGTCTAGGAGTTGCCGAACATAGAATCAACACTATAATTATTAGTCACATTAAAGAATTAAAGTAGAGAGGCCTGCTATGGAAATCAGTATAAGGATAACTAATGGCAGAGAGGGTGTTAATGCATTAACATTAAAACCACTTTTCTCCTCATAAATGAATCAGAGATAATCCAGTAAAGTGGTATCTGTGCTTGTTTCAGGGACCTTGGTTCATCTCAGGCATTGTTCAAGATCTGCACTTCTGGTCAAGCTGATCTCCGTGTGATGTTAATGTTAGGAACTCGACCATAGATTGGCTTAAAGAGATATCGCTCCTCATATCAAATCTCAAATTTCATACTGGTGTGAGTTCTGACCATCTTTGAAACATATTAAGGCTCTAAATCATGAAAGAATGCTTTTGCAAGTGCACACATTTGAGAACCCCCTCCCCTGCTGTAATTTTCAGTTGAGAACAGAATTGCCACATTTAGAGTGCTGACATTTGACAGTCTTACCTGCACCCTCTTTATCCAGACAGACATGACACAAATACACATTTGCTACTGACATGAAGGCTCCCCAAGGAGCCACCATGTTTACAGATCAAAGTGAAGGTCAGCACTCCTACCGTCAGGGGATCCAGAACCATTGGGAAGAAAACAGGAGCAAAATGACCTTTTAGCAATGAGGCAACTGGAAAGATCTGTGGTTGTCCTTGTGTGATGTGACAGCCAGGGCTTGCAGAGATCCAGGGAACACAGGACAGTGAGGAAAGAACCTGGTGGAGCCAAGGGGTGCTCCCCAGTGAATATGCCAGTCCCTGCAGACTCTGGGCTGGTCCTGAGATCCTGCCCTCTGCTGACAGGATGGTACCATCAAAGCACCTCGCATCGCTCAATGCAAGGGTGGCAAACCTTTCCCTGAGTTCCTCACATTTTCATTTCATGACTTTAGCTATTGCCTTCCTGCACGCTCTTTCTTTTCACAAAAGCTGTTATGATTTCCTATTGACTTCCTGTCTTTTGCTTCACCCATCACAGTAGCAAGCCTTGAGCTGCCAACAGGAAAGAAAGTGACCTCCACTAATACATTTCTTCAAAACTAGTAATCAATTATGTTAGCCTAATTTTTTTAAAATAAGAATGTATACTCTTTTGCATATAAATAGAAAAAACTGGAAGAATGTACACCAAAATGTGGATGATGGTGTTCTGATTGGGAATAGGGGAAGAGAAAGAAAACAGATGCTTACTACACTTTGCTTTTGCTTGATTTTTTTTTTTTTTGCAAGGATCCTACATTACTTTGGCAGTTTGAAGACATCAATAAAGACATTTTTCTATTTTAAAAAAGAGCACAGCAAGTTTATTTTTGCTTCCTACTTTGTCAATGTGAAGCAGGAAGTCATTCTGAAATTGCAATTTGTGGAGAGATGCGTGTGTTTTTGTTTGTGTGCATGCACTTGCATATCTCACAATAGAAAGCACACATGCACACAAGGAGTACAGAGAGAACAGTGCCACTTAGGGCTCTTGCCTTCCATCTGCAAGACTCTGAAGTGTGAATTCTCCATCTGCACTCCTCTGCCTGTGCATGAGAAACAGTCAACTCCTCTTTTTCCTCTCATAGCTGTGCAGCAGGGACCTTTGTGCCACCAGGGAGTAGGACTCCTTTCATGAATGCCAGGAATCTTCATGGAGAAGGTGGTACACTGTGCCTGAGCACCCAACACATAACTAACAAAAAAAGATGGAATGAAGATGACCGATAGGAACATGCACACACAGATTCCACCAATCCACAAAACATATATAGGTAAATAAACATTAAAACAAGGATATGAGGAAAAGAGAAGGGATAGTGGGAATTATTAAAGTGACTGGAAATAGATAGAGCTGATCTAAAGATGCCTTGTGTTGAGGGGGATGAGAAGAGAGGAGGGAAAGAAGGGAGCAGAATCTCCTCTTCCTAACTTCTTGTCCTAAAATCATGGCTTAGAAATACAATAACTCTCCAAAAACAGTGGATACTTTTTGTTCCACCTTATAAATGCAGAGAGCTGGAGGCAGCATTCCAGCCACACTTACAATAAGAAATTCCAGCCACACTTACAACAAGAAAAACTAGGATAAGACACAAATGGAAACTTTTCCTGCACTCATCAGAGAACTGAGTTGGCAGGGCAAACACCCAACCTAAAATCTGAAAAGACAGGCACGTGCGGGGAGAAACCAAGCATTCGCTGACCTGGAGATATGTGGCCAAATAGCAAATAAGCTGATAAGATTTAGCTAAAATTTTAAGGAGTTACTAAGGGCCAAGTGTTGTCTAGCAAGACAGTGTGAAGGCCCTGGGGCCCACAGAGAGGGGTTCATGCCCTCTTGCCAGTTTTACTCTACAAACCTCACCTGACACTTGTTGGGAAAACCAAGGAGAATGCTGAAAAAGCCTCTATCCATGGTGCTGGCTCAGAGAAGGGAATAGCGGCCACTGATGAAACTTCACCCAGGCCCATTTTCCTCATCTCTCCTGTGAATGAAAGCTTTAATCTGCAGGAGGAAGAGCAATGAAAATGAACACCTAAACCACGGTAGAAACCTACTGCAGCAGTGAGAAGGGAACAGAATTTTTAAAGCTCTCCCACTAGGGGAATGGCAGGCTCATGTTCCAGGACAAGCACTAGCAGTGGAGGAAGGGCAGGAACACTTGTGAGGCCCACAGCCCCAACCCCCAGGCTCACAGAGCTTACCCACACCTGATACTAAATCAGAACATCAGAGAACAACCCAACACACACCCTTCCCCCCATACCACAGTAACAAGCACTAAGTTAAAATAACAGTGGAATACAACTGAAAGAAGTGCAGGTGACAGCCTGTCTCTGGAGAGTAGAAACAGGAAAGTCATCTGGAAAAATAGTAGCCCACATCCTAAAAACAAGTTACCATGAGAGAAATTTGAAACCTGTGGTACACTAAGGGTAACCCAGCCCAAGAAACTTCAAATTCAGCCCAACTCCTGACTAGATTAACACAAACCCTCACACTAAAGGCCTAGAAGGAAAGATGTACTCATTTCCAAGCAAAAAATAATAATAATTACTTCAGTATCTTTTGTCCTATATCTCGCTTATGGCTTCCATAAATATACGTAGAGAGAAAAAAAGCTTATGTATATATACATGGCATACCGAAAGGTAAGGAAAAACACACTCTGAAGAGACAAAATGATGAACAGAAATAGTCTTAAGTATTACACAGATGGTGGAATTATCAGACAGAGAATTTAAAATAACAATGACTGATATGTTAAAGGTTCCAATCTGACACACAAGATCACATAGATAATTTCAGCAGAGAGAAATTATACAGTAGAATCAAAATCAAATCAAATCAAACCCACAGTATTGTAACACACATAAAGAATGCCTTCAACACAACATCCGAGAGCTGAGATCGTGTCAAATGGTCTAACATAGGTAAAATTGGAATCCCAAAAGTAGAAAATAGAAAAAATAGGGCAGAATAAATACTTGAAGAATATAATGGCTGAGAATTTTCTAAAATGAATGACATACACTAACTACAAATTTTTAAATCTCAGAAAACATCTAACAGAATAAATGCAAACACAAATACATGCACGCACACACACTCCTCTGGGTTCATCCTATTAAAACTTCTGGAAACCAAAGACAAAGGCTATCTTGCAGGCAGCCATAAGAAAAAGACAACTTACTGGCAGAGGAACAAATTAAAACTACATGAAATACCACTATGCACCTATCAGAATGACTAAAAAATAAGCTGACAACATGAAGTGCTGGTGAGGATGTACTGATATCCCACCAGCACTATATTGCTAGATATCCCACATCTACATATCTATCCTAGAGAAATAAACATGTATGTTCACACAAATGTTTGTCACAATTTTATTCATAATCACCAAAAACTCAGAACAATTTAAATGTCTTTCAATGAGTAAATGAATAAACACAATGTGTTACACCTATGCAAAGGAATTGCTTGAATAAAAGGGGAGTGAACTATTGATACACACAATGGCACAGATGAATCTCTAAGTCGTTATGCTGGACAAAAGAGCAGTCTCGAAGTTTACATATTATATGATTCCATTTATATACCACTCTGGATAAGACAAAACTACAGTGATGGAGAATCAGTGGTTGCCAGGATGTGGTGGTTGGGGGTGTGTCACTACAAAAGGGTACAAGGGATTTTTTTGGGTGATAGAACTGTTTTGTATCCAAATTGTGGTTATTTTTACATTAATCTATATGTGTTTAGACTTATAGAACTATTCTTATGCAAAAGTCAATTTTCCAGTATATTAATTTTTTTATATTTAATAACCAAAACAGAAATGAAGAAATGGATTGAGACGAAGAGACGCTGTGACATTTTATATCCAAGAAACTCATGTGGTTTGTTCTTCAATTATCTTTGGAGTAATTAATCTGGGTCCTGATTTTTTAATAGCATGGAGTCCTCTTGATTCCTGATAAGATTCTAATTATACACAAGGAGAGCTCCCTTTGCCTTGCTACCAGCTATCATGCAATTATGCATTGGGTCAGAGGTTTCCTCAGCAAAAGGGTGACATTCTAATGGTGTGACGGAGGCCCACCAACACCACAATAAATATACATATCATAAAGCTGAAAATTTCTGGCCCATTCTAATGCATTATTAATTTATGTTTTGTTCTTCTAATGTTTTTCTCTCTTGCTTCCAATCTAAGAATATCTAACAGATCTAATCTAACATTCTTTTATTAGCACTTGCTTCAAAGGAGATTGGAATAGGAACTGCAGAAGTAGCCTGAAGTCAGCCAGTCTTCCTGGCTTTGGTTTGCTAAAACCTAATCTAAATGAGGGGACTAGAATTAGGGTTAAGGATGAGTTGTTAGAATTCCTTTGAAGGATAGCTGCATCCGGCAGAAGAGAAGGGGATACAAACTTTCAGGTCCCAACAAATGAAGACCCATAACCAACTGCCTTCCAGTGCTCTGGATTGAATCTGTGATAAACGGGAAAGCAAGATGTGCCTGGGAGGCAAATCCAACCTGGAGTTCCCAATCACAGCAAAGCTTCCGGACGGAAACAAATCACTCTAATGAAAACAATGTCAGGGTGATGCCTAGGGCTCCCTGAATAGTTGCTTTACATGACTCTCCTGGAACCTTCACTCGTCCGAAAAGGGCCAGGAAGAGCACTAATAATGAACGATGGTAAATTTTCTGCCAGCCTAGCTAGGTGTGAACTGGAGTCAGACTCAGTCTCATTTAAAGAAAATGAAATATTGTCACATTTCTTGAATACACTCAATGCTATCAGGTTCCCACCCATGTACCTTCAGCAACTATCATTTCCATGCTTGCTGGCCCAGTTTCCAAATGCCAAAATCTCCAAGCCTGTCACTAAGAGCTCTCTGTGGCAGCTGGAGTCAGCTCTGCCTGTAGGAGGGCCAGCCTTTGAAGTTCCAAACAAATAATACTGCCCAGGAGCAACCTCCAACCAATGACTAGTGGCTAAATACCCCAGCTCAGTTGCCCCTCAGACAGGATAACTGTAAGTTTTATACTGTTTCTCAAATTTCTCTAGTGGAATTAAATGCCAGTTGCCCGAAGTGGTAAACTGCTTGAAGAAATGCCCATATGGCCTTCCTTCCCTTCTGTGTCTCACTTCCCCAGTGACTTACTAGTATTTCCGGAGATTGCTTTCTATACAAACCACTTAGGCTGGATACGGTGGCTCACGTCTGTAATCCTAGCACTTTGGGAGGCTGAGGCAAGTGGATCACCTGAGGTCAGGTGTTCAAGACCAGCCTGGCCAACATGGAGAAACCCCGTCTCTGCCAAAAATACAAAAAGTAGCTGGGCGTGGTGGCAGGCACCTGTAATCCCAGCTACTTGAGAGGCTAAGGAGCTAGAATCGCTTGAACCCGGGGGCAGAGGTTGCAGTGAGCCAAGATTATGCCACTTCACTCCAGCCTGGGCGACAGAGCAAAACTCCATCTCAAAAAAAAAAACCAAAACAAAAACAACTTATACTCAAACTTTTGTCTCACAGTCTGCTAGGTAGACCAAAACAAAGACTGCCAAGGTCTTGGCTGCGAATTAATATCTACTATATGTTTTAATCTTTTAAATGATTTCTTTACTGATTATTATTTGGAAGAACATTTATTCCCCAACTTCCTGTTTCCATAAGTGGAAGGATAGTTAAAAACACTTCCAGAATCTTATGCCACTCATTGACACCTTTACATGAGTTATCTGATTGGTGAGTTCAGGAAGATGAACTGAAAATGTTTGGCTCAACTGTCTCATCTGGGCATTATCATTATCATTTCAGATCTGTCCACCTACAGAGAGGGTGTCTTTCTGTTCTATGCAACCCTGTGGCAGTTACCAAAGCAGGATATATCTGTTACTGCACAAGTAAGTTGTCTCATTCAGAGGTTAAGGATTACTACTTAATCTAATTTGGCCATTAATCTAAGGCCTTCTTTAATTCTCTAATGAACTTTATCAATAAGAAAGTTCAATGTTGGGCCAGGCACAGTGGCTCACACCTATAATCCCAGAACTTTGGGACACTGAGGCGGGTGGATCATTTGAGGTCAGAAGTTCAAGACCAGCCTGGCCAACATGGTAAAACCCTGTCTCTACTAAAAATACAAAAATTAGCCAGACGTGGTGGTGGGTGCCTGTAATGTCAGCTACTCAGGACACTGAGGCAGGAGAATTGCTTGAACCCAGGAGGCGCAGGTGAGATTGCGCCACTGCCCTCCAGCCTGGGCAACGGAGGAGACTCCGTCTCAAAAAAAGAAAGTTCAATATTGATTTCTGTCTCTCTTGTGTTATGTTTCCCAGCTGATTACAAATTTAGGAAATAAAGAAGGGGAAAATATTTAATTATTGTTTTAAATGTTCTCCCAACAATTCTTGAAATTAAGCATGTGCTTGATTTGTTTGTTGATCATTTGTATGGGTATAGAATTCTGGCTTGACAGGGTTTTTTTCTCTCTGTCCTTTAAAGATGTTGTGCAACTGTTTTGTTTCTGGTGAGAAAACCACTGTTATCCTTCACTTTAGTTCCTTTGTGTATGACATGTCTTCATTTCTGACAATTTTGAGTAATTAGAATATTATGTGCCTTGGTTAGTTTTTTTAATGTTTCTTATGCTTAGAGTTTGCTGACCTTTTTGGATCTCTGGGTTTATACTTTTCGTCAAATCTGGAAATTTTTCAGCCATTATTTCTTCCATTTTTTTTTGGTCTGTTCTCCCCACTCCTTCAGGACTCTAGGTATACATATATTAGGCTGTTTGATATTGTCCCATAGCTCACTAATGCTCTTTTAATTATTTTAACCCTTTTTTTTTCTCTGTGTGTTTCATTTTGGATAGTCTCTATTGCTATGTCTTCAAGTTCACTAATTTTTTCTTCTGCAATGTCTAATCTAATTCAATCCAGAGTATTTTTCATTTCAGACATTGTAGTTCTTATGTATTTTTCATCCCAGACATTGTAGTTCTCATCTCTAGAACTACTCTACTCAAGAAACTGAGGCAGGAGAATTGCTTGAACCCAGGAGGCAGAGGTGAGATTGCACCACTGCACTTCAGCCTGGGCAGAAAAAAAGAAAAAACCATCTCAAAAAAAATTTTTTTTAATTTGGGTCTCTTTTATATATTTCATGACCACACTTAATATTTTGAACATCTGGATTACAGTTATAATAACTATTTTAATGTCTTTGTTTGCTGATTTTAACATCTGCATCAGTTCTCAGTTTTGCTTAGTTGATTCTTTTTCTCCTCATTGTGGGTTGTGGGTTTTTTGCATCTTTGCAAGTCTACTAATATCTAACTGGGTATTGAAGATTATGAATTAAACCTATCTGAGTACTGTGTATTTTTATATTTCTATAAATATTCTTGAGCAGCTTTGTTCTGGTATGCAGTTAAGTTCCTTGGAAACTGTTTGATCCTTTCGGCTCTTGCTCTTAAGATTTGTCAAGTGGGTTCAGAGTAGCATTCAATCTAGGTCTAATAAATTTCCACAGCCAAGGCAAGACCCCTCTGAGTGCTCTGCCCAATGCCCATGAAGTATGAGGTTTTTCTATCTGGTTTACAGCAACAGTGTGCGATGGCCATTATTCTCAAGAATCCTTTTGGGTGCTTTCTTTCAGGACTCGGGTTGTTTTCTCAAATGCATGTGCGATCAGTGTTCTGTTGAAGACTCTGGAGGCCCCTCTACACATCTCTGAAGCTCTATCTGTACAACTCCTTCCTCCAAGGCTTTGGCCTAGTCCTATGCATTCCAGCCACGGTGATCTCCCTGGACTTCAATTCTGGATACCTCTGGGCTCCGCCTGAGTTACCTTCCCCATGCTGTGGCCTGAAAACTCAAGGCAGTAAACTAGAGCAATAGTAAGTTTCACCTGGTTTGGTTCCTGTCTGTTAGAGATTACTAGTCTTCATTTCGAAAGTGAAGATGAAATAAACGTTTTTTCAGGCAAACAAAAGCAGAGATAATTCATCACAAACAGGTCTTTAACAAAAATGTGAAAGAAAGTTCTTCTGGCAGAAGAAAAATTATACGAGATGGAAATTAGAATCTACACAAAGGAATGAAGAGTGTCACAAATGGTAAATATGTGGGTAAATATAAAATCCTTTTATTCAAATGCATAGCCAGTTTTCCCAGTACCAGTTATTAAATAGTCCATTATTTTCCCATGAAAATGAAATGCCTCCTTTATTATATGTCAAATTCCTTAAATATACTTGGATCTGTTTATCTGTTCTTTTCCAATGGCCTATTTGTCTATAACTACATCATAGTATCATTCTGTTTTTATTTCAATCACTATATAATTGAATTTTTATTAAGGCAAGTTCACCTAGTTGTTAATTTTCAAAATTTCCTTGATAATTTTCCCATTTTATTCTATGATACAAACTTAAAAATTAGTTTGTCTATTCCCTTCTCTCTGCCCACCCCCTCCAAAAAACATCCTGTTGAACCTCTGACTAAAATTCCAATAAATGCATATGCTAATTTTCAGTGCAACGGTTAGCTGAGAACAAGTTTCCATTAGGAGACTGGATAGAGAAAGAGCTCAGAAACAAGAGGCACGAAAAGTAAAACTTCCCTTATTCTTAACTTTGCTGGGAGCCAGCAGTTCTCTGTCCCTGAAGTGGTTTTATTTCCCAACCGAAACTCTAAACTGAGAAGGCTTTGAGATAAAAGCTTATAGCACTCACATATGAATGTGCTCATATTTTGCCTAAACCCTTTCATGTAGGGATTTCAGAGCACTGGGAAAACTACATGGTGTCAGGGTTCATGTATCCCCATCTTTCTTGTGAAGGAACAGAGATGAGAGAGGATTGTTGAAGTCACTTTGAGCTGGAGGATGACCTGGTGGTAAAGCTGAGAGTGAAAGTAGAACTTACACTTGGAACGTATACTTGGAATCATCCTGCTCTGACTACAGTTTGCTCCCAGCTTGAGTGGGCCATTTTAAAATACTCAGTTTGGTTAAGAGCTGTGCCAAGGAGATGGCCTGATAAGTACATATGTTGTACACTCAGCAAATATTCATTAAGCTGAATCCTCCGCCCCACAGTAGTAACTGGACAGATTCAAAAGAAGGGGTACCTTACATCATGGGGTTTATAATCTTCACAGGGGAGAAAAGACATAGATACATAATATAGGCGTGTCATACCATGAGTTCCTTGAGGGGGGAGACTGTTTTATTCAACTCTGTCCCCCTTGGACCTAGCTTCAAAAAAAAGTAAGCTAAACTGAACACTTGCATAGTACACAAAAGAGCCGGATGAGTAATCAGTGCTGAGCGGTTTCCAAGAACAGAGGGTTCCTAATGGGCTAAGTGGAGAGGGAAGTCTGTATGTTACAGGAAGGATATGGCCTGGACCCCAAAATTCTTTGAGAGTGAATTCCTGTATAATCATTGATCTTAAGTCCTTCTTTCTCACTCTGTACTGTAGAACATAAGAAGCAAATGGATGATCCAATTAACTCTGTTCTTTATCCATTGAGAACCAGCTCATTCATTCATTCTATAAGCAGTATTCAGCACATACTATGTGCCAGCATTGCCCCAGGGCCTAGAGATGCAAAAGTGAGGAAGCCAGGCAATCGCTGCCCCATACTCCAGAGAGCCATGGAACCGTATGCTGGCTCCCCTTGCCTCTGACCCTTCCTTTGTCTCTTTGTGTCAGAGGCTAATACATCCTTCTCTTTCTCCTTCTACCCAAAGAAGAAAGGCAGAAGCCCATTAGGATCCCTCAATGTAGTGAAAAGGTTAGCAGAGACTGTAAACAACAGATTATTCCCAGGCTTTTAGGAATCTCTAATGAGAAGAAACTGTCACACTCAAATTCTCTGGTGGTAGTTTCTTTGGGGAGTGTCCCTCGGGAAACATTGCCTGGACAAAATGCACTTTTTTGTACTATGCATAATCCATTACTCCCAGGGAAAGAGTGGGGTTGAAAATAGTTTCAAGACACTATAATTAGCAATGCGATTCTCACAGCTACAAGGAAATCAGATAGGGAATCTAAAACAGCACCATGCCCCTGTCTCTTGCCTTCCTGCTCTTAGGTTTTAGTTCCATTTTTATAGTCACTTCTCTAAGTTGAAACATGGGCTGTCTTCCACAAACACCTACTCTGTGGGTCCTGATGTACCCCCGGATCCATTCTCTGATTTCACTGGCTGTGGACCTGTTCTCTGACCCTGTTCACTTAAGTCCCACACATCCTCAGAGTTCCATTGAACAACTTTACTATAAAGCAGGGTTTGGAAAACCACGACCCACAGGCCCAATCTGGCCCACAGCCTGTTTTTGTAAATAAAGGTTTATTGGAAGACAGCTCTGCTCATTCATTTATGTATTGTCTGGGGTTATTTATGCACTATAGCAGCAAAGTTGAATAGTCGTTACAAAGACCATATGACGCACAAATCCTAAAATATTTATTGTCTGTCCCTTTACAGAAAAAGTTTGCTGACTCCTGTTATAGAGTAAGAGAAATTTAGGACACAAATTCTGTGCTTTCATTGTACCAAACAATGTAGTTGTTTGTATAGAGAAAACTGTATTTATTCCTACTCTTTTCTGATAATATAAATTTTATATGTTGTTTGGGATAATTTGATCATAAGAATCCAGTGATACTCCTGGCTTGTTGTTTCCCAGGAGGGCTAAGGTTAATGACTCATTCCACTGAGTTCAAAGCAAGGCTGGCAAATAGAGAAGTAAACCATTTCGGGACGACTTCACATGAAGTTTTTCAAGATGATATTAGAAAATCAGGTCTTGGAGAGACAGCTTGTCTTGATATGTACCATTTCTTTTTGAGTCAAACTATCAAATGAAACAGAAGAAATAGAAAAACAGAGCTAGATTTCATAAGATTGATATCATTTTCAGTTTAAAAAGGAGATAATCTCAAATATTCAAAGGACAAAGCTGAAGACGATCTCCCAAAATTAAGCCCAGCTTATGAAGAAGGAATTCCTGAAATATAAAGATCTTTCCCACTGTAAATGATCCTTAAAGTTATTGGACTTGCTAAAGAACCATAAGAACAGAAAGGCCTTTTAATGAGCAAGAACTCATTTGTGTTGCTTTGATATAAGATAATCTGTAGATACATATTTACAGCTAGCTGAAAGTTGACTGGTTCTAAATTTTTTTGAATTTGCTAGAAATAGATTTTTTTTTTCTATTGGGAATAAAGTTTGCGCAGCTAATATCTCCACAAACCTACAAACCAACCAAGTATCACAGATATGCTGAGTCACTGCCATCCAGTGGCTGAACAGAATAACTGCTTTAACCATGAACGGGAGACTAAGCTGGGGGGCTGAAAAGGGTCTCAGGAATGAGTTTTATACAGTGGGCCTCAGTTGGTATTGGTCACATTAAAAGTGTGAAACTTATTTACAGATGGTATAATTGCTTAACTAAAAAACTAATAAACTTCATTAAAACTATTAGAATTAATAAGAGAATTTGGCAAAGAGGCTAAAGATAAGATAAATATACAAAACTGTGAAGCTTTTCCCTAGACTAGCAGTGACCGATTTGAAATGGAAACAGAAACAATAATTCCATCCTCATTAGTAATGAAAGCATGGAAGGGCTGGCCACCTCTCCTCCAGGAGGCTTACTGCACATTCAAGTAAAGTACTCAGGACTATGACACTGATCTGATAGCTTCCCAACCTTCCATCAGGCTCTCAGGACTAGTCCCAGCCTACTGTATATCAGTCCCCTTCAGAAACCCAAGGCTTCCCATTAGCAGTTATATGGATCTCTCAGCCCCCACACTATACTGAACAAGCCTAATCCCATCCAACACCCCTCCCTCCCCAATGTTTTCCCTGAGCTCTGTAAAACTCTTAGTCTGTGATCAGAAACCTAATTTCTGAATGGTTGTCCACCAAGCATGCCTCCCCTGCAGCCCTCTGACAAAGAGGCTATTTTTCACCCCACTTCATGTTCCTCAGGGCCAGGAAGGAGGCAAGCCTATTTCTTATTCACCATTGCCTTTTCCCACTCTGAGGCCACCACTACATAGCTTCTCTTTCTTCAAACCTCTTACTCCTTCCCCCCAAACTCTCATCTGAAGACCGCATCTTATACGTAATTGAGGGAATAAGAGTCATCACTAAAAAGTCCCCCTTCACAGTCTAAATAAAGAAACCAGTGGTTCTCAACCAAGGGAAATTGTTCTCCCCAGGGGACATCCAGCAATGTCTAGAGACATTTTTGATTGTCACAACTGGAGGAGGTGGCTACTACTGGGATATCTTAGCCAGGCATGCTGCTAAATATCCTACAACAGACAGCCCCCAACTACAAAGGACTATCTAGCCCAGAATGTCAATAGTGCCAAGGCTGAGAAGCCCTGGTATAGACGAAACTGCCCAGGCACCCCTTTTATCTCTTACTCCAATGAAGAAGTGTCCCTGCTCCCCTAAAAGCTGGTTATCTCTCATTCTCAAGGACCTTCCTCCTGATATCACCCCCTGCTTCTCTCTCTCTCCCTCTCTCTATATATATATGTATCTTCAGTTCTCCCTCTCTATTATGTATATTCAATTATTCAACAAAAATTACTATATGCCAAACACTCTTCTAAGTGCTGAGGACACAAAACAGATGAAAATTCTTGCCCCTGTGAAACTTATATTTTAAGAGAGGAAATGATCAACATTATAAGTAAGTAAACTATACAGTATTAGTGGGGAGTTAAAAAGAAAAAAACAGGAAAGAGGAACAGAAAGTATGTGGCAGAACAGGGGGTTAAATTTTAAATAGGTGGCTGGGGAAGGACATCCTGATATGCTGAAATTTGAGCTAAATCCAGAAGAAAATAAGGAAAATATTTACCCAAATATCTGGGGAAAGAGCATCCTAAGCAGTGGGAAAAATAAGTGCAAAGAGAGAGAGAGAGCCTGGCTTGGGGTTTGTCTGGTGGGTACAAGGAACAAAGAGAGGCTATGGCAGTTAAAGCAGATTGACCAAGGGGAGAGCTGTAGAAGATGAAGTCAGAGAGGTAGTGAGGGTGAAATGGGGTATAATTTTGGCTTGTACTCATCTAAGTGAGATAGAGAAACTTCAGAGGATTTGAACAAAGGATTTCATCATTTGACTTTCACTTCAACACAAGGGTCAACAAACTACAACCAGCAGGACACCGCTTGCTTTTTTTTGAGACGGAGTTTTGCTCTGTTGCCCAGGCTGGAGTGCAGTGGTGTGGTCTCAGCTCACTGTAACCTCTGCCTCCTGGGTTTAAGTTATTCTCCTGCCTCAGCCTGCTGAATAGCTGGGATTACAGGCACGTGCCACCACACTCAGCTAATTTTTGTATTTTTAGTAGAGAAGGAGTTTCACCATGTTGGCCAGGCTGCTCTCAACTTCTGACCTCAAGTAATCCACCTGCCTTGGCCTCCCAAAATGCTGGAATTACAGGCATGAGCCACCACGCCCAGCCCACCACTTGCTTTTATAAGTAAGGTTTTCTTGAAACACAGCCTCATTCATTTCTTTTGTCTCTGGTGGCTTTCAAGCTATAATGGTAGAAGTGAATAGGTGGGACAGAGACGACATGGTCCATAAAACCTGACATACTTACTATTTGGCCCTTTACAGAAAGAGTGGAGAAGAACTCTTTAATAAAGCCAGGAAGCTCAGAAACCATACATGAAAAGATATATTTGACAGCAAAAAAATTCAAATTCATTTAGGAAAAGTTATAAACAAAGTACAGAAACAAATAAGAGATTGGAAAAATATTCATTACAAATAAAACTTTAATATTGCTAATATATTCTCCCTCAGTATCTGTGGGGGATTAGTTCCAGGTTCCCAAGGATTGCTGAAGTCCCTTCTATAAAATAGCATAGTATTTGCATATAACCTACATACATCCTCTTGTATACTTTAAATCATCTGTTGATTACTTCTAATACCTAATATAATGTAAATGCTGTGTAAATAGTTGTTATACTCTATTGTTTTTTATTTAGATTTTTTTTATTCTTGTCTTGTCATTTTTTTCTTTTTTAGTTTTTGGAATACTTTCTAATCATGGTTGGTTGCATCTGCAGATGTGGAACCCGAGGATACAGAACACTGACTGTACACAAAAAAAGTCCCTACAAATTGATAGAAAACAACCCAAAAATCCAGGAGGAAAAAACAGGCAGGGGATATGAACAAGCAACTCACAGAAGAGAAAATGCAAATAGCCGATAAACATATTAAAAGATGCTCAGCATCACTGGTGGTCAGATAAATACAAAGTAAAACCACAAGAAGACACCATTTACCACTTCAAAATGTAAGAGAGCAATAACAGTTAGTGCTGACTGGGATGCAGGGGAACAGGCACTTCCTTCCACTAAGGGTGGGAATGTGATTATGTCAGAATTTTGAAAAAGTAATCTGACAGTATCTATTAATATTAAAATACATATATTTCTAGAACAAGCAATTCCACTTTGGGAAATATACCCTACAAAAATAAAAGTACGAGTTCATATGTATATACCAGGATATTTTTGCAACATTATTTGTCCTGGTAAACAATTCCCAGGGAAAAAAAAAGGAATATCTAATAATAAGCATAGCTCATATATAATATTATGTAGCTATTTAAAAGACTTTATCTGAGACAAAAGGAAAAACTCTGTAACATACAAAGAGGTCTCAGGAATCAATCTTGAAAAGAATGAATACTCCAAACTTTCTAATGGGCATAGGATACTAACACATAGTTCACAGAAAAAAATTAAATCCCCTTGAAGACTGGAAAACATACTCAATCTCCCTTATAATAAGAAAAATGCAAAGTTAAAACTACCCTGAGATACCAGTTTTCACCTATCATATTGGCAAGGAAGAGAAAGTTTAATGACTCGCCACGATGGCAAGAGTGTGGGGATTTGGGTCCCACCTTACTGGTGAACTATAAATGGCACAACCTCTCTGGAGAACAATTGGACTATAAGTGTCAAAACTGAAATCAGCAATGGACCTAGCAAGTCCCTTTCTAGAAATGTATCCCACAGATAAATATACATGTATGCAAAGTGATATAATTACAAGGTTATTCATTCCAACATTGTTTGTAAATGCCAGAGTAGGAAAAAAAACAGCTGAATTTCCACTGGAAGTACATTAAATATATTTTGTATTTCCATATAATGGAAAGCTAGGCAGTCATTTAAAAGAACGAAACCAAATAATAATAATAATAATAATAACAAAGAATGAGGCAGTTTTACAAACTGATAAGGAACACTTTCCAAGATATATTATTAAGTGAAAAAAGCAAGAGAAAACAATGTGAGAAGAATTCTACCCAGAATAGAACAGGTTTTCAGGCATAGAACAGCACTGCAGGGCTTCAAAAGAGAACTGATAACAGTGATTGCTCTGAGAAGGGGAAATGAGTGGCTTTGGGACAGGAATACTAGGAGCACAATTTTCACCAAATAATATTTATTCCTTTTTATATTTTTTATCGTGTGCATGTATTATCTTTACAAAAATAAATAAAATTTCATTTAAAAAGAAGAGCTATATGTTTGGACCTAGAGAGTTCTCTATAATGTATTAAGTAAGAATAAGAAGTTGCAGAGTATTAATATGGGCAATAGGATACCATTTTTGTCAAAACATTAAATAAAACAGAGAAGTATGGTGATACGGCTTGGCTGTGTCCCCACTCAAATCTCACCTTGAATTGTAATAATCCCCACGTATCAAGGGCGTGACCAGGTGGAAGTAATTGGTTTATGGGGGCAGTTTCCTCCATGCTGTTCATGCGATAGTGAGTTCTCACAAGATCTGATAATTTTATCAGGGGCTTTTCCCCTCTTTGTTTGCACTTCTCCTTCCTGCCACCATGTGAAGAGGAACGTGTTTGCTTCTCCTTCTACCGTGACTGTAAATTTCCTGAGGCCTCCCCAGCCGTGCTGAACTGTGAGTCAATTAAACCTCTTTCCTTTATAAATTACCCAGTCTCGGGTATGTCTTTATTAGCAGTATGAGAACAAACTGATACAAATGGTAAGAACTAGGAACATAGATTATCTCAGTGGGAATGAATTTTTAGTGGAGTGGGAAGATTATTAGCTTTTCTTTACATGTCTCTTTCCTTATTTATTATAAGAAAATAGCATCATTTAAAAATTTTTAATAGTCTTAATATAGTAAAGAAAAAATGCCTTGGTGGATTAAAAGTGATGTTTATTTGCTTTGTTACACTTTTGTGGCATCTTCTGATATATATTGCAGTGAGCTCAAAACCACACACTGAGAGTTTCACACTGTTAGCATCGTTCCTCTCCTGTCATCTCCATCCTATATCTGCTCACTCCAGCCTACATGCTCTCCAGTCCAAAGACATGGGATGAATTTTATTCAAGACACAATTCCAGGTAATTCCACTCTACATTTAAAAACACCCAACAGTCCACATTGCCGTTGAACACACACTGCACACTTGAAGATCTACTGTCTTCACTTCTCCTTTGGCCATTGGTAGAAGCTGCTGTATTACTGCATAAGCACTACAGTGCCATGGCAGGCCATAATGGAGCTTCAGGCAAAAGGACAAACCAGTAATATTGACCCTGTCTTTACTTAAAATGTTAATATTTTGTTCATCATGGATTTTTGGCAATAATTTCAATTTTTGAAATGTTGTATAACTATCTTAATGAGTTTTTCAGTAATCCTTTAAATTTCGCACCCAAGGCAAATGCCTCACTCATCTCCTTGAGCCTGGCCCTGCCCAGGCCGAGACAAAGTGAAAAGGGGGCATTGGCATGGGCTTGATCCAGAACCCAGAAATTATCCTGGGGGTTTATGCACTGCCAAGGCCACTGGGTGACTTTAAGCACTCCAGTCTGCCCAGCGGGAGTACATGAGCTCCACTTGCTTATGTCTCTTATGCTAGAACTGCCCTGTCCGGTAGAGTAATCCTAGGCACATGTGGAGATTTAAGTTAATGCAAATTACAAATGTAGAAGGAGGAGGCAGCCCCTGATACACATCTGAGGCAGCTCTTTGAGGGCTGATAGGGAGCTCCACGGGAAATGTATGGAGCATAACACAATGTCTGATTCATGATAGCCATGAAGTAATTGGTTTCTTCATTCATTCAGTCAGCATACATTCACTGAGTACCACTAATATGCTTTTCTAGCTATTCTGGAGGCAGTGGTGAACAAAACAGACCAAAATGTTTCTGCTGTCATGGGGCTTCCATTATGTTATAGTAAGGGGAATAGAGCAATAAATAAAATAAATGCAAACTATATAGCATATTTTGGTGGTGACAAGTGTTAGGAAGAGAAATGAAGCAAGGAAGGGGAATGGGTGCATATGCATGTGTCGGGCAGTTTGTGGAGGGGGCCACAGCAGAAGTAGCATTTGAGAAAGACCTGGAGAAGGGGAGGGAGGGAGCCAGGCAGGTATCTAGCGGGCAGGGTCTGGGCAGAGGGAGCAGGGAAGATCCTCAGGTGAAAGGGGTTTGCTGTGTTTGGGGAATGGCAAGGAGGCCACTGTGGCTGGAATTGGGTGGGGGTAGCGAGTGGGACAGGAGCAATGATGTGTGGCCACTCTCATAATTCACTGGACTGGTGAGCTTCATTCAGCCTTTTGCCCACATTATACCACTCCATGAAGACATCCTTGCTATTTTTGTCTTTCTATCTCTCTCCTGTCCGGGTCACCGCAGGTGGCTCTGTCCACCATCCCAGCTGAGACCCCTCTCTGACACCCCCGCCCCCAACCCATCACTGCAGCCTCCCTTGTGAAGCTCTGAGTCAGCAGCTCTAAGTCCTCATTGATTTTCTTTCCTTTGTGGTCATCCTTACTTTTCAAAGTTCCATTCCTCAGGGATTAGCCATCAATGCAGGGCATACAGGGTGTCCCTCTGAGTCTGACCAATAGCCAGGACTCCACAATTTAAGTTTATAATCCTCATTCCCTTCTCCTGGTGAATCAAAAATACTTAAGACCAGGAGTGATATTCCACATAGTCAATAACAAGTAGGACAGGGCCTGGCAAGGCATTGAGTGCTGGGGCAGGGTCTTGGCTCCCAATGTGCCAGGTTAGCCTTTGTTGCAGAGTGGTATGAGGTCTGAGAGATGGCAGGAGGGGCAGGGAACATTCAGGACTCAGGGCAATGGCTGCTTCCTAACCAGCACAGAAGCACTGAATATTTTAACAATTGGTAAGCCCATCCCAGACTCGGTCCCCTGAATACATGCCTTGCTTAAGGCCACAATTACAACTTAAAACACACCACTCTCACTTCCTGCCTGAGAGCTTGACCGTAGATTCACAGCCGTGGACTCCTCTAGCAATAATTATCAGAAGAAGCTACTTTTTCTCATTTGTCAGTGAGTCAATACTTGTCAGTACAACCATCATAGAAGTAGCAGAAGTCCTCTTCCTAAAATCATCTTTGCCATGAAGGAAAATGCATGCGTGGATGGAATCCATCCTTTTAATTGTTCAGAGATGATTTGCATGAGTGAACCACCCCAACTGCTCCTTTTAGCATTGAACATTCAGATCATGTTTGCAGTCACTGAAACAACACCACACAGGCCTGATGAGAGATCAGACAACCAGTATAATCTCTGAAGCTAGCAGAAGTTATCTGTGACCCTAACGAGCAGAACCTGTGTGAAGGAGGGAGCCCACCTCCAGGTTCATCTGCCTTCATGCTTCTCATTAAATCTGAAACCACAGTCACTTCCTGAAAAACTCCTGAGTCCAGGTGGTTCTCACTAAACCGCCAGCCACTGCTAATGATTGTTCCCTTTGCTGGCATATAGCACAAGGCACGGTGTGGACAGTGGCAAGGGGATGTGGGTGTGGAGAAAGGGGTCAAGTTTGGGAGGCATTCCCCCTGCTTCTTCTCAAAAGCCCTGGACCCCTGAACCTCTCTCATCAGAGAATTCATTCAACTCACGTTGCCTAAGAGCACAAAGGCAAATGAGGCACCGTCACTCCACATGTATCTGGCTTTTTCACTTGTTTGTTTGTTGTGCTACCTTGTCAGCTAAAAAATGTTGGTGGAGGCCAGGCACAGTGGCTCACACCTGTAATCCCAGCACTTTGGGAGGCCAAGGCGGGAGGATCACTTAAGTCCAGGAGTTTGAGACCAGCCTGGGCAACTTAGCAAGACCCTGTCTCCACAAAATAAATAAATAAATAAATAAATAAATACAAATAAAAAAATTAGTCAGGTGGGTGTGGTGATACACCCCTCTAGTCCCAGCCACTGAGGAGGCTGAGGCAGGAGGATCACTTGAGCCCAGGAGGTTGAGGCTGCAGTGAGCCAAGATCATCACACCACTGTACTGTAGCCTGGGTAACAGTGAGACCCCATATCTAAAAATAAAAGAAAAAGAAAGAAAGAAAGAAAGAAAAAGAAAAATTTGATGGAGACTTCTGGTTTACAGTCGTAGACTAGACACACATATTTGTCTGCCATCCCTCTTGAGAGAGCCTCTCTCCACCAAAATATAAACATGCCAAAGCCTCCCCAACAAACCCAGAGACCACCAGCAAGGTTTTGTATTAGACTCGCAGAGCAAAGGAGGGAACCACATCACAGAGGCTACTTACAGAGGAGAGCTCGGTGCCTTAGGGTGGAAGTTGGAAGGTATGATCTAAGCAGGGATTGGTCAGAATTTAGAAATTAGGCAGTTGCTGGAACCATCAGTGGTCTTAGGTGAGTCCGCAGGGGTTTACTATTAATACAGTAACTATAAACACATGAGTTTGAGCTTACATGACCTTACCTGTCACGGGTTTGGTGCAGTTCAGCTGTTTTGCAAGACATAGTACTACCATTTATTGCCAATAGTGTCTTCTGTTTTTCAAATACAAAGAGAAATAAATCCATAATGGGAGAGAACAGAAATGCAGAGCCTCGGCGAATGAGAAACTGCAGCAAATTTCTGGAAAACAAAATACAAATGACAGTGGTTTAATAGATGAAATAGGTATAAAATGGACAATCTAGACTATCTTGTGAGAGATTTGTGAGGAGGGGCCACCTTTGTGTGTGACTAGACGTCTGACAGTAAGAACTACTGTGTCGTGGAGTGCTGCCTGGGCCCACACTCTGGACTGCGTGCTTTTCTTATTTAATAGCATTTAATCCTTGAAATGACTTCAGGCAGTAGATATTACTATTCATAGTTTACAGATTAAGAATTGGAGACTCAGAAAAATTCAATAATTGCCTACTTTTTCACAGGTAGCAAGAATCAGAGCCTGGGTTCAATTCATATCTCTGGTTCACTATCATATTCCTAGTATTTGGTTCAGTACCTGGCACATGACCAACACCACCTCAGCCCCACCCCACACATACACACGGAGTGGTGGGTAGATGGAAGATTGGATGGGTACATGGCTGGATGAATGGAGGGATGATTGGACCAACCCGAACCCAAATGACACCAAAACCACACCACCATACTGCCTCCCCAGGGTTCTAAAATACCATGTAAGGCAGGCTACAAATGATTTCTACAGATATTGGTTAAAGCCAGAGGGGGGCAGAGACTATGGATCTCAGAAAGCAAAATCCAGCCTTAGTGTGAGGAACTGGTGGGCAACAGAGATGTTGGACACCAGAAATTGTGGTCAGACAAGAGAATGTTAGGAAACCAGACCAAAGAGTCAGAGCAAAAAGCCAAAAATTAAGAGCAGTCCTAAGTGGCAGTCATGGGGCACCATCCCCGCACAGAAACAGAGCCTGCTATTACCCTGTGCTTGGATTGAGCCAAAAGGCCAAGAAGCAGTGAAGTGTGATGTGGAGCCAGAAGCTCGGAAAGCCAGGTGCTTTCTATATTTATTCATGTATTTATACCCTGTCTGGTTCCAAGAAGAACAAAAGGCACCTTTACAAGGACACAGAAAGTACAAGGTAACATAAATAAGAGCTAAGTGAGAAAGGATAAGGCAAGTAATAAAAACTGGGTCAGAAGAAGCCAGAAATAATACAAACACGCATATCTTCAAATCCTGTGCACTGGTGTATTAGTCCGTTTACACACTGCTATAAAGAACTTCCCTGAGACTGGGTAATTTGTAAAGGAAAGAGGTTTAATTGACTCACACAGTTCAGCATGGCTGGGGAGGCCTCAAGAAAATTACAATCGTGGCAGAAGGGGAAGCAGGCGCCTTCTTCACAAGGTGGCAGGAGAGGGAGGGAGTGAAGAGGGAAAAGCCCCTTATAAAACCATCAGATCTCCTGAGAACCCACTCACTATCACCAAACTGCCTCCATGATCCAATCACCTCCCTCCCTCAACTCGAGGGGATTACAATTCGAGATGAAATTTGGGTGGAGACACAGAGCCAAGCCATATCAACTGGCTATGAGAGAAACATGCATCTGCCTGTAATCTTTCTAAAGGTCAGTATCACACACACACACACACACACACACACACACACACACACACACTCTACCTGATGAGTCACAAAATCCACCTTCCCTGTGACACAGAAACAAATCAATTGCTCAAGAGAAGCAGAGTTCTTCTGATACTAAAACCAGACAAGAGACTATCCCTTGGTTCTTCATTATAAAAACACTCTGGGCACCCTCAGAAACATCCTTGTGAAAATTCTCTCCACAAGCGGCTCACCATCCCAGGCCTGGCTCTGGTCTCAGGCATACAGTTCTTTCCTGACTGGAGGAGCAGAACAAGGCAAAAACCCAGGCCATGCAGACAGGTGGTACTGAGGACAGCCAAGATCACTTTCCCCTGTGAGGGGCCAAGTCTCTCCTGTCCATATGACTAAATCAGCTTTTTCCAATTACCCTGGTGCGTTTTGACTGCCAACAGTTACAAGGAGAGGAGGTGAGAAAAATAAGAAAAGGACAAAAACCATAAGAAAGAGATGGAGTGTTCATTTATTAGCAGGTGGGGCATGTCAGCAGAGAATGGGATTAATGCCCTTATGAAAGAGTCTTCAGAGAGCTGTCCGGCCCTTTGACTCCTTTTTCTATGTATGCACATAGCATTCCTTCCCTCTACCAGGTAAGGATGTAACAACAGGCACCATGTTGGAAGCAGAGAGCAAGCCCTTACCAGATGCCAAATCTGCCAACACCAACCTCTAGAACTGTAAAAATTAATTCTGTTATTTATAAATTTTCTGGCCTAAGGTATTTTGTTATAGCAGCAGGAGCAGTGTAATATACCACCAAGGGCAGGCAGCATCTTTATCTTTGCATCCACCATCGATTATCAAAATGCCTTGCACCTAGTAACATTCAATTATTGTTCATTTCAAATCTTCTGTGATTTTCAATGATCTGTTATGATTCAAGAAATGTGACATCTGATATTTATTCAATTTTCATCATCAAAATCTAGATTTTTATAAATCTCATCCTGAAACATCTATAGTGAGGATGTCAAAGATAATGCATGGGTAATAGGAAGCTAGTCCTGTGGTAATGGTCACAGCATGAACCATAAGTCTCTGGGTATCATGGATACTTTTTGTAAGGTCTGACTCAGAACATTAAGAACCATTTCTTAGAGAAAATGCAGGAGCTATACTTAAAATCTTTGGGGAAAAGAGAAACAATGGCTCTTAAGCATTGAAACAAGTTTCTCAGTACTTTTCTTGAGGAAACTCAGAGATCCTCATTTGATTTCAGTTTTAATCTATTTCTGGATCCATGTAGAAAACCAAATTTGCTAATAAGGAGAATTATCATCATGTTATTTTTAATCTTTTGGCAGTAAAATTTTCCTGACTAATTAATTATTTCCAGCTCAACTAGGCCTTCCACCTAAGACTCTCCAGCGCCCTGCTCTGTCAGCTTCTCTTTACTCTGTTTCACCTCAAAACCCAGGGAGCAGAAAGAAAGCTATAGGGTCCCTTCAGCTATGAAATTCTTCTCAGAGAGAAGGTGTAAAGCCTGAAGCTAAGGCGAACTCCTAGAGGGCATGGAGTAACTTACCACTTATGTATTATATTACCATATATATATATATATGGTATAATGTAGCAGATATGTTACAAACCCAACAATATGATATCACAGTTATTGTTTTAAGAAATAACATTTTTTTAAATTAAGAGATGAAAAGAGGAAAAAAATATACTTCCAGTCTTTTATATTTACCCACATATTTAACATTGTTGGTGTTCTTCATTTTTTCCTATGGACTTGAATTACCATCTGGTGGAATTTCATTTCAGCCTAACTAACTTTCTGACTTTCTTCAGTATTTTTTGTAGGGCACATATTCTAAAAACATATTCTTTTATTTTTTGTTTATCTGGGAATGTATTTGATATCTTGAAAACAAAATACAAATGAGAGTGGTTGATGGATGAAACAGGTAGAAAATGGACAACCTAGAACATCCTGTGAGAGAGTTGTAAGGAGAGGCCACCTTTGTATGTGACCAGACATCTAACAGTAAGAACTACTGTGTCATGGAGTGCAACCTGGGCACACATGTTATGTCATCTTGATTTTTGAGAGGTAGTTTTGCTTGATATAGAACTTCTAGTTGACAGTTTTTTTTTTCTTTCAGCACTTTGAATATATCATTGCCTTCTGGTCTCCATTTTTTTCCAATGAAAACTCAATTCTAATGCTTTTCATTTTGTATTCTTGTGCTCTTCCTGTTCTAATCTTTGCATTTTCAGATACATGCATCTTGTTTCCATAGTTTCTTCTCATTAGTAGAGAAAAACTTATTTGGTCCACATATAGGATAAATATAGTGTTATTTACTTTCAGATTTTGGAAAGGTTTCTGGTATCACTGTTGTTGTTGCTTATTTAACTTTTGCTCTGTTTGTATGACTTCATAAGGTGAGTGACTGAGTCCAGGTTTATTCTCCTCTAAAGTCATGACTTCTTGCCCTGATGCTACGTCAAGTCTATGAACCATCCAGTTTAACTAAAATGGGAATGAGACAGAGCTGAAGCACTGAGGACCTGCAGAACCCAGACAATCAGGTGGCATTAGGAGGGTCCAGAAAAAGGTGAAAAGATGAATGACAGATAGGTAGGCCCATCATCAGTGGTCCCTGGGGCAGGCAACATTCAGAAACATGAGCAGAAAGATAATCAGCATGAAAGATGCCTATGATCAGGTTAGCAACTGATATGGTTTGAGTTTGTCACCACCAAAGCTCATGTTGAAATCTGATCCCTAATGTGGTGGTACTGATAAGTGGAGCCTAATGGGAAGTGTTTGGGTTATAGGGGCAGATCCCTCCTGAATGGCCTGGTAGTGCACACCAATTTTTGTGGTAGTTAGTTCTTGCTCTGGTGAGACTGGATTTGTTCTTTTGGGAATGAGTCAGCACCCAAAGAGTGGATTGTTATAAAGCTGTGGTGCCCCTCTGGTTTGCCTCTTTGCATGTGCCCACTTCCCCTTTGACCTTACGCCATGTTTTGATGCAGCATGAATGCCCTCACCAGAAGCTAAGCAGTTGCTGGTGCCATGTTTCTTGAACTCACCAGCCTGCAGAACCATAATCTAAATAAACCCCTTTTCTTTATAAACTACCTAGTCTCAGGTACTCTATTATAGCAACACAAAACATTAAGACACCCAGCTAAGTACCTGGGATCAAAGCAGAATTCTAGTGTGACACAGTGGAAAGGCCCTTGCCCTTGGTATGAGGAAAGCATGGCTTCCTCCTGCTTATGTGATCTTAAGCAAGTTATTGACCTCTCTGAGCCTTATTTTCTTACTTATAAAATAGGGCTAATAATGACTATTGTTGCAGGGCTAGAATTATATATAAGGACTAGAATTGTAAGGACTAGAATTATATATAAAATATGTGGTGCACTACGTGGGACATGGGACATAGGAGTTATTTAATAAATGGTAACTGCTTATATTATTATAAATGCAGGAGCTGATCATTTAAGCACAGCCTCACTCCTAAATAATCTGTCAAAGCATAGATGCAGGTACTGGATGAACAAGGTAGATTCAGTTATTAGTTATTACTCAGAACCAAGATAAGATTCCATTTGCCTGCATGGGAACAAAGATCAGAGCTGGAGTGTGTTTAGAAGTCACCTAAATATTGTACTAGAATTCCTCATATTCCCATTTGAAGCATCTGATGACTCTGATACCAAAGGAGCATCATTTAAGTTTGTGAAGTTCTTTTTCCACAATGCAGTCAATGAGTTAACACTGTTCTAGTTCCCTTGGCTCAGTAACAAATTACTCCAAAACATACAGGCTTAAAACAATGACAATGACATTTGCTTTGCTTGCAAATCTTTAATTTAGGAAGGGCTTAGCAGCATGGCTGGTCTGTGCACCACTCAGTTTCAGCTAAGGTGAAGGCTAGGACTGCAATCAACTGTGAGAGACTCCTTCACCCACATGATGCTGGCTGCTAGCTGAGACTTTCAGGACTGTCGGCTAGAACACCTAACTCACGGCCTCTCCATGTGACCTGGTCCTGACCCTGGACCTTGTCATATTATGACTGTCTAAGAATGAATAGTGAGAGAAAGAATCACTGGGAGGAAGCATAAAGTCCTATCCATGAAGGGGGAGCATCAACATTACAATTTTAAAAGAGCATATTGGCTGAGATATAGCAATAGGGCCATCTTTCTATTTATTCTATTTATCATTCACTTCTAGGCAAAATAAATTCGCCACTCAGCTTTTAAAAAAACTTTTTCAGGCTGGATGTGGTGGCTCCCACCTGTAATCCCAGCACTTTGGGAGGCCAAGTCAGGCAGATCACCTGAGGTCAGGAGTTCATGACCAGCCTGGCCAACATGGTGAAACCCTGTCTCTACTAAAAATACAAAAATTTGCTGGGCATGGTGGTAGACGCTTGTAATCCCAGCTACTTGGGAGACTGAGGCAGGAGAATTGCTTGAACCTGGGGTGCGGAGGTTCCAGTGAGCCAAGATAGCTCACACCATTGCACTCCAGCCTGAGCAGCAAGAGTGAAACTCCATCCCAAAAAAAAACAAAAAAAAATCAGACATGTATAAAAAAGTAATCAAAAATAAATAAAGTTAATTTAGAAGAGTAATTTGATCTAAATGAAAAGTCATGATCCACAGTGACATGCAATGCACTTTTTGCCCCCACATGTGTTAAATCATTGTTTTCAGAAACTATTTTCTTAAAATAATTACTAATTTTTGAGTAAATGCTGATGCTTCTTCATTAGATTTATGTCTTCTCTTTTTTTTGTGGTCAATTATACTACAACAGTCTCCTTTGGTGGATGATACATTTCAACAAATATTTATGCAAGTTATTCATTCCTCACCCTTTCTTGAGAAAAAAAATTTAGTACTCAATATTTCATGAAACATGAACTTTTGTTTTTGGCCTAATTGCCAACAAGAGTTTATTACAAAATTAACAAACAATCCCAAGCAACAAAATAAACTGATGTATACCTACAATGAAATATTATTCAGTCTTTTAAAAGGAAAGAAATTATTACACATGCTAAAACGTGGATGAACCTATGCTAAGTGAAATAAGCCAGTCACAAAAGGACAAGTTTTTTTTTATTATTATACTTTAAGTTTTAGGGTACATGTGCACAACGTGCAGGTTTGTTACATATGTATACATGTGCCATGTTGGTGTGCTGCACCCATTAACTCGTCATTTAACATTAGGTATATCTCCTAATGCTATCCCTCCCCACTCCCCCCACCCCACAACAGTCCCCAGAGTGTGATGTTCCCCTTCCTGTGTCCATGTGTTCTCATTGTTCAATTCCCACCTATGAGTGAGAACATGCGGTGTTTGGTTTTTTGTCCTTGCGATAGTTTGCTGAGAATGATGGTTTCCAGCTTCATCCATGTCCCTACAAAAGACATGAACTCATCATTTTTTATGGCTGCATAGTATTCCATGGTGTATATGTGCCACATTTTCTTAATCCAGTCTATCATTGTTGGACTTTTGGGTTGGTTCCAAGTCTTTGCTATTGTGAATAGTGCTGCAATAAACATACAGGTGCATGTGTCTTTATAGCAGCATGTTTTATAATCGTTTGGGTATACACCCAGCAATGGGATCTCTGGGTCAAATGGTATTTCTAGTTCTAGATCCCTGAGGAATCGCCACACTGACTTCCACAATGGTTGAACTAGTTTACAGTCCCACCAACAGTGTAAAAGTGTTCCTATTTCTCCACATCCTCTCCAGCACCTGTTGTTTCCTGACTTTTTAATGATCACCATTCTAACTGGTGTGAGATGGTATCTCACTGTGGTTTTGATTTGCATTTCTCTGATGGCCAGTGATGATGAGCATTTTTTCATGTGTCTTTTGGCTGCATAAATGCAAAAGGACAAATATTGTGTGATTCTATTTCTATGAGGTACCTGGATCTATAGTTAAATTCATAGGGGAAGAATGTAGAATGATGGTTATCAGGAGCTTGGAGAGTTAGTGTTTAATGGGCACAGAGCTTCATTTTGGGAAGATAAAAAGTTCCAGAGATCAATGGTGGAGATGGTTGCAGAATAATGTGGTTATACTTAATGCCACAAACTGTACACTTAGAAATAATTAAAATGGCAAATTTTATGTATATTTTGCCACAATAAAAATGTAAAAATACTGATCATATTTATTTTACATATTAAATGACAAACCATTGTTTAAAAAATTCAGGATATTCTATGAGCTCTATTGAAGAACTGTTCTGCTCCCATATCTTGTACATATTTCTATTGTTATATATAACCTATAATTTCTCAATTTCTCCACTGACCCCACCAACAAGCAGCCTGGTGGCTTCATGAAAATGGTTCATATAAGCAGCTAGCTGCTACACCAAGTCTCCAGTAGGAGCTGGTAGCAACATCGAATACTTCTCCCACTGTCATTTGAACTAGAAAAAAGTAGCTATCTATAGAGTCTGGGTACAAGTTGTTTCACTGGAGAGTATGTCCTCTTCCTGCATGCTGCATGCAAGAGATGTGTGAGTTACTTTTCACCAGGTAAGGGGAGGTGGGGAGAAAAAGGTTATCGCTGGTCATCTCTCAGACTGAACACGTGTTAAAGTGAGAATTCTGTTCACTACGCATGCACCTTACCCACTACTAGACAAGACCATGACAGAGACCAAGAAGTACTTCATGGAGATGGTACCAAATCCAGCCCAGATTATTTTAATGCAACTATTAACAATAATACTGTCCTTAAAAATGAAAACATTTGGGAGAAATATTAAATAAAAGGGAAACATTAAGGCAATAGCATAAAACAAGACTGCCTTGGATATACCGGGACTTGTGGTCACCCTAAAATGGGAATAACAATTAAACATACCTTATTATAAGAGTCATTGTGAGAATTAAATAAGAGCATTGTGAAAGTACTTTGTAGAATCTAAAGTGTTACATAAATGTGTCTATATTGATCTATATATGCATTCTTGCCCACTAATTATTTCAAAAAGAATTTTACCATTATTTTGTAAATTCTTATAAAATATCTTGCTGTGATTTTTAATAGGCATTGCATTAAATCTATATATTAACATAGGGAGTACTGTCATGTTCACCATTTTTACTCTTTCAAATAAATAGTGTAGTATAGCTCCCTACTTACTCAAGTCTGCCTTTATTGTCCTCATTAGAGTGTTATAGAGTCTTTAAATAAATCTTTTTGTCCTGGATGATATTAGTAGCCAAGAATTTAATGTCCTGTTTCTATTTTAACAGAATCTCCATTTTCATTGCATTTTTCAGCCTTGAATCACTGGTGTCAGAAAGATGTTTTTTCCTCTGTGTGGTGAATTAATCCTATATCCTTTTCTCACACATTCACCCCATTTGAACTCACTGCCTCCTATGGTTTCAATTCTAAAATTTCTACCCCAAGTCCCACTTCCCAGAACAACAAACACATCTACACAACTGTTTGCTGCCAAGACATCCCACAGGTACCTCAAACTTAATACAACCAGCAGAAAATTCATCTTTCTCCCAGAACCTCCTGTTCCTTTGATATTTCTAATTGCAGTGAGCCATAGGCCCTATTGCACAAGCTCAAAACTCAGAAGTCAACACTGACCCTGTCTTCTCTTCTACCTTCACTCTCATTAGACATCAAGTCATGCATATTCTACCTCCCTTGTAGCTCTTGAATCCAATGTCCTCTCTCTTCAGGTTCAGGCCTGGACATAGGTAGAGGTTTTGGTTTGGGTTTTGGTTTAACTGTTCTTCCCTCCCTCCTCCCTGGAGTATCAATTACCAGCTCCAGTTTCACCTGACTCTCCCCTTCCCCAATCCCTCCCCACCCTTACACACACTCCAGATGTTCTTCATATGACAGCCAAAGGGATTTTTCTGAAACCATGCTGTTTCTATGCTTAGAATCTTCAAATGTTACCCATAACCTCTAGCTTGGTGGTACCTGTATCCGCAACCTCGTCTCTCGGCACTGAACCATCTGCCCACCCTTGGTCCCCTTTACTATAGTTACACTAATTTATTTCCTGCTTTCAAGATCATTCTATTCTATTCTATTCTCTGGACTTAATATGATTCCCATTCCCTCCATCTGAGAACACTCTCAAGTTCTTCAGGTCTGCTGTAAGAGACCACTCATCTCCTGGAAGCCTTCTCTCATTCTCTTCTTGGTTAGACTCTACAGTCTGTTTACTCGTATATCTCTAGAAGCAGAACATGTACATGTCAGAGGTGGGCACCCCTGAGTGGACTTATGTCAAGGACAACATAGTGCGCGTCCTGCTTTTGAAGTCTTGACATCCCAGGGGAAAAGCAGATCGCAACAGAAACATATCAGCACTTGACATTTGGTCGTACATGAAACCAGCTACCTAAAGTGGAAAGTGCAAATTACTTTTATATTTGTTCTGCATGCTTGGCAAGAATAGCAAAACCTTTGTCACAATAGACTGAAATCAAAGATAAACCATGGAGGCAACTCCTAGCACTGTGCCAGATCGTGGCTCCTCCCACTCTGCCAGGGCCTCTGATCCGGGAAACAGGTGGTCAACACAGGAGCATCAAGTAAGGGTCAGAGAGTCTGTGACATGCCCTCACCTACATGAGAATCCAGTATTCGCTGTTTGTTTGATTATTTTTCATTACCAGCTTAAAGAACAGGGATGGGTCATTCTGGAGTTAACAGCTCTGGGGTAAATTATTAGGGAAGGGCAGAGGGATCTCCATGAGTCCAGGAGGCAGCCGACTGGATTCTTTGTGGTCCTAATGGAGGGTGAGAGTAGCAAAGATGCCAGTGGAAGGTGTGCTTATTTTGGTGTTTGCAGTGAGTTTCTATCTTTAAATGTGTTAAAAGTGAAATGCATAACAAATCTTAGTTTTCCTGTTTATCTGTTTTCCAGAAAATTCTAGCATAACATAGGGGGAGAAAGCAATTACATAGTATATTCCCAGTGGACAATGTACCTTCCTTTTGCCACTGACATCTCTTGGGACAAAACATGGTTAGTCAAGGACTGAAGCACATTATATACACACCAGCGAGTGTACCCACTTTAGACTGCATTGTAACTTTTAGTCTATCTTCTTATGTTAGTTTCAAGAATATCTCTTGTATGCAGCTATGTGCTCAATTCTGATTTGTTGTGGTTGCTGATGTCTAAACTAGGAATCAACCTTCTTTTTTAAATAACTTATTTAAATAACTATTAAACTTATGAAATGTTTTATATGCTGCCCTGTAACCTTTACTATTTTTCTTGGCTTTGTCGTTTTATTTTACACAAACAGAATACAAAAATAAATTAATCTTTTTGTTTTGTTTTAGAAACTGAGTTGGAATATAATCTATTTTTCTAATCTAATCTTATTACTTGTATTAGCTAAGGAAATGTCTAGAAGAGATCAGACATGCAGCTGTTTGGGTTTTTCCCACCTTTCACTTTCCTTAATTGCCTCCATGATTATATATTTTTAAAGCTCTGTCTTAACACCTGGTAGTTTTCAGAGCATATAAACAATTTCAGTGATGTACAAACCCAATCAGGTGGCAGGCCTTTTATAACTAGTTATGATATTCTTATATTTCTGATAACTTCATAAATATTCATTCAACAAATATTTATTGACTATCTCCTATGTGCTGGGTTTGGGGGGTGTGATGGCTTATCAGTTCACTTTTGTTGTCTACCAAATCACCTCTAAACTTTGTGGCTTCAAATAGCAAATATATATTGTTTCTCACAATTCTCTGTGAAGGCAGGGCAGTTCTTCTACCCTGAGCTACCTGGGAAGATCACCACTGGGTGCATTCATGTGTCCATGATTAGCTGGCAGTATGACTGGTGACTGGTGAATCTAGGATGATCTCACTCACATGCCTGGCAGTTGGCACGTGTTGGCTGAGATGCCTAAGTCTCTCTCCATGTGCCACTCATCCTCCCAGTCTAGCTCAGAATTGCTTACATGGCAGTTTCAGGGATCCAGGTACAGCAAGCCCCAATACAACTCTGCCTACATCATGATTGCTAATGTCCCACCAGCCAGAACAAGTTCCATGAGCAGTCTAGATTCAAAAGGTGAAGAAACAGACTTTACCCCTGATGGAAGGATCTGCAAAGTCACATCACAGGAGAGCGGATGCAAAGAACGAAGACCACGTGGCTATTCTTGCAATCAACCAAATTCCATCCCTAGCTGCAAATTATTCACATTCTTCCCACATGCAAAGTACTCCCACTCCCATCTCAGGACATCTGAAAATCCCATCCAGTGATGGTAGTGGATTTGAAGTCCAGGATTTTGTGACCAAAATCAGGTCAGCATGTAGCTCCTCTTGACCCAGAAGCCAATGAGCTTAAAAGATGAGCTATCTGCCCTCATACACCCACATGCAATCACAAGACAAGAACAGGAGAACTGCAGTAGGTCCTCCTACTCCAAAAGGGAAAGAATGGGAAGTACCCTACCAGTCACCAGTCCATGGCAATTGTGAAATACAATGGAGCACAGGTTGTCAGGATCCCCTGCTGTGGAGGCAGAGAATGTTTCTTGATTAGGGCCCAGTTCTGCTCCTTGGGAATAGCTCCCCAGACTGTTATTCTCTGATTCTCCTTGAGACTGGATGTCTAGTCCATTGCCCTTCAAGACTGTGGCTTCACCCTCTGGGCTCTTGGCTTTTTGAATTAGCCATCTGAGATATACTCCCTTTTTTCCAACAGAATGGCCTATGTTTGAAGCTGCCTACGGTGGGAAGATAATTCTCCATGGGTCTTTTGCATTTCTGTACATCTTACAAGTAGCATCACTGACTGTTTTTGTTCCGAGCTATCTTTTGTTTAAAGATATTTGTGAAGTGAACAGTCTTGGAATGTAGAGACAATGTCGCCCTCTGGAGCAAAAGGCAGGTTTGCTTTAGCCTTAGAAGATAGAGGTAATGTGTCCCTTTGAGACAATGGGCAGGCATACCTACTGCCTAATATAAAAGATTCAGATTCCCAAACTTCAGAGTTCCTCTCCTATATTGCAAACCATTGCATGTGCACGTGTCACATGGCTCTCTTTCTATCACCATATGGGAATTGCAGCTCAGAGAACTAGCACAAATACACTCCTGCTCATGCTACTTGTCATGCCATGAATAATAAACTGTCCTTTATTTTAGTCTCTGACCTTGGAGGTCCATGTCTTTTGACAATACCCACAATATGTTAGCATGTAAGTAGAATAAAATCTCAGCCCTTTTATAGTTCTTGACAACTGCTTTCAACATGGAGAAAATCGGGAGGCCAGAAATCTCTTTGCAATTTAAGCAATTTCATTCTTTTTTTTTTTTAGAACAAATGTGTTGTTCTTTGGTTGGTATAACTCCCTTAAAATATCTATGGGCTTTTCATGAATCAGATTATGGTCCACTCCCTTTAACAAAAGCTACATCCACAATTCTTTTCCAGGTAGGCCCTTTTTACTTTAAGCAGCATGTTAAGCTACTGTAGCATAATGCCTTAAGATTCTTGGAAGTTCTTTTGTCTAGCTGACATGGTCTAATAAGTATTACCTTAAATTGTTCAGAAGCATAAACCAAGAATCTTATAGATACACTCTTGATTTGACCTTTAGCACCAGGACTCCTTTTACTTTGAAAATCTTTTACTGTCTGGAGTCTGGGGATGAGAAACTGTTTTATTTTCCAGACCAGCAAGTCCTGGGCTCTCTAACTCCCCCTCAATTCTGCTTGCAAAGTAAAGAGTCCTTCTTTAACTCATCCCTCTTTTGCAATATCTTTTTTATTTTTGAGAGAGAGACTCTCGCTCTGTCACCCAGGCTGGAGTGCAGTGGCACGATCTCAGCTCACTGCAAGCTCCGTCTCCCAGGTTCATGCCATTCTCCTGCCTCAGCCTCCCGAGTAGCTGGGACTACAGGCACCCACCACCACGCCTGGCTAATTTTTTGTATTTTTTTTTAGTAGAGACGGGGTTTCATCGTGTTAGCCAGGATGGTCTCGATCTCCTGACCTCGTGATCTGCCCGCCTCATCCTCCCGAAGTGCTGGGATTACAGGCGTGAGCCACCGTGCCCAGCCTGCAATATCTTATTATATACATTCACAAGCATCTTGACACTTCCAGCATTTTACTTGATAATCTACTTAACCAAATACAAAATTTTGTTAGGTATATTTTTTATCTTCCAAGTTACTACATACAATATTTTTGACAATTGTTTTGCTACTATGTTACATGTATTGCCACCTTCCCAACTTTGAAAAATAGTTTTCATCATTTTTCCAGTCTTCACCAACAGTTTCCTTGCACTTTTCTAGATCCACCCCCTGCCTAGCCCCAAAGCTAATGGCACATGTATTGAGTTTTTTTCCGGCAGCAACCTGTTTCTAGGTATCAATTTTTCTGCTGTATCAATTATATTTTGCTGCATAACAAGCCATCCCAAAAGTTAGTAATTTTATTTTCTCGTGATTCTGCGGATCATCTGTTTGGTCTGGACTCAGCGCGCCATTGTTCTTCTGGTCTCTCCTGGGATCTGTCATATAGCTGAAGTCTCTGGCAATTTGACTGGAGTGGGATGGCTTAGGTGTCTCTGGTGGTTAGTGCCAGCCACAGGCTCCACAAGGTCTCATCCTAAAGATGGCCAGCCCAGGTTTTTTTACAAGATAAAATCAGGGCTCAGGGCTCCAAAAGGGCAAAAGCAGGAGTTGCAAAGCATCTTGAGGCCTAGGCTCTGCGATGTCACTTCCACCACATTCTATTGGTCAAAGCAAGTCATAAGGCCAGTCCAGAAATAAACTCCATCTTTTGATGGGAAGCATTACCATAGTGGATGCTGTGTTGTATGGCCCTGATCCTTCTTCCAGGACCAAAGCACTCCTTCCCCATCCCGTGGAAGCGTTGGCTGCTGATAGCCACAGCTGAGACCCTCCCCAGGAATTGCCCTCTGCCAAGGTGAGTTTCCTAATCTCAGGTTACACCACTCCCTCAGGGGCCCTCCAATCCAATGACTCACACTCCTTATCTCAATGAAAGATACCTCTGAGGGTTCCTTCCATATTCAGAGCTCCCATGAGATTGACGAAGGTCACTCTTGTAGCTTCTGTCCAATCCTGTTTCCCTCATACCCTCACAGATAGTCCCAAGAGCATTCCTCAATAAATTGCATGCATGAAAATCTTCCTCAGAGTCTGTTTCCAAAAAAACACAACCTTAAGACAGCAGAAAGTTACATTTCAACCTACCATAGTTGCACAGTAAACCACTCCAAAACTTAATGGCTTAAAACAGCAACCACGTATTACTTCCCAGGAGCCTGCAAATTGGCTGAGCAGCTGGATGATCTAGGGTGGCCCCATTCACATGTTAGGTAGTTTGTAGTTTGCCCATTGAGTTGGCTTAGTTCTTCACATGCCTCTCATTCTGTAGCACGCTAGTCCAGGCTTATCCATATTGCAGATTGGCATAGATTTTTTTTTAAGCTGCCACAAATTCTTCCTTTCCCTACATGCATGTCCTTGCAATGGGATGTTGCAGATCCTGTTGACCACAGAGGCATGAGTAAGCTCAGCAGAGATCAGCTAAAGCAACCCAGACCAGAACCGAGCCACAGAATCATGGCAAGTAATAAATGTTTCTTGTTTTGAACCTCTGAGATTGAAGTGGCTTGGTTCACAGCAGAAACTACATATGCGAATGTAATATGCAGCGGTTAGCAAAACCGACCTTTCATCACACCAACAAAGAAAAATTTTATTAGCAAAAAATATATACAATATAAAATCACAAAAAGAATAAACACATGCCCATAAAGATCAAAGTATTAGATTAGTAATTATTATCTTTTCCTGAAATTTTCCAATAATATTTCATTTCTATCCATTCTTTCATATAGTAGATATGGAAGTTTTAAGAAAAAATTCAATGAGGGAGGAGAAGTGAGTGTTCAATTGAAGAAGTTATACTTCAACTTATTTTTCTGCACATTAGGAAAACATTACAATCATTTTATTAGTTGGATACCAATATTCTGCAGAAGGGCATTTGCGGATGACTGTCTAATTTACCTATTGATTTTATTTTACACATTGATCTTGCCCTTTGGGGATGTTCTAGTCTACTTATCACTTATTAGTGTCTTTCATCTACTCTCAGATCCATAAAATCTTTTGTAATGATCTTGCCAACTGTGAAACTTTGTCAACAACCTGTCTGGGCTTCTCTAGACTTTAAAATCATCCATTTCTACTCTAAAAAAAGTAAAGTTGACTTAACCAGGCATTATAATTATGGTGATAACTCCATTTCTGTTTGTTTACTAGTTATTTCCCCCTCCCCAAGTCCTTCTTTTCTCTGAAACTGAGGATCAAGAAAACCATTCTTACCAATCATTTCTGCTTTCTTCTTGACATCTTCTAAGTATCTTTTAAAGTTGTTCATACTGTGACACGAGTGAATCTGCTGATACCGGGCCTCCTGTGAGATTAGAAGGTTTTCTTCGTCCACTTATTCAACAAGTATTGATTGAGTGACTGTGATATGAAAGGCATTCTGCTAGACATGCAGGAGCTACCAAGACATCTTCAGAGCCCTGACCAGATAACCACACGTTCATTCTGCTGACTCTTCTATTTCTCCTCATACTCCGATTATTCACAAATTCTGTGTCCTGTACACATTTTCTCTGTATGAGTCATCTCTTGGAAACTTAGCTCTGATTGAGCTTTGCTGAGTTGTGACCTTGGACATCATCAATTCTTCATGGGGCAGTGCTTCCTTGCCTCTCTCATATTTTTTTTTCTGTTATCATTAAGCATTATTTGACTTGCAAATGTCAGTTATGTTGTAACAGAATGGTAAGTATTGGCTGTTCATTAAAATAGCTGAGCACTGAGCTTTGAAAAGGCTAGAATTGAGTTTTCAAGTCCTAGAGAGAGCAGAAAATATACTATTCTACTCAGAAGCAGGAATGTCACTCTAATTCTCGGCAGGAAAACAAAATTGTTTTAAATAATGAATTGTATTTCTGCTTCCATGACTTTCCAAAGCTGGTTGGCATTATAGCATAGTGGTTAAGCTTTAAGCCTCTAGAGTTCAAATTCTAGTTCTACCCCTTGTCAGTTATGTGACCCTAGTAACACACTTTCTAAGTCTCAATTCATCTGTAAAATGGTGATAATGGAATTCAACTAATTGGGGAATAAATACAATAATTCATGTAAAGCACTTAACATTGTGCCTCTTATGAGGTAAATATTTAATAAATAATAGTTATTATTATTATGTCTGCCTCCAATTCTGGCCTTTAATAAATGAAAGTCATTTGAGTTTCCATAAATATTTCTTTATAGGTTATAAATTTGGTCTTATCAACTATTCATATAATATAGTCATGCCTCTGATCAAGAGGGAATCATACATTAATAAGCTTTGATCATGTAAATATAAACAGAAGATAGATAAATTTATTCCAACCGTATTGTGAATGCTCACCAATGTTTGGTCATCCGTCCCATATATCTTTAACTGAATTCTAATCATATTCCAAACAAAAACATAAATATTCTTTACTTCACACACACTATTTTGTTATCATTAGGAAAGCGGCTTCTCAGGAGTTATATAATGAGATGGAAGAAAATTCCAGCATTTCTGATTTACCTTCAGGTACCAATACGAAAAGACCATGACTTTCAAAATTCACATGGAAAATAAAATGATAAGAATATTCAGCTTTTAGAAGTGTAGTCTCTAAAGCTTTAATACAACTTACAATTCTTTTTTTAAAAATGTTATTGTACACAGAGATAATATCCTTATAAAACCATAACAGCAAAATTAAATGGCCAATATAAATTCCCAGAACAGCCAAAGAGAAAATGAAATGAAAATAAAATTTGTGTTATTGGGTTTCTCATTCAGAGCAAAGCTGTTCTGTTTCTGCAATATTTGGAAGCTATAAGAAAGTTCTTCACACAACTGTTTTATCATTTAAATTTGCAAAATATATCTGACAAATCCTGAGGAGACAGAGAAGACAAAATTGAAGTTCACTGAGAGACAGAAAGCTCCCGCCAACAGAGACGCTAATCCTGCAGTTTTACCGAGGGGTTTTGCATCTGCTGAAGGAGTTTAACACCGTGCTTCTCTGAAATCTCTAAAGCAACACTTTCTGAGGTAAGGCTTCTGTGTGCAATTCCAGGGACATATTCTCTCAGCAAGCAACGCAGATGCAGATAAAGAACGTTATCCCCCAGCTGAGTTTGAAAAAGAAGACCTGATGTTTGAAGACACTAAGAAGATTAAAGCATTAGATTTTTTTTTAAGCTTCAAAACGACTATCTTCCAGATGGTCCTTATTGAGAGAAGGGAGTTTGTTGGTTTTAAATGTATAAGATAAGAAACCTTAGACTCCCAGGATGTGACTCTCACTGAACATGACTTTTATTTTGGTTTCCTGAGTAAAGCCCTTGACTGTGGCAGCCGATACCAAGTGGAGAAACAGAGCAGTTTCAGAGAAACTTCGTAGTCCTTCTTGCCTAGGTCAAGCCAGAACCCAGAGGGGCACTAAAATGCCAAGCCCTTGCCAGAGGTTGTCAGCGTGATTCAAACAGCAGCAACTGCAGAGTTTAAGACATGTGAAAAATAAATCCCTCATCACTCCCACCAGCTCACTCAGTGTTCTCTCTGTCAGTTATGTAGGCAGAATGAAGGGGAAAGCCTGGTTTTATTGATGTGTTCATAAGACAAGGTCTAAAGGCCACACTATCTAAGCAGTTGAGGTGGAACTTATACCCAAGGAGGTGAGAAAGAGGGTGGTTTCAGGTAGCACAAAGAACACAAGTAAGGTTGAAGGTGGAAGGGCTTCATTGAAACTTCAGTCAGGTCTCTGCTAAAACACCACTTTCTCAGAGCAGCCCAGCTCACAGGAGAGAGTGCCACCCCTCACTCTCTACTCTTGCTCTGCTTAATTTGTCTCTGTAGCACTTATCACTCCCTAGAGTTGTATTATAAATTTCTCTGTCTGTTGATTTATTTGTCTATTCACCATCTCTTCACTGATTACCTACTCTGGCAGACCTATTCTAGGCACTGGGATTACAGCACTGTATTAAACAAGTGCCTGCTCTTAGGGAACTTGTATTCCAGTTAGGGTTGAAGAGAAAGACTGACAATGAGGAAATCAACAAGTAAATCCAATGTCTGCCAGATAACGATCGGTGCTCTAGGGAAAAAGCAGGAAAGGAGGGTAAGAGAAGACAGAACCTGGAGAGTGGGAGTTTATCAGAATCATCAGGAAGAACTCGCTGAAAAGACAGCATGTGGACAGAGTGCTTCAGGAAGTGAGGGGAAGACACACGTGGCCATCTGGAAGGGAACAGTGTTCCAGGCAGTACAGACAGCAAGTGCAAAGGCCCTGAGGCAGAAACATGCTAGGTGTGTTCCAGGAGCCATCGGGGGGGCAGTGGACCAGGGAAGAGGAGGTGGAGAGTGAGGGTGATGAGGTCAGAACAACATTGAAGTGCCAGATCATACAGAGCTGTTTTAAAGACTTTGCCTTTATTTTTTAGCGAGATGGGAAATCATTGGTCGAGGGTCACAAGACAAAATATAGAATGCTCTGTAAATTTGAACTTCAAGTAGAAAATAGTTTTTTTTAGTACAAGCATATCCCAAATATTACATGAAACATACTCACACTAAAAAAGTACTATTGTTTATCTGAAATTTGAATTTAATTGAGTGTCTTGTATTTTTATTTGCTAAATCTGGCAGCCTTCTATTGGAGGGTTTTGAGCAGACTGACAAAATTTGGCTTAGGTTTTATTTTTTTATTTTTTATTTTATAATACAATATTTTTGTTTTATTTTGACCCATAAATAATCATCATTTTGATTATTTACTACACACAGTTGGTGGTTTTCAGGTACAAAATCCTTTCTACCCAATCAGATTTTCTTCTTTTTTTTTTTTTATTATTATACTTTAAGTTTTAGGGTACACGTGCACAATGTGCAGGTTAGTTACATATGTATACATGTGACATGCTGGTGTGCTGCACACATTAACTCGTCATCTAGCATTAGGTATATCTCCCAATACTATCCCTCTCCGCTCCCCCCACCCCACAACAGTACCCAGAGTGTGATGTTCCCCTTCCTGTGTCCATGTGTTCTCATTGTTCAATTCCCATCTATGAGCGAGGACATGCGGTGTTTGGTTTTTTGTTCTTGCGATAGTTTACTGAGAATGATGATTTCCAATTTCATCCATGTCCCTACAAAGGACATGAACTCATCATTTTTTATGGCTGCATAGTATTCCATGGTGTATATGTGCCACATTTTCTTAATCTAGTCTATCATTGTTGGACATTTGGGTTGGTTCCAAGTCTTTGCTATTGTGAATAGTGCTGCAATAAACATACGTGTGCATGTGTCTTTATAGCAGCATGATTTATAGTCCTTTGGGTATATACCCAGTAATGGGATGGCTGGGTCAAATGGTATTTCTAGTTCTAGATCCCTGAGGAATCGCCACACTGACTTCCACAATGGTTGAACTAGTTTACAGTCCCACCAACAGTGTAAAAATGTTCCTATTTCTCCACATCCTCTCCAGCACCTGTTGTTTCCTGACCTTTTAATGATCACCATTCTAACTGGTGTGAGATGGTATCTCATTGTGGTTTTGATTTGCATTTCTCTGATGGCCAGTGATGGTGAGCATTTTTTCATGTGTCTTTTAGCTGCATAAATGTCTTCTTTTGAGAAGTATCTGTTCATGTCCTTCGCCCACTTTTTGATGGGGTTGTTTTTTTCTTGTAAATTTGTTGGAGTTCATTGTAGATTCTAGATATTAGCCCTTTGTCAGATGAGTAGGTTGCAAAAATTTTCTCCCATTTTGTAGGTTGCCTGTTCACTCTGATGGTAGTTTCTTTTGCTGTGCAGAAGCTCTTTAGTTTAATTAGATCCCATTTGTCAATTTTGGCTTTTGTTGCCATTGCTTTTGGTGTTTTAGACATGAAGTCCTTGCCCATGCCTATGTCCTGAATGGTAATGCCTAGGTTTTCTTCTAGGGTTTTTATGGTTTTAGGTCTAATGTTCAAGTCTTTAATCCATCTTGAATTGATTTTTGTATAAGGTGTAAGGAAGGGATCCAGTTTCAGCCTTCTACCTATGGCTAGCCAGTTTTCCCTGCACCATTTATTAAATAGGGAATCCTTTCCCCATTGGTTGTTTTTCTCAGGTTTGTCAAAGATCAGATAGTTGTAGATATGCGGCATTATTTCTGAGGGCTCTGTTCTGTTCCATGGATCTATATCTCTGTTTTGGTACCAGTACCATGCTGTTTTGGTTACTGTAGCCTTGTAGTATAGTTTGAAGTCAGGTAGCATGATGCCTCCAGCTTTGTTCTTTTGGCTTAGGATTGACTTGGTAATGCAGGCTCTTTTTTGGTTCCATATGAACTTGAAAGTAGTTTTTTCCAATTCTGTGAAGAAAGTCATTGGTAGCATGATGGGGATGGCATTGAATCTGTAAATTACCTTGGGCAGTATGGCCATTTTCACGATATTGATTCTTCCTGCCCATGAGCATGGAATGTTCTTCCATTTGTTTGTATCCTCTTTAATTTCATTGAGCAGTGGTTTGTAGTTCTCCTTGAAGAGGTCCTTCACATCCCTTGTAAGGTGGATTCCTAGGTATTTTATTCTCTTTGAAGCAACTGTGAATGGAAGTTCACTCATGATTTGGCTCTCTGTTTGTCTGTTATTGGTGTATAAGAATGCTTGTGATTTTTGTACATTGATTTTGTATCCTGAGACTTTGCTGAGGTTGCTTATCAGCTTAAGGAGATTTTGGGCTGAGATAATGGGGTTTTCTAGATATACAATCATGTCATCTGCAAACAGGGACAATTTGACTTCCTCTTTTCCTAATTGAATACCCTTTATTTCCTTCTCCCGTCTAATTGCCCTGGCCAGAACTTCCAACACTATGTTGAATAGGAGTGGTGAGAGAGGGCATCCCTGTCTTGTGCCAGTTTTCAAAGGGAATGTTTCCAGTTTTTGCCCATTCAGTATGATATTGGCTGTGGGTTTGTCATAGATAGCTCTTATTATTTTGAGATACGTCCCATCAATACCTAATTTATTGAGAGTTTTTAGCATGAAGGGTTGTTGAATTTTGTCAAAGGCCTTTTCTGCATCTATTGAGATAATCATGTGGTTTTTGTCTTTGGTTCTGTTTATATGCTGGATTACATTTATTGATTTGTGTATATTGAACCAGCCTTGTATCCCAGGGATGAAGCCCACTTGATCATGGTGGATAAGTTTTTTGATGTGCTGGTGGATTCGGTTTCCCAGTATTTTATTGAGGATTTTTGCATCAATGTTCATCAAGGATATTGGTCTAAAATTCTCTTTTTTGGTTGTGTCTCTGCCCGGCTTTGGTATCAGGATGATGCTGGCCTCATAAAATGAGTTAGGGAGGATTCCCTCTTTTTCTATTGATTGGAATAGTTTCAGAAGGAATGGTACCAGTTCCTCCTTGTACCTCTGGTAGAATTCGACTGTGAATCCATCTGGTCCTGGACTCTTTTTGGTTGGTAAGCTATTGATTATTGCCACAATTTCAGCTCCTGTTATTGGTCTATTAAGAGATTCAACTTCTTCCTGGTTTAGTCTTGGGAGAGTGTATGTGTTGAGGAATTTATCCATTTCTTCTAGATTTTCTAGTTTATTTGCATAGAGATGTTTGTAGTATTCTCTGATAGTAGTTTGTATTTCTGTGGGATCAGTGGTGATATCCCCTTTATCATTTTTATTGTGTCTATTTGATTCTTCTCTCTTTTTTTCTTGATTAGTCTTGCTAGCGGTCTATCAATTTTGTTGATCCTTTCAAAAAACCCAGCTCCTGGATTCATTAATTTTTTGACGGGTTTTTTGTGTCTCTATTTCCTTCAGGTCTGTTCTGATTTTAGTTATTTCTTGCCTTCTGCTAGCTTTTGAATGTGTTTGCTCTTGCTTTTCTAGTTCTTTTAATTGTGATGTTAGGGTGTCAATTTTGGATCTTTCCTGCTTTCTCTTGTGGGCATTTAGTGCTATAAATTTCCCTCTACACACTGCTTTGAATGCGTCCCAGAGATTCTGGTATGTTGTGTCTTTGTTCTCACTGTTTTCAAAGAACATCTTTATTTCTGCCTTCATTTCGTTATGTACCCAGTAGTCATTCAGGAGCAGGTTGTTCAGTTTCCATGTAGTTGAGCGGTTTTGAGTGAGTTTCTCAATCCTGAGTTCTAGTTTGATTGCACTGTGGTCTGAGAGATAGTTTGTTATAATTTCTGTTCTTTTGCATTTGCTGAGGAGAGCTTTACTTCCAACTATGTGGTCAATTTTGGAATAGGTGTGGTGTGGTGCTGAAAAAAATGTATATTCTGTTGATTTGGGGTGGAGAGTTCTGTAGATGTCTATTAGGTCCGCTTGGTGCAGAGCTGAGTTCAATTCCTGGGTAGCCTTGTTGATTTTCTGTCTCGTTGATCCGCCTAATGTTGACAGTGGGATGTTAAAGTCTCCCATTACTATTGTGTGGGAGTCTAAGTCTCTTTGTAGGTCACTCAGGACTTGCTTTATGAATCTGGGTGCTCGTGGATTGGGTGCGTATATATTTAGGATAGTTAGCTCTTCTTGTTGAATTGATCCCTTTACCATTATGTAATGGCCTTCTTTGTCTCTTTTGATCTTTGTTGGTTTAAAGTCTGTTTTATCAGAGACTAGGATTGCAACCCCTGCCTTTTTTTGTTTTCCATTTGCTTGGTAGATCTTCCTCCATCCTTTTATTTTGAGCCTATGTGTGTCTCTGCATGTGAGGTGGGTTTCCTGAATACAACATACTGATGGGTCTTGACTCTTTATCCAATTTGCCAGTTTGTGTCTTTTAATTGCAGCATTTAGTCCATTTACATTTAAAGTTAATATTGTTATGTGTGAATTTGAACCTGCCATTATGATGTTAGCTGGTTATTTTGCTTGTTAGTTCATGCAGTTTCTTCCTAGTCTTGATGGTCTTTACATTTTGGCATGATTTTGCAGCGGCTGGTACCAGTTTTTCCTTTCCATGTTTAGTGCTTCCTTCAGGAGCTCTTTTAGGGCAGGTCTGGTGGTGACAAAATCTCTCAGCATTTGCTTGTCTGTAAAGGATTTTATTTCTCCTTCACTTATGAAGCTTAGTTTGGCTGGATATGAAATTCTGGGTTGAAAATTCTTGGCTTTAAGAATGTTGAATATTGACCCCCACTCTCTTCTGGCTTGTAGAGTTTCTGCCGAGAGATCCACTGTTAGTCTGATGGGCTTCCTTTTGTGGGTAACCTGAACTTTCTTTCTGGTTGCCCTTAACACTTTTTCCTTCATTTCAACTTTGGTGAATCTGAAAATTATGTGTCTTGGAGTTGCTCTTCTCAAGGAGTATCTTTGTGGCATTCTCTGTATTTCCTGAATCTGAATGTTGGCCTGCCTTCCTAGATGGGGGAAGTTCTCCTGGATAATATCCTGCAGAGTGTTTTCCAACTTGGTTCCATTCTCCCCGTCACTTTCAGGTACACCAATCAGATGTAGATTTGGTCTTTTGACATAGTCCCATATTTCTTGGAGGCTTTGTTCATTTCTTTTTATTCTTTTTTCTCTAAACTTCCCTTCTTGCTTCATTTCATTCATTTCATCTTCCATCACTGATACCCTTTCTTCCAGTTGATCGCATCTGCTCCTGAGGCTTCTGCATTCTTCACATAGTTCTCTTGCCTTGGCTTTCAGCTCCATCAGGTCCTCTAAGCACTTCTCTGTATTGGTTATTCTAGTTATACATTCATCTAAATTTTTTTCAAAGTTTTTAACTTCTTTGCCTTTGATTTGAATTTCCTCCTGTAGCTCGTAGTTTGATCGTCTGAAGCCTTCTTCTCTCAACTCATCAAAGTCATTCTCCGTCCAGCTTTGTTCCATTGCTGGTGAGGAACAAAGGAGGAGAAGTGCTCTGCTTTTTAGAGTTTCCAGTTTTTCTGCTCTGTTTTTTCCCCATCTTTGTGGTTTTATCTACTTTTGGTCTTTAATGATGCTGATGTACAGATGGGTTTTTGGTGTGGATGTCCTTTCTGTTTGTTAGTTTTCCTTCTAACAGACAGGACCCTCAGCTGCAGGTCTGTTGGAGTTTGCTAGAGGTCCACTCCAGACCTTGTTTGCCTGGGTATCAGCAGTGGTGTCTGCAGAACAGTGGTTTTTCATGAACTGCGAATGCTGCTGTCTGATTGTTCCTCTGGAAGTTTTGTCTCAGAGGAGTACCCAGCCGTGTGAGTTGTCAGTCTGCCCCTACTGGGGGGTGCCTCCCAGTTAGGCTGCTCAGGGGTCAGGGGTCAGGGACCCACTTGAGGAGGCAGTCTGCCCATTCTCAGATCTCCAGCTGCATGCTGGGAGAACCACTGCTCTCTTCAAAGCTGTCAGACAGGGACATTTAAGTCTGCAGAGGTTACTGCTGTCTTTTTGTTTGTCTGTGCCCTGCCCCCAGAAGTGAAGCCTACAGAGGCAGGCAGGCCTCCTTGAGCTGTGGTGGGGTCCACCAAGTTGGAGCTTTCTGGCTGCTTTGTTTACCTAAGCAAGCCTGGGCAATGGTGGGCGCCCCTCCCCCAGCCTCACTGCCACCTTGCCGTTTAATCTCAGACTGCTGTGCTAGCAATCAGCGAGACTCCGTGGGCGTAGGACCCTCTGAGCCAGGTGTGGGATATAATCTCCTGGTGCGCCATCTTTTAAGCCCGTTGGAAAAGCGCAGTATTCAGGTGGGAGTGACCCGATTTTCCAGGTGCCATCTGTCACCCCTTTCTTTGACTAGGAAAGGGAACTCCCTGACCCCTTGTGCTTACCAAGTGAGGCAATGCCTCACCCTGCTTCCGATCGCGCACGGTGCACTGCACCCACTGACCTGCGCCCACTGTCTGGCACTTCCTAGTGAGATGAACCCAGTACCTCAGATGGAAATGTAGAAATCACCCGTCTTCTGCTTCGCTCATGCTGGGAGCTGTAGACTGGAGCTGTTCTTATTCGGCCATCTTGGCTCCTCCCCCTGGCTTAGGTTTTAAATAGGATTGGTCTGGTTGCTGAGGTAAGAATAGACAGTAGGGGGGTCAAAGTAGAAGCAGTGAGACCCCTTAGGAGACTATCACATAATCCAAGATGTTGAGGTCTTTCCCAATGCTGAGGGAGGGAAGGAAAGAAGGAAAGAAGGGGAGGGAGGGAGGGAAGGTACTTCAGCTTGAGTAGAGTGTGGAGCAAAACTTAAAGTGGGCCAAGGGGAATTATTGCTGGAAATGTCCTTTGAGGCCAGATCAGGGCAGGCTTTTAATGCCACACAAGAGATTTGTACTTCATGTTTTAGGACATGGAAAGCCCTTAGAGGTTTTGGAGAAGGTGAATACCATCAGACCTGGTCTTAGAAGGACACTCTGCTACCACTGTGTTAAAGAGGGTAGATAGCAGAGACAGGGAAACCAGTTCCAGGGCTGCACAACCTCTGGTTTAGAGATGCTGAGGCCTGAACATGTGCAGGGCCTGCGAGCTTGCTCTTCATTAGCCCTAGAAAGATGTTCGTCTTTATCAATAGCCCCAGTACCAAAAGTATTAAATGTATCTGGGCTCCTGAAATGAAAAACAAAACAGGTAGAGATTCACACTTCTCAAAAACTCACTGATCTAAGAAATGAGAAGACCTGCTCCTTCTTGCATTCAACCCTCCACGGAAATATGCACACCCATCTGCACACCTGGAACTCTTTGTGCCCCACACATGCCAGCGTGCTCACAGATAAGTCATCAGAAATGGAGGAACAGAGTTGATTTTCATGAAACTATTTGATGATGACCCATCCCAAACCCCTGTTTGAAACCCTCCAGCAGATTCACCCAAGATTAGAGAATGCTCAGTGGTCTAACTCCTGCACAGGGGCCTTGGTAGCAGCCCCACCAGTGCCCACTTCAGGGCATTTGTCATGTGAGGGGGGCTCACCATTCTTCACATTCTGGGAGAGGCCTTTGACTATGGTAGCCTCCTCACCTCTCCCCACCTGCCTCTCCTACTCTGCCCAGAAGAGGAGAAAAGATCTATCTGATTGGTGAGTTTGGGAGGGAAAAAACAAGGCTCCTTGGCTCAGCCTCTTCTCTCCTTCCTGGAGGCACCATTTCTTCCCCTTCATATGCCCCCAGTACCAGCAGCTGTCAGCTGCGACAGGGACTAGGCAGGTAGGTCTAACTCAAAAGCAAGGTATTAGCAAGCCTGCATGGCCACAGCTGCAATGCTGCATTTTCCAGCCCAGTGTTAGCAGTAACAGACACAGTATTTTGCTCTGCATCTTTCTGGGTCCACTATTCTTCTCTTAATTGGTTCTAAACTCAGAAAAGGAAGAGAGAGCTGCTCTTTCACCCCTTTATATTAGTAGGGCAAAGGCTAAGTTGCTGTAACAGTGGCCCAAGAGGTCAGTGGCTTAAATAAGACAGAAGTGTGTTTGCCTCACACACAGCAGAGGTGAGCAGTCTAGACTGGCGGCAGGTTCCACTTCACACACTCTTTGGGGACCCAGGTTCTCCATCTCAGGTCCTGGCATCCCCAGTGTTAGCCTCACAGGCATGACGAAGTCTGGGTCACACTGCCCATCCATCACAGCCCACAGGAAGGGAGATGAGAGGATAGAGGAGCAAGTGCCCAGTGTCATAAGGCCATGGCCTAGAGGTGGTACGTGTCACTTCCACTTCCCTTCAAACCCAGTACTACGGCCAAAGCTGCCTGTGAGGACAAAGGACATCTCTAGCTCGGTGGCTCCACCCGCCCAGCCACTCCACCTCTCATTTCTTCGGATGATTCACTGATTCCAGCATTCACCGTGTCCTTTCACAAGATAGAATAATAACATCCACATAGCTGCACAATGCCGGGCTGGATGGAGCATCATTGAAGAGCATGGTCATTCTTGGACAATGTCATTATGAGGAAGCAGCTCCTTCATCCTGCCCCTTCTCAATGGGGCTGCACGGGGCTCTTCCTGACCATTCTACGGGGCGAAGAAGCTGAGTTTTCACCACCTAGCAGCCATGAGTGGGAGCCAGGTCTCAGCCTTGCCTGACACATAGAAGGCACTTGGCGATATGTAGAGCACTGAATAAATGAGTGGGTGGGTGGGTGGGTGTGGGATCAGTCCTCTTCCCAGGCTGATGCTTGCTCTTGCGGGCTATGCCAAATCACTGTGCCTCTTCAGAAGCAGGCCATCCCTGGGTAGGAACACTCTGAGGCATGGCCAGCAAGAAATAAGACCAGAGAAAGCATGGTCAAATAAGCACAGATAAATAAATAAATAAAAAATTTAAAAACCTTAGCTCTTTGTTTTCTTTGTTGTGGAGAGCCCTGCCATAAAAATGACACTGGGCTTATTCTCTCCAGTATCTACATGTTTTAGAAAATCCCCTTTCTGAAGTCTTTTCTGTCTGATGTTGGCTATTTCTCTGAGATTTATGTCATAAAGGCAGACAAACAACAAGGGTCTGTCTGTGCCTCATGGTGGAGAGTGTGTCTGTGTGCACAGGCAGGCCCCGGGTGGACTGGTTATCAACCTGCCGGGGATGCAGCCCTGACTAAGCTGGCATTTTGATTGCAGCCGCCGAGAGAGAACTCACCATTTGTTGACTAGAGATTGAGATTTTCCAGTCCTCAACTAGGACAAACCAAGATGCTCTTGTAGCATGCTGAGCTTCACTGACAAGTTCCATGCCCCAGTTTTCCCTCTTATGAAAGAAGGTCAGGTACCAATTCACCATGTAGAGCTGTTTTGAAGAAAAATTAAATAAAAAGACATGGCAGGTAACTCCAATCTCCCAGGCCCCGCTTGAGGTCTGCCTCATTCCTCTCATTCTTTTACCCTATGTGACCCCATTTTTTATGCTACTGATCTATCAAAGCAGCTGAGATCCCATAAGAAGAATAATCCCACCTTCTGAGCTACCATCCAAAGAAGTTCATGGAGTGCACAGTGTTAGGAGGATCCCAAAAGGCTGTAAATTCATAGGTCTGCCTTCTTGGTAATGTCCTTTAACAGACTTTTAAAACCTCCCTCTTACAAAAGAACTTGTCTTAGTGAGCAGGTAAGAAGCCTGAGGAAGAAAGGAGATTTCAGTGGAATTGATTTCATCTTCCTAAGTACCCCTGGAGTCCAAAGATCAAGCCACAAGTGCTACAAAGTAAAAGGTAGCATTACCTTGCATTTGGAGACACTCTCATCCTGCCGTGAATCAGAAAGAAGGTAAGGAGGGAGGGAAGGAAGGAAGGGAAGTGAGGAACAAAAGAAGGGAGGAAAGAAGGAAGGAAGGAGAGGGAGGGAGGGAGGAAAGGCAGGCAGGCAGGCAGGCAGGCAGGAAGGAAGGAGAGGGAGGATTTTATTTCTCTGTTCCCACTGGCCTCTTCTTCAGGGCAGACTTTGCTGCAGCCTTCTCCAGCTCAGGCACTGACACTGGCTTAGCTGGGCCCTAACACTTGGCTGCTGGGTGCCCCAGAGGATTTAGAAGGCACAGGGCCCTCTCCCTCCTCTAACTCGCCCTCAGGCTATGGGTCCAGAGAGCATTACCACCAAGGAGGAAAAAGAGAAATTTGGGGAACCCGAGAGACCGAGATCGCTGAAATCTGAGACCAGAATGCTATGACCTCTGCTTGTTTGTTGTAAGCGCCTGAGCACAGGCTCTCCACTTGCTGTGAAAGGCCATATTTATCTCCTCAGAAGGCAAACATTTTGTACCTAACCAAGAGAGAATTTTCTTCTTAACACAGTTCTGCAGGAGGAAGCCAAGCTCTCCCTCTGAGAGGTCTGAGTATTGTGCGTCGAGTACTCTCCCGAACCCTTCTGCTCCTCATCCATTGCAAACAGCCCTGAACAGCATCAGGTTTGAAACTGACCCCTCGAGTTTCTGGTTCTCCCAGCCGTTTCGGGGCCAGGGGCAGGGAACAACATGTTTCTCACCCCACCCTAGAATGGACCCACTCTAAATGGAGAGGCAGACAGACAAAGCCCCTTAGGTGTAGTATGGTGGTTCTTAGGCTCTGCGGCATATCAGAATCACCAGAGGAAAAGTTTACCACCCTGACAACCAGGCCATCCCAGACCAACTAAGCCAGGATCTCTAGGGCTGGGACTAGTCCCCCCAGGTTCACACAGGAAGTCTCCTTAGATGTTTTTCAAGGTATGGATATCCCATCGCAGTAACAAAGAGAGCTAGCAATGGGATGACTGCACATCTTCATTCTGTCTCCCCTCCTGAGCCCTCTCCCAGCAACAGCTGAGGCCCCTGGCATCCTCAGGCACTGGCCAGCCAATAATTTGGGATTGGAAACACTGATCTAGTAAGACAATAATAATGTTAATAACAACTGCCATGTGCTCTGAACCTGGCATTCTATGAAGAGCCTTTACAAATAGCAGCAAATTCAATCTTCTAAAAACTTTAGACAGTGCTCTCCCAGTTTGGGAAACAATCTCCAGGAAGTTAACTGACTGCCATGTCACACAGCTATTAAATAAAAGTGCCAGAATTCCAACTCAGCTCAACTGCACCCATGGTCTGAGCTTTTTAACCATTTTGCCTCAAATGTCCCATATTTTCTTTATTGATATCCAATGACCTGAACCTACCACTTTCCAAAAGTCAGTTCTCAAAAACAAAAAACAAAGAAGCAAAAACAAAAAACAACAAAAAAAAAAACAAGTAGAAGTTAGGAGAGAAACATGGAGCAGGGTCTCCCTTACAGCCTCCAGTAGGAGCCAACCCTGCCAATACCTTGATTTTGAACTTCTGGGCTCCACTACTAAGAGGCCACAACAACAAACAAACAAAAAAACAGTTTACCAAAAGCTAATTTGCTAACTTATCAAGTTATCAAAAATGTCCACAAACCATCTCCAGAGATTATAGCCATATTGGTGCATAGGTGGTTTCAACAGATTTTGGAGATTTTTGCCCCAATATTTAGTTTTGATATCTCCAGCCTGTAGAGAGATAGGCAGAGGCCTTGGCCCTCCACAGCAATAGCCTTTTGCTGCTGAGGCTGGCTCCACAGCATGTCTGTCCTGCTTCATCTGCTCAAATGCCCCCAACCCCAACCCCAGCTCTTGGCCACACTAAGAAAGGAAGAAGGTGAGAGAGAGAGGTTCCTCTAAGCAGGGTCACAGAGCAATGCCACTCAAGCCAGCTCTCCTAGACTTAGAAGAAGTTTTTTTCTCTGTCAGTTTGAGGTAAGCCAGTTCTTCATTAAATTGATTTTCAATGAATTGACAAGAACCCTCCAGTTGAAACCCCTATGCGCTATTGTGGCATCCTGTCACTGCCTAAGGTGAGTATTTGTTATGCTGAACTATAAATGCTTGTTTACTTCCCTCCTGCTTCTTTACTTCCCTCCTGCTGTGACCTTGAGGGCAGGGACCCCTCCATCCCCACCCTTTCACTTTTGTATCTCCATCACCTGACACAGTAGCTCCCTTATTGTTAGGAACCATAAAAAGTATCATTCAAATCAGGAATGAGAGTGAGAGTGGGGGCTAACTCGATGGGATACTAGGACAACTGGCATAAACCAAGGCTGTCCTGAGAAATACAGAGCAGGATCGCTCACCTTGTAGTAGACACTCCAGTGCTGGTTGGATTCATTAAATCAAGAACCTTGCATTATATGAACCAGCTCGTTGTGTGAAGGTGCTTGTCCCACATCTACTCTCAATGCCTGGTGCCACTGAAGGGCACCTGGCATGGAGCAAGCACTCCATAGATACCTTTTGAACTGAACTAATGCACCTTATTAAAACACTTATGTAGTTGGCGTCAAGGATGGTGTTGTGGGTTACACTGTGTTCCCCCAAAAGATAGGTTCACGTCCTAACTCCTGGTGATGATGACGTGACCTTATTTGAAAATAGAGTCTTTGCAGATGTAATTAAGGTAACGTGAGCTTGTATTGATCTAGGATGAATCCGAATCCAATGAAGGATATCCTTACAGGAAGACAGGCATTAGACATAGGCACACAGCAGAGAATACTGGGTGAAGACAGGCAGATGTGGGGGTGATGGATCTCCAAGACAAAGAACACCAAGGATTGCCAGCAACCAGCAGAAGTTAGGAGAGAGACATGGAGCAGGTTCTCCCTTACAGCCTCCAGTAGGAACCAACCCTGCCAACACCTTGATTTTGAACTTCTGGCCTCCACTACTGTGAAAGAATCAATTCCTATTGTGTCGAGCCATCCAGTTTGTGGTAACTTGTTACAGCAGCCACAGGAAACGAATACGGATAACACATTTTCATTGTGAATAAGAATAGAAATGGAAGTACAAACATTGTAACCTGACATACACAGTGCTTCCTCCTTCCCCAGCCCCCTCCCTAGCCTCATTTCCTACTCTGCTCTCCTGGGCACCCTCTACTCCAGCCGTGTGGACCTGTTCACCATTCCAAGGGCATGCTTTGCCATCTCATAATTCTGTGCCTTTACCTAGGTTGTTTCCTCTGCACTTATTTTTCTTCCTTTCTTTCTTTCTCTCTCTCTTTTTTTTTTTTTTTTGATAGGGTTTCACTCAGGCTGGAGTGTAGTGGTGCAGTCTCAGCTCACTGCAACCTCTGCCTCCTGGGCTCAAGCAATTCTCCTGCGTCAGCCTCCTGAGTAACTGGGACTACAGGCACACACCACTGCGCCTGGCTAATTTTTGTATTTTTTTTTTTTTTTTTTTTTAGAGACAGGGTTTCACCATGTTGCCCAGGCTGGTCTCAAACTCCTGAGCTCAAGTGATCTGCCCACCTTGACCTCCCAAAGTGCAGGAATTAGAGGTGTGAACCACTGGACCCAGGCTGCACTTGTCTTTCAAGTCTTAGTTTAACAGCTAACTCCTCTAGAATCCTTCTCTGGCCCTCTCAGGAATAACGATGAGCTCCCTTGAGTGAAGTCCTACAGACTGTTCCTATCTCTTTCCTGGTGTTCCTTACAATTATCTTTATTCTTGGGTATTCCCCTTTCGGGGGCTGAGCCCTTCCAGGAGCTATGCCTCACTTCTCTCTGAATCCATGGTGCGTAACACATTGCTTAGCATGAAGTAGGCACATTGTATTAGTCCATTTTCATACTGCTATAAAGAACTACGTGAGACTATGTAACATATGAAGAAAAGAGGTTTAATTGACTCACAGTTCAGCGTGGCTGGGGAGGCCTCAGGAAACTTAAAATCATGGCAGAAGGCAAAGGGAAAGCAAGACATGTCTTACATGGCAGCAGGAAAGAGAGAATGAAGGGGGAAGTGCCACACTTTTAAACCATCAGATCTTGTGAGAACTCACTCACTATCACGAGAACAGCTGGGGGAAATCCACCCCCATGATTCAATTACCTCCCACCAGGTCTCTCCCCTGTCATGTGGGGATTACAATTTGACATGAGATTTGGGTGGGGACACAGAACCAAACCATATCAGCCATTGTACGAATTCAAGTGACAGGTAGGAGAAACTTGAATCTAGGGAGCTGTGTGAGCTCAGCAAGTAGACAACAGAGTGCGCAGCTGGTTGAGGCTGGAAGATAAGGCTAAGAAAGCAGGTTGGAACCAGACTGTGAAGAGTCTGAGAAGCTGTGAAGACGAGTTTAGACCTTATTCTGTAGACTTCTAAGAGCCTGGGAGGTTTTTCATCCGTGGCCTGATGGGACATGTGCTGTGGAACTTTATGGTAGCGTACAGACAGGCCAGAGTGCAACATGTGTACAGGTTGAAAAGCTCGGCTGGAAGGCATTTGCCCTTCCAGGCAAGGGAAGGAAAATGAATGAACTACAACAGAGGGTTCAGATGGACTCGAGAGATGCGTCTGAGACACAATTAGGAGTCTTCACAGCCAAATTGTTGGGCAAAATAGTGGAGAAAATAAACCAAGGAAGGCTTCGAGGTCCCCAGCCTATGAATATGGATAGGCAATGGTACCATCCATTATTAGAGGAATGCTCAGGAGAAGGGCATGCTTGAAGCAGGACTGGGATGTCTGGAGAGTGAATTCTGTTCTGGAACTACCTGGGGATTCCCTCCTGGGGATTCCCAGGAGCCACTGCATATGTGGTTCTGCAGCTCAGAAGAGAAAGCAGGTTGGAGAACCAGTTGTGGGAGGCACAGACAGTTAGGGGTAGAGTGGATCAGATCCTCCAAGGAGAGTGTGCACTGCAAAAGGAGAAGTGGGTTGTGGCAGGCCCCCCAGGAACACCAATAGCACATAAGAGCTTCTCCATAAGGCCCTCCCTGGACTTCCTTCCTCTGATCCAGCAATGAGGGGGCCCTGTGGTTCTGCAGCTGTCTGCCCTCAGAGTCCTCTGGGCTGCCTCCAGAACAGCTCTCCCACGAGGAATAATTCTTTCAGTTTATCATCTCTCAAAATTTATTTTTCTGTTTGCTAATAATATTCAGGCCCAAAACCCTGTCTCACCAGCTTGAGTTTAATGTGATGAAAATCCATATTCACCTTGAACAGGCTATTTCAGATAACAGATATTTATTTGATCAGACTCCATTATGCCCTCAGCTACCTCCCTGCCTACAACAAAAGAGGTTCAGCCCAAGGTTTCAGAGACCATTGTTCGAGGTCCTTCAGTCCCTGGAACACAGTAACCACAAGAAGAGACAGATTAAAAATTAATAAATGTGCTGTACTCGATGTCTCGCAGTCAAGGATATTTAAGTAGATAAAAGAGCAAGGGGGGAGGGGAAGGTTTCATGGCTAATGGTTTTCTTTATAATTATTAGGTGGGAAAAATGGGTGAAAGAGGTGGGGGAAGGGGCAAGGCAATGAAGACAGAACTTGCCTCTTGCATTAAGAGGCAAGGCCAGCAGAGACGAGGCTCTGTGGACAACTGGGGTATTTTTAGGCTTGGATCGTGCAGGGGGCGGTGCACAATGAAGTGCGGAGGACGGAGACGAAGGAGCAGAACGTTTCCACCCAGGCAGCCTCGCCTAAAGCCTGGCTGGCCCTGACTTGAATAATGAGGCTGTTTGGACTAGCCTGAGGCCAGTAGCAGAGACTTATGTAACAAAACAAAATTTAAAAGTCTTTGGCTTATCTACCATCCTCAAAGAAAATAGGAGGCTTCCGACACTTTGTCATTTTTTGTAGCCATGGAGTAGTTTAGTGTAGCAGCACTGTTGTGGTTACCATCAAAGGAAACGTGTGTTTCCTAATAAGAAGTAAATTAAAATGCCAATAATCAAATAAAACCACCCCCACTCCAAACACACACACATTTGCTGAACCCTGAGTGGAAAAGACAATACTCTTTTTAATGAACTACGAGATCAACGAGATTTATCCCCACCTCCCTAAAAGAGCACCTAGTTAACTAGAAGCAAATCTAAATATTTTCTAATACTGCTGAAGTATTGCAAAACCCAGAACATCAAGAAGTATTCCAAATCAAGCCTGAAGCAAACAAAGATTGTGTTTGGTTCAAGTCGTGCTCATAAAATATACCACTATGCTATTTTAAGGAAACAACTAAAATGTTGTAGATTAACTCCCTATAGAGAACAGAGTACGCTGAGACTGAGGAATTGGTTAAGCATTATATTATCTGTGAAACAGCCTGGCTTTTGGTAAATTAGATCAGATGGATAGAGCTTGGGGAGCTGCAGAGCCAAAATCAGGGCTGGGATGGACTCATGGGCCACCAGTCACTGTTTGGTTTGGGACCATGAGCCAAAAGACCATGGAGAGACAAGGGTACCTCCCTTTCCATGAGGTGGAGCTGATGTGAGGGTGCCTTTTCAAAGCACATAATCCATCCCAAAATGCAGAGCCTGCTGAGGTCCCCAGCACAGTGGCTTGTGACAGGACTCATCCCAGGGAGCTTTATAAATCTACAGGTGCTCAGATCTCACCTTCAGACTCAAATCCAATGGCTGGGGGTGGTGGGGAGGTGAAACAGCTCTGGCATCTGTGGGCATCAAAGCTCTCCCAGGTGGTCTCAATGTGCAATCATGATGGGAGCCCTGCCGTTGCCCATCCTGTTCTGAGGTTGAGTCCCCTTCCCTTCCATTCACATTTCTCCCTAGGCCAGGCAATGCCATTAATACCCCCTCCTCCACCAAGTGTCTGCAGATGGTGCAAAGCCCAGTCACGCTGAAAGCTGAGAGTCGGTGATTGTCTCTAAGTGAGGAGTGATGCAATCTGATTTGTATTTTAGGAAAATAACCATGTAGGCAGGATGGCAGAAGGACTGAGGAGGGAGAGCCTGGGGGCAAGGAGACCAGTTGGGCACTTGACCACTGTCAGCTTTCAAGGCCAGGAAGGAAGAGGGGCCAGGGGTTGGAGGATATGGGAGAGAGTCCAAAAACATGTCTGAGGTGGAACCAACAAATTTGGTGATTGTATGTGAGGGAGCAAAGGCAAGGGAGGAGCTGATGGTAAAATTTCAAGATGGCAAAATAAGGTTAAGAGTGACAAAATTAACTAAAAATAAGATCAACTGTCTCGAGGAAGGAGAAAGGGCACCCATCAGCCTGGAGTGCTTGTCCTCCTTTCTCATCTTAGGCCCTGGAAGGGCTGGAGCCTGTTAAACAGAGCCGACATTAGACCTGGTGCCATGAATTGGTATTGCAATAATTTGAATTGGTGTCTGGACTCTGAACTTCTAAAGGCCAGGAAGCGATCTGGTTCACCTTTTTTAGTCTCAGCACTTAGCCCCATAAGCATGTAATAAGCGCACAACACATTTTTGCTACAAAGACAAGTGGCATAATGGAACTGGGAACAGCCTCACTGGGAAATCTCACTGTTGTCAAGCCAGCCTTATGACAAAGATAGTTTCACATAAAGAGGAGCCAAAACTCCTCATTCACCTGGGCTGCAAATGGCTTGCATGCCTATGATGATGCCAGCAGTGTGCTTTAGGAGGAAGTGTTAATGAGGAAAGGTTTTTAGGCTTGAGGTGTCATGCTTCAGTTTCCAGTGTGGGCAGCCGCTGACAAAAGCCGCTGTCCATGGTAGGTACTGCCTCTGAATGTGGGAGAGGAGGGAGGCAGTTGGGGCCTGAGACCACAGCTTGCTTCTGTCCTTGTCATGGACATGCTGAGGCAGAGGTAGAGGGGCATGGAGGGGCTAGAAGTGAACTTAGCCAGCAGAACCTGGGGAAATGGGGGGCAGGCCACTTTGCTCAACAGCAGAGGAAACCCCTTTGAAGGGGATGCATGGTGGTGGCTACAGCTACAAAAGGAGAGCAATCGTTTCCCAGAGCGCAGGGAGACAGATTCTATGTGCTTCTTCCCAACTGCTCTTCTTTGCTTCAGATCTCCCTGCAACACTCCTTTCTTTTCCCAAGTTTCCTAAAATGACACCATGAATATGTTTAATTAATTAGTCAATCAATAGCCAGTGATTATCAGACAGCTGCTATGTTCGTAGTTAGAGGAAGCTGCCATGTGCAAACTGGGGGCTGACCCAGACCAGTATGTTTCTGACCTCAAACGTGCCTCGGGCAGCATTTGACCTGGTATTCCCATCCCACCTCTCCTTACAGATGCTTTCTAAGTGGTTTAATCCCTCCTGTACCAAGAAAGTGATCATGTCATCTACAGTTACATTTTTCACATAAAATCGCCCTGTCTGATTTTTTCTTTTTTACTCTGAGCCATTTCCCTCTCTCCGTCACCACCATCCCACTCCAATCCTCATGGGAGACAGTGTCACATTTACCAATTAAAAGCACGATATCCATTCTCCTTTGTCTGCAATACTGTGAAGGCTTCATTTTCACATTTCTCTTTGGCTGGAAGTGTTAACTTCCAGTTGCAGGAGGTGAGGGTGGGTTTCCCTTTCCCTGTCTATGAAATTCAGTATACATTTATACTCACTTTCTTTGCCCTGCAGGTTTGCCTCTTGAATTTCTCAGAAGTCAGCAAAATTCTGTGCTAGGCAGAGTCTAGGGGAGCTGTTGTTGACAGCTTGGGAGGGCGGAAAGGACAGAAAAGGGAGAATGGGGGAAGAAAATAAATAAAGAGGAGAGCAAAAGGAAAAATAACTCTGGAGGCAAAAGGGAACTGTCCAAATGGTTTTGGAAGCAACTCACTAGCTCCTGTTGTGTGCCATGGGCTTTTGTTCTCAATGTCTTGAAGTCAGTCACCGCCTTATTTATTCCGTTCTGCGAGCCTGATCCATGTCTAAGCAGACCCCCTGCAAAGACATCCATCATGGAAATGAAGCTGTGTTGCAATAAAACACAACTAAAACTGAAGGGAAGAATTTAAGCTATGAGACAAGGAAAAATATTAACATATAAATATTCAGAGCCTTGCCCTCTTCCCTGCCTGAGAGAGCTCTGGGCTTTTTCTAAGAACATAACAGAAGCTGTGTGGGGGAGAACCTCAAAGCTGGGCTAGGTTTGTTTCAGAAAGAGCAGAGAGTATATATGTAAAAGAGCAGGGAATGCGGGGCCAGGCCCCCACCTACTGGTTAGGAAAACAAGAGGAGGAAGGAAGGAGAGAGACTGCAGTAGGGTAGGGAGAAGCTGCTGTATTGGGTATGGGGGAAGGAGAGAAAGAATTTCTAGTTTTCTGTGCATTACAACTGGTATGTATCTTCAGCATTTTCTCAATAAGCTATAGTGAAGACTCGAGTTACTTTTAAGTATTTTGAAGTGATAGATTGTACTTTGAATGTGACTCCATGCTGAGGAAGAGCCACATGGCAGCTCATCTTTGTATGGGCTACAGATATGTCCTACATCATTGTAGACACTAAGTCTGAGACAACAGCTGTCAAGGAAAGTGGAGTCAGTGGGAGGGGGATGTTCAGACAGAAAGAAAAAGTGGAGGAAACAAGACATTCATGATGGCATAAAGAAGCCAGGCTCAATTTTCCATCACACTATCCTTGAATATTAAGCTCTGTCACTTAGGGAGCAGTCATGAGGCCCAAGGTGTTAATGAAACCCAGAGAGCCGCAGGACCCCAAATCTGCTCTCCATGAAACAAACCTCCTTCTTGTCACTAAACGTCAGTCCGTGGTTTCCTCTGTGACCAAAGCAGCACTGCTGACCCTCATAGGCTAATTGGGAGGTGCCATGGTAGTGAGGGCAGGATTCCTCTGCCAGAGAGGCCATTAACCACCCTTTGCCAGGGGTTAGGGCCTCCCTCTGCCCTCTCCCTTGGCGGTTTCTCCAGATGTATCCACCATCTTGAGGACCAAAGGGGACCTGTGACAGAATAATACCTGCTTAGGGTTTATTGAAGTTATTAACAAATTACCATCGGGAAGAATTCACTTTATAGCCAAAAGAAGTGCTCAGTTCCCAAAAGTCACCATTCAGGATAACTGAGGGGAGAACTGTTTGAGAGTTGCTAGGAAAGTAGGCAGGGGAAGCTCCCAGCCTTGAAGCCACAGTTCCAGCTTCCTGGCTTTGAAAGCCGCACGCCTGAGACTCTATCTGGGCCCTCTGGACAAAAAGCCTGCCACTCAGGCAGGAGTTGCAAAGCACCAGGCTGAATAGAGGGCTTGACCCCGAACACGCAGGCTCCAACTCTCACCACCCCTGCCTTCCACCCCGACCTCCTCAAGTAGAAAGTAGGAATTCTCTCACCCTATGAGATGTCATTTTTGTCAAAGCAGTCATGGCAATCCTATTCTGAGATCTCAGCCTCTAAGAGTGGCCCAGGGAGCCCCAATTCTCCCTGAGGCCCAGGGTCAAGTTTTGGTGCCCAGTAGTTAAAATTGTGTAAACACCATGATCTCTGTTAAACTCTACACAACATATATAGATAAAAGATTGAAAACATAACCCCTGGCTACTCGAGAGTTAATCTTATTTTCTCCATCAAATAAAACTTTTCTATTTTCTCAATTTTAAGCCACAATCATTTGTAACTTTGGCAATCACAAAATCTCTCTATTATTGTGAAAATAATTAAAAGCCCTTGCTCTGCCCCTGATTACCCAAGAGTAATTACCCTCTCTAAGCCTTTGTCTTCTCATCTGTGAAATGAGAAAGTTGTGTGTGTGACTTGCTTGCTAAGATCCCATTCAGCACCAATATTCTGGAAATCTGTGAGAAATTTGATTACAAGTTATACTAATTTAGCCACAAGAGAGTACCATCCTTACAAACCTCTGAGGAATCCCAATTATGTGTATCTAACTTGACAGAAAAAAAAAATAAACTTGGCTTAGCATGGGGGACATCATTATATATATTAATTCTATTTTCTCTTTTGGAGAACATAATGGTCCATTCATTTATTAGACATTGCTAAGGGCCTATTATGTACCAGGAACCCTGCCAGGTGATGTTATAATCTTCACAACAATTCTATAGTATTGATATATTAGTTAAGGTAATGCTAGCTGCTGTAACAGATAAACTGCCAGCTCTCAAGAGATGCTTGTGTCTCACTCACATTAAGCCCAAAATGGATATTCCTTATTTGGCTGGAGGGATGAGCTCTCCCAAGTGGTGAGTCAGGGGCTAAGACTCCCCCATCTTGTGTCTCTGTTGCCTTCAAGACGTGGCTTATTAGGTTACAGTTCTCAACTACCTTAAATTGTCAGGATTGGAAGCAGGGAGGGCTTTTAAGGGCCAGGAACTGTCAGTGGCCCTCATAATCCCTGCTTATATTCTATTGGCTCTACTCAGTCACATGACCAGCTATGACAGGTTTGGTGATCAGTGGTCAGTCTTTGCCTCGACAGGCTTTACCATCATTTTACTTTATTTTATTTTATTTTATTTTATTTTATTTTATTTTATTTTATTCTTGAGACAGGGCCTTGCTCTGTTGGCCAGGCTGGAGCAAAGTGGTGTAATCATGGTTCACTGCCATCTTGATCTTCTGGGCTCAAGTGATCCTTCCAGCTAAGCCTCCCTAGTAGCTGGGACTGCAGGCGTGCACCATGCCCAGGTAAATTTATTTTATTTTATTTTTTGTAGAGATGGGGGTCTCACTATGTTGCTCAGGCTGGGACAACAGGCTGAGGAAACTGAAGCTTAACCAGTAACTTGCAGCTCTGGAATTTGAACTCAAGACTTCTGACTGCAAGCCAAATGCTACATCCACATAAACAGCAAGTAGTCTATAATTGTGAATGCTATAATAGTGATAAGGAAAGCAAAAACGACAAAGGAGATCATTGATGGGGGACTAATGCTATGTTACCTATTGGAGGTTGCAGGGGACAGAGGATTAGAGAAGTTAAGTAAACTGCTCAAGACCAGCCACCCAGACAATGGCTAAACTGGGAGTCCAAGGCCAAAGCCCTCTTTCTACTGTGCTACCAGATTGCCTTCCACTCTGCACTGAAGGCCGAATATGTGTTTGCTGACAAGAGCAGGTGGGGTACTGCAGGCAGAAGAACAACATGTATGTAAGTCTGGAGGCGGGACAAAACCTCCAGAGAAAGAGCAAGTCACTCCATGTAGTCAGTTAGTTACCTCCCACTGAAGCAATCAAACTGTCCAGAGCCAACCCAAAAGTAGATTATATCTGTGGGATACTCTTTCTTGGATAGCCCAATTTTTATATTGCCTGTCATTTTTATTTTTGCATAAAATTGAATTTTATGGTTTTATGGTAATAAAATCCTTTATTCATGCCATGTTCCCACCCACTAAGCTTTCACTAAGATATACTCTTTTATGCAACAGCTATATACTTTGATTAAAGCAGTTACAGAGCCATCTAAGTCCACATTCAAATAACTGTCCTGATCAATTTTTATTTTTCATACTTTCTGTTTTGATCCATTACCCCATTTATCCTAGAATGACTCTAAGATAACTTGCAATCTCTGGCATTTTGCTCTATGTATAGATACTGACCTATATGTTTAATGCTCACGCAAATCAGCCTGGCTCGATCTGTGTTATTTTTCATTACTTGCAACCTGATTAAAGTAATGAATCTCTGAAGTATAACTCTGTTTTCAAGATTGTCATCTAAATTATGTAAATAACTAGCACTGTAATTAGCTCTCTTCTTTGATGAGCTTCCGTTCAGGTTTGAGGTGTGTTCATGTATATTTATCAGTTTGAGGTGTGCTTTTGTCTTAGACAGGCATGACTGTGCAGTAGGGATCCTCCTGGGGTAAGTGTCACGTAAGCATCCTGACCAAGAATGGCCTGACCACCAGCCTTCCTGTCCATGCTCAACTCACATGTTTCCCAGTCCTCAGTCCTGGAAGATTCTTCCAAGGAATGCAAACAGTCGGATCCTTATTTCTCCTAACTCCTTTTCAGGATCCTATGATTCAGCACCATTTTTTCTCTTTCTACGTTCTTTCTATCTCTGTAAGGAAAATTTTTTCAGATCCTTCTAGGAGCACTGCCTATTTTTCACCTTTGCCTGAAGACAAGAAAAGAACTAAGTCATTTTCCCTTAATAACCAGTGGCTCTTCTTTCCAAGGGGTAAGAATGAAGGCTCCCAGGCTGACTTTTGGAAGAACCTAGTTGTGGGCACTGTCCTTGGCAGTGTTCCTGTGGGATGAGCACATTTTAGCCTGGGTTTAAACCTGGCTGTGCCGCCTAGGAGCTGAGTGATCATTAATCTCCCTGAGCATCAGGTCCTCCTTTGGACACAAGGTAATAATATTCACATGAGAGCACAGAGACATGAGCCTCTGAAGTATAACTGTTTTCAAAATTGTCATCTAAGTTATGTAAATAACTAGAATCATAATTAGCTCTCTTCTTTGACGAGCTAAGGTAGGTTACGCATGTCATGAGAACTAAGAGCTGTCATCAGAACTAAGGGGGGTTATACATGTCAGAGCACCTGGCAGTGCTCCTCCAAGAAGCGGTATCAGGCAGTAGTTACATGCCCAGATTCTGGACCAGAGCCCCACACTCACTACTTTTCAGTGACCTTTTGGGCAATTTACTCAATTTCCCTGGGTCTTAGATTTTTTTGTCTCCAAAATGGGCACAGTGATAGCACCCATCTCATTGGCTCGCTTTGGGAACTGAATGTGAGGACTTAGAGCTGAGCTGGGCACTTGGTGGATGCTCCGTTCTCAGCTATGGTCCTTCTGGCCCAGTGCTAACACATGGCAAATGCTTGGGAGAGGTCATTTCCTGCCCTTCCTGCTTCCTTCTCACAGAGGCCCCAAGATTGGGTTCCCAGGCCTTGCTGCCACCTCATCAAAGTTGGAGCGTGGCAGGTTGAAAGCAGCCCTAAGACCAAGATAAACCAGCTCCTTGCTCTGGCTTTCCACAAACAAAACCATAGACATTTGGGCACTAACACCTCCTGCTTGTTTTTTTCCCATTGGAATGAGTGTTATAGCTAGAACCGTTCATGGATTTTCATCTTGACTTTTTCACCTCTGCCCATTGCCCTAGCGGCTCAATCTTACGGATCCTCAGTTACTGACAGCCCAGGAATCTGACTGGCCACAGACCTGCCTGCCTAGCTCCTTACTCAATATACTTTGTTGCTTTTTTTTTTTTAATTCCCACAAAGCAAAGCAGCTTTTGAGGCCCAGAGCAAATCAGCCAAGGAACCATATTGACTCCTGTCGCTGGCCTGACTGCACAATGGCAGCGGCAGGGCCGGGCCAGAAGGCCTCTGCCTCTGCAAAGCTCTTCTGTTTGAGTAGCTGCAGTTGGAAGCGCTGGGGGCAATGATCAGACAGTCAGGCCTGGAAGAAACTGGGGAATGCTTCCTGGAAGGGAAGAATTTTAAACCAGATTTTAAAGCAAGTTTAAAAACTCCTAAGGGAGGATAAGGAGCTATTGGGTCAGGGGAAGGAACCCTATCAACATTGGCTGTTTGGTTTTCAAGCCAGGCATCTCACACTGGAGAATGGATCCCTGCAAATCCAGAGTCACAAAGTAGACGAGTGTTTGCCAGAAGCTGGGGTGAGGAAAATGTTCTAAAATTAAGTAGTGGTAATGGTTGCACAACTCTGTGGATATTCTAAAGACCACTGAATGCTACTCTTTAATAGAGGGAACTTTATAATGTGTGATTTATATTTTAATAAAGCTGCTTTTATTTTTATTTTTATTTTTAAGAGGAATGAAGAATGGAGAGGCCCCATATGATCCCATCATGAAAAGGTCTCTCTGTTCTGCCGGTGCCTCTTGGGAACTGCCAGGAAGCAGATGTGCTCTTGATATAATGCCACAAACCATGAGAATAAGCATGAAAATTAATTGATGATAACATTTTTTCATCTAGCTCAGTGGTTCTCAACAGGATGTGATTTTTCCCCAAAGGGATATCTGGCAATGTTTGAAGACGTCTTTGGTTGTCCCGACTAAGGAGTTGCTGCTGGCATCTAATGGGTAGAGGCCAGGGATGCTGCAGTACATCCTACAATGTACCAGACAGCTCCCCAACAAAGAATCATCCAGCCCCGAATGCCAGGAGTGCTGAGGATGAGAGTCTGGATCTAGTCGAAATTCTACAGGTTCCTCTTATCATCTCTCTTTTCATGCAAATTTGAGGTTTTTTAAGGCACAGAAATGAATCTCTAAAACAATTCAGAAGTTCTCTCCCTAAAGTATTTTTCCCTACAGATAATATCCTAGTTTCAATTTGTTCCAGATTCACAAAGAAAACATACTTTTCCTGTAATTTCTCAATTTATTCCTCTTTTGCAAGCAAAACTAGGTAAGTTCTTTACAGGGATGTGGTATGTTTAGTAAATTAGAAAGTTTGTATGTTTAGTTTCGTTATCCTCCAAGTTTCCTATATATTCTTCTGGGCACAATAAAAAGCTCTTATTTAACTGAACAAAAAATAATATTGTTTTTTCTCTTTAAAATGAAATTTAGAAGAAAAACATCTTACGGTAAAATCAGAAGTGTGTGTTTATCATTAAGGGGATATGAAAGCAGAGAGGCAGTTTGGTGGAGGGAAAGAAACTGAAGCTTTGAGTTAGAGTGAGTTTGATTCTCAGCTCTGCCTTTATCAGGTGGGTGGGCCTGGGCAGGTCACTGTCTTTTCTAAGCCTTCCTTTCCTCTTTTATAAAAACGAGGATATTCATGTCCACCATGGAAGGTTAATGTGAGAATCCAGTGAGATGCAAGAGTGAGCACGAATTCAATGCTCAATGTTGTTTCCTCCAGTAGCTTTTGCCTTGGACCAACGTGGACCACCCCCCACACCCCTGACAACACCACCCCACACCCCCAACACAGGCATAGGACCTGAACCCCATGCTCTTTAGCAAGCACCCATGATAGTTTCTAGAAATAGCATTAAGGAAATGGATTTGCCACTAAGGGTGGCTCTGTCCATTGCCAGGCCTGGAGCAGGAGCAGTTGTTCATGGTTCCTGTCATCTCCCTGGCCTTGCATCTTGGGGTGCTGGAAGAGCCACCCCCTTCTGTGTGGTCAGGCAGGCTCCCGGGGCTGCCCTGAGCAGATGTGACACGGATCCCTGGCACCTGCTCCACACCTGTTCTAGACTCTTGTTCATTATGCGCCTTGAGTCCTCCTCCGACTCCAGGTCAGCTGGGAAGTGCCTTCAGGTAAAGGGGCATTCATACTTGTTGAGGGCCTAGGATGCGGTCACACTATGCTAGACACTTCACCTACATCATCTCATTTGACTCTTTGCAGAAAGTAGCCATGGTCTTCATAATAACAGAGCTTTCGATGATTGCTGGCCTCATGCCAGGCAGCACGCAGCACTTCACATGCATTAACTCATTTTAATTTCACAGAACCTGAAGATGATACTAATATTATGCCCTTTTCACAGATGAGAACATTGAAGCACAAGTGGGTTAGTAATTTGCTCTGAGACACACAAGAGAAAAGCCAGGACTTGCATCTTATACACCAAGGGATTTTACACTATGTGAGGAGCCAATGTCTCCCTGGGGACTTAGTGTCTTGCTTCCCTCACCCTGACCCGCCCTACCCTAAGCTGACTCCTGTCTATTGAAAGGTGACCTGGCTTCAAGGTGCAGGCCATAATTAACACACTTTGGCTTCAATTAGCATATTTGGAGCATCATCCACAGTCTAATGTTTCAGGACAAAGTCAACCTGTCTCTAGTTTGAATGCAGAATACCTGAAGAGTCAAGTGCAAGTTCTTAAACCCAGACACAAATACAACTTAAAAGTCAAAAGCATACTTTCAAAAGTGGATAATACCAAAGTCTCAGCATTCAACTACTTTAGTTTAAAAATGAGGCTGTCTTACTAGTTTTCCATTCCCCTTGGGGTAGAGAAACCTTTAGAGAGTGCTTCATGGGTCAGTTCCACTCTAGGTGAGAAGGATCCATAGTGCCTTTCTGTGTATCTATCACCACACCCTTTGAGAATGCTGGTCTGTACCCCATGATCCCAGCAGAGTGCAGGTGCACCCAGGGACTCTCTTCCATGGTAACTCTGCTCTCCTCCTTTCCAATAAGCACAAATTCATGAGAAGTCCTAGATTCAATATGGCACCTCTGGGCCTACCAGGCCAAGAGCAGACCACACTTCCTGGGACAGCTCTGAGCTATAATCGATTCCTGTGCCCAACACCGGCCAGACTGTGAACCCAGAAATTACCTTAGAGGTAATGGAAGGTAGGTCATGGAATGTACGAAACAGCCCAGCACTTCATCACATGTCACAGGAATAGAAAGAAGCACAAGTAAGGGATATGTCACTGATGACTCACCCATCAGAGATCCACCTCAGATGACATTTCCCCTTGCTTAGAGTGCCTGTTTCCACTTGACTCTCTTCATCTCACTCATGCTCCAGTGGTGCAGCTCAAATGCTCCCACCTCTGGGAAAACTTCCCCTACACCCACGGAATGAATCGCTCCCTCTTCTGACTCCCACAGCGTTTTGTACCAATGTCAACTCCAGCACCTACCACCCTTGAATTGACCTGCTTAGGTCTATCTCTTCCACCAAACTGAGCTGAGGACAGGAGCAGGGTCTACCCATGCCTGGAGTCCCACAGACTAGCAATACCTAGAACAGAGCAGTGAATGGAGACCTCTGTGAGAGGAGGGGAACATAGGGGAAGGGAGAGGGAAGGAAAAGAGTGAGGGGAAGAAGGCAGGGATGGATGACAGTAGAGTGGAGTCCATGCATATTCAAGTTGTTCAGAAAGAAGAGATGGCAAGGTGGAAGTCGAATCAGTTTCTTAAGGCTGCTGCAAGAAATGACCATGAACTTGTTAGCTTAAATAACAGAGATTTACTGTCTCCCAGTTCTGGGGACCAGGACTCCAAAAACAAGGTACTGGCAAGGCCACACTCCCTCCAGACTCTAGGGAGAATCCCTCCTTGCCTGCTCCAGTTTTTGGTGGGTCCTGGCATTCTCTGGCTTATGGCTGCATAATTCCAGTCTCTGCCTCCATCCTCATATGGTCTTCTTCCCTGCACCTGTCAAATCTCCCTCTCCTTTCTCTTATAAGGACACCAGTCATTGGCTTTAGGGCCCAACCTAAATCCAGGATGATCTTATCTTCAGATCTTAACGATATCTGCAAAGACTATTCCCAAATAAGGTCACATGCACAGGTACCAGGGGTTAAGACTCTCACTTATCTTTCTTGGGAACACAGTTAAGACCACAGCAGAAATAAACTCCACATCCTCGACACCCCCGACCCCCACTATCACCTGGAAGTACTCAGAGGAAGGCACTATTCCAGGGCTTCCCAGCCTTGGTCACTTCACTAGCACACATAGAAATGGCATTTCAGCAGCACGCTGGGGCAAGGATGCGACTGTTCATGGCCCGAGGCCACCAACAAGGAGATCTGGCTGCCTCATGGCCTTGAGCTGAGGGCATCATTATTTCTGCAACCCTGCGGCCCATTCCCAGCAGCTACAGCTCAATGATCCATAAACACATGAGTCACAACACTTGAGGTCACCACCTTCAATCTCACAATATCTAAGCTGGCAGAAGGCTCAAAAGCAATGTTTCCCTCTTAAGGGCCACCACCATCTCCTCCTCCTCCTCTTTTGTCTTCTTCTTCTTCCTCTTCTTTATCTCCCTTCCTCCTCCTCCTCTTTCTTCTTCCTCTTCTGCTTCCTCTTCCTCTTCTCCTTTTCTTCTTCTTCCTCTTCTGCTTCCTCTTCCTCTTCTCCTTTTCTTCTTCTTCCTCTTCCTCCTCTTCTGCTTCCTTCTTCTGCTGCTTCTTTCTTCTTCAGCATCCACCCACCAGAAGATCTTGCTCTCCTGTTTTGGCCTCCGGATGGCTAGAGACATGCTAGGCCAGTCTCCACCTTCATCTGAGAATTATCAGAAGAGGTCAGGAGCTCTTTTTTCCCTGTGAACTTTCTCCTACCTAGTGGCATGGACCTTCCCTTTCTGGTTGCAAGCCCAGCACCCGGTTTACAGTGCTTTACCTTCTTTCATTACTCCAGTGGGCTTCTAATTATGTTCAGGGCCTGCCTGAGACCACACAGAAGACTAGTGTCCCCTATTCTTTCACCTCTGTGTGTGTATAGGAAGGCGCCATTCTTCAGCAGTTATGTGGATTTTTTGCCTGGAGTCTTGAGGAGAGGAAGATACAATTTTCTTTTGTGTGTAACACTCCCACCAGCCCCAACGTGGGTTTCTGGAAAAGGCTGTTCCTCGATAGAATTCACTTCACATCTCTATTTTGTATTCTGACGATTATTGGAGTATAAACTGTCCTTCCTGAAACACCCTAATCAACTAACTTGGCTAAGTTCTTTCCTAAACAAACACTGTGCAGCTTCCAGTTCTTTTTCTGCAAGAAATACCAAATTAGCTGCTTTGTGGTTTGCTGGTGAGCCCTGAGACCTTCATTTCATTATTAGGCAGTCCCCAGCCTACAGAGAGAACTGCCCAAAATATCTAAAACTGGCTGTTGTGGAAGTTCATTTCATTTCATTTCTGTGCCTGCTTCCGTTGCTGATCTTGAACATAGGCTGTATATCAAAATGTTACCAGAGGATGAAAAACACATGAATAAGATGATTATGTTGGCAAAAAAAAAAAAATCCAATTCTTTTAAAATACCCACATTTCTTTTCAGATTTAATCATTTATTCTTTCATCTGTGCCAGGATGATAGTCAATGTCAGCTGATCTTGAAGATAATCAGTTAAATTTTCCAGGAATATAGTCTCAAACATGCTGCAAAATGCATGGGGCCCAGCTTTCCATATTTAAATGGGAAGATGATTATTTCAAAAGCAATTTTTGCTGAGGATATTCATTTACAAAGCCAGGGAGGTAATTTTGGTGGGAAGAGTCCATCTGCCCTTGCTGGACTCACATCTCAGCGAGGACCCTGACAACTCTGGGAATTTGACAGGGCTCATTTGCAGCTTCAAAGACAGGAACCATTTAAATTCACAGCCTCCATAACAGTTGGATGTAAGGAATTGTGGCGATGCTGACATTTTGCCCCTGAACTCAGCTGTGAGTCAGAACACAAACTATCGCAGTGCCAAAATTTTCAAGGGATGACTTTAATGTTCTCAGCTGGATTAAGATGGGCCATATATATGCTCGTCTTATGCCCCGTGATCCCTCTGGGGTAACAATATAATTTATCATCCAAATGGGAACAGGTCTGAGAGTGAAAGGAGATGATACACTTTTAACAAGTTTCAGGGGGAAAAAAGAGCATAAGCCAGGACCATTCTAGGCTAACTGGGAAGTATGATCAATCCATCCAGTCGCCCACTTCTCTTCCCTCCCTCCAGGTCCCCATCGCATCCCCACCACATCCCTGGATGTCCAATACTTCATGTCCCCAGTGACCTTGTGGCTAGCGGTGGTTATGAGGTGGGGCTGGGGTGGGTGGGTATTGGTGCAGCCATCTCCACAGCACCTCCCCTCCACCTCACGTTCAGGTTCTGCCACTGTCGCTGTCAGACTACACGGAGATGGCTGAGTAGGGCCCTCCGCAGAAATGCATATGGCCCTGGATGTACGCTCCCCATCCTCAGTCTACCCCATTGCCAACACCAGCCTCATTGTGTGAATACCCACCTCACCCCCACCAGCTCCTCAACCGGTTCATATCGTGGAACCCGGAAGCCCAAACTTGCACAGGGCAAACCACACTGAACAACTCCACTGGTGAACCGGCGTTCAGCCTTGATGACAGAAATTGATTTGGGACCACAGATGAGGGAGAACCCTTGAGAACACAGATGCTCCAACCACTGACCCTAAAGGGAATTGTTTCAGTCACACATGAATAAATGTTGTTGTTAGAATTTGCCTAAAGACAGCACTTCCAAAACCTTTCTCAATAAATTTATTCTCATATATGCCAACATGAGCAGCCAGGAACTCCTATGTTAAACAAGATCCACAATTTAGAACTTATTTCCTCTTCTCTGCCAATGTGGAGCATCCTTTGTTGAGCCATCCCCTCTTCACTGTTTCCTTCCTAACACTTTAGTCACCTGCCTTGATCCACGTGGTTGCACAATCAATTTCAGTCACACAGATTATGAGTTGAATTAGGAAGGATCATTTCTTGCCTATTACTTCTAGACCCTGGAAATCAGACTCTTCTAATGGCAGTATTATTTATGGATTTACTTGGGAACACCTAAGTTCTAGATTGGTCATAGACAACCATCACTGCTTGTTTCTAAATATAGATTTTACCTTTAGAAATTTCGAGGCTGCCATGCCCCAGGGGTTTTTCCCACTTGGTCTTTGGCTTCTAGCCTCTCCTCTGGTTTATCAAGGACATTTGGGTTCAGTATTATGTCTCTCTGCCTTGATGAAACCAGTTAAGGGGAAAACTATCACAAAGTTAGTTACAGATGGAAAAGATCTATAAGAATCTTACCTGGGTAGGATGTACAATGCCTTGTAATTACTAGGTACTCAATAGATTTGTTGAACTGAATTAATTTCAAGCCCAACGTGTCCTTTTAAAAAGATGTTCAGACATGTTTGTAATGTCTCCAGTGAGAATTCTTCTGTCACTTACCTTGGAGTGAGAGCAGTGCCTATTTCATCATTAGGAAAGTTTTGCTTACGAGACACGCTTGCAATATATGTTGGACAGAGCTCTCAGCTAGGGGCTTTGATGAACCTGAGTGACATCGTGATGGCACCTGGCCCTGGGACCTTAAGAAAATCACTTTACCTCTCAGGGCTTGGTGTCCTCATTCATAAAACATGAACCATAAGCCATAACTATACTTTACTCTCTCAGGTCATCAATTCTGTGATTCTATTCCTCTACTCAGATAGACAGTACATTTTCTTAAAATTTGTAAAAAGTACTGTTCATGTGAAACACTTAAAACATACAAAATAGCACTATAACAACTATTTGCCATCCACCAATATTTAACACATCTTACAATTTTGCCATATTTCTTCAAAACCTTATCTTGTTTTTAACAAAATGAAAGACATAACACAAATGCATTTGAAGCCCTGCTTGACGTCTTCTCTGACCCCTTTCCACTCTGTCTCCTGAGAACTTAGCAGTGTCCTAAGACAAGTGTGCTTTTGTGTCCATCCTTGTTTTTATACGTTCATAGTATGGGCAGGTATCCATGAACTGTATTTAGTATTTTGTGTGTGTTTTTTTAAAGTTTACATAAATAATGTCATGGCTCAAACTCTTAAATCCCTCTTGCTTCTCACTCTAACTTCTGAGAGATTTGGGATCAACAGCAGTATTGAATCAGCCTGTTAAATATCTGTTGAGAGTTTAGCTCATATATCAAATCCCTTTTCCTAGTAATCATTTTTTGTTTTCTCCTGGAAGTTCATTTTGATTTATATTGTACTTCATTTAAGTCTTTGCTCATCCTTATCACAATCTAAAAGTATACATTTTTGAAAGGAGAATTTCTATTCCAAATTCCAGAATTTAAATATTAACAATCTCCAGTCTACTTGTCCTAAGGAGAAATAATTTCTACAGGATGTAGAATAAAGCATGATGATTTTATTTCATTTATAAACAGTGTCCTTTGAGAAACCTTTAAGAAAGGCTTGCTGAACACTTGGATGGACTGGTAAATTTCTCATACTTATTTATCACCATTATCTCTCTTACAAGGTAAGCACCAGAGAAACCCGTGTCTTACGGAGTGCTATAGAAAATATCAGCATGTATAATAATAAAAATTCTGTGATTATAGTGATGGCAGTCACTGTTCTTGATATAAGGCACTGGAGAGAAAAGGACCGAGACAAATTAAGGCAGATGTTAACCTTTATTTGGACTAAAACCACATGCCCTATAATTATCAGACCAAAAGAAAATTAGAGTCAGCATTATTAAATTCCCTTCAGCTAAAAATGAGTGAGAGTGATAATGACCACTTACTTTGGAACATCTCATCAATATCAGAGTACAAAGCAATATTCCAACATCTGGTGGAAAATATAAACTTCCTGCATTTTACAAATATTGCTGCTGTGGGGTGGTGAGAGTCCAAGCTATTTGATAAAATTATGAAAGTCAACGAATGGTCAGGCCAGGATTTGAACTCTGTTGAAGAGATAATATTAACCATTCAAAGAAGATCTTGCTGTGAGGCAACAGAAAATATCTCTAAAGCAAATGAATTACTATGCATCTGAAATAATGAGCAAGTTAATTCCCCATTTGGGGAGCATCTGCCAGATTGGTAGCTATCCACCTGGGGAAATGGTCCTTTTCTAAGGTCCCAAGAGACAGGAGACGTGAGAAAACTCAGATTAGTATCCAATGGAGTGTGTCAGACTGAAGCATCTAGTTGTGATGTTAAAGTTATATGCCGTCCTGCATCTGAGACTCCAAAATAAAAATTCACACACAAAAAAAAGCTTCTTTGAACACGTTTCTAGCTTACTAAGAGAAGACAACAAATTGTCCCGGAAAATCAAAGACATTGAAGGGAGTTTCTTAAGCATGGAAAACAATCTTTACACATGAAGCACTGTTTCTGATCCTCCAGAAAAATAACAAAGGGAAGTCCAACATCAAAGGCAAACCTTGATGTATTTCCCCCATACTTTCCCAAGTTCCTCTTGTCATTCATTACCACACAGAACAAGCATTTCATACTATTCTTAACTGCTGGGAAAACTAACATTTAAAATGTTTAAAGATTATATTGACTTAATCTCCTTCTGCCATCACTATAGTAATGGCTAACATTTGTTGAGTATTTCTTCTGCAGAAGGCACTGTGCTGGATAGTTTATATGCATTTTCCCATATCATCATCATCATAACCCCTATAAAGTGATATAGTGAGGGATAAGAAGATCACTCAATGCAAATTGACCTAAGCAAAACAATAATAAAATAAAAAGATAACATAATGAAAAAGCCAAGGCGAGTTGAGGCACAGCCTGAGCCCTCTGCAGGGCTCAGTGTCAGGACCATGCTCCTCTCTCATCATTCCCTGGCTCCACTTTCTCTGGGTTAGCTCTGTTCTCCCGCTGGCTTGTGCCTGACAATTTCAAGATGGTGGCCAATAGCTCTGAACCTTATTTCCTGTCGAATTCAGGTCTAGGGAAGGAAACTGGCTTGCCTCTATCTCAGCGTTCTCAGCAAAAGTCTGGCTCTGAGTAGGACTCCCTCAGGCCCAGGGCCCACGAGGCGGCTCTGTCTCAGCTGAGAGCAGAGAAACGGATAGTTCCTAGAGGGAAATTCCAGATGAAGGGTAAGAAGATGCCAGGAAAATATCGGATACAAAATGTATAGGACAGAACAGCTGAAAATATTCTGGGTGAGGGAAATAGCATGATTCAAATGTGTGCAGGGAAATAAATACAGTGGCTGCGTGAGGAGATAGAGTGTGTGACATCAGCAGAATATGGTGACTGAGCAATGGAGAGGCAAGCTACCTCCAAAACACAGCCGGCCTTCAACCAGACCTGAATGTTCCCACTAGATTCGGTAGACAATAGAGTCACTGTATAGACTTGGAGAAATAAGGTGAAATGTTATGGTGAGGAAAGGGGCTTTCTGGAACACTAGAAAGGTGGATGTGGAGATGTGATTCATTAATGCATTTAATGCCCCACCCCCAAAACCTTGCCCTTATTGATGAGTCATACATAGTATCAAAGGATGAAGCTGATCCCTTATACTGATATCTTTAATTCTCTTTATTGCCTCAACCAATCTCCTCGGACTTCTACCCCACTCATTTACACCAACCACCCAACTATCAATAAATCTGACTTTGGCTTAAGAACAAGGAGACTCTAGGGATGTTTATCAACATTCCCTTAAATGAAAGCTCATAGACTATTCGTGTGGATGTTTCTGAAGTACTGATATAATCCTTGAGATTAAACAGCGTGGAAGTTGGCAAGAATTGTGCTTTCATGATCTAGACAGAACTGGACAGTATTGCTGGCAACTCCAAGCCCCCATTATAGATTTCAGGGGCCAAGAGAAGCTACACCAAGATTTGTTCTGTGTTCTTCCTCATTGATCCTGATAAGACGTTGTATCTTAGTCTATTTAAGAGAGGAACTTGACAGCTGAAGGTAGAGTGAGGCAGTCTGCCAGGGGAACAGGCATACATGAAAGTTGGGTCTTTCCCACCAATCTACATCCCAAAGGCAACATCACAGTCACGTCCAAGTAGGAGCGGCACAAAGGCCCTCCTAACACCGTGATCTGACTTTAGAAAGGTTGTCAAGAGGTCAAAGAAGAAAAATATGAGTAAAAAAATACCTAGATACAGACTCGATAGTCCTTCATATGAGACTATGAAACTTTACATTCTTAACTGTGAGTAATTCTGTTTCTAAAATTGTGCAAAATAGTTCCCCGGACAGGCAAATCTGAACTTGAGATAGATTTGGACACATACGCTGGGAAGTAATTGGTTTAAAGTTTGTGTTCTTAAGTTTCGTATTTTCCTTGAATAAGACCATAGCATGTTTATTAGCAAAAAGGTAAGCAATTGTTTCTGAAACTCCTACTTGAAGTGGGTATACACATATAACCTGACACAGTAGAGTATTTGAGTGTCTCAACTAAATTGGGAAAAATAAAAATGTTTAAGGCACTATTTTCAGGATGTTCATGGTTCCCAAGAATACTGAATTAAAATGGTCTCAAGACAATTCAGCTAAAGCATTAAGTATCTGACTTCTGTGTTTTAGACATGCCTTTGTTTGGGGCATAAATGATCTTGCTGGGTCAGAGCCAGCAGAGACAAGGAGAAGGCTGGCAATGCACCCAGCATCTCCAAAGCTGGAAATCTTAGGAAAACACCTGTTTTTCCTTTCTTTTAGGTCACTTTAGGATCTCGGTGTGAGGCCACAATTTCTTTGGTATCTGAGCTTCTGTGCCAAGGGGGGTGATTGGACATCTGTGCCTCTGTATTTTTTTTTTCAGTAGAATGTAGGGGAATTAATGTGGGAGATGAACATGGTAGATGTTGGGGAGCATGTGAAGTTGATAGTACTGGACAGAGGGTACAGTACTGAGCACTGGAAGAGAAAAATAACAGAGACTTCATTTAAAAATGTCTTTTATGGTGAGAATAAACAAAGGGAGTTGAGACGGAGGAACTGGGCAGAGGCCCACTGGAGAGCTCATGCACCATCACCCGGAACACTGGTACAAGGGACAGAAGCAGACAGATAGAGCCAACAGGAGAGGAGAGGAGAGGAGAGGAGAGGAGAGGAGAGGGTGGTGGGACACCAGCCCCTGCCCTCAGTAGAACCAGGCCCCCACATCCACTCAACCTCCCCATGGCAGCCCATGCGTACCCCAGACGTCTCCAAGCTGAATGAGCCAAGCAGTGAGAAGGTGAGGAAGTCCACTGAGACTTAACCAGAAGAAGGAGAAGAAAAAGAATTCACCAGCTTTCAAAAGAAAAGAGAATGAGGAGGAGAAGCCTGCATGCTTCAGTAGTACTACTCTTAGCCATGGGTGAGATGAGCCCCCACCAGGGCCCCACACTTTAGAGAGTCCTGTATGTTGATTCACCTGTGTCTGTTACCAACAAATGCAAAAAATACAAACATATGACTAGCCATCCAGGGGTAGGGAGTGATCTGTGGCCAGGCAAATCTGGAATCAAGTCCTCTGACCAAACCATTAAAACATCCAGACAATAAAAACCATACTCCGAGCCAGAGGATAGCCTGTGCCAGGACCCTAGAAGGCTGGAGGAACAGGCTGTTCCGGGACCCCAAGGCCCTGAGGCTGCATTCTTGAAGCCAATGGCCTTCAAAGATATATTCCTCAAATGAAAAGGTATGGTTGATTGAGTAAGATCTTCTAGAATGGTGAAGTGAGCTCAGGTCTTAGATCTCTGCACAGCAAGAACTGGTAGAGACCTGAGTGTGTGGACAGTGTTGTCAGCAGCTGCGTGTCCCATAAAAAAAATCTAGGGGTCACAGAAGTCACCCAGAGATAGGCCATCTCTTCCTGCCCTGAGTGTTCACCCCACGTCTCAGAAGACTTTGTATTCTTGGCTAATGAAACCAAGAACATAATGTCACCTCATGGTGGAGGTGGGTGTGTTGGGGGGTGCAGGGGGAGTGTAGGAGGACCTCTTTTTGCTCATCTATAACCCACCTGACACATTACATGCCTTATTTTGAAAAGGTGTTTACCTTAACAAAACAAGCAGGAATGTGATTTCTGGAGCAAGAAGTCAGAAATCTCTGAGAATTATCCTCTATCCATTTCAGACACACTGCTATTCACCGCTGCCTAAAGTGCTTCTGATTCTTTGACTGAAAAGTGAGGTTTAGCTTACAAATATTTTCCCCTTACATCTCACCGGAGGCTGTGAAATTTAACTAGAAGGCATTTCTGATCTCCGATGAAAGGTACTCATTAAGTATAATTGTTGTCATTACCTGAATTCTATTTTTACCTTCCTCATTTTTAATATATAGATGGCATGATGTAGTCCACAAGATCTCCAGCATTAGTATTTTTACCCACTTTCCCACATACTGCAGGGCCTGTTCTGGGCTAGAAGGTAGGTTTTTCAAAGCCCTGAGTCCCTGGGCACTGGGCCTTATGGTGCCCTGGGTCCTGTGCTCTTGTAGGTGGGACTTTCTGGCAAGCATAACATTTCATTCTAAAACAAATACATGGAGAGTTGGCTTGCTGTGGGTACAATTAGTCACTTTCTCAGAATGAGGAGCAAAGGGCTAATTGTGCTGCAAGTGGACAATTGCTACTGTAATTATTAGCCTCTGTAATTTTTCATCTATACATAATTGCACATGCGGACGAGGAGAGCTTAGGCTGTCTTCTTGCAATTCCGCCCATGAGGCTTCTCATTGTTAAGCTCAGGTTTTTTTCCACTTTGTATCTGTCACAGTTGGTTGTGCTTTTCCATGATTGTCTTTTTTCACTCTGTAAAATATAAATGCAAAAGCAGTTTTTTAAAAGTTTCTCAGAACAATTTAAATACTGAATCAGCCCTCTAGTTATTTGGTTTGTGTTAAATGTAACTTGAGTATTTACAAAGGCAAGTTTCTGGCTGATGTTTATGGAATCACATAAAAGAATGAAGCAAGAAACGTCCCCTCAGCTCTCAGTATCTGCTCCTCCCTATAATCTGTGCTTTTCTCAAAGTCTCCAAGAAAAGGAGTTGCAAGGCCTCTCAGGGCAACTTCATTTCAGTGTTACGCCTCTAACCTTAAAATGTCCAAGCATGGTATACCCCCAAACTCACTCAAGATTTCAAGGGTCATCATGGTGGCTGTAAGTTAGTTGTTACTTTCTCTGGATATGATGGAACCAAATTTGTTTTACCTAGGTTTGTAGCCGGAAACCATCATGAAAGGTAAATTCATTTGTTTTAGGTTTACATGTGAAGTTTTTACATGAACTGGTTTTTGAAGCAGCTGATATTTCTCACAAGGGATGTGGCCAGAGTCCACTCAGCTTCACTTCACTGACAACCCCAAACCCTCAGCTCGTGGCAGAAATGCATCTGGGTGATAGAAGAAGGCAAAGAGGAGACTTGCTTTTTTCCAATTTGTGAAGCGGCTTGAGAATTCATACCGAAGGGCATCCCACTCTTCCTGGAGCATGGCTGGATCTCCTAGACAAACAAGTTTGGCCGGCACCCATGGTGCTGCAGGATTCTCTTCAGATGAAAACTCCAAATACTCAAGAAGATTCTTTTTAGCTTTGTGAACTCTTAAAATACAAGAAGTCATAAAGCTTAGTAATGCTGGGAAAGACAAAATTGGTGTAAAGGATTTAGGAGAAATCATGCCATTAAGCAATCCTTTGATTTTTTTTCTTGTTCTTTCACTGGTTCCAAATAACAGTGAAACTCACTGAAAGATATAATATCCACCTGCTGAAGTTGAGAAATAGGCTCAGCAAAATCATTTGCTTTTAAAAGTAAACCTGCCTGTACATAAGCAGCAAATGTGCACCCACATGCCTGCAGATCTTTCAGGAAGCCTCAAAATAACATTCAGCTGCTCCCTACTTTATGACCCCTTAGAGCTGTGACCTGAATCCCCATCTAAGAATGTTAACAGCCACTGCTGAGATCATGCGTTACATTTCCAGCGCCAAAATCCGCCATTTTTTCTGCTCATAGTGAACAGTATCCTAAATGCACCACATTTGCTTTTGTGAGGATGCATTTGCCAGTCAGGCTCGATGCAAGCCCAACTGTTTGCACAGCATTAATAAGGGAGGTGGTAATCTGAAGAGCCTTATTTTTGTCCCTAATGTTCACCCCAAAGGGAAATGTGCTTTTACTAATAATAGAGGACGTGACCAAAAACACTGAGTATATTTATCTGTTCCGAGTTCATTTGCCAAAGCTGATATTTCCCACCAGAACTCTCTTAGAAAGGCTAAAACAATTAACCTCTTTCTCAGTTGCCCTGCCAAATGCCAAGGTCTGGCAAGTTTTTGTTTAGATGGTTCAATTGAAGACCAGCCTCTCCTACCCTCGCATACAAACCAAGTTGACACGAAATTCTGATGAGAAGAGCTAACGTTTGTTGAGCTAAGTGCCAGGCACTGGTTCTAGTGCTTTCCATACATTCACTCATTTAATCTTCAGAATGACCCTGTGAGGTTGGTGCTGTTAGTATCCCCATTTTACAGTTGTAGAAACTGAGATACAGTGGTGTTAAGTAGCCTGCCCAGGATCACATGGCTGGTAAGTGATGCTGCCCTGTAGACACTGCTCTCTGTATGATGCCACTGTGGGATGCTGCCTCTATATTGCTGCTGTCTTGAGTTTTAAGATGTTGTGAGCTGATCCAGCGCCCTCTGATTAGTTTCAAGGAACAGAGGCCTGAGGAAAAGGGCAGTACTAGCTTTTGCTCATTCCTTAAAACTGGGCTCCCCTTAAGTTTCCTGTTGTCATTCAGTTCATTGGTGATTTGGCTGGAGTTCTGATTTCCAAATCAAATGTGCTAAAAAATTTTTTTTAATCTTCTGGTTCTTCTATATTCACTTAGAAGTCTCTGAATAAGTTTGCAATATGGCACATGTATGAGGCAGATGAGTTCATTAACAGATTATGTGTTTAAAGAAATAACAAGCAACAGGCAAAAGCCAGTCACATCAGCTTCATAACCACCAGGCATTTATCAGTGATAGTCATCCAATCTTACCGCTTATTGCTAATTTTCCATGAACGGAAAATTATCAAATAAGAAGGCATTTATAGGACAGGCTTTGTTCCTGCACACATCTTCAGTCTCCTTTGATTTGATCCATTTCCTTATACCATACAATGCTTTTTTTGCTAATCTATATTATAGTTTGGATGTTGCCCCTCTAAATTTCATGTTGAATTTTGATTCCCAGTGTTGGAGGTGAGGCCTAGTGGGAGGTGATTAGATCATGGGGGCAGATTTCTCATGAATGGTTTAGGACCGTCCCATTGGTGCTGTTCTCATGAGAGTGAATGAGTTCTCATGAGATCTGGCCATTTAAAAGTGTGTGGCACACCCCGGCCTTGCTCCCTCTCTCCTCTCATGTCATGCCTGCTCCTTCCTCCCCCTCTCCCAAGAGCAAAACTTCCTGAGGCCTCCCCAGAAGCCGAGCAGATGTGCTTGCCCTGCTTCCTGTAGAAGCCTGCAGAACTGTGAGCCAATCAAACCTCTTTTCTTTATAAATTACCCGGCCTCGGGTATTTCCTTACAGCAATGTGAGAATAGCCTAATGTAATCAGTATATAAATATCTTTACTATTTCAAAGTAAGTTTTGAGAAGCTATTAGCTCTTGCAATAATTTGATGGTCACTAGCTTGCTGAGATTTTTACTTTTATAAACAAAAGCTAAATTTAAAAAAAAGTATCCTGGTAAAACTCTTATGCCTTCATTTTTAACACTTTCAGCAAGGTGTGCATAGGTAAGAAACTGAAAAACACATACAGATACCAAACAAGATTATGTAACATGAAAATGCTTCCCTTGTGTGAAACAAGAAGTCACAGGCAACTTTCTCTACTGCAAATTTGATCAACTAAAGCCCAGGAAAATGCTCAGGGGCTCCAGATTCGTGGCCACGTATTTTCCTATTTGCAGTTCCAGATTGTTAATCCTTTTCCTGTTCCTGAAGCTGGTAAACCCACTGCCCTGCTTCCGGCCACCTGGCCCTCCCACTGCTTTCTCAGAACTGCCTGCTTCCTAACTGAGTGTAGAACAGCATTACTCCGGGTTGAATTAATAGTGGCTTTTACTTTTTAAATAATAGGTTGGATTAATCATCATTTTTAGGCCGCAGAATGCTTTCCTCCACAGAAGAAGCTTGTGAACAATATGTAAACATCTCTCTGGTTCCCCAGCCTGTAGCCTTCCAAGTTTTCTTGTCATAACTAATATTGTTTCTCTTCAGAGTAATTTACCCAAGAAGAAACCAGCAATCTGCCTTTAGTTCAACCTTCGTTGGTTTCCAACTAAAAACAAAAGAAGAAGAATCCAACATTTGGCAATGGCCCAGTCAACTGCCTCCCTTGCCAGGAGGGTTTTCAACCAGTGCTGCTGCTCTCTGAGGGCCTAGAGATTGGGATTTTGAGCCACAAACCCTGTTTCCACTTTGTCCTTGGCTTCCTTCCTGGTCCTGAAATGAGTATGTTTAGTGAGAGACCTGCAGATCATGGAAGATTATTTTTTTCTCCCCTTCAAGCAAAGGAAAGCGCAAAGCCCAGGTTTATCAAAAAGGCAATTTCCAGCAGTACTTTAATTAAGTGTTAACCTTTCTGTGAAGAATTATAAATTGCATTAGAACATAAACGTCAGCTGACGACATTTAAGACCTGAGCTGAACTTATGTAACGTTTCCAATAATAAGTATGTCTATTTAAGATGTCAGTTAAAAGTTCAAAACCTTGATTTGTGGGCGCCATCAATGAGATTGGGTAGAGCCCACACATTGGGGTCTACAGGGAGAATTTCCAGAAAGGTGACAGATTTGGACCAGAATTGAAGCTTACTTTTGATCTGAAAATCAGTTTTCTTTCCATTCTTCTGGGCCTCCCAGGTGCCTGGGAAAATCTTAATAATACTGCACACATATACAAGTCAGGCTCAGTCAATTTCACAGTCAAGGTCTATAATGCTCTTTTCCCTTCTTAACAAGCCGATGGCCCCTGATTGACATCCCTTCACCCGGGAGTGATGATATTGCTGGTTCTAATCTCCCAAATTCCTTTCAATGTGCTTACCAGCAGGAAATGGCTTTCTCTTCCGTCTGGCTGACGGATGTCATGAACTACACATTACTTTGTCAGCCCTGAAGTCAGGGCATCGATAACTTCCACGGGGACAAAGTTGATAATAATCTCTTGGTATACAATTGTCTTTTAGAAAATTAGATAAATGTGAAACTCTCCACATTGTCAGGAGCATCACTCAAGGCTCCCTCAACCCTGGTGACAGCCCACAACGGCAGGACACAGTGAGCGCCGGAAGACGTGTGTGTGTTTGCTTTCAGGCCTGAAGCTCTCCCAACCTGTCTCCCTCCTCTCCGTTCCAGGCAACAAACGTCACCCCACAAAGCGCCTTGGTGGCACCCTTCAACCCGAGCAGGCCTGGCTTTCAAGGCCTCTCTGAAATCTCTGGACCTGAGGAATAAATCATTCATCTTGCCCTGGTAATATCTCTCTTTGACAGAGATTTCTGTGACAGAGCCTTGACATTCACCACGTTAATTTTTTCTTTAATCCATGGGTAGCAAGAACTAGGGAGGGGAGCGGGAAGCCCAGCTGACTCTGGAGTATAATTTCACGTTGTCGTCACAGCCCACATCAGAAATGACTTTGACAAAGGAACTAGGTGGGTGTACGGCATCTCTGAACTGGCGGTTGCTGGAAGAGTTGCTCTGGTCCAGCAGGCTCAGGCAGGGTCGTGTCCTTGCTGGTCACGAGAGAGGCCTGGTCTTCTAAATGTTCACCCAGTGGCCTCTTCCAGTTACTTTTAATTATCCAGGGAAGATTCTCTTTCCCCTGAGTCAAAATTCACTCTCTGTCTTGCTGTAGTTGACATCATTTTCTTATGAGTGGCTTTTCCTTTCCCCTGCCCTCCATCAGTCTCTGCTGAGGCTTAGACTAGGTCTGCTGGGAAAGGAGCCCCTGGGTCTGTCCCATTTCCCACCTCTACCCACTCAAGTGCTCAGGAAGCACTTCAGTGACATGGCTCCGTGTGTTTGAGTAGTATACTGATCATTCAGATACCAGCCTGCCATTTGGGAATTCATATTTAAATCTTAAACTGAGATTTAAGAGTTTGTGAGTTTACAAAGATACAGGAGTAGACACTGCGAAGCTTTGCAACAGTTCTCCATTTCACACTCAAGAGAAGCAAACGTCCCCAGGATAGTCCTCCAGGCCTGCCCCACCACACACACACTACTATGGCACCTCCAAGCTTCTCTTTTTTCCCCTCCTCACCTACCTGGCTTCAGCCACGCCACAGCGCCTAAGGCCAGCTCCCACCTCAGGGCCTTTGCTCCGGCTGTTCCCTCTGCCCAGAATGCCCTTCTCCTAGGTGTCCACTGGGCTCACTCCTCCCCCTTTTCATGGAGGCCCAGCCTGACCACCGTCACACTGCACCCTCACACCTCCCTAACCCTCACTGCTGGACCCCTTACCCTGCTCTGTGGGTTTTTTCTATGTAACCACTTTCTACATTCTGCAATGGGTGACTTTATGTGTCAGATAGACTGGGCCATGGGGTGCCAAGATATTTGGTAAAACGTCATTCTTTGTGCATCTGTGAGGGTGTTTCTGATGAGATTGACATTGGGGTGGGTGGGCTGAAGAAAGCAGAATGTCCTCTCCAATGTAGGTGGGCCTCACCCGATCCAGTGGAGGCCCGAGTAGAACAAACAGAGGGGTACAAAACAACTTGTTCTCTCCACCTGTTTTTGAGCTGGGATATCAGTTTCCTCCCATATTTGGACTGGAACTTACACCATTGGCTCTTCTGGTTCTCAGGCCTTTGGACTCAAACTGGAATTACACCACTAGCACCCTGGCTCTCCAGTTTGCACATAACAGATTGTGGGACTTCTCAGCCTCCATAATCACGCAAACTAATTCTCTACAATAACTCTCTTTAAATATATGTAAAATAATTTATCTCCTGGGCCTATCCAGAATGTATATACACACATTTCCAATATGATATACATATAGCCTATTGGTTCTGTTTCTCTAGGGAACCCTGACCAATACACATACTCTATAATTTACTTAGTTATTGTGTTTATTCATAACCAATAATGTCTTCCTTAGTGAGAATATAAGCCCGATGGAAGAAATTTTGTTTTGCTTTATTCACTTTTTTTTTTCTTTCTTTTTGAGACTGACTGTCACTCTGTCACCCAGCCTGGAGTGCAGTGGAGTTATCTAAGTTCACTGCAGCCTCTACCTGTTGGGTTCAAGCAATTCTCTCACCTCAGCCTGCTGTGTAGCTGGGACCACAAGCACGTGCCACCACATCTGGCTGATTTTTGTACTTTTAGTAAAGATGGGGTTTCACTATGTTGGCCAGGCTGGTCTCGAACCCCTAACCTTGGCTTCCCAAAGTGCTGGGATTACAGAGTGAGCCACAATGCCCAGCCTTGTTTTATTTGCTTCTATATTTCCAGCACCTAGAACAGTATGTAGGTGCTCGATAAATACGTGCTGACTGCCATGAACATGTACACATCAAACCAGTGATGGGCTTCCCAGTCCTACAGAGGAGTTGGAGCTGCAGAGAACCCTCACTGCACTGTGTGCTGGGCTGAAGGGAGCAGTCAGCCACATGGAGCACGAGAGCACCGGGCAGCGTCTCTGGAGAGCCTGGACTTCCAAAAGGCTCATCTCCCTCCCCGCCATCTCAAACATTGTGTTGTCTCTCAGCTCATCACACCTCTGTGGTTTCCCATAACATCTTCCGGCTTCACTTACAGGCTCCAAACAATGTCTGTCAGACTGAGCCTCCTAAATACAAATCAAATCATACACTCCACACATTCACGGAGCGCCTACTGTGCCAGGAATGCTCTAGGAGCTAGGGATACAATGAACAAAGGAGACTTTGTTCATACAAATGCTAGGAGCTAGGATAGCAATGAACAAAGCAGACAAAACTCCCTGCCCAGAGAGGCTTACAGTCTAGATGGCACGGCAGAAAATAAGCAAGATAAATAAGACACCCACTGTTCAGGGTGTGCTGAGGAGAGACTTCCTCGCTTGCTGAAAACCCCTCCTGTCTCTGGGATAAAACAAGCCCCTACATCCAGGTGCAGACAGCTCTTTCCTGTCTCTCCTCCAGCTCGTGGCTTGCCACATGCACTACACCTTCCAGGCAGCATGGACTTGTTGCAGGTCCCCAACTGGGCCTTGTTCTCTTCCACATCTGTGCCTTTGCACGTGAGGTTCCTTGTGTCCGGAGTGCCCTTCTCCCTTCCCTCTACCGTCTTTGCCAGTTTAACTTGCACTCAATACCTAGCTTAAGTACCATATCTTCTAGTAGCCTTTCCCTGTCACCCCCATCCTACCACCTCACCTCTATTTCAATCAGGGCACCCCCGTTTCGTCCTTTTCCATATCACTGTGCACACCTCTGTCCCACTGCTTTCCCCACCAGCTTGTAACTGTCTGTTTCCCCATTGTCTGGGGAGATCTTTGACCTTTATAGCTCCTGGGTCTCTGACTCATTGTAGGCAATCCAATATTTGCTAAATAATTTAATGGATGAATGAAGAATGGATGGATGAATGCAAAAAGGATGGAAGAAAAGACAGGGTTGGATGAATAAAAGGATTGATGAATGGTAGGAAGGAAGGTGGAGGAAGGAAGGAAGGAAGGGAGGGAGGGAGGGAGGGAGGGAGGGAGGGACGAAGTTACCATCTTCACAGCCTCTGTGGCTCCAGCTCAAGGTCTTTTCTCAGGTTCCTGACCCTGCCTGTGTTGCTCAGTCCAGCCCTTCTCAATGTTCAGTATAGAAAACACAGCCTTGAACCTCCACTCCCATGCCTCCCGTGGCCCTCAGCCTCCTGTTCTTCCCCTGGATGTCCCCTCTGAAGGCACCTCCTTTTCCTCCCCAGAGCCATGCTCCATCAGAATCCCTTTAAATAGCCCCTTTGCCCAGCCCCCATGCTGCTAGAGCCCCCCAGAAGCATTCAGCCACCTCCCCAGATCCTCATATGCCGATTCTCCAGGAACTGGGTGCTTTTAGTGACTGCATGTAGCCCTTCCCGCAAGGTTCCCAGGGCTGTGCCTTTGCTCTCTCTCCTTTTCTTCCCTCCTAGGGTAGTGGCCCAGACTATGTACTCTAGAGCCAGGCAGCCTGGATTTGAACCCAGCTGGATTACCCCCAACTGTGTAATCTTAAGCTGCTCACCCATCTCTCTGCCTCAACTCCCACATCTGTAAAAGGGGGCAATAGTGGCACCCTCCTGATAGGGCCATGTGAGGACGAAGTGGGGTGATGCACGTAGAGTGCTCAGAGCAATGCCTCGTGCACAGGAAGGGCTCTGCTGGTTTGCAATGATCATGATCCACCTCAACTTTTCACAAATGCACTTTTTACCTCTAAACCCACCCACTGGTGCCATTTTGGGCTTTATTTCTTACCAGCACACCTCTGCGTTTTCTGTTTCTTTTAGTTTAGGCAAAGCAGAGGGTTTCTGTGAGTTCACATAACTGGGAACAGAGAAGAAGCTAGAGGAGCCCAGCCAGGTCCCCTACCCCACCCCCGCCTTGCCTGCCTGTCAGATTGAGTCTCTTCCTCTGCAGCTGGGCTTTGTTCTGGAGCCTGGCCTGGCGTCTGATGCTACAATTACATCTTCACATCTTTGGTCCTGGGGACTGCCTGGAAATGGTCTGTTTTTTACCCTCCCCTCAGCTCTTTGAGGCAGCTCATTTCCCAGCTAAAAAAACTCACAGCAACTAGGGAACAGCCAGAGTGGGGTGGATTAGAAAGGTTACAGACATTTTTCAGCACGGTACTATTTGGTCCTTTTCATTTGCATGCATGTATTACTGTGATTAAAAAAATTAAGTAACATAAAATGTTTCCTCTCAACTGGTAAACAGTTGAAAGACAACGTAACTGAAAAGCAGAGCCAGCCCAGGTTTCTTTTTTTAATTGAAGTAAAATAGACATAATATAAAATGTACAATCTTAATCATTTTTAAGTGTAGAGTTAAGTGGCAGTAAGTACACTCACTTCGCATTGTTGTGCAATCATCACCACCATCCATCTCCAGACCTTTTTCATCCTGCAAGACTGAAACTCCATACCCATTAAACAATAATTCCCTGTTTCCCCCACTCCTCTCCCTAGCCCCTGACAACCACCATTCTACTTTCTGTCTCTATACATTTGACTACTCTAAGTACCTCATATAGAGGGAATCATACAGTATTTGGCCTTTTTGTGACTTTCTTATTTCACTGAGCCTAATGTCCTCAAGGTTCATCCATGTTGTAGCATGCACTGGAACTTTCTTCTTCTCCTCCTTCTCCTTCTTCTTTTCTTCTTCTTTTTGAGACAGGGTCCTGCTTTGTTGCCAAGGCTGGAATGCAGTGGCATGATCTCAGCTCACTGCAACCTCTGCCTCCCATGCTCAAGTGATCCTCCAGCCTCAGCTTCCCAAGTAGCTGGGACCACAGGTGCACACCACCACACCTGGATATTTTTTGTATTTTTAGTAGAGACAGGGTTTTGCCATGTTGCCCAGGCTGGTCTTGCACTCCTGGGCTCAAGCAATCCACCTGCCTCAGGCTCCCAAAATGCTGGGATTACAGACGTGAGCCACTACGCCTGGCCTTCTTCCTTTTTAAGGCCTAATAATATTCATATATATGAGAATACATATAAATAAATATATAGTAATATGAAAATGTGATACCTTTTTTTAATCCATTCAAGTATTGATGGACACTTGGGTTGCTTCTACATTTGGCTATTATGAATAATGCTGCTATAAACATGGGTGTACAACCAGCTCAACTTTTAAAAGTACCTGTTCGGGAGTTTCTCTTCATTTTAGTATAAGAATGAGGAAGCAAAGGGAGGACAGGGACTATGGTCTGAATGTTTGTGTCCCCTCAAATACTTATGTTGAAACCTAATCACAATGTGATGGTATTAGGAGGTGAGGCCTTTTGGGAGGTGATTAGGAATGGGATTCAAGCCCTTATAAAATAGGTCCCCAAGAAAGCTCATTCACCCCTTCCTCCTTGTAAGGACACAGCAAAAATGCATCATCTATGAACCAGAAAGTAGGTCCTCATCAGACACTGAATCTGCCTATACCTTGATTTTGGACTTCTCACTTTCAGGACTGTGAGAAATAAGTACTTGTTGTTTATAAGCTGCCCAGCCTTTCATATTTGGTTATAGTAACCCAAATAGACAAAGACACCATGGCCTCTGGGAAACAGGTTATCAGGCTGTATTAGTCCATTCTCACACTGCTATAAAGAACGATCTGAGACAGGGTAATTTATGAAGAAAAGAGGTTTACTTGACTCACAGCTCCACAGGCTGTACAGGAGACATGGCTGGGGAAGCATCAGAAAACTTGCTATCATGGCAGAAAGCAAAGGGGAAGCAAATACGTCTTCACATGGTGGAAGGAGAGAGAGAGTGAGAAGGCGGAGGTGCTACACACTTTCAAACAACCAGACCTCTTGAGAACTCTATCACGAGAATAGCACAGAGAAAATCCACCCCCATGATTCAATCATTTCCCACAAGGCCCAACCTCCAACATTGGGAATTACAATTCAACATGAGATTTGAGTAGGGACACAGAGCCAAACCATATCATTCCGTCCCTGGCCCCTTCACAACCTCCTGTCCTTCTCACACTTCAAAACACAATCATACCTTCTCAACAGTCCCCCAAAGTTTTAACTCATTCCAGCATTAACTCAAAAGTTCAAGTCCAAAGTCTCATCTGAGACAAGGCAAGTCCCTTCTGCCTGTGAGCCTTTAAAATAAAAAACAAGTTAGTTACTTCCAGGTTACAATGAGGGTACAGGCATTGGCAAATGCCCTTATTCCAAAAGGGAGAAATCAGCCAAAACAAAGGAGCTACAGGTCTCATGCAAGTCTGAAACCTGGCAGGGCAGCTGTTAAATCTTAAAGCTCTAAGTAATCTCTTTTGACTCCATGTCTCACATCCAGGCCATGCTGATCCAAGAGGTGAACTCCCAGGGCCTTGGGCAGCTCCACTCCTGTGGCTTTGCAGGGTACAGTCTCCACAGCTGCTTTCAGGGACTGGCATTGAGTGCCTGCAGCTTTTCCAGGTGCATGGTGCAAGCTGTTGGTGGGTCTACCATTCTGGGGACTGGAGGATGGTGGGCCTCCTCTCACAGCTCCACTAGGGCAGTGCCCCAATGGGGACTCTGTGTAGGGGCTCCAGCCCCACATTTCCCACTCCTGTTCACCACCCTAGTAGAGGTTCTCCATGAGGGCTCCACCCCTGGAGTATATTTCTGCCTGGACATCCAGGCATTTCCATATACCCTCTGAAATCTAGATGGAGGCTCCCAAGCCTCAACTCTTGTCCTCTGTGCACCTGCAGCCTTAACACAATGTGGAAGTCACTGCACCCTCTGAAGCAAAAGCCCAAGGTATATTTTGGCTCCTGTTAGCCACAGCTGGAGCTGGAGAGGCCACAATGCAGGGTACCATATCACAAGGCTGCACAGAGGAGCAGGGGCCCTGGGCCTGGCCCACAAAACCAATTTTCCCTTCTAGGCCTCCAAGCCTGTGAGTGGGAGGGGCTTCTGTGAAGGTCTCTAAAATATCTTGGAGACATTTCCCCTGTTGTCTTGGCTATTAACAATTGGCTCCTTTTATACAAATTTCTGCAGCGTGTTTGAATCCCTCCTCAGAAAATGTTTTTTTTTCTTCTACCACATGGTCAGGCTACAAATTTTCCAAAGTTTTATGCTCTACTTCCCTATTAAATATAAGTTCCAGTTTCATATAATCTCTTTGTTCATGCATATGAGCATATACTGTTAGAAACAACCAGGCCACATCTTTTTTATTATCATTATTAATTTTAAAAAGGTTTAGAGACAGGGTTTCCGCATGTCTCAAACAGCTGGACTCAAGCAGTCCACCCACCTAAGTCTCCCAAAATGCTCGGATTACAAGCATGTGCCACTGCATGCAGCCTGCCTGGCCACATCTTGAATGCTTTGCTGCTTAGAAATTTCTTCTACCAGATACCCTAAATCATCTCTCTCAAGTTCAAAGTTCCACAGATCCATAGAGCAGGGGCACAATGCTGCCAGTCTCTTTGCTAAAGCATAGCAAGAGTGACTTTTACTCCAGTTCTCAATAAGTTCTTCCTCTCCATCTGAGATCTCCTCAGCCTGGACTTCACTGTTCATCTCACTATAAGCATTGTGGTCATAATTTAACAAGTCTCTAGGAAGTTCCAAACTTTCCTTCATTTTCTTGTCTTCTTCTGAGCCCTGCAAACTGTTTCAACCTCTGCCTGTTACCTAGTTCCAAAGTCACTTCCACATTTTCAGTTTTCTTTATAGCAATGCCCTACTTATCTGTTATGAATTTTCTGTATTAGCCCATTCTCACACTGCGATAAAGAACTACCTGAGACTGGGCAACTTATGAAGAAAAGAGGTTTAATTGACTCACAGTTCTACAGGCTGTACAGAGGCATGGCTGGGAAGGCCTCAGGAAACTAACAATCATGGAAAAAGGTGAAGGGGAAGGAAGCAAGTTTTTACATGGTGGCAGGAGAGAGAGAGAGAACAAAGCAGGAGGCGCTACACACTTTCAAATAACTAAATCTTATGAGAACTCTATCATGAGAAAAGCAAGGGGGAAATCTGCCCCCATGATTCAGTCACCTCCCACCAGGCCCCACTTCCAACATTGGGAATTACAATTCGACATGAGATTTGGGTGGGGACACAGAGCCAAACCATATCACACTGTCATCCCTGGCCATCAAATGACTCCATCCTTTGTATTCTGTTTGGGTGCTCTCTGAAGCAGGGATTAGTATCCTCATTTCATGGCTGGGAAATTGAGGCTCAGAGAAGTTAAATAAGCTGCCCAAGATAACACAGCTAGAATGGGGCTGAGATTCAATGCAGGTCTGACTCTTCAGCCCAAGACCTTTTTGCTGCCTCCTTAAAGTGGGGTCCAAACTGGAACTGATGTATGTGAAGATGATGGAAGGCAGGAGGCTGAACTCTTCTCTCTCCCTCCCTTGTGCTTAATGGACAAACATCATTTTTTGAGAGGCCAGTGGAGAACAAAGAAAAGTATAGAAAATTGAGCCTAAAGGATCCAGAGATGAAGGCTGACTCAGACCAGAACACACTTAACTACTTAAAACAATGCTGAAAGAGGAAGAAATTTCAACTCTGCAAGGAAATGCTAAGCTAAAGGGAACAACGAACCAAGAATTATTTCAAGGCTGCTGAGTGGACAGCAAAATGGCAAATGGGTTTTAACAAGGGGAAAATGCAAGGAACTGCACTTGGAGAAAATCACCCAAACTGGACTTAATAGGAGGATTGAGTTGAACTGGTAGCATTGCTCCAGCAAAGGTCCTGGGTGAATGTGGGCTGTGCCAGAGGACACAGAGCTGCCCCCGGCCCCTCTAAAGAAAAGCATACGAAAGCCACTGGGCATCACTGGGAAAGGCATTGGTCACAAAGTAGAAAACAAAACTAAAACAACAATGAAACTCTTACCAAGGTTAAAAACAAGGTTTTCATTAGGAGAATGAGGGGATACTAGTGTGGGAGAATCTTGGGGGTTTTTTTGAAAATATCATGCTGTCCATTGCTGGCACCAAAAAGGTCAGGAAGATGCTAAGCATTCTCAGAGATGGCTCTGTGAGCACCTGAGAATATGAGCCCACCTTGAACCTGCCCCTGGACCTCCCTTGTGGCATCTCAGGAAAGCAGCATGAATGTGACAGGGGTGCAGGAGAGGAGGTTTGGCCACAGGCTGAATCCTGAGAATTATTAGTTCAAGAGCCTGGGATTTTCACAGCACAACACTCACCTTGAGGGCCTGAGTTCAGAGAATACAGGGTGTCCTTGGACGAGTTACCTCCAGGAGCCCCTCCTCTGGCCTGGGATTTATTTTATGTCGTTCATCCTTGTGTTTGAGCAGACAAGAAGAGGAGGGGATTGAAGTGGATACTCTCAGACACTAATATTCAGTCTTGAAGAATCTTTGTGGAGTTTCTCTCTGAGACAGACTTGGCCCAGGATGTGGCCTGTCACCCAGGGCATATGAAAACCCCCAAGCCATTCACAGCCGACTGGCTCCAGATCATAGGTCCACAGCTGCAGGGAGAGTGGTCCTAGGCTGAACTTGGGGTGGGGTGGATCCATTCTCAGGATTTGCCTTTGAGACATTTTGCTGGAACTTCTAAATCCAAAGATTCCTCTGATACTAGAGCAAGAGCCACAGGTGAGGATGATTCTCAGAAGAGTTCTTAGGTTCTCAGAAGGGTCAGAAGTGGAGGCCATGACTTCCTGGACTCCCTCTACCCAAGTCCACTTGTCAATACCACCACTGTCCTTGTCACTGACCACTTAGAAGCAAGGCTTTCCCTGGACCCTGGGTCTGGCACACGAGCCCCCAATAGCCCTGGTCCAGGAGCCACACCCTGAACTCTGCTGTAGATGGCCTCATACTCTGTACTCAGTCCCTGGGGAAAAGACCACTTGTGACCTGGTGGAGCTCCAGTTTGGGGAAATAGAAGGGAATCAGTGCATGAGACAGGAGGGCACAAGGGCACACTGGGGAGTGTGGAAGGCAAATTATGGAGAAAAAGGCTAGGCAGCCAGTCATGCTCCCTCACTCTCAGCAGTGACTGATAGGAGGCCCAATGCAGTTGTGCAGCTCCCACACTGCACAAAGCTGCCCACATAGGCAGAAGCTGCATGTGGAGGTTGCTAGCATAGCCTTCAGGTCTAGTGCAGGCCTGTGCCTACGCTGAGGATGGGGATTCTTTCTTATTCACTCAGAGATGCAGCATGAATGACTGGACAGCCCTGAGCTTCCACACAGGGGGCACTCAATACATATTGCTGGGGCAACTGGGAGACAACCAATGAACATGAGTTTCCCTCCTTCTCCAGAGCACACAGTTTACCTGCAGTGATGTGCGCCTGTGCCTGGGCTTGGGAGGCCAGCTCTGGCTCAGTGAAACCACATCCTTGGTTGGCAAGTGGGGAGAACATTATACAGGTGCTACGCTTGTTAATCCATGGGGCAGGTACTTACCTGATAGCCCAAAGACTGGGCATCAGGCCTTTGCCTTCATCCAGAGCCTAACGTGGCAGGAACCCCACATGCAGAACAGAGCCAGGTCTGAACAGGGCAGCCTGCACCCCGCCCATTCCCACCCACAGGCACAAGAATCCCTTATTCCTATTAACCAGCCATCTCCCAGGGAGCAGGGGACAATGCCCTCCCCGTGGTCACTCCGCAGGGATGACACATAAGAACCATCCAAAGTGCAAGGGGATTGACCCCTGCTCCGCAGCACTCTTTCGGCTTAATAGGAACAGCTGGTCAGTGAAGTGTTTGTGAGCAATTTAACAAGACTCAAACAGCAAGAGGCATCTGCCGATAAATCAAAAAGGAGCGCCTGGCTAAATGAGGCTTAATTTAAATTCGTATCTGGAGCCGGTAGAAGAGCCTCATTGTGCCTTCCAGTAGCATCCACAACAGCAAGGCCTAGGCCAGTTTGGCATGGGCTGGAGCTGAGTCCCATAGCCGCCTGTTGGGGGGTGATGGCCCCCACAGGAGGGAGCTGTAAAATCAAGCCAAAGTGCCGGGAGGAAGGTAGAGGAAGAAAGGAATGATATTAAATGTCATTCCTACCCTCACAGAAATAAAACAAAACCAAAGAACTTCATTCCATTTGGAAGTCATAAAACTCGTAATGGCCACCAACACCTCCAGAGTGGCCATCCCCATGACTGCAGAGGGCAGGACCCATGCTCAAGAGCTCAAATGAGCCTGGCAGGGAGAAGAACGTGTCCTATGGAAATGTCACAGTCAGAGCCATGATGCCACCCAGGAAAACAAGAGCTGCTTCTTTCTCATTGTTTCCTCACACAAAGAGCTAGACACAGATTGCAACCCATAGACAAGCCAAGAGCTTCAAGAAAGCTCTCCACCTCCCGCTGTGAACTGTGAGCTGTGCACAGCCTTGCGTTTCCCAAGGCAAATACCCAGGCCTGAATGGACTTTATTCTCCCCTCCCTACACATCCCATTTCTTTTTAAAATCAGGGCCCTGGACTGACATCAGATGAGAAGCTGACCATTGCTTAACCTATTCCTATCGCACGTGCATGTCTGGAAAAAGGAGATACAGGAGTTGAGCCACGAGTCACCACAGATACACCCTTCAAGGGGGATAGGCTAGCCCAGTTGCCCTCCTCCTAGGTTCTATTTCACTAGGGCTAGGGGTGGCTTCTGTGTGGGCAGGGTCTCAGGGGTGTAACAGGAAGCTCAGTTCCCAGGCCCCATTGGGCAGGGAGAATGGCTCAGAGAGCAGCCGTGGAAGAAGGCGACCCCTCTACCAGCTGATGCCAAGAGTATGGCTTAAAGTTCATATGCATTCAGTCAAGTATCACCCCTTTATCCATCCCAAGGCCAAGTCTGTCCCTTCTTATCTACACATTCCTCTCAGGCACGCATTCCAACTTTGTTCTTCTTCAAAGTTTGCCTTGAAATCAGCATATGTTCATTAGGAACAAGACCTGCCAGAGCCACCTCATGCCCTTTTGAAGTAGGTTTCAAGGCTGACAGCCTAGGGCAATAACTAACTCAGGAGTGTATCTTTTGGGAATTGTGTTCAACTGCTAGGTAAAATGAAGAGGAAATAGAAGTTTATTTTCCTCTCACATGAAAGTTTCCCAGTGGGTGTCCTGGGCTGGCACGGCAACAGGCATCCAGGATGAGGGGCCTTCGATCTTTTGGCTCTATATCTTTAGCTGCTGGCTTTCAGCCTGAAGGTCGCCCCATGAGCAAAGACTGACGAAACACCAGCTATCACATCCAGATTTCAGGCAGGAGGTAGAGGGAAGGGAGGGGCAACAACCATGATGACCAAAGGCACTTCCATGCTTTTGCTTTTTTTAAAGACAAGGTCTCATTCTGTTGCCCAGGCTGGAGTGCAGTGGCGTGATCATGGCTCACTGCAGCCTTGACCTCCCAGGGTCAAGCAATCCGACCTCCTGGGCTCAAGTAATCCTCCCATCTTAGCCTCTCAAGTAGCTGAGACCACAGGTGTGTGACAGCACATACGCCTAATTTTTAAATCTTTTGGAGAGATGGGGTTTCCCTATGTTGCTCAGGCTAGTCTTGAACTTCTGAGCTCAAGCAATCTGCCTGCCTCAGCTTCCCAAAGTGCTGGGATTACAGGTGTGATCTACTGCGCCTGGTCTTTATCACCTTTTTTTTTTTTTTTTGAGATGGAGTTTCACTCACTCTATCGCCCAGGCTGGAGTGCACTGACGCAATCTTGGCTCACTACAACCTCCGTCTCCCGGGTTCAAGCAATTCTTCTGCCTCAGCCTCCTGAGTAGCTGAGATTACAAGTGCACACCACCACACCCAGCTAATTTTTGTATTTTTAGTAGAGACTGGGTTTCACCATGTTGACCAGGCTGGTCTTGAACTCCTGACCTCAAGTAATCCACACACCTTCGCCCCCCAAAGTGCTGGGATTACTTTATCACCACTCAAAGATGAGGAAACTGAGGCTTACCCAGCAAATGGCAGCTCCAGAATTTGATGAAAATTTCCTAGAAGACAGGATCTTTATCCCAGTGAGAAGGGACACATAGAAAAAAGCAAGCAAATACACCACAGTGTAATAGCATCTGTGGGAGCCCTGAGGGGAGAGTTTTTAGGGTAATGAAGGGGGTACAGATTTGCCCTCGATTCTGACCCTAGGAGTTTGTCCTGGACCTTCAACCCTCCTAAGGATAGCCCTGACATCTATGGACACTTATACAGGTATGGATACCAAAATAATAAACAAATTACATTTTTTTCCACACATATTGTCTATGCTTAGTAAACATGGGCTGATAGGTCAAAATTAGCCACAAAGTTCCATAACACTGGCTTTCAGTGAAGTAAATGAGAGGAGCAGGTGAATGAAGAAGGGTTAAAGATTCTTCAGCACCTGGAAAAGAGAGGCTCAGCTTCTCTCACACAGGTGTTTTGGGCACAACAGGGTTTGCTTGCACTGCTCTCAAGGTGTTCTTAGAGGAAATGGGTACATGTGATGGTTCAAAGTAAGAGAGGCAGGGATACTGCAGGTCTATATGCAGAGTAACCATCAGAAATTGCTCCTGTTCAGTTTTTTGTTTTGCTTTGTTTTTCACTTTTTATTTTGAAATTACATTGGACTTCCAAGAAGTTGTAAAAATAGTAGAGAGTTCCCATGTACTCTTCACCCAAACTCCATGAATTATAACATCTTACATAAATAACTATAGCACATTATCAAGACCAGGAAAATGATACTGGTATAATACCAATACCCAAACTACAGATCTTATTTAGATCTCACTAATTTAGCACACAGACCTACTTATGCAAACACCATTATAATCAGGATAGAGAAGAATGCCATCACCAGTGTGAAATCCCCTGTGCCACCTTTTACAGTCCTCTCGCCAGACACAGATCTGCTCTATATTACTATAATTTTGTCATGTTTTAAATGTTATGTAAATTAAGTCACATGGTATGTAACCCTTTTAGTTGTTTTTTTTTTTTTTCACTCAGCAAAATGCCCTTAAGGTCCATCCGAGATCCAAAATGCCCTTAAGATCCATATTGCTTCTTGTATCAACAGCTTGTTCTATGTGACTGCTAAGCAGGATTCTGGGGTGTGGATGTGCCACAGTTTGTTTAACCATTTAGCACTGAGTGGCACCTGGGTTGTCTCCAGTTTTTATGTTATAAACACAGGCACTATAAATGTTCATGTACTGCTATAAACATTTGTGTATGGGTGTTTTTATGAATATAAGCTTTCCTTTATCTAGGATAAATAACCAGGAGTGCGATTGCTGGGTCATGTGGTAAGTGTATGTATAACTTTTCAAGAAATTGCCAAACTGTTTTCCAGAGTGGCCATGCCATTTTGTAACCCAACAGCAAAATGTGAGAGTTCCAGCTGCTTCACATTCTTGCCAGCAGTAGGTATGGTCAATCTTTTTTATTTTAATCCTCATAATAGGTGTACGGTAGTATCTCATCATGGTTTTAATTTGTATTTTTCTAATGGCCAGTGATGTTGAACACCTTTTACATGCTTATTTGTCACCCACTCATTCTATTTGATGAATTGTCATTGAAATATTTTGCCCATTTATTGATTGCATTGTTTTCCTGTCAAGATTAAAGAATTCTCTTTTTATTCTTGCTGCAAATTATTTGTCAGATATATAATTTGCAAATATTTTCTCCTAGTCTGTGGCTTGTCTTTTTATTCTATTAACAGTCTCTTTTACCTAGAAAAAGTTTTGAATTTTGATGAAGCCCAATTTGACAATTTTCTTTTATGGATTGTGCTTTCGGCATCTTATCTAAAGAAATCTTTACCTAACCTGAAGTTGCGAAGATTTTCTCCTATATTTATTGCGAATAAATTTTAGTTTTACATTTCACATTTAGATCTATGATCAATTTTGAGTTAATTTTTATATAAAGTGTGAAGTATAGGTTAAGGTTCCTTTTTTCCTCTGCCTATGAATGCCCACCAATTTGTTCAATAGCCATGTTGAAAAGACCATCTTTCCCTTTGAAGTGCTTTTGTACCTTTATCAAAAATCAGTTGGTTATACTTTTATGGGTCTATTTCTAGACTCTGTTCTGTTCCATTGATCTGTGTGACCATCCACATCGTTACTGCGGCCATATAGTTAGTCTTAAAAACAGATAATGTGATTACTCCAACTTTATTTTTCTTCTTCAAAAGGTTTCAGCTATTCTCTACTGCTTTTACATACACATTTTAGAGTCAACTTGTATATATCTACAAAAATCCTGCTGGGATTTTCATAGGAACTGCATTAAAACTATAGATCAATTTTTGAGAGAACTGATGTCTTTATTGCGTTGTCTTTCAATTCCTGAATGTTTTATGTTCTCCATTTATTGAGTTCCTTGATTTCTTTCATTAGCCTTTTGTAATTTTCAGCATACAGATTCTGTATCCTAAGTATTTCAATTTCTGCAGCTGTTATAAATGGCATTTTGTTTTTAATTTTGGTTTCCAGATGTTTGTTGCTAGCATATTTAAATAAATATAATTGATTTTTGTGCATTGACCTTGAATCCTGCACCTTAGTAAACTCACATTTTAGTTCTAGGAGCTCTTGTGTAGATTATGGGATTTTCTACATACACAATTACGTTGTCTACAAATAGGGAAAACATCATTTTTCTTGTTTATAGTATATCACTACTTTCATATATTTCCACATTCAATTTGTTAGCATTTTATTCAGAATTTTGTGTCTATAGTCATGTAGAACACTAGTCAATAGTCTCTCTCTCTCTCTTTCTGTCCTCATCTGGGTTTGGTATCAGGGTAATACTGGCCTCCTAAAGTGAATTATGAAGTACTCCCTTTTCTTCTACTTCTGCAAAAGATTATGTAAAAAGTGGTGTTATTTCTTCCTAAAATGGGAAGAAATTGCTAGTACGCCTGGAGATTTCTTTTCCAGAAACTTTTAAATGAGGAATTCTATTTCCTTAGTAGTTATCGGACTATTTAGATTACCTGTTTTATATCGGGTGAGTTTTAGTAGTTTGTGGTTTTTGAGAAATTGGTTATTTGATCAAAGTTGTCAAATTTATGTGTATAGAGTTGTTTGTAATTTTCCCTTATTCTTTACGTATCTAGGCAATCTGTAGTAACATCCTTTTTTTTTTTTTTTTTTGAGATGGAGTCTTGCTCTATCACCCAGGCTGGAGTGCAGTGCCAAGATCTCAGCTTAGTACAACCTCCACCTCCCAGGTTCAAGTGATTCTCCCACCACAGCCTCCCGAGTAGCTAGGATGACAGGTGTGCTCAACCACACCCAGCTAATTTTTTTTTTTTTTTGGTAGAGATGGGGTTTCACCACATTGGCCAGGCTAGTTTCAAACTCCTGACCTCTAGTGATCCACCCACATCAGCCTCCCAAGGTGCTGGGATTACAGACATGAGGCACCGCACCTGGCCCTCTCTTTCGTTCATGACATTGGTAATTTGTGTCTTCTATCATTTTTCTTTGTCAGTCTTGTTAAAAGTTAATCAATTTTATTGATCTTTTCAAAGAACTAACTTTTAGTTTTATTAATGTTCTCTATTATTTTGTTTTCGATTTTATCGATTTCTGCTTTACTTCTTATCTTCTGCTTACTTTGGGTTTTTCCCCTCTTCTTTTTCTAATATCTTGAAATAGAAGCTCAGATTATTGACTTGAATTCTTTCTTCTTATTCCAATATAAGCATTTAGTGCTACAAAATTCCTTCTAAGCACTGCTTTAGCTGTACCCTATATACTTTTGATATGTTGTATTTATTTTCATTTCATTAAGTTCAGTATATTTTAATTTTCTCTTGAGGCTTACCCTTTGATGCCTGGATTATTTAAAAGTGTGTTATTTTATGTGTTTGGAGATTTTTCTATTTTTTGTTATTGACTTAATAGTCAGATGGCATATTGTATACTACTTTAATTCACTTAAATGTTAAAGTTTGTTTTATGATCCAAAATATGGTCTTTCTTGGTGAATATTCCATGTGCACTTGACAAGAATTGTGTATTCTGCCATTGTTGGCTGAAGTGCACTATGATGCTAATTAGATCATGTTGGTTCATGGTGTTGTTAAGTTCTTCCATATCCTTTTTGATATCCTGTCTAGTAGTCTCTCAGTTACTGAAAGAGCAGTGTTGAAGTCTCTGACCATATGTGTATTTTCTTTCAATCATGTCAGCTTTTATCTCAGATATTTGAAACTCTTATTTGATGCATCACATTTTTACATCTTCTTGGTGAATTCACCCTCTTATCATTGTGTACAGTTCTTCTTTTTCCCTGGCAATTTCCTTTGCACAAGTCTACATTGTCTGATATGAACACACTCCATCTGTCTTTTAATCAGCTTTACAGAGTATATATTTTTCATACTTTTACATTTCAACACTTATATCACAATATCTGAAGTGAGTTTCTTGTAGAACACATACAATTGGTTCAGTTTTTTGTCTTTTTTGAGAAAAACTTTCGCTCTTTCACCCAGGCAGGAGTGAAGTAGTGCGACCTTAGCTTACAACCTCCGCCCCTGGGTTCAAGCGGTTCTCCTGCCTCAGCCTCCTGAGTAGCTGGGATTATAGGCGCCCGCCCCCATGTCCACCTAACTTTTGTATTTTTAGTAGAGATGGGTTTTTGCCGTGTTGGCCAGGCTGGTCTCAAACTCCTGACCTCAGGTGATCCACCTGCCTTTGCTTCCCAAAGTGCTAGAATTACAAGCCTGAGCCACAATGCCCGGCCATTTGTTCAGTTTTTAATCCATTCTGCAAATTTCTGTCTTTTAATTGCTGTGCTTAGACATTACATTTAATGTAACTGTTGTTATTTTAGGATTTAAGTCTGCTACTTTATTATTTGTTTTCAGTTTGTTTCTCCCTCCCCACTTTTTTTCCTCCTTTGTTTCCCTTTGCCTGCTTTCCTTTGGGTTACCAGAACAATTTTTAGTATTCTGTTTTAATTTATCTATAATGTTTTTGAGTGTATCTTTTTACATAGTTTTCAAGTGTTTGCTATAGTGATTACAACATATATACACATATAACACATTACATCCTACCAATAATAACAACTTACTACTTCAAGTGCAATGAATATTAAAACCTTACCTCCATGCAGGCTTTTTACCACTCCCCTTGATGATTGAAGTGTCTCAAATATTATTACATTTGTTGAGAACCACATCAGACTGTTGTAATTTTCTGCTTCCAATCATAAAAGTTATTTAAAACTCAAAAGAAGGATAGTATATATATTTATCTAGATATTTGCTCTTTTCATTGCTTTTTCTTCATAACTGATGTTCCACAAGTTTCCATCTGTTATCATTTCCTTTCTGTTTGAAGAACTTCTTATAGCAATTCTTTTCAAGCAGGTTTGCTGACAACCAATTCTCTGTGTCTCTTCACTTGGGAATGTTTTGATTTCACTTTTGCTCCTGAAGAAGTTTGCTAGATATAGAATTCTGGGTTGATGGTTATTTTCTTTCAGCACTTGAAAAACATTCTGACTCTTCCTTCTGGCCTCCATGGTTTCTGATGAGAAATTCACTGTCATTAATATCGTTATCTATGACTGCTTTTAACATACTTTCTTTGTGTTTAATTTTCAGAAATTTGTCTGTCTATGGATTTCTTTAAATTTACCCTGTCTTGGATTTGCTTCACTTCTTGAATCTGTAAGTCTATGTCTCTCACAAAATCTGGGAAGTTTCGTGTCATTATTTCATAAAATATTTGCTCACTTTTATTTATTCTCATCTCTTTCTAGAACTCTGATGATATGAATGCTAAATCTTCTGTCACTGTCCCACTGGTCCTTGAGAATCATTTTTTTTTTAAATCTATTTTCTTTCTAAATAGATTAGGAGCTAACCTAATTTATTTCTGTTTATTCTATTGTATTTATATTCTATTATCTAGAAATTATTCTATTCAGAATAATTATCTAGACTTATTCAAAGATAAGTCAATAAAATAATTATCTAGACTTATTCAAAGATAACTCAATAGGAATTGTTCTATTGAGTTATCTTTGAGTTTAGTAACATTTTCCTCTGTCACTTCTATTCTGCTATTGAACTCATCCTGTGAGTTTTAAAATTCTGGTTATTGGGCCAGGAGGGGTGGCTCATGCCTGTAATCCCAGCACTTTGGGAGATCAAGGCAAGAGGATCCCTTGAGCCCAGGAGTTCAAGACCAGTCTGGGCAACAAAGCAAGACTCCATATCTACAAAATTGTTTTTTAATTAGCTGGGTGTGGTGGCACATATCTGTAGTCCTAGCTACTCAGGAGGTTGAGGCAGGAGGATTGCTTGAGCCAGGAGTTTGAGGCTGTAGTGAGCTATGATTGTACCCCTGCAATTCAGCCTGGATGAAAGAGCAAGACTCTGCCTCTAGAAAAAAAAATTAAAATACTTTGGTTATTATATTTTTCGGTCTAAAATTTCCATTTAGTTCTCCTTTATAGCTTCCATTTTTTGCTGAGAGTTTGCAATTTTCTATTTGTTTCAAGAGTATTTATAATTGCTTGTTGGAGAACTTTTATGATGGCTACTTAAAAATCCTTATAAGATCATCCTAACATCTGTGTTATCTCAATGTTTGTATTTGTTGATTTTATTTTCTTATTTGAGTTGGCATTTTTCTGGTTCTTAGTGTGAAGAATAATTTTGGATTATCTCTCAAACACTTTATGTATTACATCATGAGACGTAATAGATACCTATTTAATATCTTTTACTAATCAGTCAACCTGTTTAGGTTCAGAACACACATCATGACCTACTTCTGTGGGCTTGTCGTTTAAATGTCAATTTTGTTTTCGAAGACTTTATAGTGCTATTCTCCTCTGCCCCACTTGTACACTACCCATAAGTCAATCTGAAACCTGCAAGGTATTAATTTGGTTCTCAAATCTATTGCTGCATTAATTCTAACCAATTTCACTCACAGGCCACTTGAGGATCTTCCCACAACTTTATTCATAGATTTTAAAAATCTCTTTCTTCAGAGAAGTTTACAGAATCTTTTCTGTAATCTTCCCCCCTACCAATCCCTTTTGTTTGGCTTCCTCTTCTCTGTAATGCCCACTTTAGGGAAGGGCTGGGATGTTTCCTCTTTGCTGACATTCACTTAGTGCAATTGGGGATAGGGGGCAGGGTCTCACCTCACAGTCTCCCCATGACAGGTGGAGAGGGGATGATGTGCTGCCTCCTTAATGCAGAGAAGGATGGCCCATGGGGCTCTGATCACAGCCTCCACAGTCACAGCACCCAATGGGGAGGTGGAGGGTTGCAGATTTTTTTCTTATCTTTGCCTAGCAGAGGGTAGGCATAGTCAGAAGATTCTGTTATATAGGACCATGCTTTTCCTGGTCCTTAAGCTAGAGAAGGTAGGCTTTCCTTGGGGCTCTTTTTTCAATTGTCTGAGCCAGTTGGCATTTCCAGATTTGGGGGCTCTGTAGTGCCCAGAATAGGATATATGGGAGAAAAACACCCTCCTTCCCATCCCAGCACGAAACACATCTTGGGTTATTCTCAAATTACAAAGTCTCTACCTATCCATCTTCTTTTCTCCAACTTTCAGAGTTCTCTAGTAGTTAGTGCTCTATGTATTTTGCCCAGGATTTTCAGGTCCAATTAGCAGGAGGAATAGGTAGAATGCACTTACTCCATTTTGTCTGGAATCAGAAGCCCCATGTTAATAGTTTCAATATAAAGTGCTGTGCCCAGGCATCAAGGTAAATTTAACTTTGGAAACAGAAGCTCCCTGAAGTAAGCCTTGATCCATGGACTCTGGACTAGAGTAGCCTCCCTGTCACACGGGATATATCTGGTGTCTGTGGATTACATCTTGGTAATATGATTGCATCTGTTCTTACTTCTCTACCAAACACAGAAGAGGATCACTAGGTTCTGTTTTTGTTCTTATTTATTTACATCACATAAGAAAAAAGTTAATTCTCATTGTGAGACAACATTAGGGTGCAGCCTAGTATTTGTTGAGATTTTGGGGGTGATGCAATTAGCTAGACAAACAATAACCAATCCACAGAGCCTTCAATGTGTTAAGAGGAGGGTACATGAGGGAGGCAACAATAAATGAGGCATTTGCAACTTCCTGCTTAACAAACAGTGATACTGGGAAGGGGCTGAGAGGCAACTTGAGGCATTTTTCTTTGGTTAGGGAGCAGTGGCTCTAGTTCACATTTGCCACAACCAGACCTTCTCCAGAGAGAGGACATGAGCAGCAGCGTCACAAATTGAACACACTTGCCAACTCCTGCTGAGCAAGGTCAGCTTGGCTTTGAATTTGAATACAAATTGGCTCCAGCAACTTGCTACAGGCAGTAAGCAAAACCAAACAAGCAAAAGCAGAAAATATAAGAGGAGGAAGCCAGTCCCTTTGTCACTGCAGATTTGTAAGAGAGGGTGAAAATGGTACGAACAACTGCAGTCTGTCACCAGGGAGCCTGATCGCCCCAAAAGCAACCCTGTGGGGTAGCATGGTGAAGACGCCCAACCTTTGGGAGCCTCAGGAGCATCACCTACAAAACAGTGCTGACGATGCCACCGCCTCTGAAAAGCATAAGTAGCTGTTCCTAAGCAGCTGTGGGAAACTCTGCATGGGAAAATGTGAGGCAGAAGCTGAGCGTCCTCAGCTTGCCATCCCGAGGAAAGCTGCTTTCTCTCCTCTCTAATGGCGTTAGCCAGTGAATTCGCATTTCTGCTGTTTATATGTCTTAAAAGCCAACATTTTCCTAGTGTTTTTGGTGGGAAAACGATCATCCCACAATTGGCATGGTGAGATTATTTCTTAGGCGAGGCATTTCCTTTGAGACTGAACTGCCATTTGTACAGTGTCGTTATTTAAGATGACACATTGCCTGGCTGCTCAGGGAACAGAACATGAGAAAACCGACGAGCTTTTTCAGGAGTGTGAAAGCCAGCCTCAGCTCCCAGTGAGAGATAGAGCTAGATCTGGGTGAGCAACAGGCAGAGAACGCCCACCAGCTTCACTTGTTCATTGGGCTCTACGTTTGTATGGTCCAGGGGGACTGTGTCACCTTTCTGCCTCCTCCCGAAGAGGGCTTCCTGCCCTGGCCACTGACAGCAAAACTTGCTTAGGGTAGAAGGGCAGAGCCAAATCCAAATGGAATGCAAAATCTGTGCAAAGAAACGTAGGCACTTTTCTCTTTCAGTCACTGAGGAGGTGTTCATGCTCCTCACATGCATTCCTGATGCCTCTTCCCATCCTCTCTTCATTCTCATGGCCTGATCCCCTGAGGAAAATGGTTGGACTAGGCGCGGGTTTAAAGGACAGCACCCTCATCAGTGAAAGAAGTGCAGGTGCGTGCAGAAGTGCTACATGCACCTGTGTGGTGTTTGGTGCTCACATCCCTGAAGGTGAAGGCATTAACTCAGGACCCTGGAGAATTTTTATTCAAAATCAACCCCAAGTTCGGTAGAAATCACTGTGGTTCTTGCTGTCCATGTTCCCAGTGGCACCCACCCCACCCCGGTGAAATCAGATTCCCTCTTAAAGTAAAAGTGCAACCGAGGTTTTCCCGCAGTAATGACCAGCCCACCTCAAAGGGAAGCCGCCCCGACCCTAGATCCCTTCTCAGGATGCTGGCTCACAGCAATCAGTAGTCTCCTCCTCGACGCCACTCTATAGCACCGCGCTTCTTGTCATCCACACACCTACCGCATAGCAATGCCATCACTTATGCAGAAGCAGGGTTTCTTCCTCTCAATCACGTGCCCACAAAAGGTTCCTAAAAAGAGTTATTGAATTGGTGGGTGGGTGGGTGACTACATGGAAGAGGCACAAGGAAGCAGAAGTAGGCTGCTCCAAGGCCTCCTGAAGCCTTGTCTACTAAGTGGACTGAGTGGCAGTGGGGAACCCGTCAGCCTTGCTGTCCTTGGTGTCCCGTAGGAGAGCCCAGCTCCTTCCTGGCTCTGGCCCTGACTGACAAATGCAGAAGTAACGAGCAGGACTTGGAGCACTCTCGCCCACACTGACATCTGTGTCTCTGCCTTGGCTGATGCAAGTACACGGTCTCTCCCGAGAAAGGTCCACAGGAATAGAAGAGGCCCTCGCCAAGCACCAAGACCTGGAGCTATTCAGTTTCAAGGCCAAGATCACCCAGCTGCCAAGGTCCTGTTCTTATTTAAAAAGTGATTCATCAGGACAGGAAAAAAAAAATCTGTGTGTGCTGGCACAGTAGTATCTCTCCTGATCCCAGCAGGAACGGGAACACCAGTGTCAAACAGTGTGCCAGGCAGAGGAGCCCCCGCCCTTCCCAGCTGCCTGTTCAAAAGCACCAGTCTCGCTGGCGTCTGGGACCTGCTTCCAGGCCCTAAGCTTGAGGTCTGTGGTTCTGGAGGCACCAGCAGCAAGAGCTCCCAGGGAGCCACTCAGGGAAAGGGCTGGACCGCAGGGCTCTAGGCAGCACTCCCTACCCTCCTAGCGCACTAAGGATTCTGCGGAGGGGGACCAGCTCCTCCTCCAGACTCCTTCCAGGGAACGCTCCATCACTGTCACATGCCCCCGGCTCCGAGCTAGCATGTGAGGTGGGCGTGCGTCCGCCTGAGGACTAAACCACGGAGTCTAGCCGGGCTCTTTTCGGGGGATCCCACAAGTCTGTTTCCTCTTCCTTCCCTCCTCTTCTCATCAGTCCCAAACTTTACGCTTTGACTTTGCTCTGGTCCGAAACCCTTCCCGCTTTACACCATGCCTGCTGGACCGTGGGGAAAGGGAAAATCTTCCCTACGATTCTGCTGCTGCCCGCCCCCTCCATCCTCCCAAGCGCCTCCCGGGAGCCTGCTGAGCCCCTGCATCCTCCTCTGTTAAGTAAAGCGCTGCGGCCAGGTGCTGTCTAAGCTTCCTAGCAGTCCAGGCATTTTCTTTAAAGAGTGGTGAGTTATTTTCTTCCCCAATCTCCAGAGCAGAGTCCTTCTCTCCGCCCTTCTAAGCAGCTCAGCCTCTACCTGCACTGTCCGGTACCACAGTAGCCTCAGCCACATGTGGCTCTGTACATTTAAATAGGAAGTCATTAAATGACATAGAACTTAAAATTCAGTATTTCAGTTGCACTAGCCACTTTTAGCTGCTGCCATAGCTGCCACAGCTAGTAGTGGCTGCGATATGCAATGGCATAGAAAAACATTGCTGCCATTGCAGAAAGCCCTCTCGGACCGTCCTGCCCCTGCAGGGTCTGAGTCCCAGGGCCGCCTAATGCCCTGACATGTGGAGAGGGAGACATGGTCCCCACGATCCTGATCTGCACCCGCATGCCCACGGCATCCTCTCTCTTCCTGAGAAGACGTTAGCACTCTGTGAATCAGACAGAGAAAGACCTCCCAGGTCCCTAAGTATGACCCCCATATCGAACTTTTCAGCAGCCACCCTCCCTACGGTCACCCCTGTCCCTGTCACAGGACTTCACCCAATGGCTGCTTCCCCAGCTTGCTCTGTGCACCAGAAACTCAAGGACTCGGCCAGGACAGGCGCACACCAGAACACAGTGCTGCCTGCTGGGAGCCCGCTAGTTCTCCCTCCAGGATACCAATGTGGAGCAAGATATATGCTCTCAGGATTCTTCCAGCCAATGAGGGCTGGGACCAGAGGCTGCCCCCGCTTCCCAACCCACCCACTGGTTGGCTCCATTAGGGGGCCTCTGACCTCCATTTCACACTTCCCACGGGGCCATGGCCCTAGCAGTCCTCAGGTGGCACCCGAGTCCCTGTGTGCACAATGCAAGGACACAAGAAGCACATACTGTCCCGGACCTTGAGGAGCCGAGCATCGAAGGCCGAGAAGACCAGTTTACACAGCAGTCACTGTGAGGGACAGATCCGCCTGCAGCAGCATCTTTCCACCTGGTCTCCTTCCCAGGTTTCTGTTCTTGCAAAGCCCAGGAGGGGCCCAGCTGTCTGCAAATGTCAGCACCTCCCAAGTCAACGTGGCAGTACTGGCACCTTGCTTCCATTTTGAATTCTTCCCTTGCTGGGTCTATGGGCTGCAGACCCTTCCCATCTGCTGCTTCTCCTGCCTATGCAATCTCACCTGCTCCTTCTCACCTCTGCTTTGCTTGTCCTGAAAGGCTGCATTTTCCACCTTTCCACCTTTCACTCTATTCATTTATGCTGTTTTCTATTTGCTGTTGCCAAATCTATTCTCCACACTGCTCTGGGAGGCTGGCCTCCACAGACTGCATTACAGCCTTCCTTTGCCCTCTGGCGTCAAGCTGGGGTCAGCCAATGGGAGACATTGCAGGAGATGGGTGGGCGAGAGGAGAAAGGGTGGGGGTTATGACCCCTCCATCTTACTCCCTCACGGTCTGAGGGATTCTGCTGATTCTGGTGGGCCCTCATTTTCCCCAGGCCCCTTGGCCAGGCTTCCAGTCACACTGTCCCCTCCCCATTGTCCCTTCAGGCCTGGGGGCAGGAATGGCTCCTCCTGTTGATTTCCAGGTACTTTACCTTTCCTCTTTGGTTCTCTTAACCCTGCCCCTGCCCCTGTAAATACTCACTTCTTCAAACTTTCTGATCTCAACTCTTCTGAATTTACTGTGTGTTTCTGGCCAGGAGCCAGAAGGATATGGCACCTCTCCACATGTCCCGCTGGTCTGTAAGCGTTTGGGAAACCACCCAAACATAGTGGCGTGACACAGTGGCAGCCAGGCACTGCTGCTGTTTCTCATGGTCCAGAGCAATTAGGTGGCTCTGGCTTAATGTTGCTCAAGATGCTGCAGTCAGACAGGGGCTGTGGCTGGAGCCCCCCCACAGGCTTTCTCCCTTGCATCTCTGGCTATCTGTTGGCCCCTCAACTGGGGCATCTGCCTGTGGCCATGGCTTCCTTACAGCATGGCAGCTGGGTTCTGAGGGCAAGGTCCTGGGAAGGAGCCACGTGGAAGCTGTATTGTCTTCACAAGCCAGTCTTTAAAAAGCCACACAGAGTTATTTCTGTTGCACCGTACTCATCAGAAGCTCATCACTAAATCAAGGCCATCCATTGTCAAGAAGAGAATTAGACTCTACCACTTAATGAGAACAGTGTTAGGGAATTTGTGAATATATTTTACAACTAGCACAGATGGAAGATGTTTGACACCTTCTCTGATCACCATCCTGATCCGTGTCATCCACACACACCCTCTTGGGTCCCCCAGGCAGAATACAGCGTCTCTTACAGACTCCTGTCTCCTTGTCCCAAACCCACTGGGTAACAGGTCCTGTTTGTTGACTTCACCCCCTAAATTTATCTCAAATACCGCAGCTTCTCCATCCCCCTGCCAATGCCGAAGTTGTGCCTCTTCCACCGTCTCCTCTGGGTCACTGTCAGCCTTCCTCCTTCCCAGAGGTTACTCCAGCCACCATTGGAAGGCACCTCAGACCGTACCACAGCTCTTCACTTTGCTGATTGGGAACCTGAGTACCAGAGAGGTGAAGGGACTTGCCCCAAATTCCACAGCCAACTGAAGTCACAGGCAGGCCAGAACTCAGGTCTTCTGGTGACTAGAGATGGGTGCCTTCCTCACCTGCTTGAGGGCAAATTTTTGGTTGTTCTTGGAAAGCATACTCCCACCAGAGGCCCGGGGCAGTCTCTCAGCCTCTTCATTCTAGGCCCTTGGTATGGTCTCTATTGCTGGGTTTTGCAAAGAATTTATTGTGAGAGAAATAAACAGCCACTTTTATTATTTTCCTTATTCTAATTTACCATTTAAATAGGCATTTCCAGATTTCTGGGCGTCATCATCTCATAAAGGAACTATTCTTGCTCTTAAGGAACTTCCATTCTAAAATTATACAAGCCACAGACAGAGGAGATAGACACACAGAGAGACACTATGCTTTTCTTTTTTTGGAAAGGGCTGGGGGAAGTGCAGAGAAGGGAGAGAAAATAGAAAAGGGTAGAGAAAGATCAGCACTGTTTGGTGGACGAAAATAACACGAGAGACAGCACAGAACTTGATGGGCTCTGTCCCCAGGGATAAGAAGGGATTTCAAAGCTGCACAACTATTTATTTATTTTTGCACATGGAATCAGCCATTTTATGCAACTGATAAAATCAAGGACAATTAGACCAAATTGAGCTTTAATTTTGGATTGAAAGTGTGATTCTTCCACTGAGAACTTCCTCCCACCACATCTGAAATTACTAACTGCCAAAGGCACCCGGAGCCATCAGCCTGGATGGAGTGAGCTTATTGCTTGTCAAAAATGTAGACACTGAGAAGATCTACGCGCTCCTCAGAGGCATTAGAAAGTCCAGATGAGATGCAGATTAAGGACTCACCTCAGGGAGCATTATTTAAAGCGTTTACTTGTTTACACTTGGTTCAACTTTGGTACTGAGGAAGAAAAAGTGACCTCAGAACCCCTGAAGTATCTGGGCCGCTGGTTGTGGGTTTGAGAGGAATGGGGTTTGGGGGCCACACCCCACTCAAGAGCTAGATTTTCCTTACAACTTGGTTCTCAAAATGTGCTGAGCTTCCCTTAAAAAGAAATTCTGTCACCTCTTTTCTCTTCTCCACATCTCCTCTCCTTTGCCAGCCTGGTTCATAACAGCATAATAGTGATGTTAAAAGTTCAGACTCCTTGAGGGCAGGAAGACCTGGGGTGGGGGACTCCCTCTCACTCAACCATCTTGGGGTGACCTGGAAAAGTGAGTTCTCCCCTCCAAGCCTCGGGATCCACCTCTGCCAAGTGCCAGCGAAGACAGCATCTGCCTCCCAGGATTGCTGATGGGATTGACGTGGTGATGTGTGTAAAGCACATAGCACATGTCTGGCACAAAGTCAGGTTTCAAAAACTGTTTGCTGGCTGGGTGCGGTGGCTCACGCCTGTAATCCCAGCACTTTGGGAGACTGAGGCAGGAGGATCACTTGAGGTTAGGAGTTCGAAACCAGCCTGGCCAACATGGCGAAACCCCATCTCTACTGAAAATATAAAAATTAGCCAGGTGTGGTGGCATGCGTCTGTAGTCCCAGCTACTCAGGAGGCTGAGGTGGGAGGATCACTTAAGCCTGGGAGGTGGAGGTTGCAGTGAGCTGAAATTGCACTGCACTCCACTATGAAAAAAAAAAGCAACTGTTTGCCATCATTATGATGTTTATTACCGCCATCATAGGGCTCATACTGCCTCCAGGCCTCCTTCTCACGGAGCCTCTAACTGATGCTGAGTTTTCCCTTTCCTCTCTCTGCTAGATTCCTGTTGGGATGCTGGGCCGGGTTGGGTGTTCTTACTACCCAAGAGGTGTGAGACTCTACAATGTGTGCTTGCTTGGTTGCTTTGGCCAGGATGTGAGAAAAACAAAGCTTTTCTGAACCACAGCAGGGCTGGATCCAGCTGAGGTCTGGGAGAAGGCAGGACAGAGCTCATCTCTGGGCTTTACCCCACAGGAAGCTAAATCTGAGCTAGTGGGTCAGGAGATGCTGGATCAGGGAAATGTAAGCCTTGCGTTTCCTGGAAGGATTGAGTGCCTTTGGCTCAGGGAGCCCACAGGGATTATTCAATGAGGGACCACACAGCACTGGGAATGCATGGCCGGGACTTTCAGTGCTCCCCTCTGCACTGGAGGTTGGTATCTGGGCTTGAACAAACATGAAAATGCCCAATATCCCAGGCCTTTCTCTATCCTTTTTGAGACTTGTCTGACCCTCCCTCCTTCCATCATTAGAGCTGGATTTTTTCTCTTTTCTGTAGGAGAGGGAAGAAGCAGAGGCTGAGTGTGGTGTTGGTAAGGACAGGGGACTTGCTGGTGAATGGGGACTGGAAGGATGGAAGGAGGGAAGACAAAAAGAAGGATCTTCAGCTACTTTCCAGAGTAATCATACTCATTTGTGCAATCTGTATTGGGCACAGTTCCTCTTCTAAGGGTTTTGTGAGGGAGAGAGAAGGACAACAGATAATGCAGTAGATAAGCACTGGGCTTGCTGGGAGCCCACAGGCACGCCACCCAAGGGGTTAGGAAAGGCTTTCCGGAGAAGGAAGGGTCTGGGCTAGGACACAGAGGGTGAGCAGAAGCCAGGAGTAAGCCAGGTCATGGGGTAGTGGGAGGACAGTCCACAACTGCCATGGTGTGTGTGTGATATGGTTTGGCTGTGCCCCCACCCAAATCTCATCTTGAATTGTTGTTCTCTTACTCCCAACGTGTCCTTGGAGGAGCAGGTTGAGATAATTGAATCATGGGGGTGGTTTCCCCCATACTGTTCTCGTGATAGTGAGTTCTCATGAGATCTGATAGTTTTAGTTTTATAAGGGGCTCCTCCCCACTTCACTGTGTATGTCTCCTTCCTGCTGCCATGTGAAGAAGGACATGTTTGCTTCCCCTTCTGTCATGATTGGAAGTTTCTTGAGGCCTCCCCAGACCTGTGGAACTGTAAGTCAATTAAGCCTCTTTCCTTTATAAATTACTGAGTCTTGAGCAGTTCTTTATGGCAGTGTGAGAACAGACTAATACTGTGTGTATGTGTGTGTGTGTGTGTGTGTGTGTGTAGGGGATGTTGCAAGTGTGAGGAGGGAACATTAAGAAGTAGAGAGGTGGTTGAGCACAGTGTTTCATGCCTGTAGTCTCAGCACTTTGGAGGGCTGAGGTGGAAGAATTGCTTGAGCCTAGGAGATAAAGTCTGCAGTGAGCCATGATTGCACCACTGCATTCCAGCTTGGGTGGCAGAGTGAGAACCTGTTTAAAAAAAAAGAAGTGGACAGGTTGGCAGGGCCCATATTTGAGAGGCCCTGAAGGATGTGCATTTCCTCAGGTAGGCCATGGGAAGTGCCACAGCAGGACTGTAACTTAGATCAGCCAACACTGCCCTTGTCCTGGCAACATGTGCTTGGGAGATGTGTGGTCTTGGATGATCACACATCCAGCTGGTTCATTTCTGCTTTGGTGAGTTAGTAGACTCAAGGCAGCATTATTTGTTCATGACTTTGCTTAGCAATTGAAACCAAACGAACATGTCTTTAGAGGCTGTATTTTTTAAGTTAGATAGCACGTGTACATTGGTTTAAGAAGTCAAACATGACCAGAAGGTGTATAATAGAAGACTGCCGTTCTTGCCCCATCTGTCTGCCTCCTAATTCTTCCTCAAAGACAACATCTTCTGGTATTCACCTTTATGTTTGTGAACAGTGTACTTAGGATGCTTTTTCATATTTTCGGTTTTAGATTTATTGTGGAAAACCACACCATCTCTCTATTTTTGAAATATTTTCGTCACCACTTTCAGCTACATCAGTGGTTAGTTGAGTGTTTGCAGCACAGCTGCACCCCCTCACATACTAGAACAGTGTTTTCTTCTTGTTCACTTTTTGTTTTTCTGGGAGTTTGTAATTGTCAGTTTGTTCGATTTTTCCATGTAACTATCACTGATTCATTCCCAACCTCTCCAACCGAGCTCCAAATCTCCTTCTATACCTTTGAGCACTGCAAGCCTCTGCTCTCAGCCTGGAAGCCCTTTGCCTTCAAAGGCCCTTTCGGGGAAAGTTTGGGAACCTTGCTTCCTCAGGTAGAAGGAGCTATACAAAACTTAAAACAAAGCTAGAATAATTTGAGACTTTTCTTTTAATTACCCTGGAAACTACTTTTAACCACATGCATGCATTGGTTTTCTGAGGTTGCAAAATCAAATCCTCTTGGTTTTAAATCCACTAAAGCCTCTCTTTTGCCAGCCTGATTTATACCATGGTATACAAGAAATGCAGCTGTTATTACTTCCAGGTGCACATGCAGTAATTTAAGTAAATGCTATCAAAGCCTTTCCAAGTAAAAAGGCCTCCTGGGCTTATTTTAATGAATAGATAAAGCTAATTTGTAATTAGTACATTTAGTTGTTAATATGCAAATGAGGCCTGCTGTTATCTGTAATTAGCACCAAATTCTTGATTGCTAAGGATGCTGCTAAAGTGCTTGGGAAAGCCTGTAATTCTCACTCAAGTCTCCAGCCACCGGAGGACCCCTAGACCTCACCTCCAGCCCTCATTCTCCTCTGCGCTCTCACCCAGGCACCCATCGGCCTGCCTGTTGGACCTCTCCTCTCTATAGTCCAGAAGCACCTAGGACATGTCTACAACTGAATTCAAGTTCTGTTCCCTCCCTATACTTGAAGGCTCTTTTAAGAAATCTGCTCCTCAGTGGTGACCTGTCTTTCCCTCTTGCGCCACCCTCTCTAGCAGGGTCCCCTCGTCAGTGAATATACCACCATCCATGTAGTCACCTCACTCAGAAGCCTGCGCCTCCTCACATACTCTGCTCTCTCTCTCCATCTCCTCCAAAATCCCATCCATTTCTGAGGCTGCTGGGGCTTCTTCCACGCACCGTCACCTCCCTAAATCCGGTCATGCCACTCTTCCTGGGAGAGCGGTGGTGGCCTCCCCATGGTCTCTCCACCTTCTATCTTGGCAGTCCCATCTATTTCTTGTGTTGCAGCCAGTGTGGTTTTTCCAAATCACCTCTTCACTTTAAATCTTTCAGATCTCAGTTTCAACATGGCTTCCACTGGGAAAAAGTCCAAGACCCAAGTCTGCCATAAGCACCCTTCCAGCCCACTCACTTAGCCCCCATGCTTGTCCTCGTGTAACATTTAAGCACTCATTCAGAGTTGGCCTGTTGATGTATCTGTTTAACTCCTTAAGAGCAGGAATGTGTGTTGCTGCCTCATCAACAGACACACAGTAGACCATCAACAAATACTTGTCAAGAGAATACCAGAGTTAGTCTTCTCAGATTGTTTTTAAAAGTTCTCTATCCATTCTTATTTGATTAATTTGCTTGGCAAACCGACTCTTACCCACTGCATGCAAGGGTAACCTTTGTCTTAACCTTGATCAATTGACTGTGAATTCTGAATCAGGGAGCCTGAATGCATTGCTGTGTCTAGTTTTATTGCTGTCCCCAGCTAAGCACACAGCACTCTGGAGGACGAGTCAGGAGGTCTGGGACCTACCCATCTCTGTGTTGTGCTACCTTGGACCAACTGGCTCCCAACAAATATACCCCAAAATGTTTGGTAACTTGCCAGATGCCAAGAATAAGGAATCTCCTGTGACCAAAACTTAGTGGCTTCTGCGGTGTGCGCAGGGGGCCTGCCCCCATGAAGCCCCATGAAGCTCTCCAGCTCCACCGCATTGTGTATGATTCTCTTGCCTCCAGCCCCCACATCTGCAGCCACCGGCCCCCAATGCAGATTAAGTCCTTTGATGGCAGACTCTAAAAACATGAGAAAAAATTTCTCTTTGGTAGGAACATTTGAAATAACATCTTTTCAAGTGTGTCGAAGATCAGAATATGAATAGGATGGGGGTGTGGTAGGAAGGGGCTGTGAAAGGAGGGGCTGGGGCCCACAGCTTGGACGATTCTGAAAGGGGTGGTGTTGAAGCTTGCTTTCTTTTCTCTACAAAATGACAAAATCACTGTGGGGACATTTACAGCCAGAATCTATTTGACATTTTTAAATCTCTGAAATCATCAAAAATAAACCAGTGTCCCATGTGCGTTGGCAAGGAAAATGCTTTATGTCGTGGGGTTGTTTAAAAGACACCAGTAGAGCCTGGTTGGCTTAGGCAAGTTTGCTCTCTGAGTTTTTGGATAATTGAAACATTAGTTATGGTTTCCTGGGCAGCATTTACTTCATGTGGAAGTCAGGGTGGAGAGGACAAATTGCCTACCTACAAGTCACTCTGCAGACACGGCCAGCATGTCGGGTTCACACCCTGTCTTGGAAAGGAGAAGAAGGAACAGCAATGAAAATATTCAAAGTGCATGACAGAGCGATGCACTGTCTGATTACCATTCACGAATTAAACCAGCCTTCACAGCTGGGTCTTAGAGCCCAGTCCTAGACCCCCAGCTCACCCCTAAGAATCTAGAAAAACATATGAGCCTCAGCTTTTCATTTCAGAGAGGCTAGGATTGGAGCCCAGTAATCCTTGGAAGGTCCTGGAGCCTTGACTCTCTCCCTCATGCTCCCTGGTCCCTGGAATAGTGACTTGTTGGGCAAAGTTCATGAATAAGCACTTGGCCCAGAAGGCAGAGAAACAAAAATAATCTTTCCCCATTCTCCAGCTGACATTTTCTAATACTAACAGCCTCAACGATATTGGCTCAGGAAATTGTCTTTTAGGTCCAATGTGATGTCAAAATCCAGCAGCCCATCAGCACTTAATGACAAATCCCAGCACAGATGCTAACAACAGGGGAAACCTTCAGCATTGCTGAAGATGCTATTCTCTGCATGGAAGAAACAAAAAGGAGGGAGAAAGACGGCCCAGGCCTTGCAACTCCAACCTCAGAGAATGGGCCCAAGTGGACAGTGCAGCCACAGCCTGAAACAGACTCCTCAGCACAGCTCAACCCTGGACCGTGCCCTTCCAGGAAACCCAGGACATAACATGGACCGGAGGCACCTGAACCAGTAAAGCTACATATGAGTTCATACTGACAGAAGCGCAGGCTCCGAGTGGTGCAGCCCTGTGTCATGAATGTAGGTCAGCCATTCCATCTGGAAACAGGAGGGAAGATTGGCTTTGTGTCTGGCATTCTTTCTCTGCTGTCTTTACAAATACACCCAAAAAGGTTTGGTAACTTGCCACTTGCCAAGAATAAGAAATCTCCTGACCAAAACTTAGTTGACAGCCATTGTCCATGTAAGAAACAGTCCTGCCCTTCCAGGAACAGGTGTGCACCAACATTCCAACTCCAAACTTGTCCAAAAAATTTGCTTCTGGATTCTGAAACTTTTTGGATTGTAGAATCTTTTGAGTATTAATTAGGCAGAAATTCTGAACCCTCATTCCAGAAAAAGAAGTTTTGCCTATAATTTCCCCTGAAAGGAGGGAGCTTTGGAGCTCACTTATAACCTCCAGTTTAGCATCCTGTGTTAGGTGATGACAAAGAAGTCCCTCCAAGGAGAAGATTCTGCTGCAATGTGCAAATTATTGTGTTCTCCACGAATACCTTGTAAATGATCAGTTTTAACCAAAATCCAAATTATTTACAACAACTTACCAGGCACATCTCTGCCAATAAAGCAAGATACACCTGTGGTGTGAAGGAGCAAGGTGGTCTCTGAGGGAGAAGGCTGGAAGGAACTGGTTTTCTCCAGAATGTGTGTCAACTGCAATCCCAACTGCTTCAAGAGATTGTCTGAGTTGGAGTGTGTCACTGATATTTTCTTGAGTGTCTTGTCTGCTTCTGATAATTTATCTGAGCAGCGTTTGTCCAAGGTGTGTTTAGTGACAATGTTAGTAATGAGTTTTTTGTGAAAGTTCTCTCACCCTGGTGTGATTCATTACCGACTAGCTGGGCTATAATTTTGTGCTGCTGAAGCATATGTTACCTTGCAGCTGAAATAAGACTCCAGGAGTCAGGCTCATTTTCCATGTGTGTGGTTACCACCTTTTCCTCCCCAGTACCCCAAATGCACTGTCAGGAGTGGTCACTAGACGTAGGTGTTTTAGCAATCACCATCCAATCCAAATTTTTCGCTGGAATCATGTAAGTGCTGAGTTTTGGGGGAACATTTCTCTAGGGACAGAGTAAGCTGCTTGGCAGGGTATGGCTTCTCTCCAGGAAGAGCTGAAAGGGATGACCAGGTACACCCCCGATGATGTGCAGTTTGTGCTCCGCTGAGGATGGAGGAAGGAGTGAGAGCCAGCTCACTCTTGGCTTAGCAACAAGCTCTGCAATCTTGGTGTTGCATCTGCCCAGAGAAGGCGGTTTTTACTAATGCTCACAAAGGCACGATGTGGGTTAGGAAGGGCCTAGGAACACCCTTTATCCATAGGTGTGATGATAGGTGGGTCAGGGGTGGAAGAGAAGGGTCCCAGGAATGAGTCCCTGTCTGACAGCTGTCCAGGCCTGAGGTTTTATGGTAAGAACAGACAGGACGGGGCCCACGCATCTGTTTAGCATTGGTATTTGGGATAAGGCATTGGATTAGCATGAAAAGTGCTCAGGCCTCTCAGAGGACAGAACACTAGAGTTGGTGGTAGATGAGAATCAAGTTTTTTTCTGCTTACAAGTTGCGGCAAATCATTCATCAGGGTTTTCATACAGGGCATCTCATCTTCTCAACCTTGGGGTAAGTTCTAGAAGAACTGGGTCTTCTATTTGTTTAAGGTCTGCCAAGTGCCACGCCTGGCCCTGAACTTGTAGCATTCAGCGTCTCTGGGCCCATGCCTTTTCTCATGCAGTCGTGAGTTCCCCTGAGGTCCGTCTCTGTTCACTAGCAAAATCTGAAGTGATTAGAATTCTCCCCACCCTGACACCTACATCAAATGCCACCACAGGACCACGTGGAGAAAGAAACAAGGATCAAGCGGCCCCTTTCCTGGTCATGTGACCTTGGGCCAATCACTTACACTCTCTGCACTCCAGACTACTCCCTTGAGCAATAGGAATAGTGATGTCTACTGTCCAGAGGGGCTGTGAGGGCTTGGATGTGGTTTGTTTACTCTAAACCTCCCAGGAATACTTGCCCATGATGATGGCCCTTCTTCCAAGAAGTGGTTTCCTAAAGTCAACCGGAGACCATCTCAGCTTCTTTTGAAACTCCATAGCAATTTGTAGCCTTCACATCCCACTACTTTTCTGCCTTGTATCAGTTATTACTCATCTGTGCAATATATTTTGCTATCCGTCCCCACTGCCCACCCTTGGCCCCGATACACATTCACATTTATAAGCTTCTGAGGGCCCCGTTGATAGGGAATTCAGCTTACACCCATCACAATCCCCAGCACCTACTGGGATCAAATGAACACTGCCGGGATTAACCCATTTAGTGCTATGGGATAACTATTCAAGTTCTATGAAGAAAAGCTACACAGATACACCAGTGGTGATGTTTCAAACTTGAAGATTTCCTCTGCAACAAAATTGTCTTTTTCTATCAGCATTAGACTTAGCTGGCCATGTGAATAATTCTAAATAGCCTGAAAAATTACCATTGATTTTCTGCACCACAGTAACACATTCTTTTTTTTCTGAAAAAGACAAAGAGAATTCAAAGAATCAACCTTCACTCCAGAGAGTAGTGGTGGTGGTTGCGGCGGGAAGGGGGGGCACCAGAGGGGTACTTACACAACAAAATAAATTTAATAAGTTGCCCATTTTATGCTGGGTGACTTGTGAAGGACATTTTGCTTCTATCCAGAAAACCCTGTTATATAATAAACGCAAGCTCAGACGTGCCTCAAAGAAGAAGTGAGCCGATGCCATTTCCAGCCAGCAGAGTGCATGACTGTGTGGGGTGGACCACAGGGACGCCTCCTCCACCAGAGGCACTGGGAGGTGGGAGGCAGGCTGGGGAGGAGCTTGAGAACACCTGGGGCCAAGCCAACCAGTTTGCATCCGAATACTGTTCCTCACGAAGGCAGATGCTAGGCCTCCAGATCTGAGTCCTGTGGGTTGGGTCACCTGTGAGTTTGACTTATTTTGTTATGGAAAATGCAAGTATAAAGGAGTGTTGAGACTTTCACCGTGGTTTCCAACTCTGAGGAAGAAATCTCCTCAGCCATATGTGTGATGATTTAAATTTATAACCACCATTCATAAGTTTTTTCCAAGCCAACCTTGTTTCTGTGACCTCTAGTCATCTTGTTATTCCCAAGCAGAAATGTTCATAGCTAAAGCAGTAGCACTGTTATAACTTGGTTTCTACACTGAAAAAACAACTTTTCCCCACCATCCTTTACCTCACTATCCCTCCACCACTCCTCCCCACACCCCTCCTCTCAAAACCCAGAAACTTCTATACTTGGTTTTGAGCTCAAAGCAGATTTTATTTATTTATTTATTTTTAGAACACATCAGTTAAATCTGTTCGTCTTTTTTGGGTTGAGGGACTGGAAGAAATCACACATCGTTTCTGATGTGATATACTCATGGGCGGATTTGCATCCTACCCAAAGATAGCTCAACTTCTTTTTAAGATGTTTTGCCTTCTTTGGCAATCAAAATCAAACTTTTCTAAGTAGATGTGCACTTTTGGGTTACACAACTCTGAGCACATATGAGAGCTTCCTGGGGTCTTTGCTTCACCTGGGATCAACTTCTAAGCCCTGGAGGTGTGACTGTGTGCCAGTGTTCCCTCGGGGATCTGAGTGTCCCTGGTGGCCCAAGCCCCAGGATGAGAAAAGGGTAAAGAGCCGTCATTTCTGGACTACACATGGGCTTTCTCAAAGGGCGGACCGACCGCCTAATTGAAGACATTTGTTTTCATCCTCACCTTTATTTCCAAAGAGAGTAATGCCAAGTGAGCTGGAAATCAGAAAGTTAGAAGACCAGCTGTGTGACCTTGGTACAGTTTCCTGTCATTTCCAGGTCTCACTCTGCTCACCTGTAAAAGGGGATCAGATGCTCTTGAAGGCTATTTCCAGCTCGAAACCAATCTCATGCTTTTCTTCACTCTGGGAAGATCCCAGGGGTTGATCAAAGAAGTAGCTCCCTCCTCCCCATACTTTCTCCATCCAGCCAGCCAGCCTTCTGCTTGTTGTTACTTTTCTCCTGTCTCATGAATAGCCTATAAAGCCCAAGAAGAAAGTCAATAACATTAGAAGTTAAGAGATGGAGAGCTCCTGAATCAAGCCATTCCTGAAGCCATGCCTGCCTTCTGGACTATTCAGTTACCTAGAGTAGGTGAGTTTGTTTTTCTGACATTTGTAAAAAAAAAAATCCTGATATCTAGGGTAAGGCAGCAAAGGAAAGTCAAACTTAAGAGGGATGGAAAATGGGGCTGCTATGGTTTGGTTGTTCATCCTCTCCAAAACTCATGTTGAAACTTAATCCCCGAAGTGCCAGTATTGAGAGGTGGGGCCTTTAAGAGGCAACTGAATCATAAGTGTTCTGCCTTTATGAATGGATTAATTCATCCATGGATTAATGTGTTAATGGATTAATGGGTTATCATGAGAAGGAGACTGGTAGCTTTATAAGAAAAGGAAGAGAGACCTGAGCCAGGACATTGGCACACTCAGCTCCCTCAGCACATGACAGTCTTCATCGCCTTGGGACTCTTCAAAGAGTCCTACAGGCAAGAAGGCACTCATTCGATGCTGCCCCCTGACCTTGGATTTCTCAGCCTCTAGAACTGTGAGAAACAAATTCATTTTCCTTATAAATTACCCTGTTTCAGGTGTTCTGTTATAAGCAACAGAAAATGGACTAAGACAGGTGCCTTGCCAATCTCAGTCCCCACTCTCCCTCACCTTTTTGGAGCCAGCTGTACTTTCTGATCTTGGGATCAGATCCCATGCACCCCGCTATCATCCCTTTCTGACTCGACTTGATTTCTTACCCAGTATGGGTTGTAAAGTTCCTCACCTTCTCAACTTTCTTCTGTTCTCACCTTGCCATTCTTCAATCCTGAGCCATCAGAACAATGCCTCTTAGTCCTTTTCATAATATGGCAAACATAGAAAACGATAATATGTGAATGCCACCCTGGGGTAAACTAAAGAATTAGGGTGTCTAAGTGAGTGTTGAGGGGAAAAGGTTCATTACATTTTCTTTACATAATTGTGATAAGACAAAGTAAAATACAAAGTCCCAGAGAAGATATGGCTTTGTAGGAAACTCTGAAATAAAACATTTTTAAAATGTTAAGTCTGAAACCTGAACTTGTGTCCATGAACATGCCTTTTTAAACATCAGGCTTAATGCTTCAAATGGCTGTCCTCAAATCCTAATCAAAACTTCTGAATCATAGTATCTTCAAATGCTTTGTAGTTACTATCAATGAGAAACCTTGCACATGTGGGTGATGAAAAAATTAAAACTATTTTTTGCAACCTTTCAAAAATATCAATGGTTGAAATTATATTTAAAGAATCTACTTTTTCTTTTTCTCATTTCTACAAATTTCTTGTGATTTCTCACTGACATTTCTTGTGATAACACAAATGGATTTCCAGTCCAACGATATTATTTACATCAATTATTTCCAAATAATGATGAGGCCCGGATGTGCAGCATGTGCATGCATTGTTCAGTCAGTCTCCCAGTAACCCAAATGAATGACACCAAAATGGTCTGTCACAGGTGAAGGCAGAGACTTGGTGCCACCCTCTAGGGCCCTTCCCAGACTCCCAGGCACCCTTTTCTGATCAGCCACACCCTGGGTCGTGTGCCCAGTAGCTCTATGAGCCCCTTGTCCAGAATGGGCAGTGTCACGCCTTGCAGCTGGCCTCGTCCAGTCTCCATGGTGGAGAACAAATGTAGACTTTATGTATCTGATGTTGGTCATTGTGCTTTTGCCTCCAGGGGCCCCGGGGTGCTCCCCGTCGGGAGCCCAGAGGCATCCCTTGGCTGTAGGTAGAGATCCTGGCCACCCCTGTGGGCTGAGAAAATCGACATCTACAACTCCCTGGCGACATGGCAGGGTGTCTCGAGACAGTGGTTGGAAAGCTCTGGCAATACTCCCACTACCCTTGGGAGTATTAATCCATCTGTTGACATAGATTTAACTCCAAACCCCATCACCTCCATTTCCTCCTATTTTCTCATTTTTCTTGTGAGGACTAAGCTCTGACTTTTTTATCTCGCCCAAATTCCTATCTAAGGGATCTAGGGAGTCATGCCCTACAAACCACAAATTCTCATCAGATGGGTTTTATCTGACTCTATATATCATGACTTACTTACCAGTCTGACTCTGGCATAACATTATGAGACAGGGAAAAAAAATCAAAATATTCAACCCCAAAATATGTTTCCTTGCCATACCTTGAAACAGCACTGCAAAGTCTCTTGTGGGAAAGATCCACATTCTATGGAGAATCACTTTTCCCCTTTGTTTTCCTCCCTTCCCTTCCAGATCCAGGAGATAACTAAGAGCCAGGCACCGTTTTAGGTCTGATAAGAAAGATTTTACAACCTGCTGTTTCTCTGAAGTCTGCTAAGAGCTTCCTCTGCACAATAAAACTTGGTCTCCACGATCCTTTATCTTAACCTGAACATTTCCTTTCTATTGATCCCAGGTCTTCAGATAAACTCAATCAATCGTCAACCAGAAAATGTTTAAATTTACCTATAGCCTGGATGCCCCTCCCCACTTTGAGTTGTCCCGCCTTTCTGAACCAAACCAATGTATTTCTTAAATGTATTTGATTGACGTCTCATGCCTCTCTAAAATATATAAAACCAAGCTGTGCCCCAACCACCTCGGGCACATGTTCTCAGGACCTCCTAGGGCTATGTCACGGGCCATGGTCACTCATATTTGGCTCCGAATAGATCTTTAAAAATATTTTACAGAGTCTGACTCTTTTCATCAACACTCGACTTCAGCCATCCCTATCATGCTTCTGCAGGTCACCTAGAAACCAAATTCGAGGTCCTTTTCTCAGTCCTTGGCTCTCCAGGACTTCCCTGGAGCAGTCAGAACTATTTTCTGCCTCCACTATCAAAAAACTTTTGTCTTGTAGCTCTGGGGGCCGGCACCTTCTTGAGTGTCATTTTACTTCTTGACTTTAATTTCTTTTCCTTACTTCTGGATGCCTTTTCTTTGCTGGTTATATTTTTTTCTTATACCCACAGATGTGGGGGTCCCTAGTCCTCTTTTTACTTCATACCTCCTACTGACTGCTTTTACCATTGCTGTTGTGTGGACAGACTTGAAATCTTGCCAGCAGTCTGACTGCCTAAGCTCCAGTTCTAAATTCTCCCCTCGACAGTTCCATCTGATGCTCCTGAAGGCATCTCCAGTTCATCACGCTCTGAAGCCCTTTATTCCTCCCAGCCCCACATCAGCTCTTCCTTCTTACTCCCCTGTTTATGTTAAGAGCACTACCAGTTCCCTCCCTGGGCTCAAACTCTGGAAGGTAGCTTTGGCTTTTCAATTGATTGTTGAATCTTGATAAGCCTCCCTACTGAATGCCTGTCACACCCATCTCTTCCATTTCTGTAGATGCCACCCTATTCTAGGTTTTCTACCTTTCATCTGATGACAATAGCCTCCTAGGTGTCTTATCACCTATGTTTTCCTTCCTTCTCCCACCTCAGACAGATCATTACTAGATTACTCTCACAAAGAAAACTCCTTTGTTTAAAAGCTTTCAATAGCTCCTTATTATTGATAATGTTTAGCCCAACCTCTTTGCCAGACATCAAAGGCCTTCATAATCTGTCCCCAGCCTGTCCATGTAGGTCTACTTCATAGATTGTAGAAATATTTATTGAATCCCTATGCTTTATGCCAGACTGGCCTAGGTGCTGGAAATACAGCAATGAGTGAAATCAAATTCTCAGTTCGTATGAAACTTACATTCTAGAGAGTAAAGTCAGACAATAGGCAAACAAGTCAACATATATGTCAGATCATAAATGCTTGTAGAAAAATAAAGCAGGATAAGAGGGTAGATGGTAATGGGAGTGGTAATTTTATATAGGCATTTGTGGCATTTGTCCAGAGTCTTAAATGAAGTAAGAGAATGAGCTTTACAGATACCTGAGGGAAAAGCATTCTAGGTAGAGGAAAAGAAAATTCAGTGGGAACTAGCTTGGCAAGCTGGAGAAGCAGAAAAAGAGCCAATGTGGATGAGCAGAGTGAATGAGGAGAAGGATAAGATGATGAGATCAAAGCAGCAGCAGCGGGGTCAGGTTATGGAGGACCTGTGGACTGTGGTATGCATTTAGGATTTTATTGTGAATGATGTGGAAGGGACTGAAAGGTTCTGCATAGCAGGGTGAAAAGTTCTAAAACATATCACACTGATGGCTGTGTGAATAGATAGGGGGATGGAGAGACAAGAGTGGAAACTGGGAGGCTACTGCAACAGTCTAGGCAAAGGATGAGACGAGAGGTGCTGGAGAGATGGAGGAGCTGTCAAATTCTGGTTATATTTTGAAGGTAGTGCTGACAACACTTGCTGATGGATTGGACGTCAAGAAAAGAGTCAAGGATGATTCAGAAGCAACTGGAAAAATACAATTGCCATTAACTAAGCTTTATAAGGAGACTGTGGGAAGAGAAGGAAGTCTGTTGGAGGAGGGAAGTTCCGTTTTTGGTGTGTTGAGTTTAAGATGACTATCAGACATGCAAGTGAAGATGTCAAGTTGTCAGTTGGAATTTGACTCTAGCATTGAAGAGAGAAATCCAGGCTAGAAATATATTTGGAAGTTGTTTGTGTCTGGAGGGTATTTGTGTTCAGAGATTAGCAGGGTTCACTTAGAGAGAGGTCAGCGGATGGAGCCTGGGTCACTGCTCGTAGAGATGGGTAGGGTGACAAGGGCTCAGCAAGGGAGACTGAACGGAGTGGCCTGTAGGTTGGATGAAAGAAAACCAAGAGACTACAGTGGCCTGGAAGCCAACTGCAAAAGGGGTTCACCAAAGAGGGAGTAGTTTATGACTTATTTTAAAACAATCGTGTGTATATGTGCATAGACCGATCAGTATATAGAGAAAGAACTGTCATAGGTTGAACATTGCTGAGTCTGTAAATAGGAGTTTATTTTACTGTTTACTTTTGTATATGTTTGAAATTTCCCATTATAAACAGCAAAAAAAAAAAAGAGGGAGTGACAAATTGTGTTAAATATTGCTGAGAGGTTGATTAGGAGAGTTAAGAGAGTGGATTTGACCTTGTAGAGAGCACTGGTGGTAGGGACAAGAAGAGTTTCCATGGAGTTGAATGCCTGTGGGCAGTGGGCTCAAGAGAGCCTAGGAGGGAAGGATGGGGAGTGACCAAGTGCAATCAACTCCTTCAGAGAATGTTGTAGGAAACAGGAAGAGAGAAATGGGTCAGCAGCTAGAGGGATATCAAGGGACCAAGGGCAGTTGGTTGGCTGGTTTGGTAGTTCTAAGATGGAGTGATTACAGCTCTGCTTCCCACTACTCTCCTTCACACAGCTCTGGACAAACCCCTCCATCAAACTCTGCCCCACAGTCACCGTCCACACCTCCCCTGCCCCAGTCACCCCATCCATCGATGCCTAAATCTCCTCCCACCTTCTGCATCATCCCCATTGTATGTGATATCTCCTGGTGTACAGTTTTTATCCACATGTCACATTTTCAAGAATCTTTTTTATAGAAGAGCTTTGGTTGTGGTGGTGTTCAATCAGTCTCTGTAGGTGTTATCTTTATCAGAGCACACTGTTTATACTCCAGGTCAAAACTACACAGTGTTCCCCTGATGGCTTTCAGAAGGAAAGCAGAACTACAGAAACTATAAAGTTTCTTATTCCTTTAGATCCTGGAAAATAGCATTCAGTAGTAGCAACAAGAATATCTTTCACTTGCCTTTCCCACTTCAAAGGCAAGGCTAGAAGCACAAATTCATACTAAGGGATCATGGACTGAAATTTGTTTTTAAAACTAACTGAAAAGCCTCAGCAGTTACCAAAAGATTTCTCTTCTCTTTGGATACCTCAGAAATTAGGTGAGAATGAGTAGGTAGGGAGACGGAGCCTTCTAGTTTAAGATACTGGCAAGTTCAGTGAAACCACTAGAAAAATAAGACATGATTAAAAACACTCTTCCCCTCACACCTCCCTCAGAGGGTATCACAGCAAGGAGACCAGGGCACTTTTTAAAAGATCTTTCCTGCTGAGAAGGTTCTGTCAGAAGCACTCATTGTCAGTGCAAAGGGCAAGAACAGAAAAGATACTTTTAATCAGGATGAAATCAAGGTACGTCAGAGATGGACTCTGGGAGAAATTCTTAAGAAACAAAAAATGTTAACAGTCCTTCTATTATGGTGAGAAGGCTGGAGTGACAGGAAATTATGTTCACACATGGCTAAACTGAGGAGGACAATTGCGCAAAAGAGCATTAGCACCTCCTGCCCTAATTACTACCAAGTGCCCACTACTGCCAAGCTCTGTGCTATGGGTCCAAGATGGCACAGTCCCCGTGCTATGTCTACAGCTCCTTGTCTTGAGAGGACACCAAGGGAGGCTACCATAATAGTGTGAGATTTAGGAGTCTGTCTATGAGAAAAAGTTTCCTTGATCCTGAGATGAGGGGAGGCCGGGGTTTCGGGCAGCAGCAGCAGCAGCCTGTGCAAAGATTCCTGGGCTTAGGGGGCACGGAGTTCTGAGAAAAACAAGGAGTCACACCTCTGTCCCATAAGGCAGAATGACCCTGGACAGACAGGCTGAGGCCAGGTCACAAAGGGCCTTTTCTGTCATGTGCCAGGGAGCTCTTCATGGGGGATGACAGGAGCAGGTTTGAGTTTTGAAAGATCACTCTGGTGGCAGCGAACTAAAGGAAAAATAGACTGTGCAGCAAGCTCGAAGTTTTGGAAACCGGTGACTTTGTTGGTCTGATTTGTTGTCAAAGCCAAATGCTGATTTTCAGTGTTGTATTTTGCTTTGCTTATTTCTGCACCTCAAGCAAGTGAAGGTTTCATTCTATTCGGGTATGTATAAGCATTCGGATAACTGCACTTTTCATCTGTACACCTTATATCACAAGGACAGAATGTAATCAACCCCTGGAATCAACCACCATGAAATAACTTACTACGGACAGCTCTGGTTATGCAAATGATCTTTAGTTTTTTTTTTTAATTAATTATTTACTATTATACTTTAAGTTTTAGGGTACATGTGCACATTGTGCAGGTTAGTTACATATGTATACATGTGCCATGCTGGTGCGCTGCACCCACTAACTCGTCATCTAGCATTAGGTATATCTCCCAATGCTATCTCTCCCCCCTCCCCCCACCCCACCACAGTCCCCAGAGTGTGATATTCCCCTTCCTGTGTCCATGTGATCTCATTGTTCAATTCCCACCTATGAGTGAGAATATGCGGTGTTTGGTTTTTTGTTCTTGCGATAGTTTACTGAGAATGATGATTTCCACTTTCATCCATGTCCCTACAAAGGACATGAACTCATCATTTTTTATGGCTGCATAGTATTCCATGGTGTATATGTGCCACATTTTCTTAATCCAGTCTATCATTGTTGGACATTTGGGTTAGTTCCAAGTCTTTGCTATTGTGAATAGATCTTTAGTTTTGAAACCAAGTGCTGCTGCTACTTTCCACATCCCCTTCCCACTTAAAGCCCCAACTGAATTCCACCTCTGCAGTGATTCCCAACACCAGTTCATGAAAAAGTTTTCATCAGCTAGGGAGGCAATATACAAGCAAAGGACAATGGAGTGAATCTTTCATAAAACAAAATTTCTTCTATATAAAGGCCTGTCTTCTAAAATATGTCCTACTTCCTTTTTGTGTGTTAAGAGTTCCTTAGTTTTACTAAATAATGGCAAGATAATTTGTTTTTTTAATGCCCTGACATGGCAAAATATTTGGCAACCCCGGATCCATGCCCTGGTTTTGGGAAATGTGAAATCTGGAGACCAGGTGGCCCCTGCTCAGAGTCTGCTCCACTACCACCTTCCTGATACTGCAGAGTGGTCACCTGACATCAGTCAGGTGAGGGAAGGGGCCCATCTGCATTAACCAAGGCTGACAATGACCTGCCAAAGCAGCAGAGTTGACAGCTAACTATGAGACAATCAGGAAAATGTTAGCCCAGTGTGTAATTTAATCACTTATTTCTTCCTAATTACCTCTTTAGAATTTAGCATCTTAATGAGAACATTAAACTTCCCCTTCATGGCTGCTTAGTCACTCACATTTAAGTATTGTTAAATAAATAGTTAAATAAGGCCCTAAAGTGTATTTACTTCTGTGCTCCCAACTTCACCTTCTTTATTAGAGAGAAGTGCTTAAAGCCTATTACCCTGTTAGCACCCAAAAAATGTCTTAGTTTGGGACCCCCTGGCATGAAATCAGTCTTCCACAAAGGGACTGTATGTAACTAAGCCTTTGGGAGAGGACTGTGCAAAAATGTAGGTGCTGGAGTAAAAAGACCTATGTCTGGATCTCAGCTCACAACTTAGTCTCAGGTTCCTCATCTAAAAGTGGGGTTGGTAACAGTACCTGCCTGCATAGAGTGGTTATGTTTAGGACAGTCTTGGTAGTTGGTGAATAATCAATAATGGTTATACTGCTATTATGGTGAATATGGGAGATTTTCAAAGTACTGTCTTTAACACAGGAATCATGGTTAGACCTGGAAAGGCTTTTAAATAATCTAGCCCAGTGTGACAGATGGGATTTGCCACTTTATAGATGGAACAAAATGGCAGGGGTGGATGGGGGTGTGTGTGTGGGAGGATCTAGACAGAACAGAGCCAACAGGAGGCAGAGCCTGGACTTGTGTGAGTCTAGTCCAGAGTTTTCTCCACCACATGTGTCCTCCCACTTGGGAGTATTTGCTTCTTGGCTTCCAAGGTTATTTTTTTGGCCAGGAAAAACTATATGCAGAGTTCAAAATGGTGGTATTATTTAAACATTTAAAGATGGCAAATTCCATACTATAAAAATGCAATGCAAAAAAAAATTTGGTAGTTCACGACTTCATCATTTCAGAATATTTATTGCTATTGCTGAGTATTCTAAAAAATTTAAATGCATTAAAAATAATGTAACAGAATATCTACTCATACAGTAGACTGCTAAGATTAGATGAAGAGAAATAATATAAACATCATATAAAGATGTGCTTTCTCCCATTCCTCTCCACTTCAAAAATAAAAGGTTCAAACTACACCCCCCTGTGTCAATCAAATTTCTCAGTTTCTCAGAAAGAAAAATAGAGGCTTTCCAAGTCTTTATGCTAATCTCTACAAAGCCAGATGGATTACACTGGGTGTGGCTGACAGCAGTAGGATGTGATGCCAGCAATAGAAGGGACACAAGAGTATCACCAGTAAAACAAAGTAGATACACTTATGCTAATTTAAATCAGTAGTTTTATTACAATACGCACTGACACACAATTGGAAAAGGAATGTCCTGACATTTTCTGAGCATTTCACGGAAAGCAAATGTAACCATCCACGCAGTAGAGTCATCCACACCTTTTCCTAACAAAAAGCAAAAGCTTTCACATGTGATAACTGAAGAAAGCAAAGTTTTCTTATTCTTGTCTAAAAAACTTCAGTCTCAGAAAATAGTTATTGAAGTGAGCTGAGAAGGAGCACATTTCCTTCACAATGTCCAAAATCCTGCCTCTAGATTATCCCCCTGACCTTCTAAATGACTTTTATAATACTGCAGATGGTATTATGTTCAGGGGCTAAATGGGATCTACTTATAAGGCCAACTACTCTATGTCACTATAATTGAAAGGAAAGAATAAATTAAGAAAATTAAGTCCTGCTAAAATGCACAAAGACTTGAAGAAAATATCTGGGTGTATTAAAAGTGAGATGCTCTTTTCACGTAACTCATTTGAAAGGTTACAATTACCATAAACATTTTAACTCCATTAAAGATCATTGGCAAAAGCTTGCTTTCGTATCTGCAAAAGGGCTCTGCCTTTCCACAGGCTCGGAGGGAAAGCAGCACACCGTGGAAGAGTCACTCGTCCTGGGGAAGCAGGCATCAGACTATTTGAAGTTGCATAGGCATTTTTTTTTTAATCCATTTTGTAAAAGATACTATGGAACCTTGAGAATTTTCCCTCCTTCAATAGTCATTGTGGCATCAGTTGTTTTAATCCCTTTAGCGCCCAAATGTGCAAAAACACTCTAGTAAAAAACGTTACAATGGCGTTTTGGATAAATTCACTATACATTACATGACTTGGGAACAACGAAGAAAAAAGCCCAAGCTTGACTCAACTATTTCATATAGAAAAGCACTGCAGGAGAAAACTTTGTTTAAAAACATTAAAACTCAGGTGAATATAAATACATTTTTGGTTCATCTGTGCTATGTCCATATAGAAATCCCGTCAGATATTCAGTCTACCGGGTAATTCAGTTGGATTTCGTGTCTGACTGAATCAGTAGAAGAATATACACTTGCATATACTTACACAGATATGCATTTACATATACAATTCAGACCATGAAAATTTGTTTTAAATACATTTACTTAAAACATGTACCTCTAAAAATAAATACACTAGCCTCCATTTAGCTAATTCTCAGAGTTCTTTCACAAACCAATTAGAACAGTTTATCAACAATGGCAGACAATCAATTAGCCGCCCTTTAAATCCATTATCTATCAGTAAACATTTTAAAATTCAGATGTATAACAGAAATAACATCCGCAGAATAGAATGTAGATAGAATTCTCGCTTTGAAAATAAATGTCTTGATTTCCTTGATATTTAGTTCCTACAGATGTCTACACTTTGCCTCTGCATTTATCTAGCAGTGGGAGAGCATTTTCTGGTGACAGCATTCTATTCCATGACATTACCTTCTAATCAAAGAAGTTAGCTGGCATTCCCTTTGCTGTTTTGTTCGAGAGAAGGAACACAACATCGTTTGTATTTGATATCACTCCCATAGATCACAGTGAGTTGTGTGTTTTAACGTAATTTACAATGTGCTGATACCACTGAGGTAAAGCAGAAGTAGCCCTGGCATTTAAAAAAAGAAGTCTCCCAGGAGAACAACACATAAAGGACCTGGTGGTGTATGTCCAAGTTCCATGAAGTAACTCAAAACCACTGCCAGAATGGACACACTGGATATCTGATATCATAGTCGAAACAATACAAACAGATGAAAATACTCAAAATACTTCCTTTAGAAACAATGCAATTCACAAAAATGGAGCTTTACTTTTTTCTTTTACATTTCCAAAAAACTTGTTAAAATGATATAAACCAGACCAAGTTGTTTAATATAGTACAACTTAACAACCCTGTCATTTGTTTTTGAATACAGGGATCTCAGAAATGTAGGAAATCCATGGTAAATGATAGCAAGAATGTTTAATGCCATTGCCTGGATTTTTTAAAAGGAAAATTTGCTACAGTTGTAACACAACTTCTAAAAAATACTGTTTTATGGGCTCACAGTTTCCAGATTGTTAACTTTATAAATTAAATGTGAAGCTACCCATATATAAACAAGGCCTCTTTTTCATTGATTTCCATCTTGTTTAAACCTTTGGATATTTCAATCTTCAGATTCCACAAGGTAAGGCTGAGTTTATCAGATAAATAAGATGTTTAAGTCCACGATGTATTGCAGCACTGAGGAAACGAATGCATCAAGTATTTACAGGCTGGCTACGATAACTTTCTTTTTTTAAAAAAAATTCAAATGTGTATCAACATCAAGCCACAGTCGTTTTTCAATTTCTCTGGCTACAAAAATGGGCAACAGCGTTTTTTCCTCATTCCTCTTTCTTCTTAACCCTCAAGTCACAGGCAGGTCTTAGGTTAAAGGGCGTGGTCTTTTGGGAGGTGGTGGTGGCATGAGCTCCGTGTCAGGGTCCAGATGATGTTTTCGCTTCTGTCCTTGAGAAGCTGCAGTACATCTGTCGATGAACTCAAACAGCATCTCCTTGGTGACAGGGTTTGAGATGCTGTTACACACAGCTGTGGACAAAGGGAGACAGGTCTCATGTGAGGGTTAATTAAGGCAGCTGACTCACCACAGGCTTATGAGAAAGGTTTTCATCCCAATATACTAAATACTTTCCATTTTACCCATTTGAGTGATGTGCTTCACATTGAACTATCTCCTCCCTACCCTACACCCAAAATATGTGCTTGTCTAATGGCTACTCTTTACTGCAGTATTAATTTTAAACCAAAACTTTAAATGTTTGGGCTATAAGCATGTCTTCCCCACGGTTTTCTATCCCTCCCAAACCAGTTTTTATGGGATTTTAATCTAACACAACACATTGCACCATAGTCTGTATTCAACTAAAACTTCTACAGAAAACGTGCACTATAGTCCTTCAATCTTTCTCTCAGAAAGAAGTCTACTCTACGAAACATAAAACATGGCACCAGCCACCATTCCTGTTGAATAGGTGGTTTCATTGTAGCTAGCAGACCATATTATCTTCTCTTATCAAAATTTAGTGCCAGTCCTTTTCATTTTATTTACCTATTTGGTCTTAGAAGAAAAGACATTGGCTTAATCATCCTGACTTTTGAAATTAACTCATCTTGTCTGAACATGGATGCTAGTTCCAATGAGAACTCCTAAATGTACAACAGTAACTTTTAAACTGCAAAGCTGAAATTGGCAATTTCAATATTTTCTCATTAGCTTATCATATCATCATCATCATCCTCCTCATCAACTGCACATTCTAAAAGTAAAGTTTGATTAACCTGTTATCTTGGTTTTTACCTTTTTTCAACTCCACTAAAAATGCAATCCAGAACAACAACTGCTACTGGTAGTGGTATACCTTATAAACTTCAATTAATTTGTGTTGTTCCCCATGAAAGAAACTTACTATTCTGAATTCCCAAAGCATTCATATTGTACCCAAAGAACACTCTGAAGAATAGCATAGCAGATTTTGTCTTTTTAAATGGTTTTCGTTTACTTTGTTCTCCATTGTTTATAAAGCTATTTTAAGAGCTGGAAATTACATTTTCCCCTGATAATTTTGTCTTTTACCATCTGGCAAACAATGGTTTTTATAGTTTTGAATAGATCTGAAATTATCATGGTTTCTGTTGTTGTTGTTGTTCAATAAATTCAACTTGTATACAGCCCAGTATCCTGCCCTTTAAACTTCTCTTTTGGGTGCATGGGCACAAGATCACCAGTTTAGAGAGTAGAACCTACAAGCCAACTGGAGCCAAACAGAATACAGACTTGACGTATCTTTCCCATCAAACAAGGATGAAGTCCAAATGACTATGCCCCATTAAGCAAAACAACAAAGGCAGCACACTTTGGGTCTAACACCTTAATTTTTGTTTTAAATATAATAAGCACTGGTAAGTTGTCATACTCACCCATGGCAGTGTTGTAGGCATTAGGAAAACTTTTGTCTGTTCTCTGTCTCATGAAGACCCAGCTGTTGTTCTCAAATTTGCATTCTATAATTTTGTTGTCATACTGTTTCAGCTCTTTTGTCACCTGTTTTGAAAGAGAATTGAGGAAAATATTTAAATAACTTGAAAGGCTTTTTGCTTCTACTATGTGACAGGCACATTAGGAAATGATAAAAATACCTCAGTAACTCTTCATGCAGAGAGCTCTTTGTCATCTGAAGTATCTAATCAAGCTTAAGGTATGGTGTGCACTCCCTTGTACACATGCTCACTTATCCGACATTTTATAAATAATTGTGAAAATGGCTGTCAATATATAGCAATTAAAAGAAGCTAGGCAGAAACCAGCCATGCTGGGCCAAATGCAAATATGTTACCATGGGGACCAATACCTTCAATATTGTCTGTGTCTCTACGGCTTTCAGAAATTGAGTATACTGCCTAGGTTTCATCAACTTTCAGAAAGGTCTAACCATCTAAATTCCTATGTTAAAATCTAAGAAATGCCGTGTACTAGTTAAATGAAAAAGTTACATATCAATAGTGAATACTAGGATCAAATTCAGGCAATGTACATCCTAAATATTTTGCTTTCCAAGCAGTGACAATTAACCAACAATCTAATCTTCAGGAAACTTAGCCTTTCCATCCCCAAACTAGTACAAATTTACAGATGAAGCTATTTGTGACATTAGTTGATGGGTTTTTTGGCTTCTTCACCTCAGATGACTGAATATGGATACTCTATCAAAGCTAACAAGTATCCATGGTAACTACGAACCTTTTAAAAGATATTTCACTGGGCTGTGAGAATGGTTTTCATAAATAGGAACCTAAGCTTATCTTTGTAGTTTTCAAATCAAATGCCAGTCATGGTAATATTTTAATTCTGTCCTCATCTTTCATGGCTAACAACTTTTCCTCACAATATGGTAGACTGCAATCATTTAACTTCATTAGCATTATCTGAAACATTCTCATTTTTCTACCCACATATTCACTACCACCTAGGAATATGACGAGAAGTAAGTTTTTAAAAGATGCTTTCAATTCGCAGATTAGGCAGCACATGTCTTCATAAAAACTTTCAAACTATATTCCTTTCCCTTTACATTTGATTGTACCATCTGCATTTTCAACAAATCCAACAGGTGCAATACACTCAGTGGTTTTGGAACTAGACATGCCCAAAAAAGTGATATTCCAAGTAGCAAACTTGCCAAATTTATCCTCAAATATTCATTATTTTAGTCTCAATTCTCTTGCCTTGCTTTCTAGGGACCCATTCTTTTATTTTGGAAACACTGTGTATATGCAAGTATTGGACAACTCATTCAGTTAGGTAAACACAGTTTTGCTATACCACATGTAAGGTCTAACAGAAATAAGTTTCTAAACCTTTCAGTGTCTATTTCCTAATTTCTAAAATGGGGAACAAGTTCCTAATTTACTGGGTCACTGAAAGAATAATAATTGAAAGTGCCTGGGACATAGAACAATCAGTAAAATTGTTAACCAAATATAAAATTAGGCAATGAAACATTGCTTTTTAAAATCTGTGGTAAAAAAACATTGAATTTTCCATCTTAACCATTTTTAAGTGTACAGTTCAGCAATGCTAAGTGTATGTCTAGAACTTTTCCATCTTGCAACACTGAAATGCTATACTCCCTAAACACTAATTGCCCCCCTTCCCCTCTACCCAGACCTTGATAACTGCCTTTCTACTTTCTGTTTCTATGATTTTGACTACTTTAGATACTTCATACGAGTATTAACAGAATCACACACTATTTGTCCTTTTGTGATTGGCTTGTTTCACTTAGCATAATGTCCTTGAGGTTTATTCATGTTGTAGCATGTGACAGAAATTCTTTCTTTTTAAAGGTAGAATAATATTCCACTGTATGTATACACCACATTTTCTTTAGCCATTCATCTGTCAATGGACACGTGGGCTGCTTCTACCTCTTGGCTATTTTGGATAATGTTGCAAAGAACGTGGGTGTGAAAATATCTCTTTGAGATCCGGTTTTAAATTATTTTGGCTATACACCCAGAGGCAGTATCACTGGATCATAATTTTATTTTTAATCTTTTGAGGACCCCTTTGTTTTCCATAATGGCTGCATCAATTTACATTCTCACTAACAGTATGCAAGGGTTCCAATGTCACATCCTTAACACCTGTTAGTTTTTGTTCCTTTTTTTTTTAAAAAAAATTGACGCCCATTGTTTACTGTGCTCTAATTTAAACTTTTTGTTCTTTCATAGTGGCCATCCTGATGGTGTCAGGTGCTATCTCATTGTGGTCTTGATTTGCATTTCACTAATGACTGAGAATCTTTCCATGTGCTTATTGGCTGTATACTTTCTTCAGTATACTTTCTTCAGTATACAAGAAACTTTGTCAATTTTTTTAATTGGGTTGTTTATTGTTGTTGAGATGTAGGAGTTCCTTATATATTCTGGACATTAACTTCTTATCAGATGTACAATTTGCAATTATTTTCTCCCATTCTGTAGGCTGCCTTTTCACACTGCTGATTGATTCCTTTGATGTACATAAGTTTTTAACTTTGATGTAGTCCTCTTTGTCTATTTTTTATTTTGTTGCCTATGATTTTGGTGTTGCACACAAGAAATCATTGCCTAATCCAATGTCCTAAAGATTTGTCCTGGCCGGGCACAGTGGCTCACGCCTGTAATCCCAGCACTTTGGGAGGCCGAGGTGGGCAGATCATGAGGTCAGATCGAGACCATCCTGGCTAACACAGTGAAACCCTGTCTCTACTAAAAATACAAAAAGATTAGCCGGGCGTGGTGGCAGGTGCCTGCAGTCCCAGCTACTCGGGAGGCTGAGGCAGGATAATGGCATGAACCTGGGAGGCGGAGCTTGCAGTGAGCTGAGATCGTGCCACTGCACTCCAGCCTGGGCAAGAGAGGGAGACTCCATCTCCAAAAAAAAGATTTCTCCTATGTTATCTTTTACAAGTTTAATAGTTTAAGGTCTTATGTTTTGGTCTTTATTTTTGTGTTAATTTTTGTATATGGTGTAAGGTAGGGGTTCAACTTCATTCTTTTGCATGTGGATATTGCTTTCCCAACACTGTTAGTTGAAGATATTGATTGTCCCTTCCCATTGTGTAGTATTGGCGCCCTTGTGGCAAATCATTTGGCCATATATGCAATGATTTATTTCTGGGCTCTCTATTCTGCTCCATTGATTTGTATCTCTATCTTTATGCCAGTAATTAAGTATGCCATCTAAATTAGATGCTTTGAAGTATGTTTTGAAATCAGGAAGTGTGAGGCCTCCAACTTTGTTCTTTCTCAAGATTGTTTTGGCCTTTTGGGGTCTATTGAGATTCTGTATGAATTTTAAGATAGTTTTTTAATTTCTGCAAAAAATACTATTGGGATTTTGATAGGGGTGGAATGCATTTTAGTAGTATAGATGTTTTAACAATATTAAGTCTTCCAATCCACAAGCACCAATGTCTTTCTATTTATTTGTATCTTCTTTGATTTCTTTCAGCAAGAAACACTGCTTAATTAAAAAAAAAAAACCTTAGAAGTAAATTTACTAAAGGAACCATGATGACATAGGAAGGCTGACTTTGAAAACAGCTGTCAAGAAAATTTTATCATATGTACTTTACAAGAATGGCTTGCTAGTCAACAATGTGTAGTCTGCACTTTTGCTGACTAGCAACTGTGGTCTTTATCATATAGCTTATCATTCTTGTGTTCTCAGTTTCAGAATTGCTATAAATTATGTTACTCAATCTGACTGTAACAATTAAGCAGTACTATTAACTATCTGTGTATCTCCTTGGCCACTAAAAATCTGGTAAACAGAGCTTTCCAGAAAATGCACGTACCTGCCACTACTAACCTAAACGTATTTCCGTATTTAAGAACAATACATCATTCTTCATTGATCACACCAGTTATAGTCCCAAGATAGATGCACTACAAGTTACTCATTTGGTTAGGTGGTAAAATATATTTAACTAATAAAAATAATATCTCCCACATGTATACAAACTAAAAACAGTTTCCAATAATGGTCGGATCAAAAGAATGACCGGTATAAGGGAGAGGAGTTTAATTTTAGATCTAATTTGTTACTATGACAATAATCATCCTCAGCCAATTACATATTATTATTTACTAAAACAGGACCCCATCAGGTCTTCTAATCAACTGTTATCCTAGTTTGAGTTAATGAGACCTTGAAAGTAAAAAGAATAAAATATTTATAAAACAAGATTTCACATCTGTACCCCAAATTACATTGAACTGATGAGGTTTTACTGTTTCTGAAAAAAACAGAGCAACACACCATATATTTTATGTTGAAAAAAATTTGTTGCCTGTATCCATCTGATTGCATACCACACTTTTATACTATTTGAATCTATAAATAATCTGGGGTTAAGAAACTATCAGATGAAAACGGATCTAGTACTTCTCAAGATTTTAAATTAGCAGCTCAAAGAAAAGTTTCACTTATTAATTTTGGCATTCATCTGTAACTCTTGCCTGAGCAATTATTCCTGCGGTGTTCTAATGGGATTTTTCTGTATCCTCCATTCCTTCTACATCTATTATCTAGAGTTCTTCCATAAGAAAGATTTGTCCCTTCTCCCCTATTTATTCATTTAATTGCTTATCTGTATTGGTATGGACTCATGGATATTTATTTTATTATTTGGTTTATAATAAAATACTCGTCACTTATTTCATTGCTCAAATTGTTCTAGTTTTGGCCACTGAAAACTCTCAGGTTGGCTTCCATGTCTTTTTATCTTGCTTCCACCTTTTCTCCATGGGGCTCCCTACCACAGATTTTTCTTTTTTTTTTTCTGAGACAAAGTCTCAGTCTGTCACCCAGGTTGGAGTGCAGTGGTGCGGTCACAGCTCACTGCAGCCTCAACTTCCTTGGCTCAAGTCATCCTCCCGCCTCAGCCTCCCAAGCAGTTGAGACCACAGTTGTGCACTACCACACCTGGCTAATATTGCAATTTTTTTTGTAGAGATGGGGTATCCCCATGTTGTTCAGGATGGTCTCAAACTCCTGGGCTTAAGCAATCCTCTGGCCTTGGCCTCCCAAAGTGCTGGGATTACATGGGTGAGCCACTGCACCCAGCCCATTGGGGATTTTTTTAAAGAACAGAATTACTCTTCAACAGTCCAGGTTATGCTAAGAAAGTACTGCCACAACTTATTTTGGTCAGAATTAAAAATTATTATTAAGAAGAAGGACAGAGGGAGAAAGAAGGAAAGAAGAACGGGGGTGTGGAATGAATATATGAGACTATAAATAAATTTTTGTACATAGAGTTAAACTAAATTGACCATTTTTTTCTTTTCTGAAGTTATAATTCTACCTTTTGATAATTCAAAATCTACTTCTATAGTGTGACAGAAGGTGGATTTTTTAAACATATCTCAAGTAAATGAACTCAAACAAAAATCTTGTTTTCACGTAAATAACTTTGGTTTTTAGTTCTTATGAAGGCAGAGAAAATAAAACATATACATCAGAAATAAGATGGAATTATAAAAGTTTTCCACGTGGTGTCACAGCAATATAAATAGCTTTAGTCTGAATTATTAGATAAACAGTCTTCTAGAACTACTACCTTATAGCAGGGCCATGACGTATTATTACTTTAAGAAAGTGTGTCCGCCTACTAAAAGAAGTAAAATACGTGTCACGTTACCTTTTTAAAACACGTTAGACTAGTACTTCAAAAAACGTTCCTCTGCTGAAATCTATTGGTGTTTGTGCCTCTATAATGAGGAACCACTGTGTAAATGGCACATCTTGCATTTGCTAGGTTAGAAACCCAGCAACAGGAAGTTTCTCCTTCATGAATGGTGGTGTCTTCATGCCCTTCAGTCAGATACGCAACTAATGAAAGCAGTTACTTAGGAAAGAAGCAGCTATAACTCTACCTTATTTACTTATCCCAAGTTATTATAGACAAGTCACAACTAAAGGGTATGAAATTCACACTAAACTACATATTTCTACCATCCAATAAAATCAGAGTTAGTCATAGCTATTATTTCATAGAAAATAACTGGACAGATATAAACAAAAACATGTTAGTAGTGGTTATTGGTGGATGGTGGAATTAGAAGTGACTTTTATTTTCTTCTCCATGTTTTGCTGTATTTTCCAAACTTTCAACATATGCATGTTTAACTATCATACTTTTTTTGAAACAAAAAATCCTAAAATAAACTACGTTTCACCAATGATGATAAACATCAGGTTGGTTTTTAATGTAGAGGTACAAAACGTAAGAAATAAATATTTAAATGGAAAACAAAAAGTCTTGGAATAATGCTCTGAGTCCACAGCTTGCAAACTGCAATGAGGCACCCCAGAGAGCTACAGCAAATTCACAAGAGCATTGTGGAATATTTTACATTTTTAGGGAAAGACAGTGACAGGAGTTGGACACCATAAAAATTACTAGTTGAAGCGAGTTCACAGTTTTAATACAGAATTCCTTTAGACGACATTATGTCTTTGTAAAGCTGGGTCTGGGGCAGTTATTTTGATTAAAACCACATATTGTGCAAAAAAATCAAGGTGTAACAGGACATGTAGTTGTGGTGTCCAATCTGATTCCAAGGTTTGAGAAGTTGTATGCTCTTTAACACATGCTAAGTTGTTTGGACATAAACACTTAGTTATTTGGATCTATCTGCTTAATAAATGGAATTGTTAGGTATTTCTTTTGGCTTGGAGGTGCTGTGTATGAGGCAACATGAACCAAGCACATTTGCTAGCCTCTGGCCTAAGTCCTTTTCATTCATCCTTTCTGATCCTATCTCTAAAACCTACACACAGATTTATGTCTAGCACTTAGTGGAAATCAACCAGAGTATGAAGAACTTTGCTGGAGATGCAGAAACCAGATCATGGTACAAAACAGAATTTCTATGAAGTTAATTTCATTAACTCTGATCTAGATCAATAAAATATGTGCTCTTCATTGGTTGTACCAGTTTAGAGTAGAGGAGATCCTCAGGAAAGACATTTCCTTAAATTCCAGAATCATGTGCCTCAGCTTATCAACCAGCTTGTACTGTTGATAGCTGGTTAAGTAAAGGAGGCTAGTATTATCTCTAAGCTTTTCTCTGCCTCCCTTTCTCCTTCTTACTCCTTCCCCACCTCCCCAAAAACAAAATAAAAGGTTTTAAGACTTAAATATCCTCCCTTTGACACAAGAATGAATATCATGCATTTGTACTCTATTTCTGAGTGACTAAGATGGCATCTATTCTTGTTTCTCGGTGTCTAAGGTGGCATCTATTCCAGCACCACAATCTGTTAAATAAAAAGTATGCGAGGCCATTAGTTTGGACTAAGCTCCTACACTAAGCCCCAACAGACCAGATTAAAAACCAAAATGGAGTCACTTATACTGAAGCCCCACAGCACCAAACTGAAACTTAGTTGTTACCTGACCTGAGAAATCAGAGGGAGATAATAGCCAAAATTCTGAAACAGGCCAGTTTCAGTTGGCATGATAATAAAGTTCCCTCTGCTTTAATCCTTATCCCAGAAAAAGTAACCTGAAATAACCTGATGTTAACCAGTTATTTTTCTGTTGTTGTGTTTCCCTGTTCCCATCTCACAAGGACAGTAACTTTAAATGACCAATCTACTTTTTGTCATTTGTTTCTGCTTTCTTCAGCCTTTTTCTGTATATAAAACTAACCTCCCTTGCTCAGCTCCTCAGAACACTTATTCTATTTTATGGAATACAGTGTTGCCCGATTCTAGAATTGCAAATTAAAGACAATTAAGATCTTTAAATTTGTTGTAATTTTGTCTTTTGACAAATCAAAATGAAAGCAAATGTTTCAGTTAAACACCAAGTTTATAAAATATACTCAAGTATTAAACACCTATATAGGCAAATGAGTGTTAGCTGATATACAGAGCTAACCCAAAAGATAGTTTTGATGGATGGCAAATATTTTGTGGATACTCATACACAAAATTTACAGTCAAATATCCATCTAGTTTGTATTTACTATGATGACTATCATTCTTTCATCTACTCTCATGTGGCTTCTACTTTTTCCACTCTAGCAAAACTCTGGCTGGGTTTGTCAATGACCTCTGTTGCTAAATCAAATGGACTCATCTTATTTGACCCCTTAGCATTGTCTTACACATTTAAATTCTGCCTCTTTAAAAACATTTCTCTTTTCTAGGCTTCCAGGAAACAAAATCTGGTTTTCCTCCTCTATCCTTTGCTACTCCTTCTCAGGCTTCTTTGCTAACTACTTCTCTTTTAAAGTTGACAAGTCCCTAGGGGCTGGTACTGGATTCTTTTCTTTCTCTAGCAATCTTATTTACCTCCATAGTTTTAAATACCATCTACATGTGAATAACTCCCAAATGTTCTTTCTTGCCACAGTTCCTGAGCTCTAGAACCATCATTCCTCCCACCTGACAAATACTGATCAACCATGTGCCCGGTAAGGTGTTGTGGACTGGTGACATAATGGTAAACAAGGTAGACACAGTCTCTGATCTTTGGAATGTAGTCTAGTGTGAAAGGCAGACAACAAACAAGAAAACAACTACAAAATGTTTACAAAATGATAATGCCTATGGAGAAAATATTGTGTAACAGAGACTAATGCAGAGAGAAAAATATCTGGCTTTAGGTGGGTTCTAAGGAGATGATATTTAAGCTAAGACCCATAGGATGATAAGACCCCAGCCTAAAGAAGGAAAGAAAGGAGGGAGGGAAGGCAGTAGAAAGGAAGCAAAAGCAAGTGGGAGTGCCAAGGGGAGGGGAGACACACACACTTAAGACAGTGATTAACAACGTGTCCAAAGGCCTGAGGTAAAAAAGATCTTATGATCTTGGATGCTGAAGCTACAAAGGCAATGCAATGGAAATAATGTCTCTACAAGCCTTTGAATGGGGTCCCACATAGATCTAACTCATTTCCAAGCTCTTCTTCTTATATCCTATAATTAACTATATCGGTAAATATATGTTTTTTCAAAACTCAACTTTTCACCTGCTTCCAAATCTGTTTCTTCTCTTGTCTTCTCCAATGCAGTAAATGGCAACTCCATCCACCCAATTCCTTGTGACAGAGATCTTGGTGTCCTCCTGATCCCTTCCTCTTCTTTCCCCTAATATTCAATCCATTACTCAGGCCTATTAATTCTACAACCAAAATATAATCTTAGTATATGTGTTTCTTCTCTTACTGTCATCATCATAGTCCAACCTATCACAGTGTCTCAGATTCTTGTGACAGCTTCCAAACTGGTCTCTTTTGTATTTTTCCATCCCATAAATTCCTTATACTGAAGCCACAATTACTTTTGAAAAATGTTAATCCAATCAAGTCATTCTCTTGCTTAAAAGAAAAACAAATAAAAGACCTACCGGTTGAAAAGGAAGAAATAGGACTGTCTTTATTCACAGACAACATGATTACTTACATAGAAGGATATACAAAGAGGCTCCTAGAACCAATAAGTTTAACAAGGCTGCAGAATCCAAAGATGTTAAATACATACATAAACGGATGCAGACTATAAGAATACTAAAACCAATTGAATTTCTATATACCAACAATGAACAGTTGGAAATTTAAAATTTTAAAGTATAATTTATAGTAACACAACTAAAAAACATGAAATAGGTATAAATCTAAAAATAATCTGTGCAGGATCTGCATGTTGACAACTACAAAATACTGATGAAAGAAAGAAATCAAGGAGAACCTAAATAAAAAGAGATATACACCATGTTCATGGATTGAAAGATTCAATATTGTAAAGATGTCAATTCTTCCCAAAGTGATCTATAGATTTAACATAATCACAAGCAAAATCCCCAAAGGATTTTTTAATGGATATCAACAACCTGATTTATGTGGAAAGCCAAAGAAACTAGAACAATTTTGAAAAAGAACAAATTTGAAGAAGTGATACTAACTGATCTCAAAACTTAGTATAAAGCTATAGTTATCAAGACAGTGTGGTATTATTGGTAAGCAGAGAGACACATGGATCAGTGAAACAGAATAGAGAGCTCACAAATAAATCCACAAATATAAGGTCAATTGATATTTGACCAAGGCACAAAGGCAATGCAATGAAGAAATGATAGTCTTTTCAATAAATGGTACTGGAAAAATTGGATATTCATACATAAAATACGCATCTCAATCTACATCATTCACATTACACAAAAATCAAAGTGTAAAGTACACCTAAATAAATATAGAACTGAAAATTATAAAACTTCTAAAAGAAAACATAAAAGAAAATCTTTGTGACCTAGGGTTAGGCAAAATTTCTTAGAAATGACACCAAAAACATGATTCATAAAATAAAAAACTGATAAACTGCATCAAAATTTAAAACTTATGCTCTCTAAATATATTGTTAAGAGAATGAAAAGACAAAGCATAGATTATAATAAAATATTTGCAAATCACATATCTGACAGAGAATTTGTACCAGAACACATGAAAAAAATCTTAAAACTCAGTAAGAAACAAACAACTAAATTTAAAAAATGGGCAAAAGATTTGAACAGACACTTTACCAAAGAAGCTATATAGATGACAAATAAGCAAATAAAAATACTGTATGTTCAAAATCATTTTAGTCATTAGGAAAATGCAAATTAAAATCACACTGAGATACTATATATACCTATTAGAATGTCTAAAATAAAATATATTGACAATATCAAAGTGTTGACAACAATGCAAGGCAACTGAACTCTCATATATTGCTAGTGGAAATGTAAAATTGTATAACCATGTTGGAAAACAGTTTGGCAGTTTCTTTATAAAGTCAAACATACATTTACCATAAGAGCCGGCAATTTTACTCCTAGATATTTTACCCAAGATAAATGAAAACATTTGTTCACACAGAAACTTGAATAAAAATGTTTACAGTATATTTATTTGTGACCATCCAAAACTGGGAATAACTTAAATGCCCTTCAAATGGTGAATAAACACATTGCAGTATAGCCATAAAATGAAATACTACTCAGGAATAAGAACTATTAGTAAACTATTGATAAATACAACAATATGGTTGAATTCCAAATGCTTTGAGCTGAACTGAAGAAGCTTGACTTTAAAAGCTATAGAGTATGTGATTCCATTTACATGACATACTGGAAAACGCAAAACTATATCAACAGAAAGCAGACTAAGATTTAGGAGTGGGGAAAGCAATTTATTACAAAGGGGTTGTCATGTGGGGCTCTTTTTTAATGGCGGTGGTGGGGGCTGGTGATGGAACTATTTTGTCTTGATTCTAGTAGTGGCTCTATGCCTATATGCACTTGTCTAAGCTCAAACACCAAAAGGAGTGAATTACTGTATGTAGAAGGTGAATAAAAACAAAAATAATACAAAAAAAACAAGAAACAGGTCAGTTAAAAAAAAAGTAATTTCAATCACGTCATCCTTGTCAGTGGCTTCCCATTACAAAGCACTAAATGACATAGCCCTGCTTATTTTTCTAGCTCTAATAAATTGTCTTAGTGTACCCTACATGTTTCATTTACATTATCTATCATTGTAAGTTATTTGTTGATTATTGATTTGTCAATCCACTGGTTAATAATTATGGAATACTAACTAGATGTAGAGTACTGTTCTAAGGGTTCTGCATTATTTATTTAATGCTCACAACAACCCTATGAAGTAGGTATTAATATCCCCATTTCACAGAGGGAAACAGAGGCATAGAGGAGTTATATAATTTGATCAGGGGTTAATAGACAGTAAATGGTGAAGAAGCATATTGTATCCCTACTAAGTAAAACAGTATCTAATTTAATCTGTACAAGAGTCCAGTGAGATACGCAGATGTAGAAGCTGAAGCCAGAGAGTTTAAGTAATTTGCATGAGGATACAGAGCTGATTTGTTTTATTAACAAAATTTGAATTCTAGGTCTTCATGAATCAAAAATCTATGTCCTTCTTTCCGCTAAGAATCTAGGCTCTAGGGTGAGAAAATATTAAAGGAGGAAAAGGTAGACTACACTTATGGACAATTTTACCTCTTGAGTATTTAAGTATTTAAAACAGTAATTTATGTAATTATTTCCAAGGATTACATTTCACTTGGAAGAGTCTAAAGGTGGGAGACAAAGTGATATATGACTGATGAGGGCAGAAGGGCATAATACATTGGCTTGAACCCAGCACAGTATCTGCTAAAGTTTCTTTCTCTTCACTTCCCAAATGCACGTCATTCTGACTGCATCATCTCTGCTGTTTGCTATTCTAATTGCAGCACAAACCACAAATCACAGCAAATTGCAGAATTTCTCAATCATTAAGAATTTACAATAGGTTAATTTTTAAATGGGCTGCATTTCACAGCTGCAAAGCTTTTGTCTGATTTCTAGACTAAATGAGAAGCCATTATTGGGTTGAATGACCTTTCTATAGGCATAACTAGCAAAAATAAGAAGTCACATGGACAAAACAAGCAGCTCTGCCAGGTAAGGTGAGGTAGTGGTAATGACTTACTAAACAGAGTGCCAAACTCTACGGCATAATATATTGGTTCTCTGTTTAGTACTAATACCAAGCATGATGAGAATTATAAGCAGATCATGGATTCAATACATGCTTGGGATAATAAAATCGATATACAACCAAGGAAAGCTTTAACATCCACCATTAACATGAGGAGGAGGCTAAAAAATGCAATATGCATGTCTAACACTTTTTTCTTTATAGTTATACATACAATGACTGGCTTATTTGATGTTGCCCATTTTTTAAGATGTCTGTTACACAACTAATGCAAATATTTCATAAAGTATATTTTTCACATTGAATTTAATAAATGGTCTACCTACTTCTGGCAGTAACAAATAACTAAGTTTATTTTAATGATTATTAAATATCCATGTTTAACAAAGTTCACAATGTATTAGACCTAATAATATTTGAACTAGGCAATTCATTAAGATGTCAATGTATAGTTCAGATTACTTCAAGGAGTCCTTACATTTACTTTCAAGGACATGCTAACAATTTGGATCCAATAGTGTTCTCTTTTTTTATCATTCTTTTAGAAATGTGTGCTGGTTACATATAACTATCTCCTTTCTCACCCATTTTAAACTCAACTATTCACCTCTGCCTTTCTTACAGGACAGAGAGACCTCAAGAGAACTGTCCTCTGGATAGATCTAATGTGGTTATGTGGGAGTAAACCAAAATGCTGAAAAAATAAATAAAGATTCCCTTCTTATTCAGCCTGTCACTTAGAACACCAACAATAATGTTGAGGTTTTCTCCTTTTAATCTTCTAAACTCTTTCTCCTTTAAAATCACTCAATTTGCCTTAGTGGCACTTACAGGCACCGAAGACCACAGACTCACACAGCCTTGAACCATTAGACTAAAAACACAGAACTCTTTAGTTTAGCAAAAAATGTTCTCGTGGTGATCTGGACTCACCTGAGCAAACAAACTTCTAGGATTCCTTTCTTACAAGTCTGTACCTCAAGTCAATGCAAAGTCTCACTGAGACCTTCTGACCAACTGTAACTTGCAGCTATAACCTGCCTTTGATATGTCCAATTGGGTATTTTACTGTTTGCCATGCATAGATCATTGCAATTTTATATATGCTTTCTCAACAACTATATTTCTTCTACTTTGAGAAAGAAATCTTGAAGTTATTGACAAAGGCATTACGTAAGTACAGAGTGATAATCACATTGCTCAGAGCCCTAGAGTTTCATTTTGTGTCTCTATGCACTCCTTGAAAAACATTCATGATGGATTTATTTAAATTTTCCTCATCAGCTCCAGGTATAGCGGCTATTTAAAAAGCCACTCAGAAAATGTTGAAAATCTGAAAATGATTACAATAAATTATCTGCATCAAGTATCACATTCCCTAAATATCTTCTCCCCTAAAACCCAAAAACACCACAATAACTTCTCTCTGATAAACATTTTAGAGCTGAAACTCCAAGCAGGAAACTTTAAAATCATCAAATAAAACCCTTTTATTCTGAAATATTCAAGTACTAAAGTGCCCTCCCCAATTATCTGTATTAATTGGTGTGTATGTGTGAACATTCACATATTGGGGTGTTATAAAACCAGAGGAAATAGCAAATTCATTACTTTGGTAACTTGTACTCAAAATTAATTTAAGGTTTATAGCCAATATATTTATATTCATCATAGATATTTACTTTTTAAATTATTGACTAAGATTTTTTCCTTCATAGGGAAAGGAAGGGGAGAGACTAACATTTATTAACTACCTGTGATGTAGCTGAGCACTTTACATACACTGTTATCCTTTTTATAATAATGAGGAAATTAAGAATGAGAATATTTAAATAGTTTCTTCAAGACAGCATTTGGATCTAGAGCTCTACATCGCACTACCTCTTGGTACTAACTGGGAAATTCAACACACTAGAGGAAAAGGAAAATTTTATTATTGTTTACTCCAAATCAAGAAATGACTAACAGTTAAAGAGCTAAGGGAGTTCAGCTAATGGAGCATCCTTTGCAGTCACCATAAACTAAAGGAGAGACATGTGAACTCTCATAGGTCATGCTGAGTTTAATGTAATATAATCTTCTAGAATAGAAATAAGAAACATAGGCTGCATGTGAAGAAAAAAAATCCCAAAACCATGAGCCTCAAGTGCCATGTGTTGGTCAATACTAGTTTGGAGAAAAGGGGTCTGGAAAGAAGATAGGACAAACAAAGTAGGAGAAATCTCAAAAGTGGGTAGGGAAAAGGTGTGGACAAGAAGACGAAGAAAGTTCTAAGTGTCCTAAACTGGGTCTGTGAAATGGGGATTAAGTGCAATTCGGTTGAGTAATATACAAAAATTTTACTGATTTATCAGCATTATTTACATTTTTAGCAGGCTCCAGTGATTAAAACAGTCTTTTCCGTTCTGGCAACTGGTTTACCGGCTTTCACTTTCAAAGATGCAGGGGGAAAAAAGATGCAAACATAAAATTCAGCCTGCAGGTAAAATACGTGCTATTATCTAAAGATTTCTACATTTAGAAGTATCTGATTGCCTGATCTTTGGGAGATCAGAATTTTCACAATTCACGTTCTTAAAGATTACATTTGGAATCACATTAAATTTCTCATTTTGTTCCCTCCTTCCCCACTTCCTATATTTCCTTAGGTTTCTGTTCTACAGTTGTTCCAGTGAGGGTAAGGAGAATGTGTTCTAGTGGGAATAAAGAAAAAAAACAAAATTACGCAGGCAAAGAAAAAAGTTGTACATTTTTGGACGTTCACCACTCAACTGCTCTTAGCAAGTTTTCAGAGGATCTATTCTAAATTAGGTAGCTGTGGTTACCACTATTTTCTGGAAAGTTGTTTTCTGGGTATATGAAATTAAGTCTGAGGATAATTAAGGTAGGTAGCTTTTCATCTTTTCTCTAGAAAGTAACCAGCACAATCTTGGTGCTTAATGAAATTATATATCAGGTAAATGATATGCTTGCCAGGAATGCTTTCAAGTGGTGAGTATTTTACAGGATATTCTCACACTAGCATGCCTCCTTCTAATCTTGATTAAGTCAGCTCAACTCCCTGACTATAAGAAATCACCATGTGAGTCTTTGAAGAATGCGCCCCCTACCAATGCCATGCTGTGCCTACGCTAACCTTTAAGCAAGTACACCGGCAACCCTGAGTTCCTGTGGTTTCCACTGTGGTAGACTGTTGGGCCAGTAGCACACTTGCTATATGAGGGTCTGCTACAGTAAAACGACAATGCAGGAAGGATGTTTGTTTTGGGGGTTTATTCAAAATTGGAGAAAACTATGGAATGGTGAAAAGTAACAAGCCAAAGACTCATTATTTGCTTTGTCTGCCAGCTGCCAGCTGCCAAAGAAGACACAGTGGATCGCCTCCTGGTACTGTTCTGTGCCCAGAGGCTCCAAATTAGCACTGTTTTAACTGTCTTGCCACCACACTTCAGATGTTATCACTATCATTTCCATTTTTGCTTTTGGAATATTCCAGGGACCACAGTCCTTCAAATCCTACCATCTAATTGGTGCTAAATTTGCATATAGTCATGCTTCCTCCACTCTGGTGTAAAATGGATATTCTAGTCCTCTTCTGTAAGCTCCGTGTTTTAACTATCACACAGCCTGGAGTTTCACTAGTAGATAAATGTTGAGTAGGCCCACTGCAAAGCTTACTGATGGCAGAGCAAATAGCTGAATTTAACCTTAAATTAATCCTGATATATGAGCTCTGAGTTAAACAGCTCTGAGTTAAACAGGCCAAGCAATAGTTCAGCAAGTCGGTGGGGAGGGGGTGACAGAATGAACATCTGAGACTTTTTTTTTTTTTAACTTTAATCCGACATGATAAAGGCAAAGTAACTCATTCTTAGTTACATTTCCTTCTGTGAATTTTGTTTTTTAGTAACTTGTTTTTTTGCTTAAATATTTTTTTAGAAATCAAAACCCAACAATGAGAACAATTATGTTAATAATGCCAGGAAATTTGTTTGCTTTGTTAAATTGAGCTTCAAAAGCACTTCAATTGAACATACATTTGTGATTGCAAGTAATGTCTATTCTTATATCCATTTAAAATGTTTACTTTATTACAGCTTATTATAAATGTGAAGTCTAAAATGCAGCACCATGGCTGCTCAATTTCCAGGCCACAATTTTATGATAATCATATGAAATGTATTCATGTGTCAACAGAACTGCCTAACAATGCCCCAAATGGAGTTGTTAGCAGCTCTGTCTTTCTGATGGCCACACAGTTCTGTGCCTCATAACATTAAGAAACTGCTACAAACGAAAAGTTCTTTGACAATTTTAACTTAGTTTGTAGCATGTACTATGTTGCTACATACAGCTCAGTTTAATTGCTACTGTCTCAGAGATCTCCTACAGGAAAACTGACCTTAAACATATGAATGAGATAAATGGGCTGTTACTTTTTATATGGCTGGATTGTCTTTTTAGGTAGTCTTTACACCAAAGGGGTTGAGACTGCAGAATCCCTCTGGTATTTGATGTTCCCTACTGCATGCAGTGGTGAAAAGGTACCTGGAAGATGCCTTCTATCACCTTGACATCTCACAAAGGAGTAAGGGAGCACTTATATGCAGATCCGATAAATGGAAATGAATAAAGGCTCTAGAGGTGTCCCTCCCTCCCTCTCATGACTTCCTCGCTTTTGTGACAAGTAGCCCATATGATGGTGGCCAGTGCAGGAGCTGAGATCTTGAGCAACATTTTCTCAACTCTACATTTTTTTTTTAAGGCCCTATGATGCAGGTACCATCCCATGTGTTTTTATGCCCCTTATTTCATTCAGAAGATCTGTTTGCCTGCAGTGGACCATATACTTTTGGATGGAGGTTGGGAGAAAAGCATCCGTCAGGAACCAGAATCATGTGATAGTAGGCTATATATATTTTTTGTTTCAAGTTTTTTTTTAACCTCCTAGAAACACTTCTCTGAGTTAGTAACAGAGAACTGTGAAAATGTCCAATCAACTTTAAGACAACTGATTTTTTATAGCCAACTGCTTCTGAAAGAGTACCAAGTCCACCTAGGCCAACTCTTTATTTATTATTTTGAGACAAGGTCTTGCTCTGTCGCCCAAGCTAGAGTGGTGTGGGACGCTCACAGCTCACTGCAGCCTCAACCTCCCAGGCTCAAGTGATACTCCCACCTCAGCTTTGCTAGCAGCTGGAACTACAGGCGTGTGCCACCACACTTGGCTAATTTTTGTATTTTTTGTAGAGATGGGAGTTTCACCATGTTGCCCAGGCTGGTCTCAAACACCCGGGCTGAAGCAACCCATCTGCCTTAGCCTCCCAAAGTGCTGTGATTACAGACATAAGCCACCATGCTCAGCCCCAACTCTCTTTTTAGATGGAAAACACTAAGGTTCACAGAAAGCCTATAACTTATCCAAAGCATATGCCTCTTTGGGTGCAGAACTAGCACCAGGGTCCAGACTTGCAGCATCCCAGTCCAGCACACTGACTATGGAGTCATCTATAAGACAATCCTTCATAAACAAAAGGTATAACTTTGCAGGGCAAATGTTTACTTACAGTCATTTAAGTTTGATCCAGTTTATCTAATGCAAGAAAAACAGTTTATATAGCAACCAACTACAGACACACAGACACACAGACACACACACACACACACACACACACACACACACACGTACATTTCATAAAGCAATTTATTTCCTTTCTTTGTGCTATTTTCTCTTCTACTTTATTTCATTAAAACAAAAACAAACAAACAAACCTGATTGAGATCCACTTAATGGATTTCGAAACCAACCATCAAAGTCAGGGGGGAAAAAAATCTCACAGAATATCAAACAGAATAATGGATTGATTTCAAGCAACTAGCATGGAAGTTAATTCTAGTCTAGTATAATTCTAATCTTGAATTTTATAAACAATAAAGGTAGACAACTCTCAGGACAGGAGTCTTGGTACTCAGAATGCTAAATCAGACCCCGTCTCATGGCTTCTGCCACCTTCCTTTCCCACATATTGTCTCTTTTCGAACAATGACTACACTGTAAAGAGGCTGTCCTGGCTGGGCAAATGCTCTCACCCATTTCTTCTGTAGTCCTTCTGGTATAACATTGCTACCAAAGCATAGTTGATGCTTGGCTTTAATTTAAATTTCAGATAGCATTTTTCTCTACAGAACTGAGTCTGTTTTGTCAAATCCTGAAATATCATGACATATTATTGCAGGGTATAATCCCTTCCTTTCATTTACATGCACCCCCATTAGATGGTAAGCTCCTTGAGTGAACAAAACAAGTCATTTTGTTCATTGCCAGATCCCCCCACTGAATACATAAAAGGTGCTCAATAAGTATGTGTAGAAAAAAAAAAGCTTGATGAACATTATACAAAGGAATTATAGAAATGACATCAGATTTTAAAACATTACATGGCTTTCATCCTTGGACCAGGGTCTCTTGCTCTAGGACTCTGTTCTTACTCTTCCCCCTGAATGGCATTGCATCCTCCCCTCTGGATAGCCAGTTCTTCCACCAGGATCACTTTCTCTGGAAAGCCCTTTCTGATTCCACAGGTTCTTGTGCTTCATTGATAAGAATATCTTATTCTTCCCACATCTTGGAAAGATGGTATGTTGAATGCGCTTTATCTCCAACCTGACAATAAGCTCAATCGGGATGGAACTTTAATAAATGGCCTGGCACAGTAAGTGCTCAACTAAAATGTTTTTTTTTAACATTTAAAAAATACAGTCTCTTTCCAATTCTGCATATATATATTAATAAAAAGTTACACACTTAGGACTGAAAACCAAATCAAAACAGAATCAGCCCAACCTAATGGCCAAATCATAAGGGTAATTAGTAGTTGGATCAACTGCACGTTTTTGTTTTTGTTTTTAAGAAGTCCCTTAAAACCATGCTGCCACATAAAATTAGGACATACAATATCATCTACTGGGGAGAGGGGAGCGGAGGAACAGAGAGAAGAAAGTAAGCAAGCAAACCATCTCACACGTGTTTTTATGTCAGATGGGAAACAAACAACCAAAATAGCTAAGGCATCCTATTGCATCATATTCATCACATACCAATAATTTTCTGCTTCCTAAAATATGAAAGATAATGACTCATCCATCCAGCACTTATCAATATTGTTTATGATAGAAAAAAGATAAATGCATCATTCCCTTTTGTATCCAGTGCACTGGATAATATATACTTTAAACATGCAAATTTTAAATAAGAAATGCATTTATACAACACAACTAATAGGAACTCAAAGGTTTTATAAATATTAACTCTTCACATTTTTATAAGCTAGTTTTACAAGATTCTTATTTTAAACAGTGGACCTAGGATACATGTAAATAAGGATGGATTTAAAGTAAGTTTCTGCCTCCCTGTCTGCCAGTCTAAAATGAGCCTAAATTTCCTTCTTAAAATAATTTTCCATGTATTTCCCACAATAAAAATCTTAAGAAATATCTCCATAATAATTTTCCACCAAATCTACAAAGAGAAGGATCAGCAAATTGTCTCATGAAATATGACTTGCCAAATTAGTTCAAATTGGCCTCAGTAATAATATTCACTAAGAATGCATAGGGCTAAAAGGCTACAGACAGAGAAAAGACATATGACAAACCTCTGTGAGTCTGCCCTGAGTGTATAAAGGGTTGGCTTCGAGTCCCTTAAAATTCATCATTTTATTAATCATCCAATAGATGACTTAACGAATAGCCTACTGATAAGACCAAAATTCAAATTCGGAGGTTCTTTTGAATCTTCATTAGAATAAGTACTACAACGAAAGAATCTTAGAGGAGATATTTTTGCAAAAAATAACTGCAGAAAATAAAATATAACTTAAAAAATATAAAAGATGAAGTACTAGTAAATATTTAATATGTGAGTGAAAATGGAAATGTTGTAATCAATGTGGAGAGAAAAATGATAGAAAATCCAAACAAGGTTAAAATGAAGTATTATACATTATTGTTATTATTAATAGTTCTTTCTTTTTTAACAGAGAGAGTTATGTTACTCTAATGGGATACCGAATTTTGGAGGAAAGACTCTTAAGGGATGAAAAAACATTCCTGAATGAGCTAATAATTGTGGATGGAGAATTGAGGTTACATTTGAGTAGTGGTTTGCTAGGCTCACTCCTTTTTCCATTCTTTTTATTCACTCAGAAAACTATAAAATGCCTAGATAAAATAACAGGGCAAAAATAAACACAGAAGCAATCATTCCTTTGTATTGTTTTCTGTGTTTGGGCTGTGTGTGTGCTTATGTATGTATGCTTACAAGTATATGTATTATGTATATGATAAACATGTATATGCGATGTTTATGTGTGTTCACACATATTTGAAAATACAAAATCCAGAGATTTTAGAAAACATGTAGCTGTTATTTGGTTACACGAACATTCTAAAATTTACACAGAGGAATAAATCAGGCCTTCCAACTGAGGAGTGGACAGGAACAGAAAACTCATCTTTCATCTTTTAACCTTCCAAGTCCTAGAAAGATGAACAACTCCCAGTCCCTCAATGCACATATATACAATTGCCCTTACAGTCAAAATATGACAGATTCAGGAACAGAATCTGGCATTCTTGATTATTGTCCTGCAGTCTCTCCTCTATATCACACTGCCCAACACATACTTAATTTCATCATTTGTATGTATGTGATTATTCTTAATTTCCAGATATGTAGATTTATAATCGTGGTTTCTAATATTTACTCTGGCATCTGAAAATGCTCATAGATTCATACATTTGTTGAGTACCTTGGAGTTGATGCAGTTCTTTTAGGGAAGCCAGTTTGGTTGTAGTCTCCTGTGGATTTAACTTGTTCTGAATTCTGTGGTATAAGGAAGGCTGTTTTAGAGTAATTCCAATTTATTTTTGCTACTTAATATATCACTCCTATGATAAACTAGATCAAACTTGTAAAAATGAGCAGATATATGCTACCATGAGATCACAGATAGTGTTTGCTAGTCATGGAGGGTTCTCAGCCTTCTCTTCTTTGGTACAGAAATGGGAGCATATCCTCCTTTTTAAGAGATATAGGTCATTTATACAACAAGTATTTCTTCAGCTCCTGCTACTGTGCAGTCATATTCTGATGAATCAACAGAACCTCCCTTACCACCACCTGGGAGTGCATTTATATCAGAAAGAAACCAACTACAATTCTTCTACCATTAAGAATATCTCCAGCACCTCCCTGTTGAATGAGCAGGAAGGCCCACCCCTGGAACTTCATTGGAAAGCTCTCTCTGATACATACATTTGTTGAGTACCTTGGATTTGATGCAGTTCCTTTAGGAAAACCAGTTTGGTTATAGCCTCCTGCAGATTTAACTTATTCTGAATTCTGTGGTATAAGGAAGGCTGTTTTAGAGTAATTCCAATTTATTTTTGCTAATATATCACCCTTGTAGTAAACTAGATCAAACCTATAAAAATGAGCAGATATATATTACCAGGAGGTCACAGATAGTGTTTGTATAACTCAGGCAGCTAGTCATGGAAGGTTTCAAACTTACTTCCTCTTACTCCAAAGCTTACTCCAAAGCTCTTATCCATATAATCTGAATAGTATTCTCAAAGCAATAATTTAATTTGGCTTTAAATATTTTCACCTTTCTTTTATAGATCTTTAAGGTCAAATAATTATTAATGATGGTATTATGGTTTTGGTTTAAGGGGAAAAAAAAAAACTAGAAAGGATCCTGGACATGATTTAATGAAAAAACACATTATTAATTATAAAAAACAAAAACACAACTTTTTTTTTTTAAGACAAAGACAAGAACCCCAAATCTCACCTCCAATCCTGAGTTCCTTTCAACATACCACACTGCTTCCCTTTTGCTTCTTCACAGATAACTATATAGCAGGCAGTTTAAGGACAATTCTATCTAGTATCTTCCTCATCTTGCTACATTACTGAGAAAATTTAGGAAAGAATACTACAAGAGAATATAAAGAACTTTGAAAAAGGTGGAACTAGATTAAAATCTTGAATCAGATGCTTTTGATAAATGTGCACTGGGCTCCATACTTCACAATCCTTATGTTATTCAATTTTTAAGCAATGTAACCTGAAGCACAGTGCTCAGAATCTGCCAGATGGTGGCTGCTGGGACTGAATGAGTTAACACATACAAACCATTTGGTAGACATGGGGGGTCTCAACTTGGTTAGTTTGCTTTCCTGTTATTTCCTGGAGTTATTCTGCACTCAATTTATGTAGAAAAGTATGATGATATATCACATAAACAGAAGAATTTTCTTCCATTCCCTCTCCTTCAACTAAACAACAAGAAAACAGAACTAAACTGAAGAAATAAATGCCATTCGGTTCACTCTTATTCAATATATTCTTTAGCATAAAACTATTAATGGCAGTAAATGAAGAAAAATAATAAACTATTTGGTTTATTTTCATTCTGTTGTTCCAGTTCAGACTGAATTGGAAAAGGCTGGCTTTTCCATGAGGTTACTTATGAACTAAAACCAAAGTAAAACATGGCTTTGAAACAGAACGCTTTGATCTCAAAATGTCTCAAGTTAGATATCTGTGTCACAGATGTAACTCCTGAGCAGTGCCCCATGCAACCTACGCTTTCTGGAAATGTATACCAAATTCCAGAGAGCCAGAGTCCCTGAAACAAATATTCAAAGGAACACCCTATGGTTTTAGTTATTTGCTTGCTCGGTTTCTCGTGTCATGTCATAATTTCTCATGGGAAAGAAACACGTAAAAAGAAAGTGCATCTGAGAATCCTAATGATCTGAATCCCAAGATGATAAAATAAGGCCCCATCTGCAATGGTTTGTAACTGCTTTAGGGGAGAGGGATGATTGTGGTAAAGAAATACTATTTTTAAAAATGACTTTTATGAGCCTGGTATTGTGCTAGGTGCTTTATCCACACAACTCCATACAATTCAAAAAGTAATTCTAAGAAGTGCATATTGCCATTCCCATTATGGACAAAAAGCCAAGGCATACCCACTACTACTTAGTTGAATGAGAACCCCACCAGGTTTTTCTAGTTCTAAAGTTTGTCCTAAGGATTAGACTGCTTTTCAATTGGATGACAAATCACCCTTGTGCATTTTAATAGATTCATTAGAAAATTTCCATGAAGATTTTGGACATAAACCTGTGTCAAACCAGCCTGCCACCTCTCTCACAATGGAATCTAAGCAAAAAAGCACAAGAGCCAAAACAAACTAAAAAACTGAAGGGTTCTATTCTTTCAGATAACATATAGTTTTTCTCTAATCTGCCAAATTTCTCTATTGGTTAGATAGTATGAGCAATTTTCTCACAGGAAATCTCTTGTATTTATAGCAAGCTAATTACTTTTTAGACGTGATTGTCATATGTATGTGGATGGTTTTAGAATTCAATTCCGTCAAAAGCTGGAAAATTAATTCATGCCTCATCCCATGCAAGCCTCATGTTTTAAGAGATTAAAAGCCACTACAAAGACCTATTACCATGGCATTTCTGAAGTCTACTCTTAACTAAGAAATCCATTAATTAGCTTTTATGGATGATCTATTATCTCTAAGACAGAAGGTATCTTTGTTGTGATAAGTTCAATGTTCTACCTAATTGTAAAGAAAATTTAGAAAGAACAGTTTTATGCTTTAAAGTTTAGACGAAAACAAAGCTGGCATCTTAATCATGAATGTAACACATTAAGACATAAAACAAAAGATTCTAGAAAATAAAATATTCGTTATTTTTATTTTCTTTTAGTAAATCAGAGCTAGAATATTATTGGCTACAAAAAGTGAGACGTTAACTCTGATCTCTTACCAGTTAAACAGAGGTACTTTACTATCTTTACAGATGTTTTTAATATACACTTTCCTCAAAAACTGCAATAAGTTATTTGCCACACAATAACTGTTTTCTCTCAAGACAGAAATGTAAGCAACATTTGAAAACTTCAATTTGTTGAAATATGTAACTGTCTGCTAAGCCTCATATTTTGTATCAGCCAAACTGAATTATACGACTTTTGGTAATGTTAAACAAAATTTAAAATTATTACCAATTTTGACTGTTACTCTGTTTTTTTCAGTTAAATATGGTAATACATTTCAAAAATGATGTCAAAGATGTCACTTTACTACAGCAAATATTAGAACAGACATTTGGTAGAATCAACAGATGATGCATCCATGAATAACTTTTTTTATTTTAGAGGAGGTAACGTCTATTTCTTCATCTACACTGAGTCCCTCTAAAGCATGTGACACTATTATAATAAAGGCCTTAAGCAGTTACGAGGCTTTTAAAGTAAGTAACCCTTTTGGGTTACTTATTTTACTATTAAATGGTACTGGGTTACTATTAAAAGTTTAATAGGCTTTTAAGACTACTCATCAGCATACAGAGCACCTACTATTCATATATCTCAGTCTGTGAGATATATACTTCCTCACTTCAACATGAAAAATTTCAGTGGCAAGTAAAGATATACACAGGCAAAATCTCAAAAAGTAAATAAGAAAACAAGAAAAAATAAGATTTCACAGGCAGTTTACAAGCACTTGCCAAGTAAGTGGCACAAATCATACACCACTCCCAAATAAAAAGGAATGCTCCTGCCCAGAAATTGGCTCATACTTCCCTTATAGTTCTTGCTGTATTACTCTCTGCTTTGTAGCTATTTGTATACATATCTCCTTGGAAGGATAGATTTTTATGATTTTCATTTCTGAATCCCACCACAATACTGAAAAATGCCTAGTACTTTGTAAGTGCTCAATAGATGTTTATTTGAAAACCTGAATGAATGATTAATGATGACGATACAGATGATGAAGACAGCAGCCACACTCAGAGCCAGGTACTGTTCTAAGTACCTTCACATGCATTAAGGAATTTATTCATTTGTTTTCTCTTTTTATCTCTACAAATGAGGAAACTAAGGCATAGAGAGAAAAAAATAGTTTGCCCCCAATCATCTAACTCCTTCACACCCTTCAATTCGTGGCTTAAAAATGACTTCAATCAGGGAGGCCTTCTGTGACTCATTAGACAGGGCTAGCTACCCTTGCTCTCCATCTGAAGAGTCCCCTTATTTTCCTTATCATTGTATTAGTCAATCCTGAAGTATTTATTCAATTAGCAGCCCCTATGCTGTAGACATTAAACTCCATAAAGGCAGGGACCATTTCAGTCTTATTCACCACTTGAATCCCAGTGCCTATCAAAGTACTTGGCACATAAAGATGCTTAATGAATGTCAGTTTAATGAGTGAATGATGCATAACATGTGGTAGGTATTAATTAAATGTCATTTATCGAGCAATAAAGGCCAGTGCAGTGGCTCATGCCTGTAATCCCAGCACTTTGGGAGGCCAAGGTGGGAGGATAACTTCAGCTCAGGAGTTTGAGACCAACATAGGCAGCATACCGAGACCCTGTCTCTACAAAAAAAAAAAAAAAAAATCCAGGCATGGTGGCATGTGCCTGTAGTCCCAGCTACTCGAGAGGCTAAGGTAGGAAGATCTCTTGAGCCTGGGAGATAGTGCAGTGAACTATGATCACACCACTGCACTCCAGCCTGGGTGACAGAGTGAGACCTTGTCTCAAAAAAAAAAAAAAGAAAAGAAAAAAAAAAAAGAGCAACAAAAATAACTGGATCTGAGGTGATGTTGAAATTGTCAATTTAACTGCCCAGTAGGCAGCTGAAGATTCAAAACTGAGGTTTTAAAAAAGAATGAGGATTGAGGATTAGAGGTGAAGAATTAAGAGTCATCTGCATATTATTATTCCAGTTACAAATGACCATGACAAAGCTGTGACATTACAGTTCACCTATTTCTGAATATGTATTACATGTATATTCAGGAGAACTTAACACTATATATTTATGTTGTAAGCTCCCAAAATAAAAATTTGGATAAGGTCCCTATTAATGGAAAGAAGTAGATGAAACTATTCTTTAAGAGATTCCTCTGCATAGTATAATAAGCTGCTTGGGTTATTTTCATACCTAATAATGTATTTCTTCTATGAGACTCCCTAGAATCTGCCATTACCATGTTTCCAGTTGGATAAAAAGCTCCCAGTTCATATTAATACTGCTGTGTTAAGACGACCGGCCGGGTGCGGTGGCTCATGCCTGTAATCCCAGTACTTTGGGAGGCCAAGGCGGGTGGATCACAAGGTCAGGAGTCTGAGACCAGAGTGGCCAAGATAGTGAAACCCTGTCTCTACTAAAAATACAAAAATTAGCCAGGCACGGTGGCGGGCGCCTGTAATCCCAGCTACTCAGGAAGCTGAGGCAGGAGAATCACTTGAACCCATGAGGCGGAGGTTGCAGTGAGCTGAGATGGCGCCACTGCACTCTAGCTTGGGCAACAGAGTGAGACTCTGTCTTAAAAAAAAAAAAAAAAAAAAATAACCATGGTGAAGCTGAAATATACTGTAAGCATGATTATATACCATAAACACTCAGGTACCACAGATGAGCTCCGTGCTGTAGAGACAAGCAAAGGATCTAAATCTGCAGAATGACTTAATAGAGGAATGTGGATTATAAATCACACTACACTATTACTGCTAAGACAAAAGTGAAAATTCCAGTAAAGCACTGACAGACAAAATAGAAAGCAGAACTGATTCAGTCATTTGGGTGGAGAGACTTGAATTTACAATGAGTACAAGCTAAGTTGGAAAGAGAAGTATTTTAAGTTTCAAACCTGTTTTTCATCACTTGGTATGGCTGTGAGTGACAGTAACAAAGACTCCAGCTGCTGCCACAGTGAAGAAAGGGAGATTTTTGAGTAAAGGCAGCAGACTCATTGAAGAAAAGAAACCACTGTAAATGAAACAACACTCTTTCTGAGCATAACTGCAGCTGCTTTTTGTCATCTTGGCTGTATTCACACATACACAGCCAGTATACAGTAGCATCACATTCAAATATTTACGATCACAGGAGAAGTATATGTATTTAAAAGAAATAAAAAGTAAGTCTGTAGGTCTTTTAAACATACAAACACTGGCACTACTAGAGTGTTAATAGTGCCTTAAGGAACACACAGAAGAATTAGCTACCTTGTCATTTGAGAGAGAGAGAGAGAGAGAGAAAATAGGAATGTAATGTCAGTGAATCAAAGTACTATATCTTTCTCCAGGAGGGTGTAGAGATACCTTTAGGCTCACAGGTCAAAGCTTATGGATGTATATAATAGGATGCAAGGAACTGCCAGAATTTGACCTTGAGAAATGACAGCTGACAGCAAATCACTAACTACAAAAATATACTAATCATGGACCACTTTTCAAGGCAGTAACTGACTTAAGGACATTTAACAAATCCTGAGGCCACTGCCTTATTAAAGCACACAGCAAGAGCCTAATATGATACCCCAAATAAATGTTATATAAATTACAGAACACTTTAAGAAGGTAGGGATACTTCTAACATATCAAAGGGAAAATTTTACATAAATGCTTGCTTTAAAAAGCTACAGGGAAAATACTTCATTAAATGATGATGTTGGATAACTGAAGTAAGTATATACAGTCTGACATTTCTATAGAGGTTCTTCTTTAAAATGCACTCTTGCATGTGCTGGCTCCCGTGAAATACCTGACATTCTCAAATGTAAGTCAGCAATATTTATACAAGAACAGTGTCATAAGAACAAAAAGGGTGGGGTTGGAAAGGCAGAAAAACCTGAGTTCTAATCTCAATTCCATCATTTGCTGAATTTATGACCATGGGCAAGTTATTTAACCTCTCTGAGTTTCCATTTTCTCACATGAAAATAAAAGCAATATTTACTTAGTAAGACTGCTATAAACACTAGAAGGTATAATATGTCTTAGGCACATAATATGTGCTCAATAAAAATGATTTATTTTGCCTATTTATAAAAATACTTTTTCTTCTATACCTAGTACAATTAAAGTCATGTAATTGTTTATGCCAGAGCTAAGTTTGAAAAAATTATCTTTGATCTCAACGCAAATGTCTAACCTTGAAAATAATGTCAAAGATTATTATTTCCAAAAGGGAAGTACAAATGCGCCTTGACTTACAATACAGTTACATCCTGCTTAGCCCACTGTAAGTTGAAAATATCATTAAGTCAAAAATGCATTTAATACACCTAACCTACCTAACCTCACAGCTTAGCATAGCCTACCTTAAGTGTGCTTAAGACACTTACATTAGCTTACATTTGGGAAAAAAAATCATCTAATATAAACCCTAATTTATACTTCCTGTTGACCAGGTCTGAAAAAAAAAGGACACACACAAAAGAGAGCATAAATCCTATTTTATAACAAAGTGTTGAATGTCTCATATAGTTTACTGAATATAGTACTGAAAGGGAAAGAACGATTGTATGGGCACGGAAAGCACAGTTCTACTGAATGTATATTACTTTCACACCATCACAAACTGAAAAATCTCCACACAATAATAATGGGAGACTTTAACACCCCACTGTCAACATTAGACAGATCAACGAGACAGAAAGTTAACAAGGATGTCCAGGAATTGAATTCAGCTCTGCACCAAGTGGACCTAATAGACATCTACATAACTCTCCACCCCAAATCAACAGAATATACATTCTTCTCATCACCACACCACACCTATTCCAAAATTGGCCACATAGTTGGAAGTAAAGCACTCCTCAGCAAATGTAAAAGAACAGAAATTATAACAACCTGTCTCTCAGACCACAGTGCAATCAAACTAGAACTCAGGATTAAGAAACTCACTCAAAACTGCTCAACTACATGGAAACTGAACAACCTGCTCCTGAATGACTACTGGGTACATAACGAAATGAAGGCAGAAATAAAGATGTTCTTTGAAACCAACGCGAACAAAGACACAACATACCAGAATCTCTGGGACACATTTAAAGCGGTGTGTAGAGGGAAATGTATGGCACTAAATGCCCACAAGAGAAAGCAGGAAAGATCTAAAATTGACACCCTAACATCACAATTAAAAGAACTAGAGAAGCAAGAGCAAACACATTCAAAAGCTAGCAGAAGGCAAGAAATAAGTAAGATCAGAGCAGAACTGAAGGAGATAGAGACAAAAAACCCTTCAAAAAAATCAATGAATCCAGGAGCTGGTTTTTTGAAAAGATCAACAAAATTGACAGACCACTAGGAAGACTAATAAAGAAGAAAAGAGAGAAGAATCAAATAGACACAATAAAAAATGACAAAGGGGATATCACCACCGATCCCACAGAAATACAAACTACCATCAGAAAATACTATAAATACCTCTATGAAAATAAACTAGAAAATCTAGAAGAAATGGATAAATTCCTCGACACATACACTCTCCCAAGACTAAACCAGGAAGAAGTTGAATCTCTGAATAGACCAATAACAGGCTCTGAAATTGAGGCAATAATTAATAGCTTACCAACCAAAAAAAGTCCAGGACCAGATGGATTCACAGCCGAATTCTACCAGAGGTACAAGGAGGAGCTGGTACCATTCCTTCTGAAACTATTCCAATCAATAGAAAAAGAGGGAATCCTCCCTAACTCATTTTATGAGGCCAGCATCATCCTCATACCAAAGCCTGGCAGAGACACAACAAAAAAAGAGAATTTTAGACCAATATCCCTGATGAACACTGATGCAAAAATCCTCAATAAAATACTGGCAAACTGAATCCAGCAGCACATCAAAAAGCTTATCCATCATGATCAAGTGGGCTTCATCCCTGGGATGCAAGGCTGGTTCAACATACGCTAATCAATAAACATAATCCAGCATATAAACAGAACCAAAGACAAAAACCACATGATTATCTCAATAGATGCAGAAAAGGCCTTTGACAAAATTCAACAGCGCTTCATGCTAAAAATTCTCAATAAATTAGCTATTGATGGGGCGTATCTCAAAACAATAAGAGCTATTTATGACAAAGCCACAGCCAATATCATACTGAATGGGCAAAAACTGGAAGCATTCCCTTTGAAAACTGGCACAAGACAGGGATGCCCTCTCTCACCACTCCTATTCAACATAGTGTTGGAAGTTCTGGCCAGGGCAATCAGGCAGGAGAAAGAAATAAAGGGTATTCAATTAGGAAAAGAGGAAGTCAAATTGTCCCTGTTTGCAGATGACATGATTGTATATCTAGAAAACCCCATTGTCTTCAGCCCAAAATCTCCTTAAGCTGACAGGCAACTTCAGCAAAGTCTCAGGATACAAAATCAACGTGCAAAAATCACAAGCATTCTTATACACCAATAACAGACAAACAGAGAGCCAAATCATGAGTGAACTCCCATTCACAATTGCTTCAAGAGAATAAAATACCTAGGAATCCAACTTACAAGGGATGTGAAGGACCTCTTAAAGGAGAACTACAAACCACTCTTCAATGAAATAAAAGAGGATACAAACAAATGGAAGAACATTCCATGCTCATGGGTAGGAAGAATCAATATCGTGAAAATGGCCATACTGCCCAAAGTAATTTATAGATTCAATGCCATCCCCATCAAGCTACCAATGACTTTCTTCACAGAATTGGAAAAAACTACTTTAAAGTTCATATGGAACCAAAAAAGAGCCTGCATTGTCAAGACAATCCTCAGCCAAAAGAACAAAGCTGGAGGCATCACGCTACCTGACTCCAAAGTATACTACAAGGCTACAGTAACCAAAACAGCATGGTACTGGTACCAAAACAGAGATACAGACCAATGGAACAGAACAGAGCCCTCAGAAATAATACCACACATCTACAACCATCTGATCTTTGACAAACCTGACAAAAACAAGAAATGAGGAAAGGATTCCCTATTTAACAAATGGTGCTGGGAAAACTGGCTAGCCATATGTAGAAAGCTGAAACTGGATCCCTTCCTTACACCTTATACAAAAATTAGTCAAGATGGATTAAAGACTTAAACGTTAGACCTAAAACCATAAAAACCCTAGAAGAAAACCTAGGCATTGCCATTCAGGACATAGGCATGGGCAAGGACTTCACGTCTAAAACACCAAAAGCAATGGCAACAAAAGCCAAAATTGACAAATGGGATCTAATTAAACTAAAGAGCTTCTGCACAGCAAAAGAAACTACCATCAGAGCGAACAGGCAACCTAAAGAAAATTTTTGCAATCTACTCATCTGACAAAGGGCTAATATCCAGAATCTACAAAGAACTCAAACAAATTTACAAGAAAAAAACAAACAACCCCATCAAAAAGTGGGCAAAGGATATGAACAGACACTTCTCAAAAGAAGACATTTATGCAGCCAGCAGACACATGGAAACATGCTCATCACTGGCAATCAGAGAAATGCAAATCAAAACCACAATGATATATCATCTCACACCAGTTAGAATGGCGATCATTAAAAAGTCAGGAAACAATAGGTGCTGGAGAGGATGTGGAGAAACAGGAACATTTTTACACTGTTGGTGGGACTGTAAACTAGTTCAACCATTGTGGAAGTCAGTGTGGTGATTCCTCAGGGATCTAGAACTAAAAATACCATTTGACCCAGCCATCCCATTACTGGGTATATACCCAAAGGAATATAAATCATGCTGCTATAAAGACACATGCACACCTATGTTTATTGTGGCACTACTCACAGTAGCAAAGACTTGGAACCAACCCAAATGTCCACCAATGATAGACTGGATTAAGAAAATGTGGCACATATACACCATGGAATACTATGCAGCCATAAAAAATGATGAGTTCATGTCCTTTGTAGGGACATGGTTGAAGCTGGAAACCATCATTCTCAGCAAACTATCACAAGGACAAAAAACCAAACACCGCATGTTCTCACTCATAGCTGGGAATCGAACAATGAGAACACTTGGACACAGGAAGGGGAACATCACACACCAGGGCCTGTTGTGGGGTGGGGGGAGTGGGGAGGGATAGCATTAGGAGATATACCTAATGTAAATGAGGAGTTAATGGGTGCAGATATACCTAATGTAAATGAGGAGTTAATGTGCACCAACATGGCACATGTATACATATGTAACAAACCTGCACGTTGTGCACATGTACCCTAGAACTTAAAGCATAATAAAAATATATATATGAAAATAAAGTAAATAAATAAATAAATTGAAAAATCATAAGTTGAACCATTGAGGCCGGGGACCATCAGTATTATATATTGAACCAGATATATGCAAATTCTATTATAGGGCAGCTAACACCAGAGTACAGGTTTCTTCTTCCAGATTAACATGGAGACACACTGAAAGAAGTGTTTAATGGTAATAGTATGCTACAGAAGCTCGACTTTTAGATTTATATGTTACTTATAGTTTATAAATAATAATTATTTATTTTCAACACAAACTCTTGATGCTATGTTTTCAAAATTGTGAAGTTTCTGAAAAAGCTGTGAATGTAATAACAAAGGGTAATTACCATCTTCAATGGGGAAAAGGGTGCAATGATCTGATTTCTCTTTCACAATGAAAATATGTACTGAACAAGATGGGTACAGTGGCTCATGCCTGTAATGCCAGCACTTTGGGAGGCCAAGACAGGTGACACTTGAAGCCAGGAATTTGAGACCAGCCTGGGCAACATAGGGAGGTCCTGTCTCTATAAAAATTAGCTGGGCATGGTGGCATGCACCTGTAGTCCCAGCTACTCAGGAGGCTGAGGTAGGAGGATCACTTGAGCCTGAAAGTTTGAGGCTGCAGTGATTGTACCTGCACTCCAGCCTGGGTGACAGAACCGACACCCTGTTAAAAAAAAAAAAAAAAGAAGAAGAAGAAAAGAAGGAAGGGAGGAAGGGAGAGAGGGAGGAGGGGAGGGAACGAAAAACATGCCCTGAACAAACTTAACCAATCAATCTGTTCTATTTTTCCTGAATCAAATCCTCTTATGAAAAGTAAGTCTAACAGACTTAGGCTTGATTTTAAACTCTTAAGACACAAAACAACGATGAAAATACCTGAAATAACAACTACGGAAAAGAAGAATCTTCCATGGCTTGACCTGTCAGATTCAAAGATATAATCAGTCACATTAAGAAAGGATCTCTACGTTTGCATTCACTTCCTGTCACAAATAATAGCTCAACTTGAGCAGTAACAGAACATCAGAAACAACAAACAGAAACACTAACTTCAACTATTTTTATATGAGTTCCATTTCTTTCTCTTAGGAACCATTACTTCAAATAATGTGAAGAAGATATAAAAATATTTTGCTACCTGACAGGTAGTAAGACTGTAAGACTTAGGAATCCAGGACCCTTCTGTTATCATCCATGGCAATGACCATTTATTACTAGTTTTTTAAGCTGGGGCCTAAAGAAGCCATCTGAATTATTGGTATGAATTACCAAGAAAATATCAGTACCCCCAATATTAATTTAGAAATTCTTATGGCAGTCTGCATTGTTGTCAACATATTAAATGACGAGTTAATGGATGCAGTACACCAACATGGCACATGTATACATATGTAACAAACTTGCACATTGTGCACATGTACCCTAAAACTTAAAGTATTATAATAATAATAATAATAATAATAAAAAATTCTAACACCAATTTACCTCTTCACATCCTATTATCTCCCTATACAAACCTCTGCACCTACCCAACTATGCCTCTTGTACCCCAGGCGAACAAAGCTCCACACTTTGCTTTCTATTTTCCTAAATTATCTGTCCATCCTTTTATTTCTACAGAGGCAGAGAAAGATAAAAACACGCATGCATGCATTCACTCACAACCTACCATTCTCCTAATTGGTAGTGCAAAACAGTTCTTGCTTCCTTTGTGAATCCTACCTCAACTGCCTCAGTCCACAGGTTTTCCTCAGCTTTTGACATTTATAACCAATTCTAGGCATCTGACACATCACATCCAACTTTGTGTTATAATTACCTTTTTACAGAGCGATTTCTTTGTAAATCAGCTATGAGTAAGTTGAAGGCAGATAAAATGTTACTAATCTTTATATGCCCAGTCTCCACCAAAGTGTCTTGTACATATGCAGTAAGTCCTAACTTACCATCAATAGGTTCTTGGAAACTGCGACCTTAAGCAAAGCAATGTACAGCAGGTCCTTGAATAACATCATTTTGTTAAAATGTGGGCAAGGAAAAAAACTTGGCTTTGTTATATGTCATTTCTCTTAAAGTCACAGTTTCCAAGAACCTATCATCGATGTTAAGTGAGGACTTACTGTATATTTAATGTTTGTATGTTTGTTTTTGACTAGCAGGTAAATTTTGAGACATGTAACAGACAAGAAAATAGTATGTATAGTCACAGAAAGAGGGACTGTAAACACATTTCATGCATTAGACAGAAGTGGGTGTTAGGTAAAATAAGGGTATGATGGGAGGGGAAAACATGATGAAAGGAATTTATGTTTGCTACAGTGGGCAACAGTTCATTTTAATGTAAAAGTGGCCAAAATCGAATTAATGCAGCATAAAAAGGTTCTAGCCGGGCGCGGTGGCTCACGCCTGTAATCCCAGCACTTTGGGAGGCCGAGGCGGTGGATCACGAGGTCAGGAGATCGAGACCAGCCTGGCTAACACGGTGAAACCACGTCTTTAATAAAAATACAAAAAATTAGCTGGGCGTGGTGGCGGGCACCTGTAGTCCCAGCTACTCGGGAGGCTGAGGCAGGAGAATGGCGTGAACCCGGGAGGTGGAGCTTGCAGTGAGCCGAGATCGCGCCACTGCACTCCCGCCTGGGTGAAAGAGCGAGACTAAGTCTCAAAAAAAAAAAGGTTCTAAAAGCCATAAATAGGAGAATGAATTTGTGCTAGAGTATCAAGATACCCAAAATAAAGACTATAGAGTGTAAGGTTTTCAGGAGGAAAGTGATGTGGACCCAGCCCAGGGCATTCAGAAGAGGTGGATGTTAACTGTCCTGGCCAACAGTGCTGACTGAAGGAGAGACCAGGCCTCAAGGAGAGTGGACCAAGTAAGGGTATTCCTAGTACTCTAACACGAATGAATAGAATTCAAATGAACAGAATTGTCTTTACTTTTTTTCTCCCAAACTATAATTTTTCATGATTTTACTGATTAGATCGTTCAAACCAGTAAAAGCACCTGAAAATCATTGTCAGACTTTGCTTAAGATTTTTACTTATTATGGATAAGAATGACTCCTAAAAGGGTCTGGGAGCCTGCACGGAATAGCATGGAAGAGTTCATCACTAATAGTAACTTTTCCTCACTAATATAATTTCTACTTTTTCCTTGTGTGGCTATTCCTCTCTGCATATCTCCATTTAGTGACATCTAATGACCTATATTACGTGCATGTTACTTTACTTCATTCATTCTTTTGCTAAACTATAACCACCCTGGGAACCTTTTCTTGATTATTCTCACAGTCACTGCCTTTTACATCACCCAATTAACCATGTGCTATGCAACCAACCTACTCATTCCGAAACTTAAAAACATCTGTTCCTTCTCCCTGCAATTCTGCTACAATTCTTTTTGCAGCTGAAATCAGCCCTGAGTCATCAAAATGCCTCCAAGAAAGACTGATCTTGAAAAACATTAGAATGTTTTAATTCCAGCTATGCTCACACAAGGCATACTCAACTTTGGGCAAAAAAATGAGAAACTGTTTTCACTGAATCTAGCGTGATGGCAAAACCTACTTGAAAAAAAATCGTGAAAATGAGATATTATCTTTATCTTTCTGAGCTAATCAGGGCACTCAAAATGCATAGGTGATTTATTTACATAAGTGATCTCCTACCAGCTAGTTCTTAAAGAAATAAAATAGACTTCTAGAGACTATTTCAAATTAATAACTATATAATACTGTTACCCAAATCTTGTGGACATGAAGAAGTAATCAACTAAAAGTAAAAGAAAAACAACAAGTAGGGCTGACCCTTCTAAAAATGACAGGTAGGAGAAATACATGACATAGTAAACTTCCAAACAGGATGCTCTGGGAACAGAAAATACTTCATAGTGATATCAGATAATATTATAATAAGAAGCCCTTTAATATCTCAGAGATTCACAATTATTCCCAATGCAAGAATTCTCAGCTTTTGCTATTAACAACTAAGGAAGATAAACACTCAACATGACTAAATGAGCAGCAGAGGTGAGATTATAACTTTGAGCTCTCTTTATACTCCCATCTCTTTTTATGTTAAAAAAAAAACAACAACAACAACACAACGATTCTCTATTTTGGTCTTTGTTGTTAAAACCACATCCCTTTGGTCAAGTCACTTAGTCCAGTCAGTGGACTAGGATAATTTTGGCATACAAGCAGAACTCAGAAAGGGTTCAAGAACTATAATAATATACTATATATGACAATAATGCAATAGAAACAGTAACTAATTACTTCAAAATAGTATACAGAAAAATAACTCTGCATACAAGGCAACATAATGTAACTATGTTGTCATCTTCCCCATCTGTAACTGGAATGTTTAAAGTACCTACACTTTTACAGGTTGTTTGAGAATTAATTAGAATAGTGCCTGCTGGGCATATAATACTCAACAAATGTTGGCTATTTTTCTATTTGATAAAAGCACTAACTTTAAAAGTTAAAAACATAATTATTCATGTTTTTGGCTTTAAACAAATAAATTATCCTGTTTTTCTTTTTCATATTAAAGTTATAAAATGCTGACAAAGAAAAAAAGGATCAGATTTCCAAAAATATATCAATATGGTTGTAACATTTCACAATAAGATGTAAAAATTACTATATATAAATACATTAAATTTAAATATCCTTTTATATTATTCATTTCCCTATGTTTCAGCCTTCTTGCCCCCCCAAATTTTTATTTTAAACCAAATTTCCACTAGATAATTGCTTTTACTGGCTAATAACACTTAGAAAGCAAATCTGATGTAAAATACTAAAATCTATTAAGAAGAAATTATGGATCATCAAACAACCTAAAATGTCATTTTATGTCTGTGCACATAGGCGGTGGATAGATTAATTTTTAAAAGAGTATGTATGTAAATATGTATATATACATGTAAATAAAATGTGTGTTCACTGTTAATATTTTGCAAATTACCAAACTTAAATCTCAGCAAAAAACTTAAATATCTTATAATTTTTCACTATTATTAACTGAGTCAACTAATCAGAAGCAACATATTATTTTAGCAGATGAATGATCACTTGTGAAGCTATTTCCTGAGTACTGGAAATGCTCTGATCTTGTGACACTGTAAAAATAATTTAAATATACAGTTAAATATTTAACATATTTTAGTAAAACTGTCAATATCCAAATGGTAACTTAATGCTGACTTCTATTTTCAATGTTACAAATTTACAAGTTTCTCCAAATCTCATACTTCATTGCATTTAGCATAGTTTGCAAATCTTCTGAACTGCAAACTTGTCATTTTATTTATAGGCAATTAATTCTGTAGATAATAAAATTTGAGGACATGGAGAAGACAAATATTTAGTTCACAATTTAGAAAAAAAACTATTTTAAGAGATTATTAGATTTACTGGAATACATCTCTTTATTCCTGTTTTAGAAAATTAAAGATCCCTCCAATCCACACACCACAACATTAATGACAAGATGTCACTTACAGCAGCAATCTCAAACTTCTGAAGGTGCTCACATACCAAGTTAATACTTCCTATTACAAATTTGGGGAACGTGTGGATTTCTATGATCTAGACTTGGAGTTTGTTAGTGCTCTTTGGGGTGGAGGCGGAGAGAGAATTATCAGGAAAATGGGTCTTGTTTTGCTTGGGGTTGTTCACAATGTGCATGTTGTAAGAAGAGTCAACCAAAACAAGCGCAGGTCTGGAGCTTTCCTAAATGCATGAATTACAACCACACACCACTTGAAATGGGTCTTTACTGTTGTGCCTGCATTTAGGGTAAGGATGGAGGGAGAGTTATTTTGTTTTTTGAGACTTTATTAGGCAAGAGGACAAGAGAACACTCTTTTATAATGGATTAGTATTCGCTGAAGGAATGATTTTTCTCCTTTCTGTAATAAGTAAAATGCATAACTTCTAGACATTTAATATGAATCTAGATCCGAAACTGTGGCATTATTTATCAGACATGACTTCAGCAATAGGGATTTTTACATAATCTTTTATATTTACATGGTTATTAGTGTCTCTGAAATTCAAGTAAGAGAACTACTTCTTTTTAGAAGCAAAATACTGGTTAAAGAAAACAACAGGATAAGAAGTACCATGCTAGTTCCTTTCATCAAAATAGGAGGTCCACTGACTGCACTGTAAATACCTAAGTAGGTAAAGTATTGCATTTCCTTTTTTGGAAAACTTTTCAAAGATACAAAATAAAATTGTTTATTCTTTGTTCAAGCCATGTTTAACAAGAACTCACCTTAATATAGTGGTATAATGTTTTAAAAAACACTAGAATATGCCAAAATATTTCCCACAGTTTTCTACAAAATGTCTAGCTCAAAAGTCATCGAAATTTCCAGCTAAGAAAAATGCTAAATTTCTTAATTGAAAAACAATTTGAGGGCTATATTTAAAGTGTTCTCAGAAGAATGTATTCACAAAATCTACATTCCAAATAAAGTTGATGTTAATAATAACTTACAACCACAATTTAAATTAGAAAATAAAATTGATTTATATTGCCACAAAGATATACTAAGCCCAAGATGTAACAGAGATTAGAAATTAAAATTTTCAATGCAGTAAATATGTATGTAATTAGAACCAGAGCTTTTAAATAGTTTGATGAACTCCATGGTATATACTTAATGTTAAAAACAACAGAAAACAAAAAACAAAGCCCACTTGGCTTTCCAGTCATTCTTCAATTATAATGTTAAGAAATATTTATTAGTGCTTTCATATACCAGCAACTGGGCTAAATGCTGAGGATACAGAAGTGGACAAGAAACAGCTCAGCCTCATAGGGCTTAGTCTTTTGATAAGTTGTCTAAGGACATAAAGATAATATTGAGATTGAAACGTGTGTATTTTAGGACTTATGTGGCATTCTGTTTTGTCAATAATGCTACCAAAAGCACCTGGGTAGGAGAACAACCATTATAGACTATCTTTTAGAACTTTTATCTACAACTACTGTATGACTCGTTAGTAATCACTGCATGATTTTTAACATCCAGAAAGTTACAGTGTAGGGTTGCTCGACACTCAGCAGTAATCCCAAAATGCTCTGTCAGCAACTTAATAGCTATTGCATGGAAGTAGGGAGAATTTAGTATCCATAAGGTTTTCCTTTAACCTTCGTTTACTTTTTGAAGCTATTTTCAACAAAGGGATAAATACTTCATCTTTTATTACTGTAATATGAAACACTGAAAATTTTCCTCATCATTAAGAGTATTACAGAAAATTTAGCCATTATTCAACGACTATGTCACACAGATCTAGACCTGATTTCATTCCTTTCTCTCAAGTTTTCACCTACCTCCTTTTCTTTCTAATTTTTTCATCTAAGGAAGATCTTACCTTTATTTCTTTCTCTATCCTCAAAAAACATGAAATCACTTGGGAGACAGAGTAGATGTGCAAGGCTCCCCTCTGTTCTTGAGAATTCGTACTTTTGAAACAGAAAATGGTTTTACTTGGCTCCATAAAACATTTAAATTCATTTCTCATTCATCTTTTCCTTCCTCCCTCTTCCCAGTAACTATGAGATCTCATCTTTTCTTCCCCTCCAAAGACATTCTGAGGGTAATCATGAGTTCAGGGACAGGTAAGCCTCCTCCCTATCATCTGTATCACAAAATGTGGCACTCTCCTGCCAGAAGCATATGGCAGCATTAGCTGGACAAGTCCTACCCTGAAGCAGTGTTTGCCAAACTGTGAGTCGTGACCCATTTTCCAATACAGAAATTAATTTAGTGGGTTGAGACCAGCATCTAAAAACTAAATCAAAAGAAAAAGAAACAAAACAAAATGGCATCACACATATTTTGAAACTTCAGCTCACATTACATGTATATAAATACACGTATGTGTGCATATACTAGAACCTGAAGGAAATATATTTTGTGCAGGTTATGAACAAAAGTTTGGAAGTCATCGAACTAGAACATTCAGTTATTCTTCAGATATTTTAGAGGTTTAAAATATGAACGTTAGTTTCTTTTAGTAAAAATAAGTATTGATCTAATAAGCCAGATATTTTCTAAAAGATCATCAGTCAGCAAACAAACCAAATCATTACTAATAGGTTTCCTAGCATATTTCAGTCTTTTATAATAGAAAGATTCCAAATAAATACTTTACTCTTAAATTTAATTTAGGCTAAATATTAACATTTACTTGTTAATAATCTTAAAAATATTTTTAACATATCAAATAACAATCTGAGCTTGAAATACCTTAAAGGAAAAATATGCTACTTTAAAAAAAATAGAAATGATGTCCAAGTGGATGGTTTGATAGATTTTCAATTTTGACTTCAAAAATGAAGAGATAAGTATTTCTTTGCATCTATTGCATATGCACACGAATACAAACATCACTCTTACGTTTCCTTGGTGGTAGAGATTTTTTAAAATTCAAGTTCAGAAAGCTTAGAGTATCTGACTGTGACTAATGGCACCCAGTTACTCAGCAGGGACAGAACCAGACTGAGGCAGGGAATAATGTTGCTGTACTGACTGAAAAATAACTGCCTTAAAAAAAAATCCCATATAATGGTTATAGTCCTTACTTTCCACATATGGTTGCTGCAAAAAATTCCTACTTAAAATATAGAAGACTTTTTTCAAGCCTTTCTGCAGTGTCAAAGTGGAAACTTGGGTCTGACTCAGCCTTACAGCCACTCACAATTCTTGGACTATCAGAACTGGAAAAGACAACTAATATCAAGAGATGGCCCTGTAGCTTTGTGTCTCTCCATTAACAACCCTTTGGCTGATTAAATGTGATCTTGAGAGGCTTCAATCCTTCTTGGTTTTTATGGATTCTGGCTGGTAAGTGAAGCTTTCATAATGAGAAACCTAAAGAATTAGCATTAAGATTTTTACTAGACTTTGACATGCTCTAGAAAACAACACAGAGTAACTGGTGTAAAATGTAAACTATTAAACTAGAACATATCTACAAAAATAAGATGTGAAAAATAGAATATATATATTAAGATAAAGGTATTATGAAAAGATATATAGAAATACCCAGTCCCCAATCCTCACATAAAGGACTTCTGAAAAACTTCCCTTTTTAATTTCAAAGACTGCATATAAAGGTATAATGAACTATATCGCTTACTTAATAAAATCCTAAGTGGCATACATCCCAGTACATTTAGAAATTTAATCTCAATAAAGTCAAAGGAGTTACCGTCTTGGATGAGGATGAAATCTGCTTCATTTATAGTATAAAACTACAGTTGTGGATATGTTAAGCATGTCCTTTCTTACTCCATGTTACCACTCATTATAAAATGATTGGTGTTTTATGTAGCTTATATTTTAGGATAAACAAGAGGATAATCAAGCATGTTTAAAATCAAGTTCAAATAAAAAATTTTCTCTGAAAACTTAATTTTTTATGAATCTAGTATCTCTTTGGTTAATAGAAAACTTGAGAGAACATTTTATTCACTTATTATGGTTCACAATTTGGGGTCCTTGAATGCACTCCAGTGGGGTTCATGAAACCTCTGAAATTATAAGCAAAAGTATGTCTATGTATGTAAACTTTTCTAGGGAGAGGGTTCATGGTTTTCACAGGATTTTGAAAGGGGTCAGTCATCTGGGAGTAGAGTCTCTGCCTTGGGTGAAAGTTGAGGACTGAGCTTCTTTGAAAAAGAACCTTCCCCATGACTTACTGAAGATGTTAAGAGATTAAAAAAAAAAAAAAAGTAAGTTGAGGAAGGCCAGGCACAGTGGCTCATATCTGTAATCCCAACACTTTGGGAGGCTGAGGCAGGAGACTTGCTTGAGCCCAGGAGTTCCAGACCAGCCTGGGCAACAATGTGAGACCTCATCTCTATAAAAAATTTAAAAATTAGCTGAACATGGTGGCAACATGCCTGTAATCCCAGCTACTCGAGAGGCTGAGCTGCAGAAAATGGTGGCTAGGAGACAGGACTTATGTGTATCTCCCACTTGGATGAACAGAACAGTGTGTGAAGACTCACACTGTGAACTCTTGCTTCAAGAACCACCAAAGAAACATACCAGGAAAACCAAAAGAAGTCACAGACCCTTTGAAAGAAGTGGCTTGCTGCTGCAAACTCCATGAGACAGCCAAAAAACTGTGAGTTCCCAAAGTATGACAGGGGAAAAGTCTGCTTCTGAACATATATCCCCACTGGAAAACCTGAAAATCCAGATCATGGGAGAAGGATTTAACCTCACTTAGAGCTGAAATGGATTTAGAGAGCTGAGGAAAATACTAAAGTAGAAGAAGCAGCAGGAAGAGCCCTGTAGGCACTCCTGGTCTCCAGCTTGAGCCCAGGGAAGCCATTGTTAGCCTTATCTGAGAGAGGTCCTTGGGGAAGGCAGCCAGCAGAATTGGGAAGGAGCCACAGAGTGAAAGAAGCTCCTAGATGAACTCTGTAATAATTTCAAATGAGCACAAGTTTTCCTAAACAGAATCAGGGGGTGGGGAGGCAAATGGAAAATACAGATATGAGCACAGAAACTGCAGCTGATGGTGCAGGCAGGTGGGAAGGGGTGAGGCCTGAGAGCCCTGCTTGCTTTCTCAGTGGAGAGACTTGTAGCTTGGGTCAAGATCTCAGTTCTGCTTCCCGCTCCATGAATATAAACTTGGTGCTGTCGGTGGGGCACAGTGGGAGGAAGACTGGCATTGCTGGCTGCATGGGAACTGGATAAAGCCTGTCACTGCCAGCTTTCCCCACTTGCCTGGTGACCTGTATGATGCAGCAGAGGCAGCCATAATTCCCCTTGGAACATAAATCCACTGGCCTAAGAATCACCTGCTATGTCCCACAGTGTCTGCATTAAGCCCTGCTCAAGGAGAGTCTGAGCTCAGATCTGCCCAATCCTGCCCCATCTGATGGTTTTTCTCTACCCGCCCTGGTAGGCAAAGACAAAAGACATAAACTCTTGGGACCTCTATGACCCCGCGATCACCTGAGAAACCCAAGTACTTATCCTGGCCAATGTAGGGCAAGATTATATTCCCCTCCTACTACCACAGCTGGTCTCTTGAAAGCGCCACCTCCTGTCTGGAGGCCAGCCAACTCAAGCCATTACAGCAGCTCATAGCAGAACAATCCTGTACTGAGGAAGCAGAAAACAACAGCTAATTCCACCACCTGCAACACCTTGGCCAACCAGAAGTCCAGAGTCTGTCCATATGACAACGTCACCACTAGCATAACCACATTCAAGAAAACCAGCACACTAAACAAAACAACAACCAATGATTCCTACAGAGTTCACTTCAGTCCCCTGTCACCTTCACCGGGGCAGGTGCTGGTATCCACAGCTGGAAGATCTGAAGATGGTTCACATCACAGGACTCTTTGTAGACACTCCCCAGCACTAGCCAGGGGCCAGGTAGCCCCGCTGGGTGGCTAGACCTAGAAGGGCAATAGTAATCATTGCAATCTGGCTCTCAGGAAGCCCAATCCCTTGGGGATGATGGTGTGATGGTTAATATTGAGTGTCAACTTGATTGGATTGAAGGATGCAAAGTATTGTTCCTGGGTGTATCTGTGAAGGTGTTGCCAAAGGACATTAACATTTGAGTCTGTGGACTGGGAAAGGCAGACCTACCCTCAATTCAAGTGGGCACAATCTAATCAGCTGCCAGCACAACCAGAATAAAAGCAGGCAGAGGAACATGGAAAGACTAGACAGGCTAAGTCTTCTGGCCTCCATGTTTCTCCTGTGCTGGATGCTTCCTGCCCTCAAACATCAGACTCCCAGATTCTTCAGCTTTTAGACTCTTGGACTTACACCAGTGATTTGTCAGGGGCTCTCGGGCCTTCGGCCACAGACTGAAGGCTGCACTGTCAGCTTCCCTACTTTTGAGGTTTTAGAACTCAGACTGGCTTCCTGGTTCCTCAGCTTGCAGACGGCCTATTGTGGGACTTCACTGTGATCGTGTGAGTCAATTCTCCTAATAAACTCCCCTTCATATATACATCTATCCTATGAGTTCTGTCCATCTAGAGAACCCTGACATACAGGGGGAGAGCAACACATCAAGGGATTACTCTGTGGGATAAAAGAATCTGAACAGCAGCCCTTGAAGTCCAGATCTATCCACTGAAACAGTCTACTCAAATGAGAAGGAACCAAAAAAGTGATTCTGGTATGATGAAACAAGGTTCTTATAACACCCACTAAAGATCACACTAGCTCCCCAGCAATGGATCCAAGCCAAGAAGAAATCTGAATTGTCTGATAAAGAATTTAGAAGGTTGATTATTAAGCTACTCAAGGAGGTACCAGAGAAAGGTAAAAATCAACTTAAAGAAATTTTTTAAAAATACAGGATATGGTTGAAAAAGTCTCCACAGAAATAGGTACCACAAAGAAAGGACAATTACAACTTCTGGAAGTAAAAGACACACTTAGAGAAATGCAAAATACACTGGAAAGTTTCAACAATAGACTAGAACAAGTAGAAGAAAGAATTTCAGAGCTTGAAGACAGGCTTTTGAATTAACCCAATCAGACAAAGACAAAGAGAAAAAGAATTAAAAAAAAAAAATGAACAAAGCCTCCAAGAAATTTGGGATTATGTTAAAATGACCAAACATAAGAATAACTGGTGTTCCTGAGGAAGAAGAGAAATCTAGAAATTTAGAAAACTTATTTGAGGGAATAGTCAATAAAAACTTCCCTGGTCTTGCTAGAGATCTAGACATCCAAATACAGGACGCTCAAAGAACACCCGGGAAGTTCATCACAAAAAGATGATTGCCTAGGCACATAGTCATCAGGTTATCTAAAGTCAAGATAAAGGAAATAATCTTAACAGCTATGAGACAAAAGCATCAGGTAACCTATAAAGGAAAACCTATCAGATTAACAGCTCATTTCTCAGCAGAAACCTTACAAACCAGCAGGCATTGGGGTCCTATCTTTACTCTCCTGAAACAAAATAACTGTCAGGAAAAAAGTTTGTATCCAGCAAAATTAAGCTTCATAAATGAAGGCGAGATAGTCTGTTTTAGACAAACAAATGCTGAGATAATTTGCCACTACTAAGCCAGCACTACAAGAAATGCTAAAAAAGTTCTAAATCTTAAAACCTCGAAATGCACCAAAATAGAACCTCCTTAAAGCATAAATCTCACAGGGCCTATAAAACAACACAATGAAAACAAAACAAAAGCCCAAGGTATTCAGGCAACAACTAGCATGATGAATAGAACAGTACCTCACATCTCAGTACTAACATTGAATGTAAATGGCCAAAATGCTCCACTTAAAAGATACAGAATAGCAGAATGGATAAAAATCCACCAACCAAGTATCCTATCTGTTGTCTTCAAGAGACTCAACTAACACATAAGGACTCAAATAAACTCCAGGTAAAGAGGTGAAAAAAGATATTCCATGCAAATGAACACCAAAAGTGAGCAGGAGTGGCTATTCTTATATTAGACAAAACAGACTTTAAAGCAACAATGGTAAAAAAAAAGAAAGAAAAGGAGAGACATTATACAATGATAAAAGGATTAGTCTCCAACAGGAAAATATCACAATCCTAAATACATGCACCTAGCACTGGAGCTCCCAAATTTATACAACAATTACTACTAGACCTAAGAAACGAGATAGATGGCAACACCATAATAGTGGGGGACTTCAATACTCCATTGACAGCACTGGACAGGTCATCAAGACAGAAAGTCAACAAAGAAACAATGGACTTAAACTATACCCTAGAACAAATGGACTTAACAGATATTTACACAACATTCTACCCAACAACTGCAGAATATACATTCTTTTCATCAGCACATGTAACATTCTCCAAGACAGACCATAAGATAGGTCACAAAACAAGTCTCAATAAATTTAAGATAACTGAAATTATATCAAGTACTTTCTCAGACCACAGTGGAATAAAATTGAAAATTAACTCCAAAAGGAACCCTCCAAACCATACAAATACATAGAAATTAAATTATCTACTCCTGAATGATCTTTGGGTCAACAATGAAATCAAGATGGAAATTAAAAAGTTCTTTGAATTGAATGATGATAGTGACACAACCTATCAAAACCTCTGGGATACAGCAAAAGCGGTACTAAGAGGAAAGTTCATAGCATTAAACGCCTACATCAAAAAGTCTGAAAGAGCACAAACAGACAATCTAAACTCGCACCCCAAGAAACTAGAGAAACAACAACAAACCAAACCCAAACCCTGCAGAAAAGAAATAACAAAGATCAGAGCAGAACTAAACGAAATTGAAACAAACAAAAAGCAATACAAAAGATAAATAAAACGAAATGCTGGTTCCTTGAAAAGGTTAAAAAAAATTGACAGACCGTTAGTGAGATTAACCAAAAAAGAAGAAAGAGAGAAGAATCAAACAAGCTCAAGTAGAAATGAAATGGGAGATACTACAACTGATACCACAGAAATACAAAAAAATCATTCAATGCTACTATGAATAACTTCAGGCACACAAACTAGAAAACCTAGAGGAGAGGGATAAATTCCTGGAAATATACAACCCTCCTAGATTAAACCAGGAAGAAACAGAAACTCTGAACAGACCAATAACAAGTAGTGAGATTGATATAGTAATAAAAAAAATTGCCAACAAAAAAAGTCCAGGACCAGATGGATTCACAGCTAAATTCTATCACATATTCAAAGAGTTGGTACCAATCCTACTGAAACTATTCCAAAAGATAAAGAGGGAATCCTCCCTAAATCATTCCCTGAAACCATTATTGCCCTAATATTAAAACCAGGGAAGGACATAACAAAAAAGAAAACTATAGACCAATATCTCTGATGAACACAGATGCAAAAAATCCTCAACAAAATACTGTGTAACTGAATCCAACAGCATATTTAAAAGGTAATACATCACTTTCAAGTGGCTTTCATACCAGAGATGCAGGGTTGGTTTAACATATGCAAGTTAATAAATGTGATACACCACATAAACAGAATTAAAAACAAAAACCATATCAATGGATCCAGAAAAAGCATTTGACAAAATCTAGCATTCCTTGTGATTACAACCCTAGGCAAAATCGGCATAGAGGAAACACACCTTTAAGGAAGTAGACCACCTCTCCCATTGTCTCCTATTTCATGAGAAAGCAAAAGGTTAAAAGAAGAAGTGAGATCAATAGCCAGATGGCTTGGTGCCAAGAACCGTGCCTGGTAGTTAAACATCAACTCCTGACCTAACCGCTTGTGGATTCCAGACATTGTATGAGGAAGACTTCTGAAACTTTCTGTTCTGTTCTGCTAGCCCCCATCACTGATGCATGTAGCTCTCAGTCACGTAGCCCCCACTTGCACAATGTATCATGACCCTTTCACATGGACCCCTCAGAGTTGTAAGCCCTTAAAAGGGACAGGAATCTTTACTTTGGGGAGCTCAGATCATGAGATGCGAGTCTACCAATGCTCCCAGCTGATTAAAGCCTCTTCCTTCATAAAACCAGTGTCCGAGAGGTTTTGTCTGCAACCATTCCTGCTACATTTCTTGGTTCCCTGACCTGGAAGCGAGGTGATTAGTGGACAGTTGAGGCAGCCTCTTAGGCGGCTTAGGCCTGCCCTGTGGAGCATCCCTGGGGAGGACTCCGGCGAGCTTAAGCAAAGCAGATCCTGGGAGCACTCTCGCGTAGGCAATTGCCCTGGTCAAATGCCTTGCCACAGCAGTGTGCGGCAGACCCCCGTGGAGAATTAACACAGCGGTTGAACACCGGGAAGGAATCGGCGATTGGAGTCTGGACATCTGGAACATGGTAAGACTGGCCTTGGAACTGGCCCACTCCATCTGAGTGGAAGTGTGGGCTGATCACCCACAGCATGGCTTTCTTGGCACTTTGGTTTTGGTTTTCATTTTGACTAGATTTGAACTGTTTTGGTTTAGATTTCACTATTGACTTTTGGATTTGAACTGTTCTGGCTATGATTTCGGCTCTGACTTGGCTCAAATTGCTTGATGAATGAGTAATTCCTTATCCATACTTTGATTTTAGTGTGAATTGCTTGGTGAGTGAGTGACCTTTTGCCCCTTTTTCCCTTCCCCCTTTGTGGTAAGAGTGTTGTTTTGTCTCCTGAGAGAGGAAAATGTGTAAAATACAAAGTAAGCCTACCCTGTTAGGAACTATGTTAAAGAATTTCAAGAAAGGATTCAATGGGGACTATGGAATTGCTATGACACCTGGAAAGCTTAAGGCTTTATGTGAGATAGACTATCCAGCATTAGAGGTGAGATGGCCATCAGAAGGAAGCCTAGACAGGTCCCTAGTTTCAAAGGTATGGCACAAAGTAACTGATAAATCAGGACACCCAGACCAGTTACCATACATAGATACTTGGTTGCAGCTAGTTTTAGACCCCTCACAGTGGCTAAGAGGACAGGCTGCAGCAGTACTAGTAGCAAAGGGACAGATAGCCAAGGAAAAGTCTTGCTCCACCCGCCGAGGGAAGTCAGCTCCTACGGTTCTGTCCGACCCCACATCAGAGGATGCATGGCAGAAATGGCACCAATGGTGCCCCTCCTTACCAAGAAGAGAGGCTCCCCACATCGAAGCCCACAGCCCCTGAGCCTCTGCAAGGTGTGCACACCCCAAGGCCACCTAAAATAGACAAAAGAGGATATGAAGCTTGGGAGAAACCCCTCCCTTGGCAGCTTGCTTGCAACCTAAAACTGGGACACAAATGCCCCTAAGAGAGCAACGGTATACTGGGGTAAATGAGGAGGGGCATATGGTAGGGGTGCCTTTGTGTACCAACCTTTTACCTCTGCCGATCTCCTCAACTGGAAAAATAACATCCCATCCTATACAGAAAAGCTGCAAGCTCTGATTGACTTGCTCCAAACTATTATCCAAACTCATAACCCCACTTGGGCTGATTGCCACCAGTTGCTCATGTACCTCTTTAACACGGATGAGGGAGGAGAGTGCTCGAGGTAGCAACTAAGTGGCTGGAAGAGCATGTTCCAGCTGATTATCAGAACCCCCAAGAGTATGTGAGGATCCAGCTACCAGGAACTGACCCTTAATAGGATCCAAACGAGACAGAGGGTATGCAAAGGCTAATGCGGTATAGGGAAGCACTCTTAGAAGGGTTGAGGAGAGGAGCCCAAAAGGCCACAAACGTAAACAAGGTCTCCGAGGTTATCCAAGGAAAGCAAGAAAGTCCAGTGCAATTTTATGAGAGACTGTGTGAGGCCTATCGCATGTACACTCCCTTTGACCCAGACAGCCCTGAAAATCAGCGCATGATTAACATGGCCTTAGTTAGTCAAAGCGCAGAGGATATTAGGAGAAAGCTGAAGAAACGGGCTGGGTTTGCAGGTATGAATACGTCGCCAATTACTGGAAATAGCCAACCAAGTGTTTGTAAATACAGATGCAGCAAGCCGCAGAGAGAGCCGCAAAGAAGGTGAATGCCAACCCGGTGAAATGCTGACCTACTAGCTGCAGCTATTAGAGGGGTCCCCCTGAAAGGACAAGGGAATGGGGGCTCCAGGAAAAATACCCAGTCTGACCGTCCACGCTTGCAACGTAACCAGTGCGCCTATTGTAAAGAGACAGGACATTGGAAAGATAAGTGCCCTCAGCTGAAAGAAAAGCAAGGTGGTTCAGAGCAAAAGACCCCAGACAAGGACGAAGGAGCCTTGTTCAATCTGGCTGAGGGGTTATTGGACCGAAGGGGACCAGGCTCACGTGCCCCCAAGGAGCCCATGGTCAGAATGACAGTTGGGGGCAAGGACATTAAGTTTCTGGTCAATACTGGTGCTGAACATTCAGTAGTGACCACCCCGGTCGCCCCCTTGTCTAAAAAGGCTATTGATATAATTGGAGCAACAGGAGTTTTGACAAAGCAGGCTTTCTGTTTGCCCCGGACCTGCTCGGTGGGGGGACATGAAGTGATTCACCAGTTCCTGTACATCCCTGACTGCCCCTTGCCTTTGTTAGGAAGGGACCTGCTTAGCAAGCTGAGAGCTATCTTCCTTTACCAAGCAAGGCTCTTTACAACTGAAGTTGCCTGGAACAGGAGTTATCATGGCCCTGACAGTTCCCCGAGAGGAAGAGTAGCGACTCTTCCTAACCAAACCAGGCAAAGAGATAGGGCCAGCTCTGGCCCAGTGGTGGCCAAAAGTATGCGCAGAAGACAACCCTCCTGGATTGGCAGTCAATCAAGCTCCTGTACTCAGGGAAGTTAAGCCAGAGGCCCAGCCAGTCAGGCAAAACCAGTATCCAGTCCCCAGAGAAGCCCTGGAAGGTATCCAGGTTCATCTTAAGCACCTGAGGACTTTTGGAATTATAGTGCCTTGTCAGTCTCCATGGAACACCCCCCTCCTACCTGTTCCCAAGCCAGGGACCAAGGACTACAGGCCAGTACAGGACTTGCGATTGGTCAATCAAGCCACAGTGACTTTCCATCCAACAGTACCTAACCCGTACACATTGTTGGGGTTATTGCCAGCTAAGGACAGCTGGTTCACCTGCCTAGACCTGAAGGACGCCTTCTTTAGCATCAGATTAGCTCCAGAGAGCCAGAAACTGTTTGCCTTTCAGTGGGAGGATCCGGGGTCAGGTGTCACCACTCATTACACTTGGACCCGGCTTCCCCAGGGGTTCAAGAACTTCCCCCACCATCTTTGGGGAGGCACTGGCTCGAGACCTCCAAAAGTTTCCTGCCAGAGACCTAGGCTGCGTGTTGTTCCAGTACATCGACAACCTCCTGCTGGGACGCCCCATGGCAGTCGGGTGCGTCAAAGGAACAGACGCCCTGCTTCAGCACCTGGAGGACTATGGGTATAAGGTGTCCAAGAAGAAAGCTCAGATCTGCAGACAGCAGGTACGCTACCTGGGATTTACTATCCGACAGCGGGAGTGCAGCCTAGGATCAGAAAGAAAGCAGGTCATTTGCAACCTACTGGAGCCTAAGACCAGAAGGCAGTTGAGAGAATTATTAGGAGCTGTGGGGTTCTGCAGGTTATGGATCCCAAATTTTGCAGTACTGGCCAAACCTCTGGTACCAAGTTACAAAGGGGGGTGACATGGAACCATTTGAATGGGGGTCCCAACAGCAACAGGCTTTTCATGAGTTAAAAGAAAAACTCATGTCAGCCCCAGCCCTGGGTCTACCTGACCTGACAAAGCCATTTACATTGTATGTGTCAGAAAGAAAAAAAATAGCAGTCGGAGTTTTAACCCAAGACGTAAGGCCGTGGCTGAGGCCTGTGGCCTACCTCTCTAAACAGCTAGACAGAGTTTCTAAAGGTTGGCCCCCGTGTTTGAGGGTCTTAGCACCAACTGCCCTGCTAACACAAGAAGTGGATAAACTAACTCTTAGGCAAAACTTAAACATAAAGGCCCCTCATGCAGTGGTGACTTTAATGAATACCAAAGGACATCACTGGCTGACAAATGCCAGACTAACCAAGTACCAAAGCCTGCTCTGTGAAAATCCCCATATAACCACTGAAGTTTGTAACAATGAACCCCGCCACTGCTTCTGGTATCAGAGAGCCCAGTTGAACATAACTGTGTAGAGGTGTTGGACTAAGTTTATTCTAGCAGACCGGACCTCCGGGACAAACCTTGGATGTCTGTAGACTGGGAGCTGTATGTGGACGGAAGCAGCTTCATTAACCCACAGAGAGAGATGTCCGCTGGATATGCAGTGGTAAACCTTGGACACTGTTATTGAAGCCAAATCGCTGCCTCAGGGAACTTCAGCCCAGAAGGCCGAACTCATTGCTTTAACTCAGGCCTTAGAGCTAAGTGAAGGTAAGACTGTAAACATTTATACTGACTCTCGGTATGCCTTTTTAACCCTCCAAGTGCATGGGGCATTATACAAAGAAAAAGGCCTATTGAACTCAGGGGGAAAGGACATTTAGTATCAGCAAGAAATTTTACAGTTATTAGAAGCAGTATGGAAGCCTCGGAGGGTGGCAGTAATGCATTGTAAAGGACATCAGTGAGTCACCACTTCTGTTGCCTTAGGGAATTCTGGAGCAGACTCCTAAGCTCGCAGAGCAGCATCCACTCCCTTCCGAGCATCAGTCACGGCCCCTCTGCTCTCTCAGGCACCGCATCTAGTGCCTACTTATTCTAAAGAGGAAAGAGACTTTTTCAAGGCAGAAGGGGGGCAAGTGATAAAGGAAGGATGGATCTGGTTACCAGACAGAAGAGTAGCCATGCCACAGCTACTAGGGGCCACAGTTGTGCTGGCTGTGCATGAGACCACCCATCTAGGCCAAGAGTCACTTGAAAAGTTGTTAGGCTGGCACTTCTACATTTCATGTCTTGTCGGCCCTTGCCAAAACAGTAACAGCAATGTGTCACCTGCCAGCAGCAAAATGCTAGGCAGGGTCCAACCATCCCGCTCAGCATACAAGCTTATGGAGCAGCCCCCTTTGAAGATCTCCAAGTAGACTTCACCGAGATGCCCAAATGTGGAGGTAACAAGTATCTGCTGGTTCTAGTGTGTACATACTCTGGGTGGGTAGAGGCTTATCCAACACGAACTGAGAAAGCTCGTGAAGTAACCCGTGTGCTTCTTCGAGATCTCATCCCTAGGTTTGGACTGCCCTTACGGATTGGCTCAGACAATGGGCCGGCATTTGTGGCTGACTTGGTACAGAAGACGGCAAAGGTATTGGGGATCACATGGAAACTGCATGCCAACTACCAACCTTGGAGTTCCGGAAAGGTGGAGTGAATGAATCGGACTATAAAAAATAGCTTAGGGAAAGTGTGTCAAGAAACAGGATTAGGCTTAGGGAAAGTGTGTCAAGAAATGGGTACAGGCTCTCCCCACAGTATTGTTTAAAATCAGGTGTACTCCTTCTAAAAGAACAGGATATTCCCCTTATGAGATATTGTATCATAGACCCCCTCCCATATTACGAGGACTTCCAGGCACTCCTCAGGAGCTAGGAGAAATTGAGCTGCAATGACAGCTACAGGCTTTAGAAAAAGTTACACAAACAATTTCAGCTTGGGTAAATGAGAGATGCCCCATTAGCTTATTCTCCCCAGTTTACCCTTTCTCCCCAGGTGATCGAGTGTGGATCAAAGACTGGAACATAGCCCCTTTGTGGCCACGGTGGAAAGGATGCCAGACCATCATCCTGACCACTCCCACCACCATGAAGGTAGAAGGAATTCCGGCCTGGATCCACCACAGCCACGTGAAACCCACAGCACCTGAGACCTGGGAGGTGAGACCAAGCCCGGACAATCCCTACAAAGTGACTCTGAAAAAGACAACAAGCCCTGCTCCAGTCACACCTGGAAGCTGACTGGTCTATGCACAGCCAAAGCATAAGGAAACTCATCGTGGGACTCATTTTTCTCAAAATTTGGACTTGTTCAATAAGAACTTCAGCTGATTTTCCCCACATGGAGGACTGTACCCAGTGTATTCATCAGGTTACAGAGGTAGGGCAACAAGTTAAAATAACCTTTCTGTTTTATAGTTATTATGAATGTCTAGGAATTTTGAAAGGGATCTGCTTATATAATGCCACTCAGTATAATGTGTGTAGCCCAGGGAATGACCAACCTCATGTGTCTTACAACCTGTCTGAGCCTCCTATGACCACAGTTTTTGAAATAAGATTAAGAACTGAGGACTGGTGGGGACTCATGAAAGATACAAGTAAAGTAATACCAGAACAGAAGAAAAAGGAGCTCCCAAACAAGTCACCTTAAGATTTGATGCCTGTGCAGTCATTAATAGTAACAAGCTAGGGATGGGATGTGGTTCTCTCAGTCGGGGTGAAAAAAAAAGCTATATATGGCAGAAAATAAGTACATTTGTCATGAATTAGGACTATATGGTATTATTGAATGTAGTTATTGGTCCTATGTCATTTGGGCCACCTGGAAAAAGGATGAAAAAGACCCTGTTTGCCTACAAAAAGGAAAAAGTAATTCATCTTGCACCTCCGGTAACTGTAACCCATTAGAATTAATAATTACTAACCCCCAGGATCCCCACTGGAAGACAGGAGAAAATGTAAACCTAGGAATTGATGGAACTGGGCTTGACCCCCGAGTCAACCTTTTAATCCAAGGGGAGATCCACAAGCGCTCCCCCAAACCAGTGTTCCAGACCTTTTATGATGAACTAAATGTGCCAATACCAGAACTGCCAGGGAAGACAAAAGATTTGTTCCTGCAGTTAGCAGAAAATATAGCCCATTCCCTCAACATTACTTCCTGTTATGTATGCAGGGGAACTACTATGGGAGACCAATGGCCTTGGGAGGCCCGAGAATTAGTGCCCATGGATCCAGTTCCTGATATAATTCCAGTCCAGAAGGCCCACACTGGTAACTTTTGGGTCTTAAAAACCTCAATTATTGGGCAATACTGCTTAGCTAGAGAAGGAAAAGACTTCACCATCCCCGTAGGAAGCTCAATTGCCTAGGGCAAAAGCTGTATAACGGCACAAGAAGAACAGTCACCTGGTGGGGTCTAAACCATATTGAGAAGAACCCATTTAGTAAGTTTACTAAGTTGCAAACTGTTTGGGCCCATCCAGAGTCTCACCAGGACTGGACGGCTCCAGCTAGACTATACTGGATATGTGGACATAGAGCCTATGCCAAGCTACCTGATCAATGGGCAGGCAGTTGTGTCATTGGCACCATTAAGCCATCCTTTTTCCTGCTGCCCATAAAAACAGGTGATGAGCTCCTAGGCTTCCCTGTCTATGCTTCCTGAGAAAACAGAAGCATAGCCATAGGCAATTGGAAAGATGATGAGTGGTCCCGTGAAAGAATCATATAGTACTATGGGCCTGCCAACTGGGCACAAGATGGTTCGTGGGGATACCAAACCCCCATTTACATGCTCAACTGGATTATATGGTTCCAAGCTGTCTTAGAAATAATCACTAATGAAACTGGCAGAACTTTGACTGTTAGCCCGGCAAGAAACCCAGATAAGAAATGCTATTTATCAAAATAGATTGGCCCTAGACTACTTGCTAGCAGTGGAAAGAGGGGTCTGTGGAAAATTCAACCTGACCAATTGCTGTCTGCATATAGATGACCAAGGCCAAGTAGTCGAAAACATCGTCAGAGACATGACAAAGCTAGCACATATGCCTGTGCAGGTTTGGCATGGATTTGATCCTGGGTCTGTATTTGGAAAATGGTTCCCAGCATTAGGATTTAAAACTCTTATAATAGGAGTAATAACAGTATTAGGAACCTGCTTGTTGCTCCCCTGCTTGCTGCCTTTGCTCCTTCAAATAATGAGAAGCTTTGTCACTACTTTAATTCACCAAAATAGTTCAGCACAAGTGTATTACATGAATCACTATCGGTCTGTCTCGCAAAAAGACCTAGATAGTGAGGATGAAAGTGAAAATTCCCACTAATAAGTGAGATTCTAAAAGGGGGGAATAAGGAAGGAGACCACCTCTCCCATTGTCTCCTGTTTCATGAGAAAGCAAAAAGTTAAAAAAAGAAGCAGAAGTGAGATCAATGGCCAGATGGTTTAGTGCCAAGAACCAGGCCTGGTAGTTAAACATCAACTCCTGACCTAACCGCTTGTGCTATCCATAGATTCCAGATATTGTATGAGGAAGACTTGTGAAACTTTCTGTTCTGTTCTGCTAGCCCCCATCACTGATGCATGTAGCTCTCAGTCATGTAGCCCCCACTTGCACAATGTATCATGACCCTTTCACGTGGACCCCTCAGAGTTGTAAGCTCTTAAAAGGGACAGGAATCTTTACTTTGGGGAGCTCGGATCTTGAGACGCGAGTCTACCAATGCTCCCAGCTGATTAAAGCCTCTTCCTTCATAGAACCGGTGTCTAAGAGGTTTTGTCTGTGACTGTTCCTGCTACACCTTCAGGTACTAAAAGCCATCAATGACAAACCCACAGCCAACATTATACTGAACAGGGAAAAGTTGAAAACATTCCCCCTGAGAACTGGAATAAGACAATGATGCCCACTTTCACCACTTCTATTCATTACAGTAATGGAAGTCCTAGCCAGGGCAATCAGACATGGGAAATAAATAAAGGGCATCCAAATCAGTAAAGAGGAAGTCAAACTGTCACTTTTTGCTGATGATATGATTGTATACCTAGAAAACCCTAAAGACTTATCCAAAAAGCTCCTAGATCTGATAAATGAATTCAGTAAAGTTTCAGGATACAAAACTAATGTACACAAATCAGTAGCACTGCTATACACCAACAGTGACCAAGCTGAGAATCAAATAAAGAAGTCAACCCTTTTAAAACAGCTGCAAATAAAATAAAATACTTAGGAATATACCTAACAAAGGAGGTGAAAGACCTCTACAAGGAAAACTACAAAACATTGCTGAAAGAAATCACACATGACAAAAACAAATGGAAACACATCCCATGATCATGGATGAGTAGAATCAATACTGTGAAAATGACCACACTGCCAAAAGCAATCTATAAATTCAATGCAATTCCCATAAAAATACCATCATCATTCTTCACAGAACTAGAAAAGCCAATCCTAAAAGTCATATGGAATAAAAAAAAGAGCCTGCAAAGCCAAAGCAAGCCTAAGCAAAAACAACAAATCTGGAGGCATCACATTACCCAACGGCAAACTATACTACAAGGATATAGTTGCCAAAACAGCATGGTCCTGGTATAAAAACAGGCAGGTAGACCAATGGAACAGAACAGAGAACCTAGAAATAACGCCACATACTTACTGCCAACTGATCTTTGACAAAACAAATGAAAACAGAGTGGGAAAAAGTGCTGAGATTCACCTAATTCAACAAACAGTGCTGGGATAATTGGCAAGCCACAGGTAGAAAAATGAAACTGGATCCTCTTCTCTCACCTTATAAAAAAATCAACTCAAGACAGATTAAAGACTTAAATTTAAGACCTGAAACCATAAACATTCTAAAAAATAACACTGGAAAAACTCTTCTAGACATTGGTTTAGGTAGAGTTCATGACCAGGAACCCAAAAGCAAATGCAACAAAAACAAAAATAAACAGAAGGAACTTAATTAAACTAAAAAGTTTCTGTACAACAAAAGAAATAATCAACAGAATTAACAGACAACCCACAGAGTAGGAGAAAATGTATATACATATATATATATATATACACACACACACATATATATACACACACACACATATATACACACACATATATATAAATGTATACACATATATATACACATATATATAAATGTATACACATATATGTATAAATGTAATGCTCCATATATATGTATATGATGAAATACTACTCAGCTATAAAAAGGAACAAAATAATGGCATTTGCAGCAACCTGGATGAAGTTGGAGACCATTATTCTAAGTGAAGTAACTCAGGAATGGAAAACCAAACACTGTATGTTCTCACTCATAAGTAGGAGCTAAGCTGTGAGAATGCAAAGCCATAAGAATGATATAATGGACTCTGGGGACTCAGGGGGAAGTGTGGGATGAGGGTGAGGGATAAAAGACTACACATTGGGTACATTGTACACTGCTCTGGTGATGGGGTCCACCAAAATTTCAGAAATCACCACTAAAGAACTTATCTATGTAACTAAACACCACCTGTTTCCCAAAACCTATTAAAGTAATAATTTTTCAAAAAAAGTTGAAATAACTTCCCCTAACCACAATGAAATCTGAAACTAGCATGAAGATGCACCAGTCTAAGACTATGCTGAAGTCCCAAGTTTACACATATTTATATCTTTATGTAGGGCTTAGATAGAAAACTAAAACTAAAAGATGAGTAAATAATGGAAGAGTGTGTGTGTGTTCAGCTGTAGGAATAATTGTAATGCTCCATTTTATATATTTAATACTAACAGTACAGATGTACAGATACTTATTGGCATGCTATAGCAAATTTCTGAATTCATTTAACATGTGGCCAAATATCTATTATCTTTTTGTGTTCTTTCTTTTCTCTTTCTGACCTTTATAAAATGGAGCTCGTTTTTAGAAATATAGTTGTAAAATATCTCTAGCAAACACTGCCTCCAACACCAAGCCACCCACACTGAGGAACTTAAGTCCTGTGATGTTAATGAATGAGAATGTCTTTTCCTCCATGATCAAGTGAACAATTTCATATCCTGATTTAATTTTAAAAATCAACAACCAATATGTTCTTAAGAAAAGCAAAGCAGTCTCCATTTTTAAAAGGTTATATCTCATATTTATGACACAACATATTATCATCACATTTAGCTTAATGGGAAAAAAGTGAACATAACAAATACTGGTATTTCATATTCACAAGTCAGGTACAAGCCAACATAGGAAATGAACCTTACTTTTATAATCTAATGTCAAACATTTGAACTATGATTTTAAAATTGTTATCCCATTAACTTACATTCTAATTAATATGCATGTAATTTGGTGGAGCCATAGGAATTATGAAAGAACTTCAACAATTAATAAGGATAAGAATCTTTTAACAGTGAATGAAAGAAACCTTTCCCACAACAACATCAAAAGAAAAGGACACCCTAAAATCATGAACTTTTTTCTACAGGATTGATTATCCAGGCATAAAGGATTGACAAAAGATTGACTTTTGTCACCGAGCTTGTTAGGAAATGTGCAGATAAAGAAAATGTTATGTTAATAAATCAGGTAAGTGGTAGGGCAACTACCACTCTGATACACATAACTCTGAGACTGTGCTTTTGAGACACCATGTAACTCACACCATGCACACAAAAAATTCTCTCCTTACTGAAATATATCAGATAAGCTTCTCTCTTTTTAGTTACTTCAGCTCTAATAAAGAGAAACAGGATTTTCCAAATCATTGGACAGAAAAATATTGAGCTGTCAGAAATGTTCCTGCTGAAACCTATTAGGATTCCTGGCTATACTGATGAATTCGGTGAATGGGATAGCGAGGGGGGTTTATGAAGAGAATCTTGCCAATTCCCCTCATGTTACAGGGATATTAAAAATGGAAGACAAAAATGTACTTGAATACTTGTCATTATTTAAGGAACTAGAAAAGTCAAGAGGTTCCATAATTCAAGATCCTAATGATGAACTTTAGAGAACGTTTAGATTTAGGTTAAATTAATGGAGTTATTTAAAGAGGTGCTAATGCTATGGTAACTAAGATAAGATTTTTCATTTAAAAATGTTGATATTGTGGTGGCCAGGCATGGTGGCTCACACCTGTAATCCCGGCACTTTCGGAGGCTGAGATGGGTGGATCATTTGAGTCCAGGAGTTTGAGACCAGCCTGGACAACATGGTGAAACCCCATCTCCACAAAAAATTAGCCAGGCATGTAGCATGCACCTGTAGTTCCAGCTACCTGGGAGACTCAGGTGAGAGGATCACCTGAGCCTGAGAGGCCAACGCTGCAGTAAGCTGCAGTGAGTTGTGATTGTGCCACTGCACTCCAGCCTGGGTAACAGAGTGAGACTCTGTCTCAAAAAAAAGATGTTGATATGATGACTGAACATCTTCAGTATTAAGTATCTTGCATATTCTATTTAGCCTTAGTCTACTCTGAAAAATCCTTATTTTTCAAAACATAAAAATATGTCATATAAGCAGGTGGAAAGGAGTTTTAACTCACAACTCTCAAACGGATAGAAGAAAAATAACACATGGAGCCAAGAAACAAATGTGAAAAAAAAAATCAGAAAACTATGTAACAACAACAAAAAAATCACAAAACAAATGTATTGGCTTCTGGCCAGGTGCAGTGGCTCATGCCTGTAATCCCAGTACTGTGGGAGGCTGAAGTGGGCGGACTGCCTGAGGTCAGGAGTTCAAGACCAGTCTGGCCAACATGGCGAAACCACAGCTCTACTAAAAATACAAAAAATTAGCCAGGCGTGGTGGTGCGAGCCTGTAATCTCAGCTACTCGGGAGGCTGAGGCAGGAGAATCACTTGAACTCGGGAGGCAGAGGTTGCAGTGAGCCGAGATTGTGCCACTGCACTCCAGCCTGGGTGACAGAGTGAGACTCCGTCTCAGAAGAAAAAAAAAAAAAAAATTATAGGTTTCTCAGAAAACATTAACAGAAAGTTACAAAAAAAAACTGAGTGTCTCAACTCTTTCCTTTTTATAAATTGCCTTGAATGCTAATATTTTTTCATTTCTTATAACAAAGCTTAATGGAATCAATTAACCAACCCTCAACTAATATTACTATAAAAACAATTTTTGATAAAAGATTAAATAATGCTTTCCCACTAAGATAAGAAGCAAGACAAGTATGTCTGTTCTTGCCATTTCTACTCAACTCTGTATTGTAGGATTTAGTCAGTGCAATAAAGAAAAAGCAGGCCAGGGGTGGTGGCTCATGCCTGTAATCCTACTACTTTGGGAGGCCAAGGCGGGAGGATTGCTTGAGGCCAGGAGTTCAAGACCAACCTGGCCAACAGAGCAAGACCCTGTCTGTATAAAAAAGAAAATTTTAAAAAAGGAAAAGCAATAAAAGGCATCAAGATCAGAAAGGAGAACTGTCCTTATTAGTAGAGAACAATCATTTATGTAGATAATCCTATGAAATCTACATAAAAGCTACTGAACTAATAATCGAGTATAAGATCATAGAGTTTAAAGCCAATACATGAAAAGAAAAAAAAAACAATCAGCTTTTTACAGACTAGCAACTACCATTAAACAATCAGAAATTAAAATTAAATCCTGCCCAAGTGTCAGGGTGAGTAAAAAAAAATTTAAAAGAAAACTTTTATAATAGCATAAAAAATACAAAATAGATAAATTTGCTTGGAAAATGTCTAAGACCAATATACTGAAAGCAACGAAATATTGCTGGGAGACCTAAATAACTAGAGAGCAATGTGGCCTTAATGAATTGGAATATTCGATATTGCTAAAATTTCAGTTCTCTGCAAACTGATCTATACATTCAACACAATCCCAATCACAATCCGAACAGGCATTTTTATAGAAACTGACAAGATGATTATAAAAATTCATATGGAAATGAAAGGAACCTAGATTAGCCAAACAACATAGAAAAAGAACAAAGTTGGAGGATTTATACTACTTGACTTCATGATTTGTTATAAAGCTACAGTAATCAATATAGTGTGGTTATTGGTAGAGGAATAAACACATAGGTCAATGGAATGGAAGAGTCCAGAAATAGATTCACACATATATGGATAAACTGATTTTCAACAAAGCTGTAAGGTCTTTATTCTTTTCGAAAGTGCTTTTTGGAACATCTATATATCCACGTCTTGGAAAAAAATATGTTTGAGAGTAACATTCTGGAAAAAAAAGATGACAAAAAAAAAGAACATCAATCCATACTTGACTCTTCTATAAAAATTACCTCAAATGGACAATAAACCTAAATGTATAACTTAAAAGTATAAAACTTCTAGCAGAATACATACGAGAAAAATCTTTGTGACTTTGGGTTAGGAAAATATTTCTTAGATACAACAACAAAAGCATGAGCCATGAAAGAAAAATCAACTGAACTTCATCAATACTAAGAACTGCTCTTTGAGGACACTGTTAAGAGATGAAAAGACAACGATAGCTGGGAGAAAATAACTGCAAATCACAAATCTGATAAAGGACTTATATCCAGAAGATATAAAAAATGTTCAAAACTCAGTAAGAAAACAAAAAACCCAATTTTAAAATAACAAGATTTGAAGAAATACTTCACTAGAGAAGATATGAACATCCATTTCACTAGATTCAGATGGAAAAAAAGTACACGAAGAATCTCAGTCATTACGGAAATGTAATACAACTACCACATGACCCAGCCATTCCCCTCCTAGATATTTACCCAAGAGAAAGGAAAGCATAAGTCTATGCAAAACTCGTACACAAATGCTCACAGCAGCTTTATTTGTAATAGCCCCAAGCTAGAAACAACGCAAATGCCCATCAGCAGGTGAAAGGATAATCAAACAGTGCTATAGCCATACTACTAATGGCAAAAAAACACAATTACTTTTACACCAACCTGATACTTGGCAACAAAAAATAATAAACTAGCGATAAGTGCAATAATGTGGATGAATCTCAAAATAATTATGCTGAGTGAACGAAGGCAAAAAACAGAACAAGTGAATATACACTATATGATTTCACTTATATAAAGCTCTAGAAAATGCAAATTAATCTATAATAACAAAAATCAGATTACTGGTTGCCTGGAGACCAGGAAAAAAAAAAAAAAAAAGGAAGGGCAGGAGGGGGAAATTTCAAAGGGGCACAAGGAAACTTTCTGAAGTGATGAATGTTAATTATCTTGATTGCAGTGATGGTTTCACAACTACAAGCATGTCATAATTTATCAAATTGTACAGTTTATTGTTCTTCAATTAGATCTCAAAAAAGCTGTTAAAAACATTTTTGTTTTTCAAGGCAGAGTCTCACTCTGTCACCCAGGCTGGAATGCAGTGGTGTGATCATGGCTCACTGCAACCTTGACCTCCCAGGTTCAGGCGATCCTCTTGCCTCAGCCTTCCAAAAACCTGGGACAACTGCCATGGCCAGCGAAATTTTTTTTTTTACTATTTTGTAGAGATGAGGTTTCACTATGTTGCCCAGGCTAGTCTCGAACTTCTGGGCCCAAGCAATCTTCCAGCCCTGACCCTCCCACCTCGGCCTCAAAAAGCACTGGTAGTGCAGGCATGAGCCACCGTACCCGACTTGTAAACATTTTTTTAATGGCAAAAGGGATGATCTCAAAGATTAATCTCTAAATGTACTCTTCTAAATGAATCACTGAACTGTTTCGGTCAAAGTCAATTTTACTATGGCAAGAATATTAAAATAATCAATTCCTTTGAAAAGCTGAAAGATTTCTTCAGCAGAAATATGCAAAAGCTTATGAAATTATCACCTCACATTCACTTTTTTTTTTTTTTTTTTTTTTTTGAGACAGGGTCTCACTCTGTCACCCAGGCTGGAGTACAGTGGTGTGATCACGGCTCACTGCAGCCTCAAACTCATGGGGCTTAAGTGATCTTCCCACCTCAGCCTCCAGAGTAGCTGGGACTATAGGCACATGCCACTGAACTTGGCTAATGACAAAAAATTTTTCTTTTTGTAGAGACAGGGTTCCCAGCATGGTCTCAACCTCCTGGGCTCAAGTGATCCACCTGTCTTAGCCTCCCAAAGTGCTGGAACACGATATTTTTATATGTTGATTATTATTAGCAAGGTTTTGATGGATTCTAGATAAGAGAACATCCAGGAAAAGTACACTGAAAATGAACAAACATACCTTGATTTGTGCAAAGGGTCTTTCATAACCTCCAACATACAGGAGGCCAACATTCTGAGGAAGTAACCTACAAAGAAAAAAAAGCATTATTTATAAAATACTCCTTCTTATAAATAAGGTTGTATAATTATCAAAATTTGAATAATAGATATAATATAGATATACTATAAAATATATTAGATGGATGCTGTGAGAAAAGTAATAACTGTGTAATTATTCTTATCTTTCACACTATGAGATAGTAACCAGAAAATAAATAATTTTATATTTCAGAAAATAATGGGAGCCAAGTGTGGTTGTGTGTGCCTATAGTCCTAGTACCTCGACAGACTGAAGCAGGAGGATTGCTTGACTCCAGGAGTCCAAGGTTGTAGTGTGCTATGACTGCACCTGTGAATAGCCACTCCCTTTAGTCTGGGCAATATAACGAGACCCCATCTCAAATAATAATAATGATCAGTAAAATGTTGAGAATGAAAAATGTAGAACACTCTAATATATTAGTAATTCTAACAAAATTACAGAGGGCCCTTGAATAACACAAGTTTGAACAGCATGAGTCCACTTATACAGGGATCGTTTTTCAATAAAAGTTACACTGAGTGTGCCTGCCTCTCCTGCCTCCCCTTCCACCTCTTCCACCTCTTCTGCCTCTGCCACCACGGAGACAGCAAGACTAACCCCTCTTCCTCCTCCTTCTCAGCCTAGTCAACGTGAAGATAACAAGGATGAAGACCTGTATGATGATGCACCACCACTATGCACTGTACAGGAGATAATATAAACCTAAATATATCGTACCAAAATCTAACAGGAAAACCTGACAAATACCTATAACCTTAACAAAAGGTACCCTCCAATAAGGGGTATAACAGAGAAACTCACCATTGGAAAGTAGCGGAATAAAGGTATTTGCTATGAAGGGATCTGGAAAAGTTTGAATAGATGGGATTTGGGATTAGCCTCACTCAAAGAGTGGGTACACAAAGGGAGAAACTTACACAATGTCCTGAGAAAAAGATTTGAGATAAAGAGGGCACAAGTATGGACAGAGTAAGAAATAATTTAGTTGGAGATGAGAACTCGAAGTTTCAAATTAACCATGAAGAATTTCAAATGGCATATATTTTATTTTGCACGCAATATGGAGTCATATTAAAAGATGTACTTATTTCTTATAAAACAATAAACATGAAAATAAAAATCAAACCAAATAGAGGTCTAATATAAAAAAATGGTAATGGTTATGGTCTCTGCATTATCCCTTCCTTCTTATTCCCACAGTTCTAATATGCCCATCTCTCTTAAATGCAATGAAACATTGAGAATGAAGAAATACTATCATTATAACTGTGCTTGTGGAGTATGTAAGGAACTGGTAGTGGTACAGGGTATAGGAAGGACATAATTAAATATTCTTGTGTTTAACTGACCTAAATGTAGATATATCTCATCTTTCTTTTATCACAAATCTTTTCATAATGGACATTGTGAATAAATGGATACAACTCCAGTCTGAACACGATTACACATAAAGAAGAAGAAAAAAACTGCCCATATTCCTTGCCCAGAGGAACTATGCAACGTCACTTCTCAGAGTCTCAACATTAAAAGTTAATGGCCTTTTAACATAATAGAATTCTAATGATCTCTAGGATGACTATAAATTCCATTGCATGAATCTGAGAATGGAACACTGTGTGGTATCTAGAGTCAAAACAAAAAACTAAACAACAACTGCAAACTCAAAACAATCAAAAAGTTCTCGGCATGCCATACTGATATAATCATAGAAAATTAGAACACAAGATTATCGTAACCATCTCTTTTAAATTCTGTTAGTGATTTCAAAACCCTACTTCAACAATTCCAGGATATACATTTATTCATAATTTAACTTCTCTGAAATTGAAATGTCTGTGATGCTAGGTGGTATAATAATAATAACCAGGTGATTGTTGTGAGGTAGTTGTGTGATTACCCTTCATTGACATGGTCTACTAAGACCACGAAAGCAGTCTCAAAGCAACTTAGATTCTATGAAATAAGGTAGATATTTAGTCTCCTGGGAATATCCCCTGTCCCCTACGTTCTATAAGAGCCTACAGGCCAGGCGTGGTGGCTCACACCTGTAATCCCAGCACTTTGGGAAGCCGAGGAGGGGGGATCACCTGAGGTCAGGAGTTTGAGACCAGCCTGACCAACATGGAGAAACCCCGTCTCTACTAAAAATACAAAAATTAGCCAGGCGTGGTGGCGCATGCTTGTAATCCCAGCTACTCAGGAGGCTTAGGCAGAAGAATCGCTTGAACTCAGGAGGCAGAGGTTGCAGTGAGCCGAGATCACGCCATTGCACTCCAGCCCGGGCAAGAAGAGCAAAACTCTATCTCAAAAAAAAAAAAAAAAGCCTACAAAGTATTAAAGGGTCACTAAGAGAATATTAATAGCTGCTAAATACAATTCTGAATTAAGCCAACTTAGCAAAAAGTTTTTCTTACATTTGGAATGTAAGTGATGACATCATAATTTGAAACATACTGTTGATGGTTACAAACACGACTAAAGGCATTTGTTTAGTAGATTCAAATAGGAAATGTCCCCTAATCTAAGAAATGGAGAATTTCTTGGCCCATCATTTGACAAATAAGAAATTAACCAACAAAACTTTAAATCGCTCCCAAATCATTGCTGGTATCATAAATTGAATGTTAGTTATATATAGCAGTAGTTTAATTTATTTCCTATATAACAAATGTTCACAGAAAGCTTGATAAAACCTCCTTTAGCAGCAGGAACAGTCACTGTTCATACAAATAGATGCTAGAAAAGGAAAAGAATAAAAGCTGCCTGATATTTAAAAATCAATATGCCTCTAAATTACTATGCATATGCATTTCAGGAAGTTTGCCAATATACTATTTAGTGTGTCCCTCCCTCCAACTTGCCTAATAACTACCTTTCCCTAAATAAGAAATTTCTTAAATATATCAGTTGGCACATATATATGTATGTATGTATATTTCACTTTTAAAAAACACTGTTCTTTCTTATTCATATACTTCTTTCTTATTCATTATCCCTTACCATATATTATATTACCACCTTTGTTTGAGTGGATTTTAACATGTGTCATAATTTAAAGGCCTGCTATGCATAAGATAATACTTTGAGAACACAAATTCTCACTTTTAAAATGGATTTCTTTAAATACTTTTAACTTTCAAAAATTATTTTAACAAATTGTATATGTAATTATAGTCAAGTAATATGTAACACTTCATCATGCACGGTGCTTATATACAATATAGCAATCACACATTTTAAATTCCCAGAGTAAAGCATTAATTCAGCACTAATAAACACATTTATATGTATATTTTAAAATAGAAACCCTGACTCACTTGGTACCAGGTAATTGTTTTGCCCTTAAGTTAGGCGAACATTACCATAACCTTTATACAAATGCTAACAACTGTAAGATATTTGCTTGCAACTAAATACTTCTATACTGTGGCTACCAAAGAGGATGTTTTGGAAAGTAGCAATAAGGAGGCATTGTTGGACAAAAACAATTTATCACAGCTTTAGAAGTTAATAGGCAAGACTAATATCCATTTTGCTTTCAATTTTCCAAACACAAACATTAACCAATATGTATTCTGAAAAGAAAGCCCCAAAATTGTTTCCAGAAAAGTTTCTCATAAAAGAAAGTAGAACTTGTCAGGTAATAGAATAAACATTTAAAAGAACTTCACTCACCCAATATTGATGATACATCAAACACAGAAAAACTGCTTTAAAAGTAAATTGAGTCTGTAATTATTTCAAATTAAAAGTTTAAAAGGAGCAAGGGATTCTTTCTAAAAATAAGCTAAATAACTCAAAATTAACTGTTCTATCTACAAGCCATAACTATAGTACCCGTTATCAGATATATTTTTAAATTGCAACAAAATACCTTGAAACAACTTATAGCACCTTGAATACTGACTTACATAAAATTCCACTGCTTAGGAAGTTATCCAAAGACCAGACTACATCCAATACATCTACTATTAGAAAACAAACAACCAAACAAATAGAAAGCAAATACACTGAATATAGGATCAGTAGTGCCATCTTCAACTTAAGAAAATGCATATCATTGATAAGGTCTACATTACTCTTTGAATCTTCTAGTGGGATGTAAATTTAAAAAGTGTATTCCATAAAGCACATTTTTTTTCCTTTTTTTAAAATTTCCAACTTTTATTTTAAGTTCCGGGGTACGTGTGCAGAATGTGCAAGTTTGTTACATCAGTACACATGTGCCATGATGGTGTGCTGCAAAGATCATCCCATCACCCAGGTATTAAGCCCAGCATCCACTAGCTACTCTTCCTGATCCTCTCCTTCCTCCCACATAAAGCAAATTTTGAACAAATAAAATAATGCAGATCATAGCCTCAGAACATAACTCAGCTAGAAATCAATAACATATAAGTAACCAGAAAAATCTCCATGTCTGTAAAGACAGAAGTGTACTTATAAATAACCCATAGATCAGAGGTAAAATCATAATTGAAATTATGAAATGTCTTCAACCAAATAGCAAAATAACAATATATCAAAACTTGTAGGTTGCAGTTAAATCCAAGTTATAAAGAAATTTACAATCCAAAATATATATATGAAAAAGAAGAAATGCTTTATAGAAATTGATGAGTTAAGTATCCACCTCAAGAAATTAGAAAAATGACAGTAACTGAAACCCAACAAAAATAGAAGCAAAGAGATAACAATTAGCAGAAATTCATGAAACGGAAAACACACTGGAGAGTATCAAAAACACTAAAAACTATTCCTTCTAAGACAATAATTGAATTGATTCTGAATGAGGCTGACAAAGAAAACACACAAATAATCAGTAGGACAAAGAAAAAAGAAAACAGCCTAAATGTAGTAATAAATAATAAGAGGATATTATAAATACTTTTATCCCAACAAGTTTCAAAAGTCAGAATAGAGACACTCCTAGAAAAATATAATGCACTAAAACTGACACAAGAAAAAAATAGAAAATCTTAGATGTCTCCCATAAACAATTTTAAATTACTCCACAAAGCAAGCAAAAGGTCTAGCAAATTCACCAGCAAATTCTACCAAAATTAATTCTAATTACACACAAATTTTTCCAGAAAATAGAAAAGAATATTTCCCAATTAATTTTATAAAGTTAGCATAACTTTGACATGGACACAAAATGCAATGTGGATTCAGAGAATAAGAAAACAAGCCACAGACTGGGAAAAAAATATTTTCAAAAGACATGTGAAAAATAAGTTTCATCCAAAATATTCAACAAACTATTAAAACTTAACAGTAAGAAAATAAACAAGTTTGCTTGGCATGGTGGCTCATGCCTGTAATCCCAGCACTCTGAGAGGACAAGGTTGGAGGATCACTTGAGGCCAAGAGTTCCAGACCAGCCTGGGCAACATAGCAAGACTTCGTCTCTACAAAAAGTATAAAAAGTAGCTGGGCACGGTGGCATGTGTCTGTAGTCCCAGCTACTCAGGAAGCTGATGCAGGAGGATCTCATGAGTCCATGAGTTAAAGGTTACAGTGAGTCATGAATGCACCACTGTACTCCAGCCTGAGTGACAGCAAAAACCCGTCTCTAAAAACAAAAATTTAGAAAAAGAAAAAAATAATAATCTGATTTAAAAATGAGCAAAAGACTGGAACAGAAACCTCACAAAAGAAGATATGCAGATAGCAAGTGGTTATATGAAAAGATGCTCAAGTCTCATATGTCATTAGGGAAATACAAACTGAAGTAACACTAAGATACTACAACACACCTATGAGAATGGCCAAAATCCAGAACACTGACACCACCAATGCCGGCAAGGATGTGGAGCAACAGGAACTCGCGAGCATTGCTGGTGGGAATGCAAAATAGCATAGCCCCTTTGGAAGACAGTTTAGTGGTTTCTTACAAAACTGAATATACCCTTACCACATGACCCAATAATCATCTTCCTTGGTATTTACTCAAATAAATAGAAAATGTATGTCCATACAAAAAACCTGCACATGGGTGTTTATAGCGGCTTTATTCATTATTGCCAAAACTTGGAAGCAACCAAGATGTCCTTGAATAGGTGAAAATAAATGATGGTACACACAGGCAATGCAATATTATTCAATGCCAAAAATAAATGAGCTATCAAGCCACGAAAAGACACAGAGGAAAGTAACAGTATAAGAAGTCAATCTTAAAAGCCTAAACATTGTATGATCCAACTATATGATATTCTGAGAAAGGCAAAAGGATTTTTTTAAGGCAGTGAAACCATTCTGTATACTATAATGCTAGATATATGTCATTATACATTTGTCAAAACACCACCAAGAGTAAACCTTAATGCAAACTACAGACTTTAGTGATAATTACATGTCAACATAGGTTCATCAACTCTAATAAATGTAGCACTCTGATGCAGAGTACTGATAGTGGGGGAGGGCCATGCATGTGTGGGGCAGGTAGCATATGAGAACTGTCTGTACTTTCTGCTCAACTTTTGCTATGAACCTAAAACTGCTCTAAAAGATCAAGTCTATTTAAAGAAAGAAATGACCTATGAAGCTACAGAAAGACACGGAAGAAATCTAAATGAATATCACTAAGTGAATGAAGCCTATCTAAAAAGACTACATACTATATGATTCTAGCTATATGACATTCGGAAGAGGCAAAACTATAGCGGCAAGATCAGTGATTGCCAGGAGATCAGGGGGAGGAAAAAAGGAACAAATGGATGTTGCACAGGAAATTTTCAGAGCAGAAAACTAGTCTGTATAATACTGTAATGGTTGATATCATCTGTACATCATGAATCTGTCTAAATCCATAGCACTATAAAACACAGCTAAACCCAATGGAAACTATGGACTTTAGTTAGTAATATAACCAATTTGTCCATCAATTGTAACAAATGTACCACACTAGTGCAACATGATAAGGGAAACTGTATGCCGAAAGAGAAAGGGTATCTAGGAAATCTCTGCACTTTGTTTAATTTTCCATAAATGTGGAAAAAGACCTATGAAAATGTCATTAATTTTTTTAAAAAATGCAATGTTGAAGTAAAAGAAAGGAAACATACAATATAGGCCAACTTCAGAGAGGAGAGGGGAGAAGGGGGGAGGATGAGGAGGGAAAAGGAGGAAAGAGGGAAGGGAAGGGGAAAGGGAAGAAAAAAGAAGCAAAGAAAACCATCAAATTGGGTTTATTCTAAAAATCATTTAATATTAAATAACTCACCATTGTAACTACCTGAGAAACAGGATGGGGGGAAAGACTGTATTGTTATAATGGCAGAAAAGGTATTTGAAAAAACTAAACACCCTTGTATAAGTACTCTCAGCAAATAAGGAAGAGAAGCTAACTTTTTCAATTTTATCTAAATGATCTAAGTAAATAAATAAATCAAATCCTAGAGGAAACACACTTAATGGGGAAATTTTAAAATTTTAGATGGAGAAGAATGCAAAAACACCTTCTATCACCATTTTTGTTTAACAATGTACTAGAGGTCCTAGCCAGTCTATTAAGGCAAGGAAAAACATGATCTAAGGTTTAGAGGGAAAAAAGCTCACATTATTCATAAACATAATATATATACATATGTATTCCCCCCAAAATGCAGAAAAATTATTAGGATTAATCAATGAATTTATAATAAGATTCCTGGATACTAGATCAATTAGAGAAAAATAGCAGTTGTATTACCAGCAACATGCAGTTAAAAAATGAAACTATGGATGATCCAATTCAAAATGAAATGATAAAAAATATTTTTAATCTAGGAATAAAACTAACAAAAGAAGTGAAAGACCTTAATTAATAAAAGTATCAAACATTATTGCAAGAAATTTAAGAAAACCTAAGTAAATGAAAGAATACAACATGTTCATAGGTAGGAAATTACAACACTGTTACCACATAAAATGTTCACAACCCAATTTATATATTAAATGCAATCTAAAAACTCCTGACAGAATTTGTATGAGAAACTTTATAAGCTCATTCGAAAATATATGAGGAAAAGCAAAACAACAAAAATATTAAAAATCATCCTAAAGAAGAACAAAGTAGGAGGACTTGCTTACTAGATATCAAGACTTCTTCTCATGAAGCTTTAGCAATAATGAAAATGTGATTGACGTAAGGACAAACAAGTACGTCAGTAGAATAGAACAGAGAACCTAGAAACAGACCTACGCATAGGCACTGAATTTATAACAAAGGTGGCACTGCAGAGCAGAAGTGAAAGGATAATCTTTCTAATAAATAGTGCAGGGATAACTGGCTATCCACACAGATGAAAATAATGCCATACAGGAAAATACTGGTATATCTGTCTACATTAAAATTAATAATTTATGTTTATCAAGAGATAGACTAAGATCCAAACTTCGCACAAGTCACAAGAATAAACTCCAAATGGATTGGGAATCTAAGTACAAAAAAAGGAGAAACCTTACAAGTATTAAAAGAAAACCTGAGTAAATTCCTCTTCAATCTTGATATAACAAGGAAATAAGAGAAAATGTTGGTAAATCATACTATGTAAAAATTTTTTTAAATGGCATGGCAAAAAAACACCATAAACAAAGTCAAAAGATAACTGACAAACTGGGAGAAAATATTTGTAACATATACCACAGAAAAGGGACTACTAACTTTAATATATAAAGAACTCTTAAACATTGAGAAGAAATGGGAAAAACACATTAAAAAGATAATTCAAAAATATAAAACATGGACATTAAGCGTATGTAAAAATATTCAAACTCACTTGTAACTAGAAAAATGCAAATTAAAACAACACTGAGATACAATTCCCACTTACCAGATTGGCAAAATTAAAAGGTATGGACCACACATTCTGCTGGCCAGGCTGTGGAAAACAGACACTCTCGTATACTACTATTGGAAATGCAAACTAGTATAACCCGTCTGGAGGGAAATTTGGCAAAACTACACATGCACTTAGCTTTTGACCCAGTCATCTTCCTTCTGACAATGTCCTTGAAGATGTACCTCCAAAAACTAAAAAATACATATACACAAGGCTATTTATTGCAGCACTGTTTGCAGTTGCAAAATGTTAAGGACAACCCAAACGCTCAGACATGGCAGAGTGGTTAAATAAGCTACGGTTAAATCCACACAGTGGAATAATATGCAGCGGTAAAAAATGAGGACAATCTCTACTTACCAATAGGAAATGATTTCCAGGATATATTTACTGTGTTAAGTGAAAAAAAGAAGGCGCAAGAGAGGATATATAGTATGCTATCCTTTGGTAAAGAAAAAGTACAAAACATTCATGTGTCTGTTTCTTTGTACAAAGGAATTACAGGAAGGCTAAAACAGAAACTAAAGAGACTGGTTTCCCATGAGGGATAGGTGAAAACAGGTAGAAATCATGGGGGAATAAAAATAGGGCAGCAGGATGAGTGAAGAGTGACATATCTATGAGAGTATCTTTTTATACAGTTAGGACTTAGAACCATTACAATGTTTCATATACCAAACGATCAATTAAAATCAATCAGTATGTTGAGAGAACCTAAAAAGGAATGAAAATAATTATATTTACAAATGAATAATACACATGAAGGGGGATGGGGACGAAAAGGAGCTAATTTAAGTAACTTCAGAAAATAGTATTTTGACTATATTCTCTAAGGCTACCAACAAAAAGAAATGTAGACAAACACTGTACTTAAGTCAATAAACTTGTTTCTCATATGGGTACTGGTTAGTAATTATGAAAATATATACTAGGATTTAACAAACAAATATATCATGGATAAAGAGATGCAGGTTTCTCACTGTACAAAGAGTTACAAATAAGAAAAGGAGAAAGGACAGAATTAACATTTTGATGTTGGATAAGGACTATCAGTAAGGCCTCATGCCTTTTAATATACTGACAGATGGAAGAAGAAATAAATACAAATATACACGTAGGTGCTTGTTAGTATATGATACATTCCTAGCTCTGTCAACAGAGAGGGCTTAGAATGACAACCAGAAGCAATGACCACACCTAGGATTAGATTTTTATTTCTAACTATCATTCACCAATAAAAGAAACCAGGGCTCCTTAGAGAAACAGCTAATTCCTGGGCCGAGGAAAGAAAATAGAAGATTCTGTAACATCTTATGGTACTAGAAAGTAAGGAAGTACTGAAAAATGATGGAAAGCATGTCAAAAAGACACAGAAGCCAACTTGAAAGAGTTCCCAATGGTCAAAATCAAAACACTAAAATAAAATTATAGTATTGGATTATAACCCATAAAATAAAATACAGCTCTGACCCTTGAATAACATGGGTTTGAACCACGTAGGTCCACTTATACGCAGATTTCTTCCACCTCTGTCCTCACTGAGACAGCAAGAACAACCCCTCCTCTTCCTCAGCCTTCACAATGATGACAAGGATGAAGACTTTTAGGATGATCCACTCAAGTCTAATGAATAGCATATTTATTTTCTCTTCCTTGTTATTTTCTTAATATTTTCTTTTCTCTAGCTTTATTATAAGAATATAGTGTATAACACATGTAACTACAAAATACATGTTAATTGACTGTGTATGTTATTGGTAAGGCTTCCAGTCAACAGTAAGCTATTAGTAGTTAGGTTTGGGGGGGAGTCAAAAATTATATGCAGATTTTCTACTGCAAGGGAGTCAGTGCCCTTGCATTGTTCATGGGTCATCTTTATTCTTAAGTCCATACCAATAGGCCAGGTGTGGTGGCTCACATCTATAATCCCAGCACTTTGGGAGGCCAAGGCAGGAGGACTGCTTGAGGCCAGGAGTTCAAGACCAGCCTAGTCAACATAGTGAGAACTTGTCTCTATAAAAAATAAACAAGTACATTTTTTAAAAAGTCTATACCAGGCCAGGTGTGGTGGCTCACACCTATAATCCCAGCACTTTGGGAGGTGGGCAGATCACCTAAGGTCAGCGGTTCGAGACCAGCCTGACCGATGTGGCGAAACCCCGTCTCTACTAAAAATACAAAAATTAGCCAGGCATGGTGGCAGGTGCCTGTAATCCCAGTTACTCAGGAAGTTGAAGCAGGAGAATCACTTGAACCCAGGAGGCGGAGGTTGCAGTGAGCCGAGATCGCGCCATTGCACTCCAGCCTGGGGCAACAGAGTGAGACTCTGTCTCAAAAAAAAAAAAAAAGTCTATACCAATATAAATAAATTTATGAGAAGAGACAGTTCTTGTTTACAGTAAAATTTATCTTAATACATGAAAAAATAATGAGAAAAATTTAAATTCACCAATATTTAAAATATTTACCAAACTGAAATTTAAAACCACCACAGTAATAATTGTTGCAAGCAAAAAACATCAAAAGGTATTAAAATTAGAAAATGAAAGTTTAGTGAGAAACATTATATTGCATAGTCTCAAAGTTTCTCCCCAGAAAAACACGTAACAATTACAAAAAAAAAAAAAATAGCAACTTTAGAGAAACACTGCAAATAACCTTAACCAAGTAATTATGGTTAACTATCACCAGTATTAAAGCTTATCAACACACCCCCTTCACTACCAACATATAATGCACTGAGAAAAGCACTATTTTCATAAGTTCTTGCCAAAAAATGCAAAAGACCCAACTAAGTGACAGTCTACAAAATAACTGACCAGTATTCTTTTAAAAGTATCAAGGTCATGAAAAACAAGAAGAAAGTATTATCACAGATTGGATGAAAGAGCCATGACAACTAAATGTAATATAGGATCTTAGAGTGGATCCTAGATGAGAAAAAGTATATTATTGGGGAAACTGGCAAAATTAGAACAATAAATGTACATAAGTTGATAGCATTGTACCAATGTTTATTTTCAGATTTTAATAAATGTCCTATGGTTATGTAAGATATTAAAAATGGGGGAAACCACGTGAAAGATATACAGGAATACTCTATGAAATATTTTTGCAACTTTTCTGTAAGTCTAGAATTATTTTAAAATTAAAAAAAAAAATTGGTCGAGGGCAGTGGCTCACACCTATAATCCTAGCGCTTGAGGAGACCAAGGTGGGAGGATCACTTGAAGCCAGGAGCTCAAGACTGGCCTGGGCAATGTAGCAAGACCTTATGTCTACAATGATTTTTTTTTTTAAGTTAGTCAGGTATGGTGGCACGTACCTGTAGTCTCAGCTACCTGAGGCTGAGGTGAGAGGATTGCTTGATCCCAGGAATTTGAGACTGCAATAAGCTATGATCACACTACTGCAGTCCAGCCTCGGTGACAGAGTGAGACACCCCATCTCAAAAATAAATAAATAACATTTTAAAAAGTTAAAATGAGATCATTTAGAGACTGAAAGAAGCCACTGAGTAGATGAAATTTATAACACACATTATCTCCTAAGTTGAACATATGACTACTCTAGGATCTGGCAATTCCAATTTTGTGTGAATACATGTGTCCTAAAGTACATGTGCATTATGTTTGACTATTACTGGTAAGCACCTCAAACTGCTATCCATCAAGTGCCTATATATAATATTATACACCAATGAAAAGGAATGAATTCCATACAACATCATGAATGAATTTCAAAATCCTAATACTGAACAAAAGAAGCTACATGTCAAAGAGCAAAGTGTGGTTTGGATTTGTGTCCCCGCCCAAATCTCATGTCAAATTGTAATCCCCAATGTTGGAGGAGGGGCCTGGTGGGAGGTGACCAGCTCATGGGAATGGATTTCCCCCTTGCTGTTCTCATAATAGTGAATGAGTTCTCACGAGACATGGTTGTTTAAAAGTGTGTAGCACCTCCCCCTTTGCGCTCTCTTCCTCCTGCTCTGGCCATGTAAGATGTGCCTCCTTCCTGTTTGCCTTCCACCATGATTGTAAGTTTTCTGAGCCCTCCTTAGGCATGCTTCCTGTACCGTCTGCACAACTGTGAGTCAATTACACCTCTTTATAAATTACCCAGTCTTAGGTAGTTCTTTATAGCAATGCAAGAATGAACCAATACAGTTAAGTGCAAGAACAAACTAATACAGTTATATTTATGTAAGGATCAAAATCACGCAACAGCAAACACTAATTTTACAGATGACTACCTAAGTAGTAAAAGTGTAAAGAAGAGCAAAGAAGTAAAAACCACAGAGGTTGGGATACTGGCTATCTTTGGGTGGGAGAAAGCTGTGATTGAAAAAAGGCATGTTAGGGCCTCTAGGATGCTGGCAATATTATTTTTATTGCCCTAAGTAGTTATTAAATGGGTGTTAGTTACATAAAATTTCATTAAGCTGTATATTTATGTTTTATGAACTTCCTACATGGGTATTGTATTTCATAATATAAAAGGTTGTAATACATAATACAAAAAGCACAAAGAAAAAACCAACATAAGCAATCAGTAAGAGAGACAGATTGACTCCTAAACAAGGGGTATAATATTAATTGATATATTAACATATTTTAATAGTGATAGATGAATATTTTAAGAGATGAGCTTCCAGGAAACCCTGAAGTCATTCATCCCTTTCTTAGTAAAGAACTGCATAAACATAATATAGAAACAAAAATCTCACATAATCTTGGCATAATGATTTTAAATACAAATACATTAAACTTTTAAAAAGAAACATAACTACATTAAAATGTACAGACTCAGCCAAGATAGAGTTACAAGACCACAAACACAACAAAATGATGGTTTTCAGAAACTGAACAACAGGTAGAGCAAGCCAGTGATAACTGAAAGAGAGGAGGCAAATGAAGTGCAGCCCATGACTACTCTGGCTTACTACCTGGAGCTTTCAGACCACAGTGCAAGAAAGAAGAATGCAAGCCTATACACCCTAAAATATTTGCTCTCTGGTTATTTGCCAGCCCCTGCCCTAAATAAATGAAATTGTATGTCCACAAAGAGGCTGTACCCAAGTTTCAAAGCAATTTATTCATAATAGCCAAAAATTAGAAATATCTCAAATGTCCATCAACTAGTAAATGGATAAGTAAATGGTGATATAGTCATACAACAAAATAATACTCAGCAAAAAAAAAAAGGGCTATTGATAAATGTGACAGCATGGATGAATGTAATATTGAAAGAAGCCAGACACACTACCTCAATAAAACACATATTGTATGTTTCCACTGATATAAATTTATAGAAAATGAATACTAAACAGCAGATGATTGCCAGAGAAGGGAGTGAGGATATGAAAAAAGGGAAGAAGGAAAAGAGGGAAGGATTAGAAAAAGACAGAAGGAAAATTTTGGGGGTGATGGACATGTTTATCATCTTATCCTGGGAACAGTGATTTCATATGTAAAAACTGATTAACTTGCAAACTTTAAATATGTGCAGTTTATTATAAATCAATTATTCCTCAAACCTGTAAACAATACAGACTTCATCTCTCAAATTTTGTTTAAAATATATATATATAAAAGAAAATCTACAGCTGTTCACAGACCATACAGCGAAATAAGTCTGCAAATAATTCTAAATAAAAAGGGCAATCAAAAAATTACCTTGAGACAAACAAAAAGCAACACACCAAAACTGATGAGATGCAGCAAAAGCAGTTCTAAGAGGGAAATTTATACAAATAAACACAATAAACACCTAGAGCAAAAAAGATCTCAAACAACCTAATATTACATCTTAAGGAAACAGAAAAAGAAAAAGCCCAAAGTTAGCAGAAAGAAGGAAACAATAAAGATCAAAGCAGAAATTTAAAAATTAGTGACTAGAAAATAGAAGAATAAATCAATGAAACTAAGAATTGATTTTCTGAAAAGATAAACAAAATTGGCAAACCCTTACCTAGACTGAGAAAAAAAGATTCAAATAAATGAAATCAGAAATGAAAGAAGAGATATTACAACGGATACCTTAGAAATACAAAGGATCATAAGAGATTATTATGAACAACTATATGCCAATAAATTAGATAATAGAAGAAACGGGTAAATTCCTGGACATACATAACCTATCAGAACTGAATCATAACGAAATAGAAAATTAGAACAAACCAATTACAAGTAAGGAGATTGAATCTGTAATAAAAAGTCTCTCATCAAAGAAAATCCCAGAACCTGATGGCTTCAGGCTGATTTTGACCAAACATTTAAAGAACTAATAATACCACCAAACTCTTCCCAAAAATCCAAGAGGAGAAAATACTTCCAAATTCTTTTAACAAAGCCAGCATTACCCTGATACCAATGCCAGACAGAACATTACAAGAAAACTATGGACCAATATCCTTGATGAACGTAAATGCAAAGCTCCTCAATGAAATACTAGCAAATCAAATTCAATAGCACATTAAAAGGATCATACACCACAATCAGTAGGATTTATCCCCGGAATGAAAGGACAGTTAAACATACACAAGTCTATAAATGTGATAAGCCACATTAACAAAATGAAGAACAAAACTCAAGTGATCATCTCATTAGCTATGGCAAAAGAATCTGACAAAATTCAACATCCTTTCATGATAGAAAAAATTCTCAAATAGGTACGAATAAAATGTACCTCAACATACTAAAGACCACATATGACAGGCCAACAGATAACATTATATTCAACAATAAAAAGTTGAAACCTTCTCTTCTAAGATCAGGAACAAAGCAAAGACCACTACTCTCACCACTTCTCTTCAACACAGTACTGGAAGTCCTTGCTGGAGCAAGTAGGCAAGAGAAAGAAAGAAAAGGCATCCAAATAGGAAAGGAAGTAGTGAAATTGTCGATACTTGCTGATCTTATATGGAGAGAGCTATAAAGATTCTACCAAACAAAAACAAAAACAAAAACCTATTAGAACTAATAAACAAATACAGTCAAGTTGTAGAATATAAAATCAACACACAAAAATCAGTAGCATTTCTATATCCTAACAACAAACTATCCAAAAATGAAATCAACAATCCCATTTATAATAGTTAAAAAATGAATAAAATGCTTAGAAATAAATTTAGAAAGTGAAAGGCCTACACACGAAAAATTATAAAACACTGATGAAAGAAACAGAAGACACAAGTAAATGGAAAGATACTCCTTGTTCATGGATTAGAAGAATTAATATTGTTAAAAAGTCCATACTACCCAGTGATTACAGATTCAATACAATCCCTATCGAAATTACAATGACATTTTTCACAAAAATAGAAAAAAAAATTCTAAAATTCCTATGGGACTACAAAAAACCCTGAATAGCCAAGGCAATTTTGAGCAAAAAGAATAAAGTGGGAGGTATCACACTACTACTAATTTCAAACTGTATTACAAAGCTATAGTAATTAAAACAGCATGGTACTGCCATAAAAATAGATACGCTGACCAATGGAAGAGAATAGACAGCTCAGAAATGAATCCACATATTTATGGTCAATTGATTTTTGACAGAGGTTCTCTCCCTCTCTCTCCTCCCTTCCACCTTCCACCACAGCATGGCCCAGCACAAAGGCCCTAATCACATACTAGCCCCTTGATTAACACACCAGCCCCCTGCTCTGGACTTCTCAGCCTCTGGAACTCTGAGAAATACATTTGTGTTCATTATAAATTGCCCAGTCTGTGGTATTTTGTTATAGCGCACAAACAAACTAAGACAAAGACTTAAATGTAAGATCTGAAACTGTAAAACTACTGGAAAAAAAATAGATCAAAAACTACATAACATTGGTCTGGGCAATGATTTTTTGAATTTGACCCTAAAAGTTCAGGCAACAAAAGCAAAAATAGACAAATGGATTTACATCAAACTAAAAACCTTCTGCACAGCAAAAAAACAACAAAGTGAAGAGACAACCTACAGATTTGGAGAAAATATCTGTAAGCGAGACATTTGATAAGGGATTAATACCCAAAATATATAAGGAACTCAAAAAAACTCAAAAGCAAGAAAACAATCTGATTGAAAAATGGGCAAAGAACTTGAATAGACATTTCTCAAAAGACAACATACAAATGGCCAACAGGTATATGAAAAATTGTTCAATATCACTAAGCATTAGGGAAATGTAAATTAGAATCACAATGAGATACCACCTCATACCTACCACCACATTTTCAAAATGACAAAAGATAACCAGTTTTTGCAAGGAAAAAAGAAACCTTTTGTATACTATTGGTGGGAATGTAAGTTAGTACATCCATATGGAAAACTATATAGAGGTTCCTCCAAAAACTAAAAGTAGAATTATGATATGATCCAGCAATCCCACTTCTGGGTATATATCTAAAGGATTTGAAATCAGTATGACAAAGAGATATCTGCACTCTTGTGTTTACTGCAGCACTATTCACAATAGCCAAGTTATGGAATCAACCTAAATGTTCATTGACAGATGAATGGATAAAGAAAATGTGGTATACATAAACAAATGGAATACTATTTAGCCTTTAAAGAAAGATATTCTGTCATTTGTGACAACATGGAAGAATCTTGAGGATGTTATGCTAAGTGAAATAACACAGGCACAGAAAGACAAATACTGCATGATGTTCTCACTTACATGTGAAATTGAAAAGAATCTAACTTATAGACGAGAGTTGAATGGTTGGTGGTGACCAAAGGTTAGGGGATGGGGGAAACAGGGAGATGTTGATCAAAGCGTACAGTTTCAATTAGACAAGAAGAAAAAGGTTTTTGGGATACACTGCACAGCATAATGACTACAGTTAATAACAGTGTAGTCTACACTTCAAAATTGCTAAGACAGCAAATTTCAAACGTGCTCACCACAAAAAAGTGTAATTATGTGAAGTGAAGAATGTCAATTAGCTTGGTTTAATAATTCTACTTTGTATACATATAACATCACTTTGTACCTCATAAATATTGTAATCGTAATGACAATTTGTCAATTTACAATAAAAAAATCTCTAAATTGATCCTTCCTGATCATTCTAAATGGATAGTTGATTTATTATTTGAATACTTAAGTAAATAGTTGAAAAGTGAATTTTAACAGGGAAATCATTAAATACAAAATAGTTCCCTACCTAACTTGTTATCTAATGATCCTACAAACTATTCTATGGCTTACTTTTACCTACAAAAGATGAGAGGGGAGAATGATTTATGTGGGAATTAGTCTCAAATCTGAAATCATCTGAATCATCATATTCATAAATTCTCATCTCCTTGACATTGACTGCAGGATGAACAGAAATCCTGAAGTACACACACACACACACACACACACACACACACAAAATGTGTAAAGTGCATTTGTTAAAAGGTTAAATGGAATAAATCTTTTATTTCCTGTGTTGGGAAATTCTGAATCTTACTTTGTTTTTCCCTCTATTTTTGTGTAAAGAGTTTCTTTTTTTATACTTCAGACAAGTAAGAAAATTGACTATGGAGTTTTCCTCTTCCCCTGGGAAAATGTAAGAACATTATGTTAGGAAGCCGTTTCTGCAGAAAAAGAAGTACAAAAGATGCTCTGGAGACTAGAAACAGAGAAATTTAAGCTGAGTGGATATAATTCACAAATCAATTTTTTTCAGTCTAAATTATAGTACTATGTCACATGTTACCAGCTGTTCCAATAATAGCTATGATCAATCAAAAAGAAAAATGTTGTTGTTTTTGAAATTACAGATCCCAGAAAGACTGACTGTTATATTCCACATTAAAAAGAATTATGGCAATTCTAAATTTCAAGGATGAGTTCAGCTTCATAGAACTCTCTACAAAATGCTGACAGAAACATGAACTATAATCAAAATACAAAGAATCACCTCAGTCTCACTTACAGAATATAAGTTAAATTGGTCTTTACTATAGTGACTATTAATTTTAACTTGAATAATTCATTAGTAAACATTAGATATGCATCCCTTTTATTAAAATATGAATTTTGCCCCTGTAATCCCAGCACTTTGGGAGGCCGCGGTGGGTGGATCACGAGGTCAGGAGATCAAGACCATCCTGGCTAACACGGTGAAACCCTGTCTCTACTAAAAATAAAAAAAATTAGCCAGGCGTGGTGGCGGGCACCTATAGTCCCAGCTGCTCAGGAGGCTGAGGCAGGAGAATGGCATGAACCTGGGAGGCGGAGCTTGTAGTGAGCAGAGATTATGCCACTGCACTCCAGCATGGGTGACAAAGCAAGACTGTCTCAAAAAAAATAAAATAAAAATAAATATGAATTCTGGGCTGGGTGCTGTGGCTCACACCTGTAATCCCAGCACTTTGGAGGTCGAAGTCGGCAGATTGAGCTCAGGAGTTTGACATCAGCCTGGGCACCATGATGAGACACTGTCTCTACTAAAAATACAAAAAACAAAACAAAACAAGCCAGGTGTGGTGGTGCATGCCTGTGGTCTCAGCTACTCAGGAGGCTGAGGTGGAAGGATAACTTGAGCCCAGGGGGCAGAGGTTGCAGTAAGCCGAGACTGCACCACTGCACTCCAGCCTGGGTGACAGAGTGAGACCCTGTCTTGGAAAAAAATATATATATGATATATATATATGATATATATATGAAATACATATATATGATATATATATGAAATACATATATATGATATATATATATGAAATACATATATATGATATATATATGAAATACATATATGATATATATATGAAATACATATATATGATATATATATGAAATACATATATATGATATATATATGAAATACATATATATGATATATATATGAAATACATATATATGATATATATATGAAATACATATATATGATATATATATGAAATACATATGATATATATGACATATATATGATATATATATGAAATATATATGATATATATGAAATATATATATCATATATATATGAAATATATATATGAAATATATATATAAATATATATGATATATATATTTCATATATATCATATATATATGAAATATATATATGAAATATATATGAATTTTGGTAGGTATTGAATTATCATTATTAGAAATGAAAAATTGCTAGCTATCTTGATTTTTAAGTAATTAATTCCTTATCATTTTCATGACTGTATAAATATGAATCAGCCTACTGAGTTAGTTTAACAGACAGTACTTACCTTAACTGAGTCATTATATTCTTGTGTTCAAACAGAGTAACTACTGGCTAGCTATCATTTGTAAAAGGCCTTGAACAAACTTTTTACTTAGCTGAGTATCTCATGTAAAATAATTTCAGCTATTACAATTTATTTTATCTTTTCTTTTGATATCAGCTCTAAACACATTTATACTAATAATATATACTAAAACTATTTTAATAACTTCAAATTTAAAAGCGATTAACTAGAAGGCTATATTGTCAGTCTTAAGTTTTTTGTTTATAAATAACTACACTTATCCTAGATATATGCATTGTTCAACTAAAAGTTAAAAGTTAACATAAAGTATGAGGGAGTTCAACCTCCGTAGCATGACTAAGTTCTATTCTAAGCATTCAAGGCAAAGTTCTAGAATCTCATGTGCTGAGCTGATAACAGGAGAAAGCATGAGATGTCCATTAATAAAGTAACTCTCAGTGCACAGCGCTGGCAATGTTATGTAGTACGCATAACTCTAAAATGTCTTAAAATGATGAGTATAAACAATTACATAGCTGACTAGGATCACTCTTTATAAGTGACTTAAAGTCTCACTTACCCTCGTGGTGAAATTAATTAGATTATTCCCAAAAAGTGAGACAGAGATCTAATAATAATAATATTTTTCCATTCTATTAGATGATGAACTTCTGAAGCAGTTTATGGTCATCACAACCTTAGAATATGCTCAGCAAAAATGTGAAAAGTAGTCATATAATACTCTCTTTTCCTCACACAAATTTATCAGACTTTCCGAATGACTTAAATAGTATGAAACAATAATTAAAACAGCAATTTCATAAAAGATTTTTACTGTAGTTTTAAAATTGATTATTTTGTACACCAATGTTCACTGTAGCATTATTCACAGTAGCCAAAAGGCAGAAACAACCCATATGCCCATCAATAATAAATTTTTCACGGTGGCTCATGCCTGTAATCCTAACATTTTTGGAGGCTGAATTAAGAAGATTGCTTGAGGCCAGGAGTTTAAGTTCAGCCTGATAACACAGTGAGACCTCGTCTCTACAAAAAATAAAAAATTACCCAGGCATGGTGGCACACGCCTGTAGTCCCAGTAAAAGGATCACTTGAGCCTAGGAGGCTGAGGCTGCAGTGAGCCATGATAGTGCCACTGTACTCAGGTCTGGGCAACAGAGCAAGGCCCTGTCTCAACAAACAAACAAAAAAACACAATGGATTTTTTTAACGTGGTATGCACCTACAATGGAACATTATTCAGCCTTAAAAGGAATGACATTCTGACATGTTATAATATGGATAAAACTTGAAAACATTATGCTAAGTGACATAAGTCAGACACAAAAAGACAAATATTGTATGGTTTGAATCATATAAGGTATACAGAATATGCAAACTCACAAATTCAGAAAATAGAATAGTGGTTACCAGGGGTGAAGAAGAGAGAGGAATGAGGAGTTACTGTTTAATGGCTACAGAGTTTCTGTTTGGGATGATGAGAAAGTTCTGGAAATGGAAAGTGAAAATAGTGGCAGGAAATTAATAATGCACTTAATGCCACTGATTTGTACATTTGAAAATGGTTTCAATGCTGAATAGTAGGCTGTCATGACAGAAAAAAGGTGGTTAAAATGGTAAATTTCATGGTTCACGGATCTTATCACAATAAAAAAATGGCCAGAAAAATCTATTCCTAAAGCACAAGGTTATCAACAACTTCAAACACACTTCTCTGCTTGATTCAATGCTGAGGTTCCCACAGAAATTGTTACAGACTGCCTCCTTCCTCCAAGTTTCCTTATCTCTCATATTCATCCCTTTCTTTATTCCCCAAACTTTCATTTCTAATTGAATGGAGAACATCCAATCTTGATCTCCAGGTTTTTCCACCCTTAATTCACCTGTTATTTCTAGACATATATTCTCAGTTTTCCTTCCTCATCTCCTCCTTGCTAAAGCTGTCCTCCAATTATTAGATACCGTCCCACCTGCGACATTCTTTTTTCTTTCTTTTCTCAAGGATCTGTAATCTCTTATTTTCTTCCATTATGCCAGTTAATAAGGGGGGGCAGTTACAAGGTCAGGAAAGGTTATTATGAAGTTGAGTCAAGTAAAAACCACTACAAAATGAACATATTTATAGAAGTAATCCATCCTAAGAGAGATGATTCATAAATGGGGATTTCTAGGACCTTTCTGTTCAGGTTGTGGTGAAGCTGTGGAAAGGTGGGCCTGAAATCATGGAGTAGACAGGATTCCTAACTGTGGTGCTTATTAACTATGTAACTTCAGGCAACTCATTTAACTCCTATTTAGCCTCAGTATTTTTGTTGGATGAATAGATATGACTTATTTCACAAAGATGTTTTGAAGATTAAATGAAATAATATACATGCTTACTTGATGTTTAAATTAGTTGCATGCATTAAAAAACCATGGTATACATATTTGGAAAATACATGATATTAAAAAGGGAAGCAAAAATTAATTGCCTTGCATGAAATATTGAAGTTCATGGTTAATGACAAACAAGAGTTCAAAAATATAAATCTGTCAGAGTTCAAATGGTATATGCATGAAAGAAGAATGTATGTATGAATGTTACGTATGGAAGAAGAGGAAGAAGTGGAAGAAGAAGAAGAAAGAAGAGAAGAAGAAGAAAGAATAAAGAAGAAGAAGAAGAAGGTAGATGGATAGAGGGGAAGGCAGAGACTCACTGATATAATTAGCAAAGATGAGTAACATGAATGCTGGAAAGGTATGTAGTAATGTGGAAGGCCTAATTTTCCAAGCTCTACTAAAGCCTGGATGAACTATCCTCCAGGATCATCTAACTCTTTTTCTTTGATCACATTTTCACAAAGCCAACTTCTGATAACTAATTAAGTTTCCTGAGTAGTTAGATTACAAATAAGATGGTCTAAATGGCAGCCCTGAGCATGTATGTGTATGTGTGTACTTTATCCTATATATGCGTGTGTATATTTATATATATAGCATATATTAGTAAGCATATGTTTCTGTAAATTAGTACTGATAATTACAAATGCAACAACAAAAAATTATTTATTGAGAATTTCAATATGCAAGGCTCTGTGTTAAGTATAATTTTATATTACATTGCTTTTCTCTCTGCTATTAATTTAATTTGAATATTCTTTTAGTATTATGAATTTAGGATTGTCATTTAATCTTTTTAAAGAATGCCATGAATTAGGTCCCATGATTATATTCATTTAATAGATATGGAAGCTAATGGAAATGACCAATTTATCTAAAGGCACACAGATTGTAAGTACAACTGGTAATCAAACTTCACTTTCTCTGGCTCTTTGTTTCTAATTCTCATGCTGTAGAGACATTGTTTTAATAAGTTTGGGCTTCAGTGAAGTTTCAGGATACAAATCAAGGTATTAAAATCAGTAGCATTTCTATACACCAACAATGCTCGAGATGAGAGCCAAATCAAGAACAAAATCTCATTTACGATAGCCACAAAAAACACACACAAAAAAACCTATGAATACATCTAACTAAGGAGGTGACAGGTCTTTACAAGGAGATCTATAAAACATGACTAAAAGAAATCACAGATGACACAAACAAATAGAAAACATTCCATGCTCACAGGTTGAAAGAATCAATATCATTAAAATGGCCATACTGCCCAAAATAATCTACAGATTCAATGCTATTCCTATCAAACTACCATCATTTTTCACAGAATTAGAAAAAAACTATTCTAAACTTCATATGGAACCAAAAAAGAACCTGAATAGCTAAAGCAATCCTAGGCAAAAGAACAAAGATGAAGGCTTTACATTATCCAACTTCAAACTATACTACAAGGCTACAGTAGCCAAACCACATGATACTGGTACAAAAACAGACACATAAACTGGTGAAACAGAATAGAAAACTCAAATAAAGCTGCACACCTACAGCCATCTAATCTTTGACAAAGTTGACAAAAATAAGCAATGAGGAAAGGACTCCCTATTCAATATATTGTCCTGGGATAGCTGGCTAGCCATATGCAGAAGAATGAAACTAGACCCCTATCTTTTACCATAAACAAAAATTAACTCGAGATGAATTAAAGACTTAAATGTAAGACCTCAAACTATAAGAATCCTAGAAGAAAACCTAGGAAACACAATTCTAGATACTGGCCTTGGGAAAGAATTTATGATTAAGTCCTCAAAAGCAATTGCAACAAAAACAAAAATTGACAAGCGGGACCTAATTAAAGAGCTTCTGCAAAGCAAAAGAAATTATCAACAGAGTAAACAACCTACAGAATAGAAGAATATATTGCAAACTATGCATCCAACAAAGGTCTAATATCCGGAATCTATCAGTAACTGAAACAACTGAACAAGCAAAAACCAAATAATCCCATTAAGAAATAGGCAAAAGATATGAGTAGAGATCTCTCAAAATTCGACACATAAACAGCCAACAAACATATGAAAAAATGCTCCACATCACTACTCATCAGGGAAATGCAAATCAAAACCAAAATGAAATACCATCTCACACCAGTAAGAACAACTATTATTTAAAAAGTCAAAAAACAACAGATACTGGCAAGTCTATGGAGAAAAGGAAATGCTTCTACACTTGGGAGGAATGTAAAGTAGCTCAGCCACTGTAGGAAGCAGTTTGGCAATTTCTCAAAGAACGTAAAACAGAACTACCATTTGATCCAGCAATCCCATTACTGGGGATGTATCCAAAGAAAACAAATCATTCTACCAAAAAGACACACATACTTGCATGTTCACTGTGACACTATTCACAATACCAAAGACATGGAATCAACCTAGGTGTCCATCAATGGTGGACTAGATAAAGAACATGTGGTACACATACACCATGGAATACTACACAGCCATAAAAAGGACAAAATCATGTCCTTTGTAGCAATATGGATATAGCTGGAGGCCATTGTCCTATGAGAATTAACGCAGGAACAGAAAACGCAGGTTCTCCTAAGTGAGAGCTAAACACTGGGTACTCATAGACATAAAGATGGCAACAACAGACAACGGGGACTACTAAAGGAAGGAGGAAGGGAGGCAGGCAAGGGTTGAAAAACTGTTGGGTACTATGCTCAGTACCTGGGTGATGGGATTGTCCATATCTCAAACCTCAGCATCATACAATATACCCAGGTAATAAACCTACACATGTACATCCTGAATCTAAAATAAAAGTTTGAAAAATAAAATATAAATAAATAAGTAAACAAGCATGAGTAATGCCACAATTCTTTCCAGGGGAAGCTGATGAACCACTTTATCTGGAAAGAATCACTAATGTGGTATCTCTCAGTTTAGCTAATGTAGATTATTAGGTACCTTGTTTCAAGGAAGGATATACCAGGACCCACCTTAAGCTTGGCAAGCTTTGGCCTCTTTCTAATATATCTAATATTGTGTTGTACATAGGCAAACTTGCATAGAGGCCAGTGTGACTGCTTATATTAAAAGAGAGACTTCAGGCCGGGTGCGGTGGCTCACGCCTGTAATCCCAGCACTTTGGGAGGCTTAGGCGGGCGGATCACGAGGTCAGGAGATCAAGACCATGCTGGCTAACGTGGTGAAACTCCGACTCTACTAAAAATACAAAAAAATTAGCCAGGCGTGGTGGCGGGCGCCTGTAATCCCAGCTACTCGGGAGGCTGAGGCAGGAGAATGGCATGAACCCAGGAGGTGGAGCTTGCAGTGAGCCGAGATAGCACCACTGCACTTTACCCTGGGTGACAGAGCGAGACTCTGTCTCAAAAAAAAAAAAAAAAAAAAAAAAAAAGACAGACTTCAATCCTTTGTTTTGTTGCTGTGATTTGTTTAAATTTTATGTATTTTATTGATTTTGTTTAATTACCAGAGTAATACCTGCCCATAACAAGCCAAACAATAAAAGGTATGTCATGCAACTATTAATAATCTTCTCTTTTTCCTTCCTATGATATTCAATATGATCAAGACAGGAGTGAATCATTTCACTCTCCTTTATGATCAAAGAGACATGAAACTTTTATCTAAGTGTGTGTTAACCTAATGAGAAGATATGAAATGTTTCATTTAGCATCTTAATTTTTTTCCACTTAATAAATCATGGATACTCCCCAAATTCATTAACAAATAATAATTAAGAAGTTTGGTTAAGGATAATCTCCCAGAACATAATCAAATCTAAGTGATAAAATCAGTTTGGGCCTGAAAAGCTCTATCCAACCTCTTCAGAGGGTATCTTCATTCAACATGGTCTGCTTCTCAAAAAGGGAAATAGAGAAAAAAAGAGAAAGGCAACAACAGGGGAGGAAAACTAGGCCAAACTTCTATTCATCTTGGCTCTTTCCCATCTTCACCCTCTTTGAGTCATCCATTAATTGATCATATTATATATTACTTATAGGATATGTCAGACTCTGGACCAGGTAGAGCTCCCCCAACTCATGGGAGCTCATCATCTTAAAGGGCAGCAAGTTTGAAGAAACCTAAAAAAAAAAACTGGTAAATTTGATTACAGGCTCACATGAACCATGTAGTAAAGTAGTCTTCTCATTACTAAAGACTTCTCAACCCTAACACTAAATTGCTGGTTTTATGGAATTCCTTTAGATGCACTATGACTCAACATTGAAACCACTGATAAAAATTTCATATTTTAAGAGTCTCTTATCAAAAGCTGTCAAGTGTCATCATAAGACATTTTATATCATAATCCCAAGCCTCTAAGCATAGTGTGTGACACATGGCAGGTGATCAATGGTTGCTCGGTAGATAAGAAAAAGCAACACAAACAAAAAATGACACATATCTCCTTGTAGAAAAACTAACCAGTGGTATAATGTCAGTCTAAAACATACTTGAGAAATGTAATACAGATTTTTTAGTGAAAGAATATGAAGCAAACTTATATGTAGATTACTTTTCCCTAAAATATTTTGGTATGCAAAACCAAAACTGACAGCTAAAGTTCTGACATGATCTGAACAAGATAAAGATTACCTGGTCTTAGGGAAATTTAAGGAAGGATTCCTATAAATGAGATGACAGATGAAGCATAAATAGAAATATGTAATGAAGAAGCTTAACAGCTTCCTAAAATTCTTCCTTAATTTAGTTCAAGAAAAAGAAACCAGAGGTATTCATGCAAAATTTTTAAATGCTGTGGTATTACATCCTTAGCTGGTACTAACACATCTGAAGTCATCTGTGGTATAAGAGTCAAGAAACATCACTTTGCAAATGTTCTGACTATGGTCAGCACAGATAAAGTGAATTTATTGCTGTGGTCAAACTGAAATTTTCCACTTCATTTTCTGAAGTTTGGTTGTTATTATTATGGAACTCAAAAACTCAGAGCCTCCTTTCACTTTCTAGCAGGTGATACTCAAAATGGGGTTGATATGTAAAAGAGCCTCTCTAAGACTAACACTTCTGTGTCAGGAGTCTAATGTGATTATATGTGAATTATTTGGGGCAGTAGGAAGAATGGAGAGTAGAGAAGGAAAGAGAAATGAGTAGAATACCATAAGAGATCCCAACAATAAAGAGACTTCAGTTAAGAAGCCAAGCAAAAACTGAATTTGCCAATATTCCTTGAGTCCAAAAACACAAAAATTGTTCTCATGACTTTAAGAAAAAATTAAGATAAGCAAATCAGCAGCAGCAAGCAAGCATCATGAGACAAGTCTTAGAATGAATATGCATCAATGAGATAAGTATGTCATCAATGCATTGAAGTGCTTTTTTTTGGTAGAAAAGAAATAACTCTGTATTTGGTGGTAAAATGAGGTAAAGCAAGGTGTTGTCTCTGAGATCAGATAAATTTTACAAGAAAATAGAGGTCCCTCTGTATTTTATTTTTCAAGGTATAATCTTTACTATTAGATAAAACACATGACTAGTGGGAAGAAAAAAAGACACTGTAAATTTATCTATTTTATATAAATAACTTAGGGATACAAAGAACTGGCACTATAAGGAAGAGCACTAATAGATTCCTTGTCAGATATCAGGTAACATAGGCACATTAATATGATTCTGTAATTTAAAGGGTTCCAAGCAGCAATCTGAAAGTTAGAAAAAAAACTCTTTCGACTAGCACTTTTTCAAATAGAATTCTACTGTAATACCTGAAAATGGCATGCTTGTTTCCAACTATTTCACAAGGTAAAAATGTAACTTAAGCAAATATCAAGGAAGCTTAAAATAAAGTGAAACAACTTTCTATGTCTAAAAGACACAAATAAATGTTTTATAACTTCTTTAACTTAGCTTGACATAGTTTTTGGAATTAAATTACCTATATAAAAATTTACTCATAAATGGTTTTAGATACACACTTTAAAAACCAGCAAGAACCTATCACACGAATCATTACTTTAAAACTAAATAATACCAAACTGGTATATATTTAGGTCTGCCAATCCTTCATCAAACGACGAAGACATTAAAATACCTGTTGTTAATATGACTACACAAAGAGAAGTCAATTCCTTTAAAGAGGAAGAAGGTGATGAATTAAACTTAACAGTGATGAATTAAGCTTAGCATTGATTATTTGAGAAATTTTGGCAAATGTTTTAGATAGTAGGCAAAAATTAGTCAAGCAATTTATAAGCAAAACACTAATAATCATTTACATTTTATTGTATCAGTCAATAAGATGAGTAAATTGTAAATCCAATTTTAAATATAACAACTAACTGAAAAGATGACATCAGAAATCCAGAGCCTGCCTTTCTGACCCTCTAGAAACAAGAAGTCCAAAAGATTCCACTGTGTGAAGAAAAAAAAAGTATACTCTTTAAAATGGGAGCTATTAACTCAGGGCCCATGGAGAAGCTTTAAAGGATCTTCAAACCACCTAAAATCACATGCAATTTGGAGTATGTTTTTATTCTTTTGGGGGTGGAGGGGTGGGGCGGGGGAGGGAGTATACAGGTCTTGAGCCTTCACCTGAAAGGAACATGCTATCTAGAAAAGATGTGAACACTATTACACTTGGTTCTTTGTGCTTTCAACATATGAAAAGTCTCCTAAGTAAAAAGGCAGAAAAAATTGAACAGGTAACTACCCATTTAATGCTTCAAAGTAGCAAACTGTCTGGGATCCTTAATGTCAGTGCCTGTTTCCCTGCCTGAAACTCATGGGTGAATGCCACACACTATGCATAAAGTAGCCTTGAGTAGGTGAATTTGGCAATAATAAGCACACTTCATAGCTTCCCTAACATTAAAAAAAAAAAAAAAAGGCAAACTGTAAAAAATCCACCATTCTGAGACCACTTTTTCCTAATCTAGAGAGACTGATGGCAATCCTTTTCCAATCATGATAAATGCTATTACCCAAAGCATTCACACGATCTCTAAAGTACAAAAGGCCTTCTAGGATGTAGATACTACATTTTGTGCTGGAACAACAGATTCTACTCTTCAAAATATTATGTTTTAATAAAAGAAACCAAAAAAATCAAGATCTAAGTAGACAAGCAGAAGCACTAGCGCACTCAGTTTCGAGGAGTGGACCAGAGAAGAATTCATCTGCCAGTATGCTTCTTTCTCATGTGTTTTTCTTCTGTTTTAATAGTATGCTTGAACTGATGCCATATGAATACACTTTGTAACTTATGGTTACAAAGCTGGCTGAAAAGATTAGATTTTCCTGGACCAGGTAGGAGGTTCCAGAGAGGGAAGGGCTGGGGAAAGGAGGGATAAAGGCAGCCTTTTCCAATCTTCAAGGGCTCTCTTTTCCATGCCACAGGTGAAACTATCTTTTTCAAATTAGTTTTTTGCATCACTAGGTCCAGGAGGGCTTCTGCAGCCAGCTTAGCTCCCCGGGGTTGCCTAGTTAGCTCACTGACCATTGTCCCAAGAGTAACAGCCCTACTCTACAAGATGACCCCTGAACTTCAGAAAATGTATCTCTGTTTGCTGGCTGAAGTCTGATCCTACTAGATACTTTCCCACACCTTCTGTTTCTCTCTCCTCCTTCCCCTGACTAAGTGGCTATTGCCTAATGCCAGATCTCAGCTTTGACCATGGTAGCTCCAGCTCCAGCCTTTGGTCTTTAGGGCTGGTGCCAGGCCTTTAGGTAGTCCCTTAGTGCTGGTGCTTTCTGAAATCTGTCACCACGCTGGCCTCTCAGCTCTCTGCCCGGCAGTGCTGTTTTACCCATGGCTCTGCTGGGTTTCAATCACTTTAAGTAGCACTTTGGGGTTTGCAGACTTTTTTCTGCCTTCTAAAAATGGCATTTATGCTATTTTTTTTAATTTTTTAATTTTCCCTGTTGTTGTATACGTTTTCCAGTAAGAAAAGGGGTTTTTGAATCTGAACTATAAGTTACAGATTGTGACAATACAACCATGCAGGCAAAAGCCTTCCTCTGAGAGAAAAGGAGAATCTGAAAGGTAGCTAGACCACACATTTCACCTCTTCGAAACACATAGTATTATTCATATTCACTTAGGGAATGACTTTCCAATGTCTGTGACCTCTAGAGGAAGGAAGATGAAATCATCTTAAAATATTATGAGGATTGGCCAGGTGCAGTGGCTCACACCTGTAATCCCAGCACTTTGGGAGGCTGAGGCGGAGGGATCATGAGGTCAGGAGTTCGAGACCAGTCTGACGAACATGGTGAAACCCTGTCTCTAAAAATACAAAAAGTAGCCAGGCATGCTGGCATGCGCCTGTAATCCCAGCTACTGAGGAGGCTGAGGCAGGAGAACCACTTGAACCCGGAAGGAGGAGGTTGCAGTGAGCCAAGATTGCACCACTGCATTCCAGCCTGGGTGACAGAGTGAGACTCAGTCTTCAAAAAAAAAAAAGGAGGATTAAGAAAAGAATCTTATGCTGGAACACTAACAGCTCTCAAACTGGACCGAGGCTGAGAGAGAGAATATAAAGAAGGAAAATGAGGCCAAAACAGGTACAACATCTGAACTCCTTTTAGAACGCAAGCTAAAGCTGCAGTTATCCAATATATAATTGTATTGTAATGTTTAAGATCATACAGATCAGTGCTGTTTAATAGTGCTATCTAGAAATACAAGCACATATATAATTTTAGATTTTGTAGTAGTCATATTAAAAAAGATGAATTTTAATAATACATTGTATTTAACTGTATGTTCTAAAACATTATTTCAACATAGCAATACATATCAGTTATCAGTGAGATATTTTACATTCTTTCTTTTTGCATCAAATCTTCAAAATGTGGTGTGTTATTTTATGCTTACAGCACATCTCACTACAGTCTAGTCACATTTCAAGTGCTCAACAGCTACACATCATTAGTGGCTACCATATTGGAAAGTACAAACAGAATTAAGAAACTATTTTAACTCTATCTTTCAGTCAGCTTGCCATTTCTCTATTATATGTTTCCCTCATTCAGCCTTGTACTGTTACAGAAATGAGCATATACAAAGAAGTTATGCTAGAAACTGTAAGTAGTGTATTGTTTGTATATAAACAAATGCAATTGAAATTGCTTAATGATTCTTTGAAAGATTTTGTTTTTCTCTTAGCAAGGCTAAACATATTTTTTGAAATGTATGTATAATTATTGATTTGTTAAGCAAGTTGCTCCACAAAGTCAATACAGAGGTGAACTTTGGAGCTGGGTGCAGTAGAGTGCACCTATAGTCCCAGCTACTCCGGAAGCTGAGGCTGGAGGATCCCTGGGCAACATAGCAAGTCCCTGTCTCTCAAACAAACAAACAAAAAATAGTGAATTTCTATTCAACCAGTGTGCACACCACATTTGGACTTCCAAAAGGGTCTGATCTAAAAGTGTAAGGTTTTATCATACATATGTATTTAAATATACTGTATGTTGTCTAGCAGTTAAGACAATTGCCTTTATCTGCCTAAAATCCTAAGTAGTTCTTAAAAGAAATCATGACTAATGGACTTATTATACTAAAGAAAGGGAACGAAATATAACAATTTAAAAATGATATCTGCATTAAAATGGTTATTTATTAGACATTAGATTTTAACTGTCCTTCAGATCTTTTCCAAGCATGATATTTAAAACTCTTCTCTTTTTAAAATGCTGCCTTGCAACCACATCAACCTAACGGTGAAGCACAACCTGTTCATAACTACTGGTAAATAGAGTTCTAGAAAGCAAATGATCCCTGAAAGGCCACATTTCCATTGAATAATAAGACCACAGTACTTTGTACTATCCTATTGTACAAATGTAAGGAGCATAACAAAATGACATCAGTGAAAATAAAATTTTATAGAAAAATGACAAATGCTCTCTTTTTGTATGAGGTAAGAAAAAAATTATATAGCTTTCCAAACACTCAAAATTGTAAACCAAGAAACATATTTCACAGTGATTTTTTTTAAAGTTAGACTATCTTTAGTAAATTGTTCTTGGCTTAAAATTAAAAGGCCAGACATTACTAATGGACTTAAATGTTTTCTTGAGTGGAACTGGAAATCCTTTCCAATTCACAATATGTTTTCAACTATAAACCATTTTACTTGTTTCCTTCATTTCTAATTTCAAATGAACAGAAAATCTAGTCTTGTTCTTAAATAATCTCTAGAGACAAATTTAATCTTTCAACATCCAGTCTTTGAATATTTTGTGCAAATAAACCCAAACTACTAATATTTCATTCAAAATAAAAAGCTTCACTTTTAAATTGTAGTGCTGACATCTAGAAATTTGCTTTTCAATAATGATCTGTCAACAGTACATACTTAGTTATTATTCATTTATAACTTTTCTCATAATTACATCTTCCAATTATTTAGGAACACCTGAAGACACCTTACCAAGAATTAGATACTAGTGAAGAGCTTAGTTCCAATCTTGACAATTTATACAATCCAGTCTATTTGCTCAAACATACACTGCATATTCTAAGAAATGTAGTTACTGTTCAGTAATATTATATAACATGTATTATTAGTTCCATATTAATAAAAGTGTTCTTAACCAAACTAATCTTGGTGTAGTACTTTACAGTTATATAGACTCCCTTTACAAACACACATTATACCTCATTTAATCTATATAACAATTCCATGCAATTCTGCTTAGTGGGTCTTAGACTATCAATGTACTTTGGATAATATTAACTTGCTACATCTTAAATTAATAGGTTTGAGGTAGCATGTTCACGCCCACTTGCAGAGAGTCAGCCTTTACCGCTAAGGAGTTTAAGAATTTTTAGTAACTGCAAATACATGAACATAGCAACCATACTGATAAATACCTACACGGATAAACTATTAAATGGACAGGCAGTAAGGAGCATTTGTTAGTTCACTCATTCACCCATTTACTCATTTTTTGAGCACCTATTGTGTGGTAGGCACTGTTATAGTTGGATTGGATATCTAAATGGCATTTATTAGAATGGAATTTATATTTAGAAGTAATTGAGAAATGATAATCTATTTTTACCATGAGAAATTAAGACTACTGGGAAAACAATCTAACTAGGTGAAGTACACTATTAATAGAAAGTAAAACTAAAAATGAATCTATAATTTGATAGTCTAAAGAGAAGCAAGCTGGAATAAAAACAAAATCAACATATCCACACCAAAGGACCAGATATCAGAAAGGGGTCACATGTTGATCTTTCCTTTAGGGGGATAAATTTAATCTAAAATATGTACTTGAGAATAGGCAAAGTGTAAAACACTTCATTACACACTGTGAGGATCAAGTAAACAGCTCATATAAGGCAAAATAAAATAAATGCTAATAATCAAATACTATGGGACTTCAAACATAGGAAGAATTAATTTGGACTCGGGAAATAAAAGGTATAATAAATAGGTTGTGTTGTTTTTTAAAAATAGAGTCCCACTCTGTCATCCAGACTGGAATGCAGTGGTGTGATCATAGCTCACTGCAGCTTTGAATTCCTGGACTCCAGCGATCCTCCCACCTCAGCCTTCCAAGTAGCTAGGACTACAGGCACATATCACCATGTCCAGCTAATTTTCTGGTTACTTTTTGTAGAGATAGGGTCTCACCATGTTGCCCACCAGGCTGGCCTCAAATTCCTGTCCTCATGTGATCCTCCTACCTTGGCCTCCCAAAATGCTAGGACTGTAAGCACAAGCTGGTGTGCCTGATAATACTTTAGTTTTATTATAGGCATTGCTAATCTTAGATAACTGAGCTATGGTCTCTAATTTTAAACTTCTTTAGTATCACCTCAAACTGAGTCATTTTAAAGAAAATACTCAATGTGAAAAACAGAAGCCGCTGACTGAAAAAGCAATACATTATGACCCAGCTTTATCTGATGTTGACTTGAATTTTAATAGAGTGCAAAAAGAGAATCTCAGGAATAGGAGAAAGTGTGAAAAAGAAAAATCACAAAAGAAATCTCCATGATGTTACAATACAAATGAATTGCTACATCAGGATGCTAACTCTCAAAGACAATCCTGCAAATGTGCTTCCATAATCAACATATTTAGCAGAATAAGAGATGAATCTAGAATTCAGGCCCTTAATTTTGAGTGGTAACTTTTCCCCAACATATAACAAACTACTCTAAAAAGAAACTATATCTATATGTTATGGGCTGCATGTTTGTGTTCCCTCAAGTCATGTGTTCAAACCCTAACCCTCAAAGAGATGGTATGAGGTGGTGGGGCCTTTGTGATGCAATTAAGTCATGAGAGTAGAATCCTCATGATGGGATTAATGCCTTTATATGAGACTCAATAACACTTGCTTCCTTTCTCTCTGCCATGTGAGGGTACAACAAGAAGGCTGCCATATGGAAACCAGGACCAGAACCTGACCATGCTGGCACCCTAATTTTGAACTTCCCATCCTCTAAAACTATGAAAAGTAGGTATCTGTTGTTTAAGTTACCCAGTCTATGGTATTCTTATTATAGCAGCCCAATCTGACACTGTATTTAGATAAATATTTAAATGCATTTAAACTAAGGGGGAAGGCAAAGATGAAATGAAAATTAAATAAGCCTGTTCCCAAATTCCAATTATTTCACACAACAGTATTCTTTCACATGGTAGCATCGATAGTTTATAAACCTATCCCAAATTTTCAGTGTCTTATATTGTGTATGTATATATAAAGTGCAGATATAGAATATATCTAATGACAAGTATATGTACTATATTTATGTTTGTTATATACGTATCACATTTTTCTTTACATTGTAAAAAATTAAATGGAATTGTTTATTTTCAAATAACCGCCATATTTCTTAACAAGAAAATATTTTTTTAAAATTATTGTCTTGTATTACGGGCTTTTTATTACGCTACATATGAAACAGGAGATATGATAATGATTTAACATTCTTGATGCATCAGACTGAAAAATTAGATATTTACAGACCATGTCTATAACAAAATTCTAATTGGATAATCTTTTCTTCCCCCTTGCTCTCATTGTGAAAGATATATAAATTTAATTTGGTTACGGGCACGGTCTATTGGGCTAAGCACAGGATGGTGGTTAAAGAAAACATTTAGAGTTCCAATCTTGGTCTGTTGTTCCACTTCCAATCTCAATGCACTGAATGCTCTTGGATAAGTCATAAACTAAATGACTTTTCTTGATTTCCTCATCTATAAAATGGAAATAACTGTCTTACCTCCCGAAGATACACTACTTAGATTAATTAATAACTGGGTAAAATACTGTGAAAAAGAAAGTGATGAAAGTGTTCCATGAAATTATAACTTAAAATTAAGTCATTATTGAAACTGACCTTTTAAAAAATATGTTGCTTGCATGGTTTGTCTCCCTAGTCATTGTCCACAGGACTCTGAGAGGCTGTGGGAATATGAAGCAAGACATGAGGCCAAGTTTTATCTCCAACATTGTGTAAAGGGACTGTACATCACGGGACACAGCCCTAGCTAACCTAAGCCACCTGGATAAAGCCTGGGAAGAGTGACTCAAGCTGAAAGTAAAAGTACTTTTTTTTTTTTTTTTTTGAGACGGAGTCTCGCTCTGTCGCCCAGGCTGGAGTGCAGTGGCGGGATCTCGGCTCACTGCAAGCTCCGCCTCCCGGGTTCACGCCATTCTCCTGCCTCAGCCTCCCAAGTAGCTGGGACTACAGGCGCCCGCCACTACGCCCGGCTAATTTTTTGTATTTTTAGTAGAGACGGGGTTTCACCGTTTTAGCCGGGATGGTCTCGATCTCCTGACCTCGTGATCCGCCCGCCTCGGCCTCCCAAAGTGCTGGGATTACAGGCGTGAGCCACCGCGCCCGGCCTAAAAGTACTTTTTAAAAGTACTTTTAAAAATGTAAACTGAACACTCCAATTGCATTTGTGAAATGACGTATCTCAAAACAATAAGAGCTATCTATGACAAACCCACAGCCAATATCATACTGAATGGGCAAAAACTGGAAGCATTCCCTTTGAAAACTGGCACAAGACAGGGATGCCCTCTCTCACCACTCCTATTCAACATAGTGTTGAAGTTCTGGCCAGGGCAATTAGCCAGGAGAAGGAAATAAAGGGTATTCAATTAGGAAAAGAAGAAGTCAAATTGTCCCTGTTTGCAGATGACATGACTGTATATCTAGAAAACCCCATTGTCTCAGCCCAAAATCTCCTTAAGCTGACAGGCAACTTCAGCAAAGTCTCAGGATACAAAATCAATGTACAAAAATCATAAGCATTCTTATACACCAATAATAGACAAACAGAGAGCCAAATCATGAGTGAAATCCCATTCACAATTGCTTCAAAAAGAATAAAATACCCAGGAATCCAACTTACAAGGGATGTGAAGGACCTCTTCAAGAACAACTACAAACCACTGCTCAATGAAATAAAAGAGGATACAAACAAATGGAAGAACATTCCATGCTCATGGGTAGGAAGAATCAATATCGTGAAAATGGCCATACTGCCCAAGGTAATTTATAGATTCAATGCCATCCCCATCAAGCTACCAATGACTTTCTTCACAGAATTGGAAAAAACTACTTTAAAGTTCATATGGAACCAAAAAAGAGCCCGCATTGCCAAGTCAATCCTAAGCCAAAAGAACAAAGCTGGAGGCATCACACTACTTGACTTCAAACCATGTTACAAGGCTACAGTAACCAAAACAGCATAGTACTGGTACCAAAACAGAGAAATAGACCAATGGAACACAACAGAGCCCTCAGAAATAATGCCGCATATCTACAACCATCTGATCTTTCACAAACCTGACAAAAACAAGAAATGGGGAAAGGATTCCCTATTTAATAAATGGTGCTGGAAAAACTGGCTAGCCATATGTAAAAAGCTGAAACTGGATCCCTTCCTTACACCTTATACATAAATTAATTCAAGATGGATTAAAGACTTACATGTTAGACCTGAAACCATAAAAACCCTAGAAGAAAACCTAGGCATTACCATTCAGGACATAGGCATGGGCAAGGACTTCATGTCTAAAACACAAAAAGCAATGGCAACAAAAGCCAAAATTGACAAATGGGATCTAATTAAACTAAAGAGCTTCTGCACGGCAAAAGAAACTACCATCAGAGTGAACAGGCAACCTACAAAATGGGAGAAAATTTTCGTAACCTACTCATCTGACAAAGGGCTAATATCCAGAATCTACAATGAACTCAAACAAATTTACAAGAAAAAAACAAACAACCCCATCAAAAAGTGGGCAAAGGATATGAACAGACATTTCTCAAAAGAAGACATTTATGCAGCCAAAAGACACATGAAAAAATGCTCATCATCACTGGCCATCAGAGAAATGCAAATCAAAACCACAATGAGATACCATCTCACACCAGTTAGAATGGCAATCATTAAAAAGTCAGGAAACAACAGGTGCTGGAGAGGATGTGGAGAAATAGGAACACTTTTACACTGTTGGTGGGACTGTAAACTCGTTCAACCATTGTGGAAGTCAGTGTGGTGATTCCTCAGGGATCTAGAACTAGAAATACCATTTGACCCAGTCATCCCATTACTGGGTACATACCCAAATGACTATAAATCATGCTGCTATAAAGACACATGCACACCTATGTTTATTGCAGCACTATTTACAATAGCAAAGACTTGGAACCAAGCCAAAAGTCCAACAATGATAGACTGGATTAAGAAAATGTGGCACATATACACCATGGAATACTATGCAGCCATAAAAAATGATGAGTTCATGTCCTTTGTAGGGACATGGATGAAGCTGGAAACCATCATTCTCAGCAAACTATCGCAAGGACAAAAAACCAAACACTGCATGTTCTCACTCATAGATGGGAACTGAACAATGAGAACACATGGACACAGGAAGGGGAACATCACACACCGAGGCCTGTTGTGGGGTGGGGGGAGCAGGGAGGGACAGCATTAGGAGATATACCTAATGTTAAATGACGAGTTACTGGGTGCAGCACACCAACTTGGCACATGTATACATATGTAACTAACCTGCATGTTGTGCACATGTACCCTAAAACTTAAAGTATAATTAAAAAAAATGTAAACTGAGCACTCATTCCATTTGTGAAAAGATCACCTGACTCATTTGAAACTTTATCTTTCAGGGTGTGGGACAGCCTCAAAATAAGTGAGAACTTATGGTTTAGAATAGAAAGCCTCCACTGGCTCCACAAAGGAGCTATAGTGTAGTAATACAACACCAGACTCATTTAATCTACAGCACTAGAAGAATTAAAAGATAAATGATCATCCAAAATGAATTTCATGTAACAATCCTAAAAGACTGAGGTTATTGTTCAATATAATACTTTTTATCTTTCCTCCTCTAAATTATAAATTGTTTACTAAAGGTGTAGAAATTGTTGATTTGAAAATTAATTTGGTAGAACTGCTTTAGGTGTTTATTTTACTCACCTCTTCCTTTCTCAAATCACAAAGATCTCAGATGGATACAAATATCTCAAGAAATACGCACCTATTTTTGATTTCAATTCAACAAGTAATTAGTGAGCAACTACAGTGTCAACTCTTCTTAGGTTATGCATAATATAACTTTTGTAAATTAAATTATATGTTCCTGCAAAACTGTTTTCAGAAGAAGGAGAGAAGGTGGCAGTCTGACAAGGGAGCTCAGGATCCAAGGAACAAAATGATGATCAATACTTTGGGTTTTCTTTTTGTCTCATGTATTTCAGACTGGATACTGGAGACACCAGCAACGCAAAAACGCCAATGGAGGAGACCCAGAAAAGAAAAGCCCCAAGAAAAGCATGCCCTCTCTATCCAGGAAGCGGGCAGCCTAGCAAGACAGAAGCTTTTCGACAATAACCACTCCACTCTAGCTAACCACCACAGAAAAAAACAGCAGCCCACCCCCACCAACCCTGCCAGCAAAGGCCAAGTGGTGAAGCTAGATGTCCATCCTCTGTAGGCTGTAAAAAGAAGTCCCAATCTTCTGCTGGGGTAGAAACAGAGAAGGCTGAGTGGGGGAGCCACCCACAAAGATATCAGTGAAGACCAAGAGGAGACCATTCAACTTCACTCCTAGGTTAATTCTCTTCAATAGTAGCTGCTACTGAATTAATCTGGCCAGGAGGCAAAGTAGGGCAAGAATAGAGTGTATTACAGAAATTCACAAGAAAGTGCTAACTCGCCATTTAAGTACTGTTTATAGCTAGGTGTGGTGACTCATGCCTGTAATCTTAGCACTTTGGGAGGCAGGCGGATTACTTGAGGCCAGGAGTTCGAGACCAGCCTAGCCAACATGGGGAAACCTCATCTCTACTAAAAACACAAAAATCAGCCGGGCGTAGTGGCACATGCCTGTAATCCTAGCTACTTAGGAGGCTGAGGCACGAGAATCACTTGAACCCAGGAGGTGGAGGTTATAGTGAGCCAAGATTGTGCCACTGCACTCCGGCCTAGGCAACAGAGTGAGACTGTCTCTCAAAAAAAAAAAAAAAGAAAGGAAAAAAAAGTACTGTTTATAGAGCTCCTATTGTTACAAGGCACTAGGCTGGAGAAATGGAAGGAAAGATATGTTAATAGATGGGGGCTGACAAAAATTAAAAAAAATAAAGTAGTGTCTACTGATCTTTTAATTCAAGCCTATGATTTGCCCTAATGACAAGACTATATCATAAAAATGAGTTCATATAAGAAAAAAATGGGTATAACAAAAGAAAAATACTTTAAAGAGGTTTGGAGCCCCTTCTATTTTATTTCTTATTTGTATTTATATTATTTTATTATTATTCCTAATCAGACTGAAGTTGCAACATTTCTGTATATGCTTAAAGTCACATAGAAATGTATGCTGCCAACTCTTTTGCTATCTTCCAATTAGGAAAAAAATAAATGAACCACAGCGAAGAAGTAGATTATATGAGGAAAACCTTTAAAAATTAGTGGAAGAGAGGATACAGAGTATCCAAAACCAGATGTTTAGTTGATATATTTCTTTTAAAATATACGTTCACAAATCTCATTGCAACAGAAGGCTATCCCTTTTCATAGTATAAAAATGGTTAAAAGCAATGATACATATTTAGAGTTACAAAAAATAAACATCTAAGTAAAGCAGTTTCAAGCCTAATGTACAAGTTATTTGGATAAGAAAATGGGCATTAAGAAAATAGCAGACTTGAGATTTAGGTTCACTAGGACCACTTAGTGTAAGTGTATTACTGGCAAATTCAATAGCCTTAGAGAGGTCATCATGGTTAGCCTTCTTCAATCCCTCTGCCTAGAATACTGCAAGGTATCAATAAATGCTTACTTAATGAAGGAATGCCACATTTGACATTTGGCTTTCCCTTCACTTAGCTTCCGTGAAACTTTTCTGACTGCCTCGAAAATCACAGGCTATCACTTGGAATTCAGTTATCTGCTATTCTTAAACAAATGTGGACTTTTTTATTCCTTCTGTGGTTCAACTCAGACACTGCAACTTTGAACTGAAATAAATGATTCACTCTCTAGTCTAAATGTATTCAACTGGTTACTGAGAAAATTTCAGATTTATACTGCTTCTTCCAACTTGATTACAGTACTTTAATACCTGCATTCCAAATGTTAAACTACCTCTAATCCTTTACATTTGTAATAAAAACAAATACTTTACATATTTATTATTGCAACTTCCAGTGTTTACTCTGTGAAACTTATGAAGAGATTGCATTTTTACCTTGTACATTTATTCAGCTTGGCTAAAGAACTCAATTTAAATTTTATCTATATTAAAAAGCCTCTGAAATACAAGGACACTTGGTTTTCAATTTGCATTTAAAAGATGTGTATTTAACAAAATGTTTTATTTCTTTCAAAAGAATTTAATTTGAAGTTCTCAGGGTACTTGTACCAAAGTACATATTATCATAAAAATAGGTAAGAAATTCAAAGATGACCTAACAGAATTCCTTGTCATCTTTCTTACTTTACATATGAAGAAACAAAAAGCCATTCGTGTTTAATGATTCACCTGTCAGTACATCTACTCATTTCATCGTCCAAGAAGTGTTGAGCATCTCCAGGCTGGCATTTGGTGCACAGTAAAGAATAAAAACACATCCCTACTCTGTGGCTAGCGGTTTAGAGGAGAACTAAAACCTTGGTTGAGCTCAACTCCTAGTCTAACATGTTTCCATTGCATTGGTTATAGTCAGAATTCACTTACAAAGCATTCATTCTCCAATGGTGCATGCTAGTAATATTTAATGGTGCCATTAATTAGATAGAATATCCTAAGTAAAAAAGTTAAACTTTTCCACTACCTATTAAAGACTTTGGGCATTATCAATATGTTACAGTTCCTATGAGATAAAATTATTATTAAATCTATACTTTTCAGATTTCAAGACCTTCACATATTTTTTCTGCCCTACCTAAACTTTACAATGATAACAAATTTCTATAGTCTTCAGCCTTTTATTATTTTCTAGCCACAATCCCTTTACCCTCACCTAAACACACACCACAATACACACATCAGACTCTAATTTTTCATACAAGTTATACCACCTCTCTGGGAACATTCTCCTGAGTCTAGTGTTCTCATCCAAACCCTGGACTTAATTAGAAAGAACGACAAAAAACTTACCCTCCCAATCATCCTTAATTACCTAGTACTTATTACTGTTTCATTAAATTTGATCCCTAAAGCTCCAGAGATGTTAATTGCCCAGGTTGTGAATATGGTATTTGCTATGTCATTAATGAAATTATAATTTCAAAAAAAGAATTTTTCTGATCACTTTTAAAGAAAAGTACTATCGAACAGATTAGGAATCTGGTCTACCACTTATGCAAATACAAAAGTACTATTTATAAGGAAAAAAAGGTAAATCTGAGTATATGATGAGTATTTAACATTCATTAAGGGTTAAGGCACGTTCTAGCTGAGAAAAGCTTCTGGAGTGGTAAAAACTGTTGGATAAAAAATTGCAAATGTTAAGGAAATCATCACACAAATAATGACGTCAAACCATGTTTTTTATGTTAGTTCAAACTTTGGATGGTATTTTAAAAAATTACTTCTCTACTTCTTTCCTCTCTTGTGGTCCCAAGACACATTCTCTTCTGAACCTCTTTCCCTCTTTGGAAGTTTCCATTCAATATAGGCATTTTATTGGCTGTTCTTCTCCTAACACCCCTTAAATATAGGTGTTACCCAGAGTTTTATCTAGAAAGGTACCTAATTTTTATATTTATCCTAAGCAATTTAATTCACTGGTATGGTTTTAACACATATGAATTGATCACTTCCAAATCTCTACCTTAAATCCAAACTACACTCTCGATTCCAGATTAATACATTCCACCACTTGGTGGGCAATTGTACTGATACATTCCTGTCAAAAATCAAATTAGTAATCTACTCTTATAATATTTATTACATTTTGGTTGATGATCCCAGCCTCTCTAAAGAAGGAAGCTGGGGTTCCTCCTTGCCCCCACAACTAACCACTAAATCTAATTTTTTGTTTGTTTTTGGTCTTCCAAATTCATCCTCTTTTTTTATATATAGTAACATTTTTTCCAAGTTCTCATCATCCCTTCTCTGTCCTTTGCTTTATCATGCTTTCAGCCCACACTCTACAATGTCCTTAACTTGACTGTACACAAATCTGATTGCTTTCCTTACCTGCTCAAATCTTTCACTGAATCCCCCAAATCTAAAAGATAATGGCTAAACTCTTCAGAATGATCTGGCCTCTACCTACTGTTTATATCTCATTATAACAACCTTCCTTACAGTCTAAGGTCCAAAAATAACAAGCCACCTACAATCTTCAAATTACTCCATGTTGTTTCAAGTCTCCACTGCCTTTAAATATTCTAGTCTGCCTGGACATACCTTCCTACCAAGTCTGTCTGATAAATTCCTATTTCTCCTTCAAAATTCAGCTCTCATGTAAATATTCTCTAATGCTTCCTTCTCCACACTAAAGTGGAGTTTTCTATCATTATCATTTCTACAATGCTACCTTTTTAAATCTTGTTTTCTCTCTATTAGACTTAGGAACAACTAAGACATTGGCTATGTCTAAGCCACCTTGTATCCTAAGCACCTAGCACAAAGGTTGGCATACACATGCCTCAAAAATATTTATTAAATTATATACTTAAAATGGATTCACAAGAATTCCATCACCTAGTATCTATCATACTAGATTATACCAAGGAAAAAACAATTCTAAGACTGCGTTTAAATAGGCCAATGTCATTAGCAAAATGTTTAGAGTAAATTCAAGTTATTGTAAAACTCAGATCTACCATCTAGTCACTTGTATTTTTTCATTAAGCAATTAAAGAGGTGATCATTAGGAAATACAGAACAAATATATACAAATTTTAAGAACACAGACTTTGGTTTTCAGCTACAACATGTAACAGAGTGTGCAAGTCATCATTCCCACTCTAAAACAAGAAAAAAAGATAAACCAAAAATACATGACTTTTCTAAGACTCATCAGAGAATTCAGATCACAGGGCACACTGTCACCCTAAAATCTAAAGACACAGGAGAAGAGAAAGAATCATAGCCAAGAACAGCACAGATCAGCGTATCTTGAACAAAAGCTGCTGGAGTCATAATAAATGGTAAGAACACTTACATGATAATTTTGACAAATTACTGGAAGTGAGTATGGATTACTTGGTAGTAAAAAGTTGCTGGTGACCTAGTCTTAGGGCAACCTTAATATTTTGACGGGTTTTATTTCCAGGCTTTTGACAAGGTTTTCACATGAAAGATCCAAGAAAAATCCCCTCACATATAAGAAAGTGGGAGAAGAAAAGTAACTATAGTCATGAGCCTCATAACAATGTTTGGAACAACGATATACGGTTATCAAAGGTGGTCCCATAAGATTATAATGAAGCTGAAAAATTCCTATCATCTAGTGACATCATAACATCATAGTGCAATGCATTATTCACATGTTTGTGGTAACGCTGGTATAAACAAACCTACTGGGCTGCCAGCTGTACAAAAGTACAGCATATATAATTATGTACAGTACCTAACACTTGATAGTAATGAAAATGTTACTAGCTTTTGTATTTACAATAGTGTATTTGTATTGTTATTTTAGAATGTATTCCTTCTACTTATTTAACAGCAACAACAAAAAGTTAACTTAGAGATTAACTCAGACAGGTCCTTCAGGAGGTATTCCAGAACATGGCATTGTTATAGATTTCAGTTCCACGTGTGTTACTGGCCCTGAAGACCTCCAAACCAAACATGATGTGGAGGTGACAAACAGTGAAACTGATTATCCTGACCCTATATAGCCTAGGCTAATGTGTGTGTTTGTGTCTTATGTGGAGTTCTGATAAGTAAGCAACAATGAGGAAGGAGCCCCAGGTAGGAAAGAACAACGAACAATTCTTCTGACAGATGGCTAATCACAAACAACCTGATAACTCAATGACCCATGCAGCCCCCTCAGTACAACCCTATAAAACTTCTCTACAGCCCCTGCCTCTTTGCAGACAGCCCCTTCTCTGCTGTGCTGCCCGTTGCTACTTTGCAACATTATTTTCATACTTTCTCTAATAAATCTACCTTTCTTTACCTACAGTTGTCCTGATAAATTCCTTTACCACCTGTGTCACCAGCCCCAGATAGTCACTACCTGCAACATCTTAGTTTTTAACAAAAAAGTAAAATTGAAAAATTAAAAAGCATTAAAAATTAAAAATTTTGAAAATATAAAAATCTTATAGAATAAGGATATCAAGAAAGAAAATATTTTTATACAGTTCTACAATGTGTTTGGGTTTTGTTTTTTGTCTTTTGAGGCAGAGTCTCGCTCTGTCACCCAGACTGGAGTGCAGTGGTGCAATGTGGGCTCATTGCAACCTCCGCCTCCCAGGTTCAAGCGATTCTCCTGCCTCAGCCTCCCCAGTAGCTGGGATTACAAGCACGCCCCACCATGCCCGGCTAATTTTTGTATTTTTAGTAGAGACGGGATTTCACCATGTTGGCCAGGCTGGTCTCAAGCTCCTGGCCTCAGGTGATCCGCCTGCCTCAGCCTCCCAAAGTGATAAGATTACAGGCGTGAGCCACCGCGCTCAGCCGTGTTTGGGTTTTAACCTAACTCTTTTTACAAAAGAGTCAAAAGGTTTAAAAAAAAATCCTAAAAGTTTGTAAAGTAAAAAAGTTATAGTGAGCTAAGGTTAATTTATTGTTGAAGAAAACTTTTAAATAAATTTAGTGTAGCCGAAGTGTGCTGTGTTTATAAAATCTACAGGAGTATGTAGTAATGTCATAGGCCTTCACACTCACTCACCACTCACTGACTTACCCAGAGCAACTTCCAGTCCTGCAAGTTCTATTAGGTGCCTGATACAGGTGTACCATTTTAAAAAATCTTTTGTACCTTATTTTTACTGTACGATTTCTTGTTTAGATATGTTATAATATGTAAATACAATTGTGTTACAATTGCCTACAATATTTAGTATAGTAATATGCTGTACACATTTGTAGCCTAGGAGCAATCCGCTATGCCATATAGCCTAGGTGTGTGGTAGGTTATACCATCTAGGACAGTGATCCCCAACCTTTTTGGCACCAGGCACTAGTTTCATGGAAGAAAATTTTTCCACAGACAGGGGAAGGGGGAGATGGTTTCTGGATGAAACTCTTCCACCTCAGATCATAAGGAGCACATGACCTAGATCCCTCACACGTGCAGTTCATAATAGAGTTCCTGCTCTTTTGAGAATTGTCAGGCATGAGTTCTAAATTTCTTTTCAAAGAATCAATATGTCAGTATGTTCAATTCCTCGTCTTCTACTTTTAAACTTAACTTCCTCGTAAAGCAACCTTTTTCGATTACCTGCTCCACCCTGACTCATTCCCATTACCTGCTCTGTCATAACCATTTTTCCCGCCAAACCACTCATCCTGTCACTCTTTTTAAATTAGCCAATCAGAATCACTTTAGCCTGTGCCATCTAACCCTAACCAATAGGGGAAGGACACAGCAGCAGGGGCCACATGGTCACGGATAAGAACCCCTTCCCCTCCCTTGCCCAAGTGTGCGCTCACCATTGCTCCATGTGTAAGGGCACACCCTTCTATAGAAGTACCTTGCCTTGCTGAGAATTAAAAAGAAAATTTTATATTCAAGTGCTATTTCTTTTGTGGCACCAAAACTTCACTTATAACAATTCCGGGGCTGGCCGGGGATTACATTCCCTTCCCGGGGCGGTCTCTGGTTGTCTCTCGTGAGGAGGCGTGGCCCGCCCCCTTGTGGCAGCCTCAGGGGTGAGAAATCAGGACCCACCCAGTGTGAGGAATAACCCAAGCCCTCAGCAACGTGGAAAGAAACTGGCCAGAAACCTAGCTTAAAGGATCCTCATATACTGCCATGATGATTCTGTGTACAGACCAAGGAAGGATGTTGCAGATGGTGAAGTATTTCCTTGGTGGTTGGGACTGAGGAAAAAGCTGCAGGGTGGTAAAGCATTCCTTGGTTAAGACATACCAAGGAGAGAGAAACCGCAGGGGCGGTAAAGCATTCCTTAGTCAGGACTAGGGAAAGAAAGCCACAGGGGGTGGTGAAGTATTCCTCAGTTGGGATGTCTTGGAGGTTAAAAAGAGGTGAGAGATCTCCATTCAGGAGGGGGTTGAAACTCAGAAAGAGGTGAGAAATCCCCATGGGGGGCGGGGTGTTGAACCTCAGAAAGAGGTGAGAAATCCCCATGAGGGGGAGTTGAATCTCAAAAAGAGGTGAGAAATCCCCATGAGTGGGGGTTGAACCTCACACAAACCTCCGGTAGTAAGAAAAATATTCAGAACCCCCCTTTCCTTTCTTCTCAGGGGAAGAAAGAGTAGCTCCACTCCAGCCAGTCCCTCCCCTAGGGGAAGGGGAAGGAGAGGGGAGAACAGCAGCATAAGCGGCTGGCACAGGCAGGGAAAGACCAGCAAAGAGGAAAGAGAAACTGGGAGAGGAAATCAGAGAGAAACAGAGAGAAAGAGACAGAGAGTCAGAGGGAGAGAGAGAGAGAAAGAGAGAGACAGGCGGAGAGATAAAGAGAAAGACAAAGAGGAAATCAGAGAGAGAGAGAGAGACAGAGAGTCAAAGAGAGATAGAGAGATAGAAGTAGTAAAGAGAAAAGAGTGTATCCTATTCCTTTAAAAGCCAGGGTAAATTTAAAACCTATAATTGATAATTGAAGGTCTTCTCTATGACCCTGTAACACTCCAATACCACCTTGTTGTCAGTGTAAATAAGGGCATAGCCCGAAAGCACTGAGGCCACTGACAATCCATAGCCTTCCTATCAAAAATCCTTAACCCAGTAACCCACGGATGGCCTAAATGCATTCAATCTGTACCGGCAACTGCTCTCCTAACAGAAGAAAGTAGAAAAACAACTTTTAGAGGAAACCTCATTGTGAGCACACCACATCAGGTCAGAACTATCCTAAGTCCAAAAAAAAAAAAAAAAAAGCAAAAAGGTAGCTTACTGACTTAAGAACTTTAAAGTATAAGGCTATTCCATTAGAAAAAGATGATTTAACATTAACCACTGAAAATTCCCTTAACCCAGCAGGTTTCCTAACATGGGATCTAAATCTTAATTACCATACAAAGGTCCGACCAAACCTAGGAGGAACTCCCTTCAGGACAGGAGGATAGATGGTTCCTCCTGGGTGACTGAAGGAAAAAGACACAATGGGTATTCAGTAAGTGATAAGGAAACTCTTGTAGAAGCAGAGTTAGGAAAAGTGCCTAATAATTAGTCTGCTCAAATGTGTGGCATATTTGCACTCAGCCAAGCCTTAAAGTACTACAGAATCAGGAAAGACCCATCTATACCAATTCTAAGTTAATATGGACTGAATGAGGTCTTATTAAAAGCAAAGAATAATTGAAATCCCAAACTTACAAGGTTTTCAACAAAAGTAAAGTTTGCTAAAAGTTAACAGTGTAACATGCATTATCCTAACTTCTAATCTTGTGGCCTTAGACGGTCTAGTCCACAGACATGAAGGAAGTTCACTTTGGAAAAGAATGATTATCATCTCTGGGGAAAAAAAGGGGTGGGGGGGGAGAATTTATGTAAAAAGGAATGTTATATGGTAAATTTTTGTCCTAAAATAACTGGTTGTTTAAAGAAAGGGATGTTTGCAACAAGTCAGAAAGTTGAGGCATGTCAAAGAATTGTAAAAGTCGTGAAAAAAAAGTTATAAAACGGAATTTATGCAAAAAATGTTGCATAATTTAAAAGTAATTAGGCCTCCTGAATGTAAAACTATTGAAGAAACAGTGAATGTGCAAGGTGTATAAGGAAAGTAAAATACATCTTTGGTAAAAGGATTATAAGTAGGCATAAGAATGTGGATTTTTACATACATTAAAAGGTTAAAAAATTTTTTCTTTTAAAGGTTTAAGCAAGTTTTGAAATGTTAATTGTGAAGGTAATTCTGTGTGTAAACATATTGGCTAAAGTTAAAGGTGTATCATCCAGTTTTTCTGTGAACTGGACATTAAAATAAAAGCACAACAGGTTTTTCTTAAAGCACTAACCTGCTCTTTAACAAAAATTATAAAAGGTTAAAAGGAGTCTATAAAAATCTTACTTTATGGTCAGACATTAAAATTGGATAAATAGGTCTACAAGGTTTTATTAAAATTGAGTTTAACATTAATAACACACTAATATAAAGGTGAAATTTAGCTTATCTGGTATAAAAATCATACAGGAAGCATTGTCAAATATAAAATGGTGTTTGGCTTTTTTTGGTCTAAAAACTAATAAAAATAGGTGCTAAAGGAAATTTCTCAGTAAGAAGGCACCAAGGACTATAAAGTCCACTGCTGATGTCCCCACATTTAAAACAAAAGGTCAGTTTCTTAGAAATTATATACTTGGTTTATCTGCCACTTGGCCTTTACCTCAAAACTAAAAATCTTTTAGCAGAGGTACCACCCCTAGAATTTCCGGTAAACTAGCACCAGCCTGAGGATCACGTTCTCATCAAAGGGTGGAAAGAAGGAAAACTCGAGTCAGCCCGGGAAGGACCCTACCTTGTGCTGCTAACCACCGATAATGCTGTTCCTATAGTGGAAAGGGGATGGACTCATCACACCCGAGTCAAGAAAGCACCGTCCCCTCCAGGGTCATGGGCCATAGTCCCAAGGGAAAACCCTACCAAACTAAAGCTAAGAAAAATTTAACTCTCTCTCTTTCTTCTATTCTAATACTCTTTCTTCTTTCCTCACTCTATTGCTGACCATCTAGTTATTAACATAACCAAGTCAATTTTGCTTCAAACTTTTGCATTTAATGCTTGCCTTGTTATACCCTGTGGGGACTTGCCAAGGCAAAGACAGCTCTCTACTTCAGAAAAGTACCTCTGTCCCTCCTGACTCTCGTCAGACTGGGCATTAGAGAATTGGGACCATTTAATCCGGGGAGATTTTGATAAAGACCCCAGTGTCAACCAGGAGTCTTGTCCCACCAATGTAGAGCTTTTATGCTGTAGCTGGTCCAAAGTTCTGTGGACCACTAAAGAGCAAGAATAGACTGCTCCAACTGGTTTTTGTAATTTCCTAAAACCATACATTCATTTTACTAGAGGGACAGCTATCCCCCAACTGTAAGCTAAACCAGTGTAATCCTATACAGGTTATTATCTTAAACCCTCAAAGTTCTTCCCCTTTTCTAAGTTGGTTCCCTTCTTTAAGCCAGTTTTATGATATGGGGGCTGAGGTTTCAGGGACAGACCCTATTAGATTCTTTGAAATGTGTTTCTTTAATCCCCCGCTGCCTGTACCTTCCTCTAAGCCTTCTTCCAAAACCTTTTACAACGGAAGAATTTCTCCTCCTCTGTCTAACAACAAGACCAAAATAGCTATTGTAGAAGTTAAAGACTTAAAACAAACTTTGGCAATTGAGACAATACTAAGATGCAAATGCCTGGTTGAAATAGATCAAATATTCCCTCCGCACGTTAAACAAAAGCAATTGTTATGCTTGTATGCATGGCAGGCCAGAGGCCCAGATTGTCCCCTTTCCACTAGGGTGGTCCTCCAGTCGACCGGGCGTGGGCTGCATGGTAGCTCTTTTCCAGGATTCTACCGCCTGGAGTAACACATCATGCCAAGCTCGCTCTCTGCTATATGTCAAAGTCCGACACCCTGCGGGTCAGCCCTGAGGGCCATCCAGCTTCCATCTCCCAACACTAAGCTCACTTTGTGTCTCTCACGACAGGCAGGAAACTTAGAGTTCCTTGGAGACCTGAAGGGATGCAGTGAGCTTAAAAATTTTCAAAAGCTTACCAATCAGTCCTTATTCATCCCTGAGTAGATGTGTAGTGGTATTATGATGGACCTTTACTGGACACTGTCAAGTAACTAAAGTGGCACTTATGCTTTAGTCCAATTGGCTATCCCTTTTACCCTGGCATTTCATCAACCAGAAAAAGAAAAAAAAAAAAAAAAAGACATCATAAAGCAAAAGAAGCCCCTTATGGGTCTTTTGACTCTCACATCTATTTAGACACAATTAGAGTCCCAAGGGGAGTACCAGATCAATTTAAAGCCCGAAATCAAATAGCTGCAGGATTTGAGTCAATATCTTGGTGGGTGACAATTAATAAAAATGTAGATTGGATAAACTACATCTATTATAACCAACAGCGATTTATTAACTACACTAGAGATGTTGTTAAAGAATAGCTGAGCAATTAGGGGATACTAGCCAGATGGCTTGGGAAAATTGTGATAGGCTTAGACATGATATTAGCAAAAAGAGGAGTTTGTGTCATGATTAAAACTCAATGTTATACCGTCATCCCAAACAACACCGCCCCTGATGGAAGTATAACAAAGGCATTGCAAGGTCTGACTGCTCTGTCCAATGAGTTAGCCAACAACTCAGGGGTAAATGACCCCTTTACAGAATGGCTAGAAAAGTGGTTTGGTAAATGGAAAAGAATAATATCCTCAATTCTTCCTTCCCTCGCAGCTGTAATGGGTGTATTTATTCTTGTCAGGTGCTGTGTCACACCATGCATCTGTGGGTTGGTGCAGAGGCTCATAAAAATGGCACTTACTAAAACCTTCCTTAACTGTCCTCCACCTTATCCAGAGAAGCTTCTTTTGGAAAATCAAGCAGAACAACTAAGCCAAGACATGTTAAAAAGTTTGTTAGGAAATGCAAGAGGAGGGGTTGTTAGATATGAGTTCCAAATTTCTTTTCAAATAATCAATATGTCAATATGTAAAATTCTTTGCCTTCTACTTTTAAACTTAACTTCCTCAAAAAGCAACCTTTTTGGATTACCTGCTCCACCCTGACTCATTCCCATTACCTGCTCTGTAATAACCATTTTTCCCGCCAAACCACTCACCCTGTCACTCTCTTTAAATTAGCCAATTGGAATTAGTTTAGTCTGTGCCATCTAACCCTAGCCAATAGGTGAATGACACAGCAGCAGGGGCCACATGAGTCAGGGATAAGAACCTCTTCCCATCCCTTGTCCAACTGTGTGCTCACCATTGCTCCATCTGTAAGGGCGCACCCTTCTATAGAAGTACCTTGCCTTGCTCAGAATTAAAAAGAAAATTTTATATTCAAGTGTTATTTCTCTTGCGGCACCAAAACTTTACTTACAACAAGAATCTAAGGCTGCCACTGATCTGACAGCAGGCGGAGCTCAGGCGGTAATGCTCACCTCCTGCTGCGCAGCCCAGTTCCTAACAGGCCATGGACTGGTACGGGTCTGTGGCCTGGGAGTTGGGGATCCCTCATCTAGGACACTCTATAATGTTCACACAAGGAGAAATCTCCTAAGGACATCCCACCAGCATGACTGTATTTACAAATGTGCCCAGATCATTCAACATAACAAAGGCCTGCCCTCAAGGGAAACTAATATAACAATGGCTTATCTGATCTGAGGGAAGGGAAAGTAACCACCTCCAGCCCTGTCTAGTCTTCTGTCTCATCTAAGAGGCCAAAACAAACAAACAAAAAACCTAAGAAACACTAAGGTCACAGCCCAGGAATGCAAGCCTCCTAAAAGACTGATATTTTGTCATAGGATTGTAGAACACTTCCCCTCCCCTCCCTGACACCTTACCACTACACCAAAAGGGCTCCAGAAGAATTAAAATAGATTACAAATGAAAGAGCTACAACACAGAGACTCTATTTAAGAAAAAGTTCTTAGAGAACCCAAAAACAACAAAGGAAAGAATAAAAGCCCCCCCAAAAAAACATAAAAACAAGGACAAAACAAAAAACAAAAAGCTGATGGCATCTACATGTGCAGCAAAACAGTAAACACAGCCCACAGGTCTTAGCTAGACTAAAAGAAACCTCAAACTAAAGGCCAATCTACTTCACTTCCTATTATCCAAAATATTATACACTATGTCCAGCATTCAACAAAATAATCACAATGTATGCTAACAGGCAGGAAAAACCACAGTCTGAAGAGACAAAGCAAACACCTGAACCAGACTCAGATATAACATAAATTATGGAATGAGATAGTGATTTTAAAGTAACAACAATTAATATGTCAAGAACTCTAATGGATAGATAGTATGCAAGAACAAATTGTTAATGTCAGCAGAGAGATGGAAACTCTAAGAATGAATGAAAAGAAAATATACAACAATAAAAAATAAACAAACTGGACTTCACAGAAAGATTTTAAGATGTATTCACCAAAAGATACCATCGACAGGGCAAAAGGCAACCTACAGATGGAAAAAAAATTGCAAATCATATATCCAATAAAGGTTTAACATCAAGAATACAGCTGACCTTTGAACAATGTCAGGGGCACTGACCTCCCATGCAGCTGAAAATCCACATGTAACTTTTGATTCCCCCAAAACTTAACTACTAATAGCCTGCTGTTGACCAGAAGCCTTACCAATAACATAATCAATTAACATATATTTTGTATATGTATTATATACTATATTCTTAAAATAAAGTAGGCTAAAGGAAAGAAAATGTTAAAAAATCATAAGGAAGAGAACATATATATATATTTACTATTCACTAAGTGGAAGTGAGTCATCATAAAGGTCTTCATCCTCATCATCTTCATGTCAAGTAGGCTGAGGAGATGGAAGAAGAGGAGGGTTGGTCTTGCTGTCTCAGGGGTGGCAGAGGCAGGAGAAAATCCAAGTTAAGTAGACTCACACAGTTCAAACCTGTGTTGCTCAAGGATCAACTGTATAGAGACATTTAAAACTCAACAGCAATAACAAAAAACCTGATCCAAAAATGGACAAAGGATGTGAATAAACATTTCTCCAAAAAAGACATACAAATTGCCAAGAAGCACATGAAAAGTGTTCAAAATCACTACCATTATGGAAATGCAAATCCAAACTACAATGAGATCCCAGTTTACACCCATTAGGATGGCTATTATCAAAAGAACAGAAAACCATGTTGGCAAGGATATGGGCACTGCTGCTGGGAATGTACAATGGTACAGCCACTGCAAAAAACAGTATGGCAGTTCCTTAAAAAATTAAAAATAGAATTGGCTTATGATCCAGATTCCACTTCTGGGTATTTACCCAAAATAACTAAAAACTGTGTGTTAAAGACATATTTGTAAACCCATGCTCATAATAGCATTATTCACAATAGCTAAAATGTGGAAGCAGCCTGAGTGTGCATTGACAAATGAATAAGTAAAATGTGGTATATAGATATAATTGAATATTATTTGGCCTTAAAAAGGAAGGAAATTCTGACATATACCACATCATGAATGAACCTTGAGGATATTATGCTAAATGAAATAAGCCAATTCAAAATCATAGATGGAAAGTAGAAAGCCAGGGGCTGGAGGAGGAAGCAATGGGAAGTCAATGTTTAATGGGTTACAGAGTTTCAGTTTCACAGGATAAAAAAAGTTCTAGAGATGGATGGTTGTGATGGTGGCATAATATTAGGAATGTATTTATACTACTACTGAATTGTACACTTAAAAATGATTAAGATACTAAATTTTACAGTTTTTATATTTTACCACACTAACAAAAAAATGAAGAAAGGAAATACAGTAAGTCAAATTCACTGCAAGAGAAATGAAGAATGCCTATGATAGGCTCATCAGTAGGTTGAAAACAGAACTTGGCAGGGTGCAGCAGTTCACACCTGTAATCCCAGCACTTTGGAAGGCCAAGCTGGGTGGGGATGGCTTGACCTCAGGAGTTTGAGATCAGCCTGGGCAACATGGCAAAACCCCATCTCTACGAAAAATACAAAAATCAGCCAGGTGTTGTGGTGCATCCCTGTAGTCCCAGCTACTTGGAAGAAGGCTGAGGTGGAAGGATTGTTTGAGCCCAGGAGGTTGAGGCTGCAGTGAACCTAATCTGTGCCACTGAAGCTTGAGCAACAGAGAGAGACTCTGTCTTCACCCCCCACCCCCCCTCCAAAAAAAAGAAAAAAGAAATGTCCCAAATGCAAAGAGCAAAAAAAAGAATAGCATATTCCAAGAACTGTGGGATGATTTTAAAAGGTTTAAAAATGTAACTAGAATACCAAAAGGAGAAGAAAAACGACTGAAGCAGAATAAATATAAGTAATAATGGCCAAGAATTTTCCAAAATTAATGATAAATATCAAACTACAGATCCAGGAAGCTAAAAAAGAAAAAAAACAATCACCGAGCAGGATAAAAACTGAAAAAATCTACACACAGGCACATTATATTTAAACTACAAAAAATCAAAGACAAAGAGAAAACCTTAAAGGAAACCAGAGGAAAAACTCCTCTCACCTATAGAGGGTAAGAGTACATAACAAGAATCGCATCAGACTTCTCAGAAATCATGCAAACAAGAAGACAGTGTCTTAAAATTCAAAGTGTTGAAAGGAAAAAAAAAAACCCAACAACCTTGAATTCTGTATCCAGCAAAATTAACCTTCAAAAGGACAAAAATTTTCTCAGACAAAAACTGAAGGAATTCCTTACCAGAAGACCTGTCCTGAAAAAAGTATTAAAAAGAAGTTCTTAACAGAGAGAAAAAAAAGATACAGGTCAGAAACTCAAATCTACATAATGAAACAGAATGTTAAAGAAGGAATAAATGACGGTAATATAAAATATTTTGCTTTTCTTATTCTTAGTCAGAAGTAAATAACTGTCTATTCAAAGTAATAACAGTGATAATGTATGGGGCAATTACAGCATATAGTTCAGTGAAATAAATGACAATAATGTTATAAGGGATGAAAGGGAGGAACTGAGATACTCTGTTACAAGGCACAAGCACTACCCACAAAGCACTGTATTGTTATTAGAAAGCAGATATAGATTACTTGTAAATGTATATTGCAAACCCTAGGACAACCACTTAAAAAAAACTGAAGTATAATTTATATATTAAGAGAAGAGAGAAAATGGAATAATATAAAATGTTCAATTTCAACCAGAGATGTCAGAAAAAGAGAAGATTTTAAAAATGAAAAGAACAAGTACAACAAATAAAAAACAGATATAAACATGGTTGATATTAATCCAACGATATCAAAATTCACTTCAACTGTTAAGGACCTAAACATATTAATTAAAAAACAGAGACTGTCAGAGAAGATTTTTTTTAAAAAGACCCAACTAATATTTTCTATAAGAAACCCATTTTAGACATAAAGATGCAGGTAAGTGAAAAGAGATGGAGAAATACGTACCAAGTTAAAACTAACCAAAAGAAGGTTGGAGTACAGATGGTTCCTGACTTAACGACAGTTGAAATGACAATTTTTCAACACTATGGTGACGTACAAGCAACATGCATTCAGCAGAAAGTATACTTTGAGTACCTATACAACCATTCTGTGTTTCACTTTCACTACAGTATTCAATAAGCTACATGAAATAGTCGACACATTATAAAACAGGCTTTTGTGTTAGATGATTTTGACCATAAGCTAATGCAAGTGCTCTGAACACATTTAAGGCAGGCTAGGCTAAGCTGTGGTGGTTACACAGGTTAGGTGTATTAAATGCATTTTTGACTTAACAGTATTTTCAACTTACAATAAGTATATTGGGAAGTAACCCCACCATAAGCTGAGGAGCATCTGTATTTATTAATTTCAAATGAAATAGACTTCAGAATAGGAAATAACCAGGGATAAAGTGGAGTATTACTTAATGATAAACGGGTCAATTCTCCAAGAAGACATAACAATCCTTAATATGCATGTGCCTAAAAATAGAACATCAAAATATATGAGGCAAAAACTAATGGAATTAAAAGAGAAGCAAATCCACTGTTATGTAGCTAGAAATCTCAACATCCCCTTTTTAGTAACTGATAGATCTAACAGGCAGGAAAGCAGTAAAAATGTTGTTGAGTTGATGAGCAACACTAATCGACTGAATTCAGCTGACATTTATAGAATAATTCATCCAACAATAGCAGAATAAATATTTTTCTCAAACTCTCATGGAACATTCTAAAAGACAGACACATTCTGGGCCACAAAATACACCATAACAAATTTAAGGTTTTTTTCAGATGATAATGGAATTCAACTAGAAGTCAGTAACAGAAAGACGCTGGAAAATCCCAGAATATTTGGAGATTAAACAACTTACTTCAGAATAACACGAGTGTTAAAAAAAAAAAAAAAGAAAGAAAGAAAAAGAAAAAGCAGTCAAGAGAAATGTTAAAATATTTTGAACTAAATTAAAATGAAAATACAAACTTGCCAAAATTTGTGGGATGCAGTCAAAGCAGTGATTTCAGGGAAATTTACAGCATTGAAGGCATTTATTTGAAAAGATCTAAAACCAGAAACAAGCTTCTATTTTTGAAAATTCTAGAGAACGAGCAATTTAACCTTAAAGCACTCAGAAAAAAAGAAATAATAAAAATTAGGGCAGAAATCAATGAACTTGAAAACAGGAACAACAGAGAATATCAATAAAACCAAAGCCTTGGTTATTTGAAAAGATTTTTATAAATTGATAAATCTCTAGCCAGACTAATCAAGAAGAAAAAAACAGAAGGCATACATTTACCAATACCATAAGTGAAAGAAGGGACATCACTATTAATCACATGGATATTAAAAGGATAATAAAAGAACACTAAGAACACTCTATGCTCACTAATTTGATAATTTAGATAAAGTGGATCAATTCTTTGAAAGGCACAAGCTACCAAAAGTCATAGAAGGAGAAACAGATAATCTAACAAGGCCAATATTTATTTTAAAAATTGAACCTATAATTAACCTTTCCAAAAATAAAGCACTAGGCCCAGATATTTTCACTGGGTGTATTATACAAACATTTAAGAAATGACATCAATTTTCTATAATCTGTTTCAGAAAATAGAAGCAGAGAGGATACTTCCTAACTCATTCTATGAGAACATTACCTTAATACCAAAATCAGATAAACATGATAAAGCAAAACTACAGATGAGTGTCTCTCAAGAACATTGTCATAAACTGAATGTGTGCAATGTAGAACTCGCAGTCAATGAAATTGGATATTCACTCAGGAGAATGATAACTAACTTCTCTAATACTTTGTTTAGGTGTCTCCATCATTTAAGAGGAGATACCTAAACAAAGTATTAAAAGAGAAGCTTGGTTACTCCTTATGGCTTATAGTAAAATGCAAGAGAAAGAGAAATAAAGCTACTGTTAGGCAAAAAAGAACCAGAACTTAAAGATGTGGCAAATTCTGTCTGTTCATATTTCAAAAGATGAGGGCTTTCTGAGGAGAACACCAAGGTTGTGCCTGTACTACCACTCAGTAAAGAGACTACGAAATTATCTGAGCAGATACACTGCCAGTGTGAACTGTAAAGGACTGAATGAAGGAAGGCAGACTTCATGGATTCTACAAGATGGAAACATACAACCATCAGGTGGTGAACATGCATTATCCTTCAAGAAAAAGTAACAACACCAAATGTGATTTAGAGATCATCAGAGAGCTGCCATTCTCACCACAGTCTTAAAGGGCAAGGATGATTTCCTTCATGGTTTCAACAAGCTAGGTTATTGCTACCCAGGAGCCTTGGAGGCAGGAGTCTATGGAGGTGGGGCTGCCATCCCAGTGGATCCAGAAGGCAAAGCCAGTTGTTCTGAAAGGCACAGCATGAAATCAAAGAGATTATTTTCAAACCTCAAGATCTAATGGAATTTCCTCGATAGGTTTTGGACTTGTTTGGGACATAACACCCCTTTCTTCCTTCTGATTTCTCCTTCTTAGACGAGATTAGGCACTTCAGGGTGGTATGGCCATAGACTGATTTCTCCTTCTTAGAATGGGAATGTTTATCCTATGCCTGTCCCACCACCATATTTTAGTAGTACTTGCTAGTTTCACAGATTCACAGCTAGAGAGAATTTTGTCTCAGGACGAATCATACCTCGAGTCTTACCCCTTTCCACTTTAGATGATATTTAGATGAGACTTTGAACTTTAGGGTTGATGCTGGAATGAATTAAGACTTGGGATAAAATGAATGTATTTTTCATGTGAGAACGATATAAATTGGGGGAAGGGAGGCAGGGCTGAATGTCTGTCCCCCCTCCCCAAATTCATATGTTGAAGCCCTAACGCCCTTAGCTATATTTGAAAATACGGCCTCTTACGAAGTAATTAAGAGTAAATGAGGTCACAAGGGTGGGGTCCTGATACAATAGGATTAGAAGTCTTATAAGAAAAGACAGCAGAGAGTGTTTTCCTCCTCCCCTTGTGCCATGTGAATACACAGTAAGAAGAGAGCATCCGCGACTCAAGGGGCAGAACCCTTGCCAAACACCAACCCTGCTGTAATCTTGAAATTTCAGTCTCTAGAACTATAAGAAAATAGATTTCTGTTGTTTAAGGCACCCAGTCTATGGTATTTTGTTATGGTAGCTCAAGGAGACTAAGACAAACATGAATGCAAATATCCTCAACAAATTATTACCAATGTTAAATCCAACAATGTATAAAAAGAATTGTACAGTACCCTAAGAAGGGGAGAGTGTAACTTTTCAGTGTTTAAGTGTAGGCTTCACATAGTGATTTCCTTCCAAAGAGTACAGTATGAAAAGGAGGAAGAAATGGGTTATCTTTAAAATGGAGAAAACTCACAAACCCTACTTTAGCCAGGTGGTCAAGGTCAACATCAAAAATCATAAAATCATGTTCATAGTATGTACTCTTGATACAGTGTGATAGAAATCGCACTTCATCTGTGATCTTCTTTCCCTAAACCCATACCCCAAGTCTGATTATGAGAAAAACAAGAGACAAATTCTAAATGAGGAGCATCCTATAATACATTTGAGCAGTGCTTCTCACAACTGGCAATGTCATTAAAAACGCGGAAAGTATGAGAAAATGTCACAGCCAAGAGTACCCTAAGGAGATATGACAACTAAATGTAATGCAGTATTCTAGATGGGATCCTGGAAAAGAAAAAGGACATCAAGTAAAAACTAAGGAAATCTGAATAAGCTACAGACCTTAGTTAAAAATAACACACCAAGTCTGGCAAACATGTGAAACCCTGTCTCTACCAAATAATACAAAAATTAGCTGGGCATGGTGGCACATGCCTGTAAGTCCTAGCTACTCAGAAGGCTGAGGCAAGAGAATCTCTTGAACCTGGCAGGCAGAGGTTGCAGTGAGCCAAGATGGCACCACTGTACTCCAGCCTGGGTGACAGAGTGAGACCCCGTCTCAAAACATAAATAAATAAATAATAACATACCAATATTGGTTCATTAATTGTAATAAATGTGCCATGTTAATAATAGGGTACACTGTTTGTGGGGGGCCCAAGAGGTGTATATGGGAACTTTCTGTTCTATTAATATCTACTCAATTTTTCTGTAAATTTAAAACTGTTCTGGAAACTAAAGTCTATAAATAAAATACACACACACACACACACACACACACACACCCCTTCCAAAACAGGAAGAAATAATGCATTCACATAAAAGAAATTTTAAAATGAATGATGTATAAATAATTACTAAATTAAAATTCTTAATGTAAAATAATTATATCTTAAAATTATTCCTTACTTTAGAAAACTGACACCAATTTATACTTTATGTTATTAATGTATGTGATGCAATTATATAAAGAAGATAAAAAAACTTTCTCAAATTTTCACTGTAGCCAACAGAAATCATTAAAAAGCTTGATTAAATGAGATAATGTATATAAACTACATACAAGGGAAATCAAGCATATTAGAAGCATTAAACACACAAATGATACTATTCTTATTATTAACAAGCTGGTAAGACAAAAGGTGAAGCAAATTTATGGAACCAAGAACTCTTCTAAGAAGCTTATTAAATTAGAGGATTCTTCATGTTGGGCCAATACCCAGCAATTCACAGTTTAAACACTTCCAGCTGGTAAGTGTTTTTTTGAGGCAAGCAAGGGAAATGAAGAACAAAGGGAGAAGGCAAAACTAAGAGAAAACAGCTTTCCTGTAACACTAAAGAAATTCAAAAGCATCATTAAATAAATACAGAAACACAGAAAAACATCACTGGAATAATAGAGCAGAAAAATTTTAAGTAAACTTATGTTTATGTATGAAAACAAGAAAGTAATTAGAGAGCTTTTGCTTTTAGGAACTATTTTCTAACATGTGACAAAGACAGGCTCAAAAAATATCTCATCACATACAGAACAGATTGAAAATACTTTAAAATGTTAAAAATGTTTATAATTCTGTCAGTTCAAATTTCACACTTTGGAATTAGGATATATTTCTCCCGTGTAACTGGTGTGAAAAAAATTATATATATATATATATATATATATATATATATATATATATATATATATATATGTTAACACATGCTCCATTTATCTAAACTAACATTGTTTAATTTTATTATACCAAGCAAATAGAAAATTTGAACTACTATATGAAGCTCCCATGAGGATTTATCCTTTAGATATAATTTATGGAATAGCAGAATTAATTTTTTAAAGTAATACATAAAATATGTCTACTAATTAATACCATCTTAGAGGAATCAATAAAATTCATTTATCAGTTATCTTCCATTCTGCTGACACCAAAGATATCATCCTACTCTTCTTCCAGAGAAACAAATTTTTCCTAAAATCACAATGTTCCTTTTTCAGAAGCAGGAAGAGAAAATTCTAAGAGAAGAAAGTAAAGGAATTCTGTGAAACAAGTAGGAAAGAATACTCAGGAGAAAGCAAGAGGGCTACTCTAGAGTTTACACCTGCTCAGAAAGGGAACAGCAGAATTAAAAGCGATCAAAAAATGAAAACGGGATCAGGCATGGTGGCTCATGCCTTTAATCCTAGCACTTTGGGGGGGCCGAGGCAGGAGAATCGCTTGAGCCCAGAATTTGAGACCAGCATGGACAACATAGTAAGACCTCGTCTCTACAAAAAATTAAAAAATTAGCCAAGCATAGTAGCACACACCTGTGGTCCCAGCTACTCGAGAGGCTGAGGTAAAGAGGATCACTTGAGTCTGGGAGGTCAAGGCTGCAGTGAGCTGTGATCAAATCACTGCACTCCAGCCTGGGTAACAGACACCCTGTCTCAAAAAAACAAAAAAACAAGAAAGGAAAGAAAGAGAAAAAAGAAAAGAATAAGAATAAGATGCAGCCATAAAAATGAATGAGATCATGTCCTTTGCAGGGACATGGATGAAGCTGGAAGCCATCACCCTCAGCAAACTAACACAGGAACAGAAAACCAAACACTGCATGTTCTCACTCATAAGTGGAAGGTGAACAATGAGAACACATGGACACAAGGAGGGGAACAACACACACCAAGGCCTGTTGAGGGGTGGAGGACGAGGGGAGGGAACGTAGGCAAGGATGGGTCAATAGGTGCTGCAAACTACCATGGCACACATATACCTATGTAACAAACCTGCACGTTCTGCACACGCATTCCGGAACTTAAAGTAAAATTTTTAAAAAAAAGAAATGAAATGACTTTTTAGTAATAGCCATTCTGACTGGTATGAGATGCTGGTTAGGCTGCAGAGAAAATGGAACACTTGTACACTGTTGATGAGAACGTAAATTAGTTTGACCATCATGGAAAATAGTTTGGAGATTTCTGAAAGAACTTAAAACAGAATCATCATTTGACCCAGCAATCCCCTTACTGGGTATATATCTAAAGAAAAGACATTGTTTTACCAAAAAGACACATGCACTCACTTGTTCATCGTGGCACTATTCACAATAACAATGACATGGAATCGACATAGGTGCCCATCAACAGTGGATTCGATAAAGAAAATGTGGTACACATACACCATGGAATACTACGCAGCCATAAAAAAGAAGGAAATCATGTCCTTTGCAGCGACATGGATATTGCTGAAGGCCATTATTCTAAATGTGAGAACAGAAAACCGAATACCACGTGTTCTCACTTATAAGTGGGAGCTAAACACTGGGTACTCATGGACATAAAGATGGTAACCATAGACAATGGGGGACTCAAGGGAAGGGAGAAAGAGGGGAAAGGGATGCAAAACTGTTGAGTACTATGCTCAGTACCTGGGTGACAAGATCAATTATACCCCAAACCTCAGCATCACACAATATACCCCATGTTACAAACCTGCACAATTACCTCCTGAATGTAAAATAAAAGTTAAAATTATTTTCAAAAATTTTTAAATTTAAAATAAATGAAATGAAAAACTGCTCCATATTACAAAGCTGAAAGATGATGTGACATCACAATCCAACATCCAGCAATGAAGTCTTCGAAAGCACATTTTCAAGAGATTTAATGAGTAATTAGATACAAAAAATTATTAATAGTGGTTATATGTGGGTAATGGGTAGGGGGCAGACTTTTCCTTTTCATGGCTCTGAACTTTTGTTTTCTTTCTCCATCTCCTCATAAATATATACTAGCTTTATAATTGCAAATAACCCCAAATAATTATCGACTGGTAGGACGACCTGATCTTTCCGTTGCTATTAGTAGGATCGTGTGTTCTTTTCATAAGGATCTAGATCATAAAAATAACCTAAATCTAAAACATTACAAGAAGAAAGCTGAAACATACATACTTCATTAACTGATGTTAAAAAACATTTATTAAATGCATTTTCTTTTACAGCATGATGACACTGCACTGTAAAAACAAGAGGTCCTGAATTCTATGGGCATATGGTGTAAAGCAAAAATGCTGATTCAGACAAATAGGACATATACACAGCAAAGCCAAAACAAACAATACTTTAACATGTATCGGATAAAGGTAGAAAGTTGAGCATTTACCTTCCAAAAAGGAGGGAAGGTCAATAGCCCAAAGAGAGAAATCACAGACAACTGAGAGGAAATGACTTTTTGTTTAAAAGCTAATCAGTTCTGTTCAAATATATTTAAAATATGCAATGGAAAGGCATTTCTTTTAAGAATGTTTTTAAAAGACCTAAAACAACTAGCTCATATCATATCTGTTTCAAAAATTATTTGAAGTTTACACATACAGTTACATGACAAGTTAACATATCATGATAGCTTTTTAAATCATTGCCATCAATAATCTGTTCTTCTTTCATCTTTCCTTTTGTAATCTCAAAGGAAAAGTTGCGAGACTACGTTGGGGGAAAGAAAGGCTTGTTAGAAGTCACGGCATGCTCTGATTGTGACAAAGAGTGCTGTGGCTAAGTGACCCAGATCTATTGACAAGGCTTGGAAGAGTTAGTCCCAGGTAGGAGAGAAAATTTACCAGTAAGCACTAAATGAATTCCAATATTAGATTACATTACAATAGCTAACTGTTGAAGTTTGGCAGCATTCACTTAAAGTGTAAAGGTGATTTTAAAAACTTTTCAAAGGGTGCTTATGAGTAGCAATTAGAGAGAAGTTTTCTAGAATTATAGTTCGGAAGAAAAATAGAATGTTACCCCTATTATTTATATTTACATGCAAGGCAAATGCATAGGTGGCTTGCTAAGTCACAGTTTAAGACGTCACCTTTCATCTGGAGAAAAAGATATGGATTACAGAAGCAATGTCTCAGAAGAAATAGGCATTACAGGGCTAGTCCTACAATTTCCAAATGTGAAGATACGCTATATTTCCCAAAGCTAGATCTGAAATAATAACATAAGAAGTAAACATTAATTTTTGTATTAAAAATGCACAAAAGGGCAGTGAAGACTCTTCACTCAAATAAAACACTGTATTGTTCATGGAGCAGTTTGAAAACCATGACTATGATAGAAAAGGAGTAAGTTTTGGAGTATAACAAGGATTTGTTTGAATACTAATTCCTATACTTAAGACTTATGTGATTTTAGACAAGTTCCTGAACCACTTTAAAGAAGTTTACTTGTTTTTTTCTCCAATTTTTTTTATTACGGTAAAATATACAGAACAAAATGTAGCATCTTAACCACTTTTAAGTGAACAGTTCGGTGGTATTAAATACATTCATAATGTCATACAACCATCACCACCATTCATCTCCATAAGTTTTGTTTTGTTTTGTTTTGTAGAACTGAAACTCTACACCTATGAAAAATGACTTCCCATTCCCCACTCCCTCCAGCCCCTGGTGACCACCATTCTACTTCCTGTCTCTAGGCATCTCATATAAATGGAATCACACAGTACTTGTCTTTTTGTATCTGGCTTATTTCATTTTGCATAATGTCCTGAAGGTTCATTCACAATGTAGCATATGTCAGAATTTCCTATCTTTTTAAGGTTGAATAATATTCTATTGTATGTATATACCACATTTTGCTTAACCATTCATCTACAGACACTATATCCCTTCCACATTTTAGCTATTGTGAATAATGCTGCTATAAACATGAGGGTATAAATCTCTTTGAAACCTCATTTTCAGAAGCAGAATTGCTGGATCATATGATAATTCTATTTTTAATTTTTTGAGGAATGACCATACTGTTTTCCACAGCAGCCATGCCAATAGTTTACTTATTTTTAATGAAGATAGCAACAACATCTACTTTATAGGTTTAGTATGATGAATTGAAATGATAAATAAAAATGGCTTAGTATAAAGCCTAAAAACATTTTGTTGGTACTCTTCACCTTTTTTCCCCCAAAGAAATAAAAATACCATATTTAAGCTACATTTTATGTTGAATTTATATTTGCATTTGTCACTATACAATAAATTTCATTATCAAACAAGCTTTCATGAGTTCATCATCTCCTGACTATATGATTTAACATAAGGAAATAAAACAGCTTTGTCAACAACTAGTAATCATTCTAAAATAGTTGGTAAGAATAGGATTGTTCTTATTACTCCTTTTTATTTTTCTTTTATTTATTTATTTATTTTTTTGAGACAGAGTTTTGCTCTTGTCATCCAGGCTGGAGTGCAGTGGCTTGATCTTGGCTCACTGCAACCTCCACCTCCCGGGTTTAAGCGATTCTCCCACCTCAGCCTCCAGAGTAGCTAAGACTACAGGCGCGCACCAGCACGCCCGGCTAATTTTTGTATTTTTAGTAGAGATGAGGTTTCACCATGTTGGCCAAGATATTCTCGATCTCCTGACCTTGTGATCTATGCACCTCAACCTCTCAAAGTGCTGGTATAACAGGCATGAGCCACCGTGCCCGGCCTGTTCTTACTACTCTTTATAAATACAGAAGACAATAGAAGAAGAGAAAACTAATCATTACATTAGCTCTTTTCCTCTAGAAAACCTGATTTCTGCTATTACATATGAATAGTTTTTTATGCTATGATATGAGGTTGATTCTTAATAAGACAAAGAATTTCAATGCATTGTTATTATAACATATACTAAACAAGATGAGTAATTTAGGAGAAAGTAGCTTAAAATCTCAGGATTATAATCATCTGCTATCATGACAATTAAAATGAGATAAATTTCAAGTATTTGGGAAGTTAACGAAACATTACAAATATGATGCTTAATATAAATAACAAGCTAAGGAAATTCATCAAATTATGAATATTTTTGGTTACAAATAAAACCAACTTATTGTTTCTAAGTATATATAGTTCTAATCAGTTTAGAGGTTAAAACAAAGTATTTTTCCTGGAAATAAAAAATTACCATAAGGAACACTGCAGTGATAATTTTTGCACGCAGGATCTGCTAATAGAAGCTACAACTAGTAGGAGAAAGTTTGAGGAGAAACAGAATATTTGCATACACTCTCCAAGAACCTATTAACTAGAAAAAGGAAAGCAGCAACTTTAAAGAAGAGAAACTCCGCATATACCACCTTTAACAGTGATGAAGGTTAACATTACCAGTAATGAGACATATCTATATCATCTACTCTGATATGACACACTGAAAACAGCACATCATTTCTGTGGTATTCTTGCAAAAAGTGCGTAACCTCAATCTAATTATGAGAAAGTACCAGACAAAGCCAAATCGAGGTATTGGGAATCAAGTTCGAGGATTCCCTAGAAGAACTCAAAGGACTCAGATGTTGCACTCACAGTTACAAGTTATTACAACAAAAGGATGCACAGAAAATCAGCAAAGGGAAAAGACACATGGGGTGATACATATTACACTGATGTTGAAATGACAACATTTTAGATATATTGAGTTAAATAAAATATGTTATTGGAATTAATTTCACCTGTTTCTACTTTTTATTATGGTTACTAGAAAAATTTAATTACATGTGTGACTCACATATTTCTATAGAAGAGTGCCGGTCTAAATACATTAGAAGTTACAAAATGGTGATAGTCTATTATTCCTTCTTCATTACATGGCTGGAAAACTTTCATAAAAAGAAACTTACCATTTGGCTATCTGAAGTATGTGTCGTATTAAAAAAAAAAAGCAGAAGAAAAAAAGGCTAGATTCTTGCCCTGGCTTTCAAAATAATAACTTGGCCCCCTTATATACTTCAAATATAACTGTACCAGTTATCAATTTTAATTGTGGAAGTTATCAATTTACTGCCTCTTATTTCCAAAGCTACCCTCTTGCCCTGCTTTGTGATACAAGATCAGGACCCTGTAACCCTGCTCCTTTGCCAGCAGGTACAAATGTCAGGCTTTGTGAGTACAGAGCAGTGAAGGGACACTACAAGGGCATAGCCTGGGTTCTGGTTTGGATGTTTTTCTATGATGCAGTTGTCAGCTAAATATTGTGTGGGAAGCCTGGTGGCACTCACCTGCAAGGCTCTAGCAGACCAGCTCTAGCCTGCCGGTATTCTATGGCAAATTTCCCCACCACCAAAGAGTGGCTTCTAGCAGACCAACTCTGATTTTCCAACATTTTCCAGCAAGTTTCTTCACAACCAACTGGCTGCTCCCTGTGGTCCAGCTGTGGCCTGCCACTCCCCTCTTACCCAGTTTTCAGATACAAGTCAGTCCCAACACCCAAAGGCCCCTGATGCAAGGGGAGGCCAGGTCCCCTTGCAGAAAGACCCTGTAGTTTTGCCACAAGTATATGCTTTAAATTATGTACCAAATCATCCCCAGAAGGGCCTATTGCTATCTACTAGAGCAGCGGTCCTCAACCTTTTTGGCACCAGGAACCAGTTTTATGTAAGATGATTTTTCCACAAATGTTGGTGGGGGAATGCTTTGGGGAAGATTTCATGTCAAATCATCAGGCATTAGTTAGATTCTCATAAGGAGCACGCAACTTAGATCCCTTGCATGAGCAGTTCACGATGGGGTTTGTGCTCCTATGAGAATCTAATACCGCCACTGATCTGACAGGAGGTAGAGCTCAGGTGTTAATGCTTGCTCCTCCGCCACTTACCTCCTGCTGTTGCAGCTTGGTTCTAACAGGCCACAGACCTATACTGGTCTGGCCTGGGGGTTGGGCACCCCTGTACTAGAATGATTATGTCATGGAGAAAAATTAATATCCAGACCTTTCAGAAATACTCTATACTGATTCCAGGGAAGTGATGCCAACTCTTGGGGCACAACACGCTACTATGACACAACACATCAAAGTGAAGACTTAAAGAAATCAGGTGATGGGTGAAGTCTTAACACAAGTTTGACCCATAGCAGACCCAGTCAGTCCACAGACTCACCCTGTGGTACTTTCTCCTATTCCTGAATGTATAATTGGAATAGACATACTTAATAACCGGCAGAATCCCCATAGGCACTCTCTTACACATGGGTTAAGGGTCATTATAGTAGAAAGAGATAAAGAAAAGCTCTAGGAACTTCCTTTGCCTGGCAAAATAGTAATCCAAAAGCAATATTGTGTTGGGGCAGGGGGTGGGCATCAAAATTTGAAAGAAGCAGGAATGGTGATATCTATCACATTCCCATTTAATTATCAGTCCGTCCTGCACATACATACATCATATAAATCTCAAATGGCTGTGAACAATTATAAACCTCAACCTTTTTCCCAAACCACTCATCCCACATTCTTCCCTATGGAATTAATCATGGCTCCTCTTTCTCAAATCTGTCAGCTCAATATACCACTTACGCTTTAATCTAGGAAGCAGAACCATCCAGTGATATAGAATCAGGAGTTTATTATAAGAGTTAGGCCTTATACTACTGTGGTAGAAGCGAGGGAGTAAAGATCCTGAAGGAGATAGTTGGAGGATCAGAAAAATACTTCTAACCAGAGACCATTAATGGGAGCTTGTGAAGAAGTCTATAAAAGCCTGTATCCCCGTGTTTGATGGTGAGCCTAAAGTCTATGACAGCAGGGCAGACAGTTGGGAAGAAAGCCTGGACATAAAATAGGACAAACTGCAATGCCTGAGAACAAACTGGAACTGATGGAGACAAACTGGAACCCAAGTCTGTTTTCAATCTTATCTAAACCTGATGCTGTAGATGACCTGCAGAAGAATCTGTTTCCCTTTCCTATGGAGCTATACATTCATTTGGCCCATGACTCACAGAAGCTAACAGGTAAGCCAACAGAGCAATGATTATGTATATATCTGAATGTAATGACTGCTGTTTTATTTTTGCCTTCCAAGTATCACACATTTCTCAAGGCTAGCTATCATCTAGTACCACACAAGGAAGAGAATTCTGGAAAACGCAATTTTAGTTTAACTAAACTAACACAGTAAAGAAAATCACTACACTACACCTTCTGGATCTTTTGATCCAGAATCTGACTGTTTCTCACCATTACTAATGTTACCATCCTAGTCACAAGAACTCTTGCCTGGATTCCTACAATGAACTCTTTCCTGACCCTTTCCTATCCAAGAGGGATTCTCAAAGGGAAATTAAAAGAAAAAAAAAGTCAAATCGAATGTCAGTTATCATCCTGAAACCCAGCAATGCCTCCTACTTCCCTCAGAGTATGAGCTGAAGCCCTAACAGTAGCCATAAGATGAGATAATACAGGGCCCGATCTCTTCTACTTCTCTCTCCCTCCTTCACTTAGTCATCTCTTGCCACACAGGCTCCAAGGCCTATACAGGATCTTTTGCTCCAGCTATTTCTTCCATCTGGTGCTTCTCCCTCATATCTACTATCTGCTTGGCTAACTCCCTCACTTTCTTCAACTATTTGCTCAAATCTTACTTTATCAATGGGACTTAAAATATTTTAATTTGTCACTCCTCCCCTTCAAACTGGAACACTCAACCCCTTATTATACTTAATTTTTTTACAAATACTGATTTAGCTTTCAACATATTATCTAATTTACTTATTTGTTATGTTTATTGTCTGTCTCTCTTAAATAAAATGTAAGTTCCATGAATCAGGGATCTGATTTTGCATGAATATATCACAAGCTCCTAAAATAGTAACTGCAAATACAGAAAATATTTATTTGTTTAACCAATTAATCAAGTGAAATGCCGGAAGCAAAGAAGAAAAAAAATGGGGAAAAGTAATATTTGAAGAAATAATAGCAGGAAAAGCTCAGAAATGATGAAAAACAATGTAATGCACTTTCCACAAGCCTAATAAGTTCCAGTTGGGGAAAAAAAAAATCCATACCGAGGCTCATCATAGTAAATCTACAGTACATCAAATACAAAGATTGAATCTTAAAAACAAGAACAAAGAAAAGAAAGGTTACCTTTCTTTTGGGGTAAGAAGACAACTATACGAACAGCTGATTTGTCGACAGCAACAAGGAAAGTCAGAAGATACTGGAATAAAACTGTCTATATGCTGAAGAAAAAATAACTGTTTACTTAGAATTCAATATCCAATAAATAGGATAGAATAAAGACTGTCACTAAAACAACTGAACTTGCTACCAGCAGAGCCAAAAGAAATGTTAAAGAATGTAACTACTGGCAGAAAATCTGAAGTAATAGAAGGAACACACAGCAAAAGAAGTTGTAAATATGTAGGAAAAGCAATCAAATATTGACTGTATGTAACAAAAATAATAAGGTATTGTGGGCTATAATAGAAGAAATACAAACGTAACTTGGAAAGGATTACATTTCTTGGAAAAGTATAAATGTTAACTTTAGATTTAAAGAGTTAGATGTGCGTGCTAAAATTTCTAGGGTAATCACCAAGAAAACTCCAACATTTCAAAGTATGACTTTAAATTGAGCAGGGAAAAAAAAATAAGGAAAAAAATCAAAATAAAAGGCAAGAAAGAGGGAAAAGTATAGAAAAAGTAGGACAAATAACACAAAATAAGATGGCAAAAATTCATTACTTATGATTAATTAAGTGTAAATGGATGAAATGCTCCATTTATGAAGACTGTCAATGAGTAACAACAATAAAAAATAAATCCAGATAAATGCTGTTCACAAGAGATCTAAATATAAGGAGAGAAATACTGAAAGCTAAAAAATAAAACAATGTATACCAAGAGTATTAGTTTACCAAAACTTTCATAGCAAACCACAACAAAGTGGACGGCTTAAAACAACAAAAATTTATTATGTCACAGTTCTGGAGGCCAGATGTCTGATAATCAAGATGTAGACAGGACCATGTTCCCTCCAACACCTGTAGGGAAGAATGCTTTCTTGCCTCTTCCTAATTACTGGTGGTTCACTGGCAATCCTTTGTGTTTCTTGACGTGCAGCTATAGCACTTCAGTCTCTGCCTCCATAGTCACAAGACATTCTCCCCTCATGTATAATCTCTCTGTGTCTTCCTTCTTTATAAGGACATGAGTCATTGGATTAAAGGCCCATCCTACTCCAGTATGAGCTCATCTTAACTTACATCTTAATTACACCTGCAACAAACCTATTTCCAAATAGGGTCACATTCACAGGTACCAGGGGTTAGGATTTCAACATACCTTTCTGAGAGACACAATTCAACCCACTACACCAGGCAAATACTAAATATTAATGAAAAAGAAGGGGGTTGGGGTGGGAGATAGCAGCGTTCTAGTAATGTCAAACAATGTAGTAACTAGTGAGAGCAAGGGTAATATGGTAAGACCAGTTAGAGGCTACCACATTAGTCCAGGCAATATAATGCAAGTTTGAATAACGATCATGTCTACAGAACAGAGGCAAGTCAATAGATTTAAGCAGTATCTAGGAAGCAAAACTGACAGTACCTCATTGGATCGTCAGGTGAGGGAGGCAAAGATGGTCCACAGGTTTCTGGCTTATGAAACTGGTTGGAATATGTTGACAGTCTCTATCTCCTAGCCAGTTCCTTCTAAAATACAGATAATATCAATTCCATTTACTACTGTTCACTACCTCTCCAGGGTAAGTCCTAATTCCTTACTCTGGCTTTCCTGATCTATCACAGTGTGATCCTGGCCTGATTTATTTACTTCCATTAACTCTAGTTATTAGATAAACATTCCCGAGTTCCACGCCTTCTTTCAGGCTATGCTTTCTGTCTTGAATGTCATTCCTACATATTTATAAAGTTTTATTCAAGTGAACCATCTTCTCTGGAACCTTCTTGGTCCTATTACTAACAATGACAATGTTTTCATATTTTACCTTACATTTTTTCTGTTTTATATGTGGAATATATAAAATTGTCTAGGCTCCTTCACTAACCTTACTTACTCTAATAGTATAGCATTTGGCACAGTAATAGTTATTTATATCTGCCATCCTAGTCAGGTTTTCACTCCTCCAGGATAGGGCTTATCCATCGTTTTATTCACAGCACCTAACAATGTGGTTTGCACATAGATGGTTTTCAATAAATGCTTACTGAATAGTGATGAATCAGTTATAACTAGCACTGCTACTTAGAACAATGAAAGTTTAAAAGTAAATTGAAGACAAGTAAGCCAGTCCATTTTTTTCTTTTCCATAAAATAGATTCTGAAAAAGATGAATAAAGGTCTTTGTTCCTTAGTAATGAATTCACGTAATTTACAGTTAATTTATTCTACACTCCCTTGAGACCATGTGATATGGTCTATGCCTTCTACAATGAACCCACTTAAATGCTCATGCAATTTTTAAATCTAAATACTACATATTCCAGCTTGACTTATAAATATTAGAACACTACCAAAAAGAAGTAAATTTGATGAATATTTAAATAACTCATGTAACTGCATAGTGGTCAGTAAAAATATTCTTGATACTAACATATTAACTATAGTAATTTAGAGTATCAATTTCAAACAATTAAATGAAAATACAGTGTACTGTTCAAAAGGCCACATTACCTGGACTTCATTTGATGACTGAAAACATGTTTCTGAAACCTGTAGTGGCTTCCATTTATCAATATGAACATAAAGCATCTTTGAGCTGTAAATACTGAAACCCTCTCATTGGTAAGAGGTTTCTATTGAAAGAATACATGGTAATAATTTAATATAAATACAACTGTTAAATCTGTAGTGTTTATATTAGGCAATGCTGGTATGTTATATGGGCATTTAAAAAATCTACAGCTTAAATTGTTATTATACAGTAAAAAGCATTTCCTACAATTAAGGTTAATTTTTTTAAACAGAGGTCATAGATAATAGGTGCCAATATAATAAAATCAAAATCAACCACTAGCTCCACCACTATATGTATGTAGCTCTGCAAAAATCTTTTGTCATAATTGTTCCTATAATCCCATCATTCCAAACTTGGAAGTCTAGTTTGCTAAGATAGTTTTCTGATGTACACAAAGAATAGAGTAACCTCTTCCATACCCTCCCCCCATATTCTCTCCCTTGAGAGTCAAAGCTTAATATGAGTTCCATTTTCCAGAGATAAAAGGACTGCATTAACAATGATGTGCCCTAGCTTTCTTCATTTTATAATAAATTACCATATTTATATTTTGAAGCTGTCATATGCTAGAGGATATTAAATATCCTCTCATCATAATTAACTCTTTAAACCAAATTAAATGACTTGGTTCAAAACAGACTGTGCAAGTTAAAGAAATATAATTCTATTACTAATTATTTCACAATTATTTTAATAATCAGAGCTATTTAATTTATTCCTCACTGGTTTTAATTAAGAAATGTACAGTGGCTAAAAAGCTCAAATCTTTCCTTCTTTATCCTGAGGATATAAACAAGTATTTGAACTTGGAGTGTCTAGCAATAAAAATATAGGAATTTCATAAATACTTTAGGCTAAATCTTAATAGAGCAAACTATAACAAATTGCTAATTTAAAAAATTCCACCTACAATTATATCAAATATAAGCCACCAGACTACAATATAACTGCTTCATTTTACCAAGGCTTAGTAATATTTTTACTATAAACAATTGTTCTTGTAGTAGACTAAAGCAATGTCATGAAAAATACTCTTTTTGAATATATATACAATACAAACTTAGGAAGACAAATATGTTTTTAGAAGTGGGAATTCTCCACATTTCAAGATTTCACCATCTAAACTTAATTGTACATTTTAAAATAACTTAAAGAATGTAACTGGATTATCTGTAAACCAAAGGAATGCTTGAGGGGATGGACACCCCATTCTCCATGATGTACTTATTTCATATTGCATGCCTGTATCAAAACATCTCATGTACCTCATAAATATAAACACCTACTATGTACCCACAAAAATTTTAAAAAATAAAAAAAGATTTCATAATCTAAACGTTTCTGATGATCCTACAGATATTATCAAGATTCTAAAAGCAAAAAATGTCTTTATATACTCTTTGGAGAAAAAGCTTCTTGTAAAAATAAATATAAATAGAATTAATATTTCAAATTAACTTTTAAAAAAACAAATCAGTGAAAGCTGCTGTAATGTTATCTTTTATTTCCCCCTAAAATTAAGGTAATTATATATTTTTGCAAATTACACCATAATGGAAACATTCCTGTTTAGGAAGACATAAGAAGAAATAATGGTTATGAAAAAATAATAAACTTACTCCTTACCAACATAATCTAAGGCCAGGCACAGTGGCTCACACCTAGCACTTTGGGAGGTTGAGGCAGGAGGACTGCTTGAGCCTAGGAGTTGAGAACAGCCTAGGCAACACAGTGAGACCCTATCTCTACAAAAATTTAAAAATTAGCCATGTGTGGTGGCATGTGCCTGTAGTCCCAGCTACTCAGGAGCCCAAAGGCAGGAGGACTGCTGGAGCCTGGGAGGTTGAGGCTGCAGTGAGCTGTGTTCACACCACTGCACTCTAGCCTAGGCAACAGAGTGAGACCCCTGTCTCAAAAAAAAAAAAAATTATATAAAACTACTTGAACTGATAGAAAAGTTCTGAAAAAGGAATAAAGCTGGGTATGAAATGACTGTCAATACCAATTCCAATTAAAATACAGAAAAGTTTAAATAATTGTTAAATATTAATCCACCCAAAATGCAACCGTTTAAATAGTAATGATTTAAATAATTGTTAAAAATAGAATTATATAATTAAAATATAAATGCAAGAAAACTTTTTGAAAGAAAATAAAAACACAATATACATGATTTTATCTAAAATCATAGATTATACTGACAAAGAGCAGCAAAAACAGAGGAGTAGCTGAATACTCTGAGCTTCTTACTAGGGACAGGGTTTCACTCTAGATTCAGATATTTAGAAAGTACGGGTTAAAAAGGCCTTGACAAATGTAAGGATGATTACAAATAGAAGTTAAAATAGAACATATGGCATTAGACCATAAAGAAAATCTTTATTCTGCCCATCTCCTCCCTAGAAGGGAATTGTTCAGAACATTCTTGTCATAATTTATAAAATAAGAAAAGAAACAATAAAGTCAAAAAAGAGAAGACAAAGACTACTTGGAAATTAAAAATAAACTATTAAGGATCCTAGGAAGATGATAAATCTAAACATGTCTGACTTCTCCTCATACCCAACTCCAAAATATCAGCCTGTGAATCCAAGTGTCTACTGAGTAAAGTGAGGTATGAAATTCGAGGGCTTCCTAGCAGGGGAAATGATTGAGAAGACCCTAAAGACAAAGATTGGAAAATTAGCAAATCCTGAGAAGAGTACAGGCCACTGAAATCTAAAAACCCTAGAGATCAGGTCAACATTGGCCCCAGGTCATGTGCCTGACCTTCCTATGGGCTGAACATATTTGAAGCCTAAGATGAAACACTTTACAGAGTAGAGGATGTAGGGAACATTTCTCCAGTTATGATCCACCAAGATAAAGAACACATATATTTCCTTCTTGTGTAGACTGCCACCACTTAGAGCACTCCAAAAACCAGATTTGAGCCCCAGTGAGCCAATAAGGAAAATGGGAATAAAGTAACTTGTTGGGAACAGGCACCCAAATCTGGCCATAAACTGGCCCCTAAACTGGCCATAAACAAAATGTCTGCAGCACTGTGACATGTTCGTGATGGCCATGATGCCCCCGCTGAAGGCTGTGGGTTTACTGGAATGAGGTCAAGGAACACCTGGCCTACCCAGGGAGGAAAACCACTTAAAGGCGTTCTTAAACCACAAACAATATCATGAGTGATCTGTGCCTTAAGGACATGTTCCTGCTGCAGATAACTAGCCAGACCCATCCCTTTATTTTGGCCCATTCCTTTGTTTCCCATAAGGAATACTTTTAGTTAATCTATAATCTATAGAAACAATGCTCATCACTGGCTTGCTGTCAATAAATATATGGGTAAATCTCTGTTCGAGGCTCTCAGCTCTGAAAGTTATGAGACCCCTGATTTCCCCACTCCACACTCTATATTTCTGTGTGTGTCTTTAATTTCTCTAGCGCCACTGGGTTGGGGTCTCCATGACCGAGCTGGTCTTGGCAGAAACCTGTAAAGGAGCCAAAAGGCAATTAGAAGGAGAAAAGAACTGCACCCCAAGAATTCTATATCCAGGTAAGACATGATTTGCCTGTCTGGAAAAAGGAAGACGTTAGCAGTTAGGCAAAAAATTCAGATTAAAAATCTATATATTCCCATCTGAGAAAATTACTCCAAAGAACAAATGAATGTGAACAAGAAAGAGAAAATGAAGAAAAGGAAAAAGTGGTAGGTGACAAATCTTGCAGTATATAAATGCCATTAAATTTAAATTGAACCCAATTTAAATTTAGATCCAAACAATTTAGATCCAAACAAAACAAGATCCAAACAAAAAAATTCTTGAAATAAAAGTGACATTCATGTCTGTAAGAGAAATTCATAAAACAAACAAACAACAACGACAAAAAAAAACTACTAAGTTTTTTCAGTAATACCTGTAGGGATTGGGTTGGGGAAAATGTTCCAGTAAAATTTTCCAATAAAAGCTAGGGGGGAATGGGTGGTGAGAATAAAAGCATGCCAAAGACTTCTAAAGTAAGAAGAAAGGTAAGGTATTAGAAACTATTCTAAAATTTCTATATGATGAGGGGAGGATGAAAAGAACATCTTGAGGCTGGGCATAGTGGATCACACCTGTAATCCCAGGACTTTGGGAGGCCAAGGCAGGTGCATCACGAGGTCAGGAGCTCAAGACGAGCCTGAACAAGATGGTGAAACCCCATCTCTACTAAAAATGCAAAAATTAGCCAGGCATGGTGGCGGGCGCCTGTAATCTCAGCTACTTAGGAGGCTGAGGCAGAGAACTGCTTGAACCTGGGAGGCAGAGGGTGCAGTGAGCCAAGATTACACCACTGCACTCCAGCCTGGCCAACAGAGTGAGACTCCGTCTCAAAAAAAAAAAAAAAAAAAAAAAAAGAACATCTTGGTGGGGGAGAGTTGGTACTTTATTTTCAAGTAATAACAGAGAAATATATCTGATTATGAATATAAGGAAAGGAAAGGTAACCAATAATATAATGAAAAGTTAATAGACAGTTCAGGTTAACAAAGAGGAAAATGCAACTAATACCAATTATCACACAGAAACAATTTTTTAAAAAGGAAAGTTAAAGAGGTAAAATTAGGCCGGGCTTGGTGGCTCATGTCTGTAATCCCAGCACTTTAGGAGGCCGAGGCAGGGGGAACACAAGATCAGGAGTTCAAGACCAGCCTGGCCAACACGGTGAAACCCCATCTCTACTAAAAATACAAAAATCAGCCAGGCGTGACGGTGCGCGCCTGTAATCCCAGCTACTCGGGAGACTGAGGCAGGAGAATCACTTGAACCAGGGCGGCGGAGGTTGCAGTGAGCCAAGATCATGCCACTGCATGCCAGCCTGGGTGACAGAGTGAGACTCCATCTCAAGCAAACAAAAAAGAGGTAAAATTAATAAACAAAGTAGAAGGAATAAAGCGACATACTTTAGCATACAAATGTTGAATGGACTAAATTCTTGTGTTAAAAATAAGAGGCTACAGACTGAGTTAAATAAAACCAACTATATTTTCAAGTACACACTTAGAAAGTAAAGGAATTTTTCCAATGAAGGATTGAGTTTGATGCTTGAAAATAATGACTATATTGACTACATACAAATTATGCTTTATAATTACATTCTTAATAGATAACCTCCAGGTTTTAACAAGACAGCATCAAATCAGGAAAACTCAAAAAACATGGCTTTGGGGTTTACTCTAGTTTGTTCACTTGGAGCTAAGTGCTAGCAACGTCGGGGAAACTGTCCAGAGTGAAGGTCAAGGAAAACGCTGGATGGACAGGTTGGGAGAGTGAAGGTTATTAGCTTTTTATGACTCTTGTATCCTCAGACTAAAACCCTAAAAAAATTACACAATTTTATCACAAAAAAACAAATTGTCTTTAATGAACCACTTTTCAGTTTTAACAACTAACATCCACTATGCCACACTGCTACATTACCAACTAATTTCACAAAAGGACTAGTCATCAAACACGTAACCACACACTGATACACTATAAATGTATATCAGTTACTGGTCCCTGAGGATATGTGATCATGTATTTGCTATGTCCGAAAACCAGAGGATCTCAGCATGATAGTTTTGGCAATGACCTACCACAGTGAAACAAAAAGGATGGAGATACATGAATGGGAGAAAAGATCCACAACAAATTCAAGGAAAAGCAAGCAGGACAGGTAGTATTAGTATCAAGCTAGGATGAATTTAGGATTAAAAGCAATAAAAAGAAGTACATGATTTAATAACAAAAAGCATGATTTGGGTGACAGAAATATCAATTGTATATCTGGAGAAATCAAACCTAGTATCTAAATACAAAGGTATTAAATATGCAAAGCAAACTTAATTATAATGTAAGGCTTCAAGTATCTCTTATATGGGGTAGAGCTAGTAAAGAGAGTAAAGGAATTTACTAATATAAACTTTAATACTTAATTGCATAATCAAAGAGAAAATGTTGTATTCTTTAAATAGTAAAAATAATTTCACTGTTGTTATGTCTAAGAAATATCCAGAAAAGACAACATATGATGTTATAGACAAGATTAACAAAATGTTTTCAAAAGATTTTACAGACTAAATTTTCTGATTAAATTCAATGAAAGTAGGAACAAATAACAAAACATAACAAAATACATTTGGTTGAAAAGACAAAGACATATTTTGAAGTCACACTATAAGATTTGAAGTCACACTATAAGTTTTGACAGGCCAACCATGTAGCTAAATTTTTTGAAAGTTAATTCTAAACTCTTTGAAATTTTCCAACCTCAGATTCCAAAAAGCAACTTTTACTCCTATTGTTACATGTTTAAGTAACAGTCTTAGGCAATCTTCATCTGTCATATAAGCATTATCTTAAGTTTCAGTATACCATACATCAGACACATGGTTATTTAAGTGATTTAAAAGATTTCAAAACTATTTTTAAATGATTTCATATCTGTTTTTTCTTCTGTGCTTCAAATTCAGTTATCTCAGATTGTTTTTACTTATTTGATAGTCTTTGTCTCTATATTGCTTCATTTTAAAAGGTCAATGCTCCCTCCTCGTAAGAGAGAGAAAAACAAAAAGCCCTTAAGTGATTAACGTTTGGCAAAAGTGTTTGTGAATTGTTCCTTAATAATTACAATTTTTGATAAGAAATTACCAAAATTAATTTTATAACTGCTGTGATAATTGTAATTCAGAAATTCAATTTAGAAAATAATCACTGAATACACTCCAGTGCCCGGTACACAGAAAGGAATAAATGAACTAACGCTCAACCAAGAAGGGGATAGTCAAGTACACAAGGCAAGCCTCAGAGCTATTATACTTTCGTCGAAAGGTGTCTATTGCTCCAGGTAGTTTTTGACCATCTGAAATTATGTATATTTTAAGTAAAAATTCCTCAGATTTTGTTTGATGAAACTGACATATTTGAATAATACAGAGACCCTTTAAAAAACACAGAATGTTCCACATTTGGGATTTGTTTAATGCTTCCTCATTATCAGATTAGAGCTAGATACCCATAGTCAGAATGCTAGGTATAGTACTGAACTAGTACATAATGTTCATTTTATCCTCACTGCTGATGTTAACTCTGATAAGCTAGTAAGGGGTTGTCCAATTTCTCAACTCTCTAGTCTATTATTTTGCCCTTGCAAGTTATAAGCAATCCACAGAAAGACATTTACAACCATGAAAATATCTTATAAAAATTTCCCTCCCAGACTTAGCATCCATTGATTATTCTTTTTTATTTATTTTTGCTGTATTTTATTTATTTATTTTTTTATTATACTTTAAGTTCTGGGGTACATGTGCACAATGTGCAGGTTTGTTACATATGTATACATGTGCCATGTTGGTGTGCTTCACCCATTAACTCCATTGATTATTCTCACTAGAGCTGATCTTTACTATGGTGGTGGCAAAATAATTTTCCAAATCCAGGACTCAGAACATTTACCAATCAGCATTCTGCTAAAAGCTAAACCATCTCTTCTGCTCATTTATTACCAGTATGGCAGTATGGACTCATAGATTCCTATTTTTAGCAAAGTTCATAATTCATTACTGTCCTTCTGGTGTCCACACTATATCCCAGATCTGGCCAGTGGGAGCACCTTCAAGTTGGCTCCTGCATCCTTTCGACATACATTGTTTTTGTTGGGTTGGGGATGTACTTTCTTACTTTCTGGCATAAGAAGGTATTCTATGCCTATCCTGCATCCTCCCTACCCGGCTCTAGAATAAGACATTTCTCTGAAGATCTCTGGTTCTTTTTGGTGAGGAATGGTGTTAGACACCAAAATCTTCGTGCTGGATATGCTTATTATTACCAGGGTGCCTCTGCTTATAGGTCCTGTCAGTGGACAGAGCTAGGAAATGAGTTTATGTGTATCACATATTACATACACAAACACAATCATGTATATGTATTCATATACATGCACATACATGTGAACATATATATTCAAATATTTTAAAAATTCTAATCCATCTCACAGAGTTCTTCACTGCCTTCCTCCATTTCATATTTGTATCTTTCTCCTTCCTCACTGAGAACCCTGACTCCCAACATCAGTACCCATTTGCTCAATCCTACAACACTTCTAAAGTAGTTTGGCGTTTCACAACCATAATTACAGCAAAAAACAAACCTAATAAAAAAGGAGTTCAAGATTTGTTTGCAGTTCTTCCCATCTCATCTCTCATGAGGGTCTGCATTCAAATCCTATGTTCCTAAGTTACTTCATTTTCCCCCCCACCAACTTCAATGTGATTCAAAGTAGGAATTTAACTAATATTTAATCTATATAATATCCACCAGGTAACAAGCTTTTTATAACATAAAAGGTAACTTAGAGAAATTGCAATTAATGAAAATATATATTAATTGAGAAAAATCACATAAGCGAAAGGTACTAATGTAAAGAATAGTGTTAAAATGAATATGAAAATTAAATTCCAAAGAATCAAATTATAAAACAAAGGTGATATATACTTCTATTTAGTAAATTAACAAGTAAAAATAAGTAATTTGACTCCAGTGAGGTCATAAGTAGATGTTTTAAAGCCACATGCTCCTTTTCTCCTACTAGTTACTTGTAGACACTTTGATTATGATGTTGGTTTTTGGTAAGCGGCCTGGGAAAGATTTTCTGCTGAATGCAGGAAGGATGAAATAACAGAGGAAACAAGAGTTACTAATACCCAAGAGATAACCAGGCAAAGGAACTGAAAAGAGTTCAGTCACAGCTCCTCCTTGCCTCTCCTAGGCACACTGGAAGTAAAACATAATCAAGAATGTTAACAGTAGTAACCATTCAAAGACTGAAAGCCAACGAAGCATTTGTCTTAAAATATGTTTGGGTGATGAGAATATTTTCAAATAAGAAAGCAGTTACTATGGGTCATTTGCTAAATAATAAAAATAGCTATATTATACATAAAAAAATACAACCAGCTACATACCAAATAGCTTAGTCATTAAGCATACTATAATAATAGTGATTACATTAGTGTTTTATGTCTATTTCTTTAAAATAATTTTTAAATAAAATATAAATGAAAGAATTAAACATTTCATTTTGTGAAAGAGGCAGAGGGTAGAAAACAGAAAAATGCTGCTCAGCAAAGTAGTAAGACTTTTTCCCCCATACTTAATCCTTCCTTATATAAGAACAGTTCTTCAACATTCAGAAAAATATTTTACCACCACAATTTCCTTCTCAAAAAGAGTAACACTAATTCAAATAAGCATGAGAAAACGATTTTTTTTTTTTTTTCCCAGAGATGAGATCTTGCTGTATTGCACAGGCTGGATTCAAACTCCTAGGGCTCAAGCAATCCTCCTGCCTCAGCTTCCAAACCCAGCTCATTCTATTTTTTTTTTTAATGAATTGAAGCAAAAGAAATACACACACACACACACACACACACACACACACACATACACTCTAGTCAGCAGAGTAAAAAGACTTTTCCGATAGGAAGTAAAGGAGACCATGCAGTCAATTCTATATATTCCATTCTGCTTGCTAGGAAGCTAGCATTTCTCAGTTTTAAATGTGCAGACCTTACCTGGTTAACAAACCAGAACCTTCTGGCCAGGCATGTTGGCTCACACCTGTAATCCCAGCACTTTGGGAGGCCGAGGCACGTGGATCACTTGAGGTCAGGAGTTTGCGACCAGCCTGGCCAACACTGTGAAACCCCACCCCTATTAAAATTATAAAAAATCAGCCCAGCATGGTGGCAGGCACCTGTAATCCCAGCTACTCTGGAGGCTGAAGCAGGAGAATCGCTTGAACCCGGGAGGTGGACGGTACAGTGAGCTGAGATTGCACCACTGCACTCCAGCCTGGGCAACAGAGTAAGTCTCTATCTCAAAACAAACAAACAACAACAAAAATACCTAAGCCTCCCAATACAAGTGGGAGGCCAGATCCCCTTAAAGAAGGTATTGCAATACTACTACAACCATGTACAGTACTGTAAATCCACAGTTGGCAAACTATAGTCTACAGGCCACATCTGGCCTCACACCTGTTTTTGTAAATAAAGTTTCACTGTGACACAGTCATGCTCACTCATACACATATTGTCTAGCTTTGATTTAGCACCACAATGGTAGACTTGAGTAGTTGAGATACATAGGCAACAAACCCTAAAATATTGACTATCTGGCCTTTCATAGAAAAAAAGTGCTGACCCTTGCTGTAAATCTTCCAACAGTTTTTCAAAGGATGAGCAGCATTTGCTAAAGTGATTGTTCTGGTAATCCCCGATGGGTAATCCCCTAGTGGTCGTGTCTGTTTAAAGTAAGTGTCTGGTAACCCCCTAGTGGTACGGATGTTCTTTCTTTCAAAAGAAAAATCTAATAAAAAAATTATAATCCAAAAGAAAGAACACCCAGACCACTAGGGGATTACCAGACACTTACTTTAAACAGACACGAATTGCCAGGAACCCAAAATGCCACTGCAGTCCGTAAGTTAAATGGAGAGCTTAGGGTAATCAGGTGATAAATGGATTACTGGCTCAAGTTTAAATCTAAGTGTGACGGTATGTCCACAAATACAACCTGCGGTTATTTTCCAGTTACTGGATGTATAACTGGAAGAGAAATACTTGGAAAACGAATTTCCACATTGGCTGTCTGACCCACGGAATAAGGGTCATTATGCTAGGAAAGGCCAAATAAAAGCCCCTTCAACCAGCCTTCCCTACCAGGGAAATAAACCAAAAGCAGTAACATATCTCCAAGGGAAATACAAAAATTAGTACCACCATCAGAGATTTAGAATGATTTTTGATTATCATAAATTTAATCATGTTAAACCAAGTGCAGCTGCCATTTCAGATGTGCTGTCTTTAACGAAACCAATCAATGTAGCCTCTAAAATCTTATATACAAGTTGGCAAATACTTTTTTCTCTGTACCAATCTGTGGTACTATCAGAAGACATCTGCCTTTGCCTAGAATGACCAATAGTATATCTTGCAGCCACAGCATACTGCTTTTCTGCTCTCTGCCACAGTAGAATCTACAGAGACAGTGGTCTTTTTAAAAAATAGTAAATATATATTTAGTATTTATTATGTAACATGCAGTAGTTTAAAGGACTTACATGTATTATGTCATTAAAGTCCCACACGAGGTAGGCACTATTATCCACATAATGAAGTTACAGAAACACAAGCAACAGAGAGAGAACCTGAGTAAAGAGTGGCAGAGCTTGAATTGAAATCCAGCTGGCATAATATCCAGAGTCTCTTTGCTTAAGAGGATCCACTACAGTCGTCTAAATGAAAGGTATTTTCTTTTTCCTTTTTTTTAAGGAAGGGTCTCACTCTGTCACTCAGGCTGGAGTGCAGTGGCCCCACCACAGCTCACTGTAGCCCCAACCTCCCCAGGCTCAGGTGTTCCTCCCACCTTAGCCTCCAAGTAGCTGGGACTACAGGCATGTGCCATCATGGCCAGCTTTTTTTTTTTTTTTTTTTTTTTTTTGTATTTCTTGTTAGAAATGGGGTTTCACCAGGTTGCCCAGGCTGGTCTCAAACTCCTGGACTCAAGCACTATGCCCACCTCAGACATCTCAAAGTGCTGGGACTACAGGAGTGAGGCACTGTGCCTGGTGGAAGAGTTATTTTGTTTGCGTATTTATCCATGTGTCAGTTGATAAATATTTGGGGTTGTTTCCACCCTTTGGCTATTATGAATAATGCTGATAAGAAGATTTACGTACAAGTTTTGTGTGGGCATATGTTTTCATTTCTCTTGGGTATATACTTGAGAGTGGAATTGCTGAGTCACATGGTAAGTCTATCTTAAACATTTTGAGGAACTATGTAACTGTTTGCCACACTGGCTGCACCAACTTACAATCTCAACATCCATGTGTAAGGACTCCAATTTCTGTCTCTCACTTGTTATCGTCTTTCTAATTTTTTTCAGAGACAGTGGTCACTCTGACACTACACAGAACAAATCACTGATCAACAATGCTGATGATTTTGTACTTATTAAGAGTGATAAAGAGGAAGTATAAAGTTCTTTAGACATCTTGCTAAGACACATGTAAGACAGAAGACATAAAACCCACAAAAATTAAGAGCCCATTGCCTAAGTAAGATTTCTAGGGGTCCAATGGTTGGAAGCCTATCAGGATAGCTTCTCCAAGGTGTCAGAGACAAGTTACTCTACTTGCACTATCAGTGGATACTAAAAAGGACGTTACAAAGATTAACAATCACTGTGGATTTTGAAGCAGTACTCCAACTCATTGACCAAGGAACCTGTTAGGCTACCATTTTTAAGTTGAAATCAGAACAAAAGATGGCTCTGCAGCAAGTTCATGCTATAGTATAAGCTGCTCTGCCACTTGGGCCTTATAACCCAGTATATCAATTGTCTGGAGCCTCTGAATCCTTCCTCCAAGATCTTGTGGCAAGAATGACAGCTGGGCAGCAACTGGCTTCTTATGAACCCTATAAGGCCTCCTCCAATCTTCTAAATTTTAATAATCTACCCTCATTTCTTCATTACCCCAGTTCGCTGCATGGTAGACGCTTCCTGCAGTGCTTGCTTCCTCTGCAAGACTTTTTCATCTCTTCAGTTCTTTCGTAACAGACAATTCTTCAACTAAATTCATTCTGTTAAAATATTTGCTGTGTTTCTGTTTTTAATTAAATCCAAACTGGTATGTCTATTAACATCACACAACTATGTGTGAATGTAAAATCAAACAACAAATGTAGATGCTAGGTCTGAGTTCAACCTCAAAGCTCTAGGAAATCTTGTATCTCAACAGACTAGACCAATTTCTAAAAGATACTATTAGAGATTTTTAGAATACTATTAGCAACTTTCCTGGAAACACATACAGGAAGACACATGTATACAACTATATTTTACAAAAGACTTTTACAGTGAAAAAGACATTGAATATTTCCAGTTTCTCACTATTGTAATGATGCTTCAATAAAATTATTATACACATACTTTTACATATTCTTATTTGTTTGTATATACATTCCATCACTGAATATTTCTGGAGTGCCTACTATAAACAAGTCACCATGCTATGTACTAAGAATACAACTATGTAGAAGACAAACAACATCTCTCCTTTCACAAAATTGGAGCATATTTTCTCAGGACATATACTACCTTAATGCCCATTGAAAGAGTTGTACCAACTTCTGTTCCTACCAAACAGTTTAGGAGAGTACCTATTTGCTCACATTCTAACCAAAAGGGACAATGTTATTATTTCCAATGTGATAGGTAAAAAATTACATTTTGGGCCAGGTGCGGTGGCTCACACCTGTAATCCCAGCACTTTGGGAGGCCAAGGCAGGTGGATCATCAGGTCAGGAGATCGAGACCATCCTGGCTAACACGGTGAAACCCCGTCTCTACTAAAAATACAAAAAATTAGCCGGGCATGGTGGCAGGCGCCTGTAGTCAAAGCTACTAGGGAGGCTGAGGCAGGAGAATGGCCTGAACCCAGGAGGCAGAGCTTGCAGTGAGCTGAGATCCCACCACTGCACTCCAGCCTGGGAGACAGAGTGAGACTCCATCTCAAAAAAAAAAAAAAAAAATTACATTTCATTCTTGTTTTAGAATGTATATTTTTTATTAGAAGGACAAAAATTTTTATATTTTCACAGCAAAGTGAGGCTTCTTCATTCAGGGCACTTTTTTTCCACTTGATAATACAGAGTTATGTTTTTAATCCATGACTTAACCATACATTCTGCTGAGGTTCAATTAATAATTATAACCATTTTTTAAAGCAAACATTTATTTATTGAGTTTTATGCTGAATTTACATGCATCATTTATTTAATCCCCACAAAACCTGATAAAGTAGTATTATTTTTTCATCTTAGCCCATTAGCTTGTAAATTCTATAAAGGCAGACTTATATTTACTTTGTTTACCCATGCAATTAAATATTGAGTATACATAAATCTTCAGCACAACAAATCTACAAAATAAACATTATTCCTGTGGACATTTTACAGATGAGGAAGGTTAGGTAGGTTAAGTTAACAAGACCACACAGCAAATAAGTAGTGGAACTTGGATTTGGTTCTGGGCAAACTTGGCCAATAACCTATGTTCTTAACCACTATATGCTATATATACCAGTATATATACTGTCAAGGTTATTTTAAGAGACTTGTTACAAAAACCTCTATAATGAAAAGTTACTGACTTTGCTGTGCTCTTGCTCTCCAGGTGTTTAACAGTTATGACAAATTACACAAAAAAGCTAAAGATATATGCATTTTAAAAGAGAAAATTAACAGAGATTGGAATCAAATAGGAAATGATTCACACAGAAAGTTGGACTTAGTGCAGCAAGTAACAGGTAGTATTGCAGAGGCAGCAAGAAGGGAAGATGCACTTTTAAATTTGTTTTGATTAAAACAATAAAAATAATGGCAAATATTTAAACGTTTACCATGTACCAGGTTCTGTTCTAAACATTTTACATACATTAGCTTATTTAATCCTTACAGACGTCTTATGAGGCCAACTTATTTTATTGATGAAGAACTTGACACACAGAAAAAAGTAATGTGCTCAATCACACAGACAGTAAGGAGATAACCTAGGCAGTCCAGCTTTAAAACCTGAACTCTAAAATACTATTCTATACAAATAATAAGTTTATACCAATCACTATATATCACTGACATTGTACTCAAGAGTTTGCAATTTCCAGAGTACAGACTACTTTTGTAATTCTAGCTTTTGACAATGACCATGGTTTTAGGTCACAAGTTAGTTAATATAAAGCCATCATGTTTTTAAAACAACAAATAGCTCTCAGATGAAAATCTATATTGTGTATAAAACTCAACACAATATAAATTGCTAAGATATACAAAAGTTATATTAGGCCATGATAAATCAATGTTAATATATCTCAAATTTTCAGAAATGATAATAGGAGATAAGAAGAGCAAAGTATGGATTTTAATTGCCATCAACAGGGCACTCAACACATAGAACAGATTTTTCTATTTGTATTAAATTTCAATCTAACAGAAATCTATACTATTAGCACCTCATTAAAGTCAAACTCAAAAACATACCTAGAATGCCTAAGTCTTCATTTCTTAGAAAACTACTGCAGTCATTTTCAAAGACTATTATTTATATTATACCTTCAAGATATTCTATTCCATTTTAGGCTTTGTAGAAATATTTGGAAGTACAATCAAAGATATGAGCTTCTCTCATGGTGTTTTAACAGCTTAGTCCCACTTCACTAGTGCATGCTTAATGATTCAGAGACATAGCTACTCCCCTTTCGAACTAGTATAGACATATTTCTTACAGTGTTCTCTAAAATACTGAGTTAATGCTAAGCATTAGATATAAACTCATTTATTCAGTAAAGACTGCTATAATGCACAACATTCTTTACATTTAGAAAAAGCATATTACTCTGGCTAACCGAATATGTTTTATGTAATAGTTACCATGTTATATTTCATATTAAATATTCTATTTTTGAAAATTGACTCCCATTACACAAATAATGTACATACACTGATGTAAATTGCATATTCCTATCTGAAAATCACCTTAGAGAAACATTTGGATGAGTTTTAAAGATGCACTAGACTCAAAAGTAATTCCATTTTTTAGGAAGAAGACATTAAATAGGTAAAATTTTAAAAGAACAAAATATATTTAAAACGTACTATGAATAAAGGCAAAACTAGGATGACAAACTACTAAACTGAATTACATCATGCTATGTTTAATTACAATAGGAAACTGCAAGAAAAAATAACATTTTTTACTACTAGAGAAATGAGTATTCTATGTTTAGCCTCAGGAAGCCTTTAAGTGCCACTAAGAACTGACTGTAAAAGGCAAAAGTAAGTTGTTTTTAAAAAACCCAATGAAACAATCCGAGAGTCTATACTCTTTAACCAAATACAAATATAGCATTAAGAAAAATAGAAGATTTAGTAATGAAGCAGTTTAACAAAATTTTACTTCATCTTTGAAGTCTTATTTTTCGAAGAACTATATTCACTTGTGTCAAAAAAAAAAAAAAAAAAAAAAAAAACAGCGTAGCCCCACTAGAATTAGTTTCTTAGCCTCAATTTTTCTAATAGTGAGATGGTCTTCTGTAAGGCACTTCCAGAAGAACATATCAAACCTACACCCAACTTGCATGATTAGTGATAAACAATCCCACATTTGACTGGCAACTGAGAAAATCTGTACACTGGGCACTTTGTCAGGAAGACTAATCTTGAATGTTCAACATATCAATATTTATCCAATGTTTAGATAAGAGAAAGACATTTTTGAAACTATCCTGAAAGTCATTCCTGTGTGTGTATTCCAGCTATTCCTATAGCCTCAAATTTATCTATCCTTGGATTATAATCAGACTCATATAGAGCTCAATATATTCTTGGGGGTTCCAGATAATTGTTCTAACAACTTTTTGCCATTAAGTCCCAATTGTAAATTAAGCCACAAACATTTAGGGATAGTGTGTGTGTGTGTGTGTGTGTTTCTTTTTCTTTCTTTTTTTTTTGAGACAGAGACTTGCTCTGGGCTCAAGCAATCCTGCCACCTCAGCCTCCCAAGTAGCTGGAACCACAGGCATGCACCACCATACCCGGCTAATTTTTGTTTGTTTTAGAAACAGGGCCTCCTTATTTTGCCCAGACTGGTCTCAAATTCCTGGCCTCAAGTGATCCTCCCACCTTGGCCTCCCAAAGTGCTGGAATTACAGGCATGAGCCACTGCACCCAGCCTCAAATAAAATGTTAAATACCCTGTTGTTTGAAAACGAATACCCACATGCTTTATTAAACCCACCTTTTCACTTAAGATTCACCACAATGCACAGTTTCCTTTCTTTGATAATGCATAGTTTCTTAATATATTTTAATCTTTTGGAGTCTGGACTCCATATATCCCCTGTTCCATCAGCTAGCAAAAATGCTATCTGTGCTTTACCTTTGATAAGTAAAAATTTCACAGGATGCACTGGTAAGCTTTAATCTCTTTGCTAGTATTATCTTATTTACTTTCTCTTTCTGATTTCCTTGATTAAGGATTTCTTATTTTGTTGTAATGTATTTACTTAGCCAAGATACTTAAAAAGTTATAGAACAAAAGTGAAATAAAAACAAGGCTTTGGAAAAATGTTGAAAATATTCATGCTAAAGCATCTTTTATTCTAAGATAGCAACCAAAAAGTCATAAAAGGAAGATTAACCAATAAATTTAAAAATTAACACTTAATAGACATTATAAAAAATCTTAATGAAAGTCAACAGTTAACTTACCCTACAAAAGTATAGAAAATATTTGCTCTGCAAATGCAAACATGAAGTAATTTCCTTCAAAGTAAAAAAGACTTATTTCGATATGCTTAATTATAATACCAATGATCATATCTTATATCTAGATCTATAATTCATATAAGAGAATTATTTTTCAGTAAAATCTCAAAATTTAGTAAAATTTTCACTTTACAATTTAACAAAGTTCTTTTCTTTGGGGGGAGGTGTGCGGCGGGGGAAGTGGTCTCACTCTGTCACCCAGGCTGGAGTGCAGCAGGGTGCAGTCTCAGCTCACTGCTACCTCTGCCTCCCAGGCTCAAACAATCCTCCCACCTCAGCCTCCCGAGTAGCTGGGACCACAGGTATGTGCCAACAAGCCCAACTAATTTTTCTATTTTTGGTAGAGGGGGGTTTCGTCATGTTGCCCAGGCTACTCTCAAACTCCTGTGCTCAAGCAATCTGCCTATCTTGGCCTCCCAAAGTGCTAGGATTACAGGCATGAGCCACCACGCCCAGCCAAAATTCGTTTTTTAATATTATTATTACCTTTTATATTGTTGTTATTAATATAATTATATTAATGAAAATGATTTTAAAACAAAGATCAGTAAACTTTAAAGGAAACTGCTATATGTTAGCTGACACAGGTCAAAGGAGTAATCTCTGAAAACGAAATTGTTGTATAAGTATATATGTAAAATATCTTGTAAAATAAAGTATTTTAGTTTCTTTCTTTAAAGTATTGTAAAGTATATATGAAATACCCTGTAAAAGGTGAAGCCTTACACAAACAGTATTATTTCATGCAAAAAGTACAAAAGTGCATACTTACCCTTCTCCTCCCATTCTTGTTATTTTTAGACGAAAATCCACAGAATTCAGACTGGGAGGCTTCCATTTCAAAATATCATCACATCGACCAGGTTTGTATTTCTAAAGCCAATTAAAATGATGACAATCGTTACTAAGAAGTTAAAAATTAAACATTCAATGTATTAAACCTAATGTAACTTTTTATTAAGCAAAATTACTTCTTTTCTAAACATAATTTTAATCTTCAACCAACAAGTCAGGCTAGATATCTACCTTCTTATTGATGACCTTTCTTCTTTTCCTACCAAAGACATGTAGACCCTTGTTTGTGAAAGTCCAGAAAAAGAATAAAACCAGTGATTCTATCCAACCTTCCTATGACTTAAAAGAAGCTTCATTTTTAAAAATGCTTTTTTTTCTTGTTCAGCTTTATGGAGGGATAATTTATAATGAATAAAATTAACCAACAAATCTTGACAAATATATACAGTTACGTAACCATGACCAAAATCATGATATTGAACATTTCAAGGATGTGAAAAAATTTCTTGCTACCATTTGCAGTCAATTCCCTCCGTCAGCATTCTGGCAACAGTGATCTGCTTTCTACGACTACAGTTGTACCTTTTCTAGCTACATAAGAAATACTTTAAAAATAAAAAATAAAGAAACACTTTATGTAAGATTTTTGAGATGAATCTATCCTGGTGCATATACTAGTAGTATGTTCCTTTTCATTGCTGACTAGGATTCCATTGTATGTATATACCACAAATTGTTTACACATTTACAAGGTGATGGATATCTGGGTTGTTTCCAGTTTTTGGCTATCATGAATGATGCTGCTCTGAACATTTGTATTGACATGTTTTCCTAACTCTTGGGTAAATAACTAGGAGAGTGGAATGACTGTATCACATGGCAAATGCATGTTTAGCTTTGTAAGAACTGTCAAACTGTAACATTTTCTATTCCTACCAGAAATGAATGAGAAGTCCATTTGCTCCATATCCGCCTTGGACTAGGCATTGTCAGTCTTCTTAATTTAGCCTTTCTAAAGTGTGTGTCTCATCATTTTAATTGGCATTTCTCTAATGACACAAAGATGGTGAAGATCTTTTCTTTTGTTTATTGCTATCTGTATACCTTCTTTGGTGAAGTGTCTGTTCAAATCTTTTACTCTTGTTTGCACTGAGCTGTTTGACTCATTACTGCCTTGTAAGAAGTTACTTACATATTGTAAATAAATAGTCTTGGTTGGATATATGTATTACAAATATTTTCTACAAGTCTTTGGCTTTTTCATTTTCTAAATAATTTCTTTTGAAGACCAAAGTTCTTTATTTTAGTAATGTCAAAATTATCCATTTAAAAATTATATAATTTGTGCTTTTTGTGACCTATTTAAGGAATATTTTCCTAAAGTCATTACAATTTTCTACTATGTTTTCTTAGACAAGTTTTATGGTTTCAGCTGTTATTTTTAGGTATACAAACTACTTCAGCTTATTAATTTCTATGGTATGAAGCACAGGACTGTATGTATGTATGTGTGTGTGTGTATATATATATATATATATATATATATATATATATACACACACACACACACACACAATTTCTTTTCTCACTAATCTGTTGCATTAACATATATGTCTTTCTTCCTGCTAATAGAATAGTCTCAATTACTATAACTTTATACATTTTGAAAACAGGCTGTGTAAGTCCTCAGACTTTTATTCTCCTTTTTCAAAACACTTTTAGCTAATGTAGCATTTACATTTCCACATACATTTTAAAATCAGCTTGCCAATTTCTATGAAAAATAAGCCTGCTGAGATTTTAATGAGGATTACACTGAATCAATCAATAGGTTAGGGAAGAAATGACATCTTAACCAAATTGAATTTTCTGATTCATAAACACTGTAAATCTCTCCATTTACTCATCCTTAAATGAATCTTAACAATGTTCTGTAGTATTCAGTATAGAGATCTTGCATGGCTTTTGTTAAATGTATTCCTAATAATTTACTATTTTTGGTGAAATTATCAACGCAAAAATTCAGTTTTGCTTCTATACACCAGCAATAAAAATCAAAAGAAAAAAAAGGAAAGGACATTTTTAAAAACTTACAGTAGGGTTAGGCACGGTGGCTCACGCCTGTAATTCCAGCACTTTGGGAGGTAGAGGTGTGAGGACAGCTTGAGCCCAGGAGTTCGAGATCAGCCTGGGCAAGAAAGCAAGACCTTATCTCTACAAAAAAATTTAATAATTAGCCAAATATAGTGGCACATGCCTGTAGTCCCGGCTCCTTAGGAGACTGAGGTGGGAGGATTGCTTGAGCCTGGGAGGTCAAGGCTATAGTGAGCCATGATCATACCACTGCACTCCAGCCTGAGCAACAGAGTGAAACTCTGTCTCAAAAAAAAAAAATGTGCAATAGCATCTAGAGGAACAAAATATGTAGGAATTAATTTAACCAAGGTGAATCATCTGTATACTGAACACTGATTTCTTTAAAAAAAAAAAAAGATGGAAAGACATCATATGTTCATGGATAGGAAGACTCAATGTGTTAAGATGTCAATACTCCCAGAACAATCTACAGATTCAGTGCAATCTCTAAGAAAATTCCAACAGCGTTTTCCACAGAAATGAAAATGTGCTCTTCAAATTCAAGTAAAATTTCAACAGACCTAAAGAGTCAAACAAATGGGATCTAATTAAACTAAAGAGCTTCTGCACAGCAAAAGAAACTACCATCAGAGTGAACAGGCAACCTACAAAATGGGAGAAAATTTTCGCAACCTATTCATCTGACAAAGGGCTAATATCCAGAATCTACAATGAACTCAAACAAATTTACAAGAAAAAAAAAGACCCCATCAAAAAGTGGCCGAAGGACATGAACAGACACTTCTCAAAAGAAGATATTTATGCAGCCAAAAAACACATGAAAAAATGCTCACCATCACTGGCCATCAGAGAAATGCAAATCAAAACCACAATGAGATATCATCTCACACCAGTTAGAATGGCAATCATTAAAAAGTCAGGAAACAACAGGTGCTGGAGAGGATGTGGAAAAATAGGAACACTTTTACACTGTTGGTGGGACTGTAAACTAGTTCAACCATTGTGGAAGTCAGTGTGGTGATTCTTCAGGGATCTAGAACTAGAAATACCATTTGACCCAGCCATCCCATTACTGGGTATATACCCAAAGGACTATAAATCATGCTGCTATAAAGACACATGCACACGTATGTTTATTGCGGCATTATTCACAATAGCAAAGACTTGGAACCAACCCAAATGTCCAACAATGATAGACTGGATTAAGAAAATGTGGCACATATACACCATGGAATACTATGCAGCCATAAAAAATGATGAGTTCATGCCCTTTGTAGGGACATGGATGAAATTGGAAATCATCATTCTCAGTAAACTATCGCAAGAACAAAAAAACAAACACCGCATATTCTCACTCATAGGTGGGAATTGAACAATGAGAACACATGGACACAGGAAGGGGAACATCACACTCTGGGGACTGTTGTGGGGTGGGGGGAGGGGGGAGGGATAGCATCGGGAGATATACCTAATGCTAGATGACGAGTTAGTGGGTGCAGCGCACCAGCATGGCACATGTATACATATGTAACTAACCTGCACATTGTGCACATGTACCCTAAAACTTAAAGTATAATAATAATAAATAAATAAAAAATTATTGGTAAAAAAAAAAAAATCTTGAAAAAAGAAAAGAATTGAAAGAGTCACACTTTTTACTTTTCAAAACTTACTACAAAGCTACAGTAATCAAAACAGGTGGTACTAGCATAAAGATAGACAAAAACACCAACAGAATAGAATTAAGAGTACATAAATAAAGTCATAAATCTATAGCAAATTGATTTCTTTTCCACAAGGATGCCAAGCCCATTCAATGAGGGAAAGAATACTCTCTTTAAGAAAGAGAGGTGGGACAGCTGGTTTTCCACATGTAAAACTATGAAATTGAATGCCTACCTCATACCATATACAAAGATTAACAAAAAATGAATAAACAACCTGTAACATGTAAAACCACAGAAGTCTTAGAAGAAAACATAAGGCTCTGCGATCTTAGATTTGGCAGTAGATTTTTAGTTTTGACACCAAAAGCATAAGCAACAAAAGAAAAACTACATAGTTTGGGCTTAATCAAAATTAAAAACCTTTGTGCATGACAGAACATTATCAAGAAAGTGAAAAGACAACCTACAGAATGGGAGAAAATGTTTGCAAATTATACATCTGATATAAACCTGGATATGTATCTATTTATATCCAGAATATATTGTTAAAATGGATACAACTTAACAACAAAAAAACCCAAATTTAAAAGTCAAAAGACTTGAATAAACATTTCTCCAAGGAAGATATACAAATGGCCAATAAGCACATGAAAAGATGTTCACTATCATTAATCATTAAACAAATGCAATCAAAATCAAATGGAGATACCACTTCATACTAACTAGGGTGACTATAATTTAGAAAAAAAAACACAGAAACTAACAAGTGTTGGTGAGAATGTGGATAAATCAGAACATGCACATTGCTGATAGAAATGTGAAATGGTGCAGCCACTATAGATAAAAGGTTAACAGTACCTCAAAAAGCCAAACACAGAATTACCACATGACCCGGAAGGTCCATTTCTAGGTACACACTCCAAAAACCTGAAAACAGCTACTCAAACAGACACTTGTATGTCAATGTTCATTGAAGCATTCTTCACAAAAATTAAAAGGTAAAGACAATACAAGTCTCCATCAACAGGTGAGTAGATAAACAAAAGGTTGTATATACATATATTATCCAAATATAAAAAGGAATGAAGTTTTGATACGTGCTGCCAAACGGATGAACCTCAAAAGCATTATGCTAAGCGAAATAAGCCAGACACAAAAGGAAAATATTGTATGATTCCACTTACATGAAATATTTAAAATAGAAAAAAATCATGGTGACCGAAAGTAGATTAGAGGTCACCCAGGGCTACAGTATGGAAGAAAATGGAAGTTACTGCTTAGTGGTTAAATGATTTCTGTTTGGGATGATGAAAAGGTTTTGGAAATAGACAGTGGAGGTGGTTGTACAACACTGTCCATGTAATTAGAGATTATAAAAATTATTTTAATAAACAAAAGCTTTGTAAATAATTGTGTTCTTAAGCATTATAACTTCCTAATGTATATAATATGTAAATATAAATAAATCACACTAATCAATATATTTGTATATTCACTTTATAGGTATCCTAATTGGAATGCATTTACTCAACAGAATGAAAAATTAATTGAAATTTTTTGATATGTAAAGTATATAACATTATAACACAATGTTTGATATACACAGTGAAATGATTACTATGGTAAAGCAAATTAACATTATCCATCTCCTCACAGTTACCTTGTATGTGTGTACATGTGTGTCAAGAACATCTGAAATCTACTCTCTTGGCAAACTTCCAGTATATAAAACAATATTATTAAGTACAGTCATTGTGCTGTACATTAGACCTCCAGATTTATTCAGCCTACGTAACTGCAAATTTGTGCTCTTTAACCTACATCTCCCCAACTCCCCCATCCTCAGCACTGATAACCTTCTTCCTAGTCCTGAACAGTAGCTTCTAGTTTCAACAAAACAAATCCCTTTGAATACCCACAACTGAGAGGGGGGATAAAAAGCATGCTCTCCCTCTGACCTGAGCTTGCTAATTTTTTTATATTTCTAACCACAGAAGACGGTACAGTTAGAACTGACAGAGTAATTTATATCTGTTTCAATTATAATAAGGAGGTACAGAATTAGTTTATCACCTATAATCAAAAGTTGTTATTAATGAGTTACCAACTGGGTTTGTTTCTCCCCCATTTAAAAGAGCTTATTAACCAAGTAGCTTCATAATAGGTGTTTTTTGCATTCTGTTTCTGTGTACTCAACTTTTTGAGATTCCACATGTAAGTGAAATCACACACCATTTCTCTTTCTGTGTCTGGCTGATCTTGCTTAGTACAATGCCCTCCAGCTCCATCCATGTTGTTATAAATGACAGGATCTTTTTTTCTAAGCCTGAATAATATTCTGTTGCATAAATATACCATAATTTCTTAATTCATTGACCCACTGAAGGACATTTAGGTGGTTTCCATATGCAGGCTGTTGGAAATAATGCTGTAATGAACATGGGGGCATACATTTCTCTATGAGGTACTAATTTCATTTCTTTTGGTATATACTCAGAGGAACTGCTGAGTCATATATTAGTTTTGTTTTTAATCGTTTGAGGAGCCTCCATACTGTTTTCCATAATGGTTGTACCAATTTACATTCCTACCAACAGTGGGACACCCTTACTCTCCACACCTTCACCAACTATTTTGTATGTTATCTTGTATTTTCGATAATAGCCATCTTAATATGCATGAGGTAATATCTCAATGACGTTTTAATTTTCATTTCTCTGTGACTGGTGATGTTGAGCACCTTTTCATACACCTTTTGACCTTTTTTTTTTTTTTTGAGACGGAGTTTCCCTCTCGTTGCCCAGGCTGGAGTGCAGTGGCGCAATCTCAGCTCACCGCAACCTCCGCCTCCCAGGTTCAAGTGATTCTCCTGCCTCAGCCTCCCAAGTAGCTGAGATTACAGGCATGTGCCAGCAGGCCCAGCTAATTTTGCATTTTTTTTTCTTCTTTTTTTTAGTAGAGATGGGGTTTCTCCATGTTGTTCAGGCTGGTCTCAAACTCCTGACCTCAGGTGATCTACCCACCTTGGCCTCCCAAAGTGTTGAGATTACAGGCATGAGCCACCATGCCCAGCCACCTGTTGACCACTTTCATGGCTTCTTTGGAAAAAAAAAAAAAAAAGTCTATTCAAGTCCTTGGATTATTTGTTTTTGTTTTGTTTTTTGCTACTGAGTTGTGAATTCCTTTAATATTATAGATATCCCCTTATCAGATATGTGCTTTGCAAATATTTTCTCCCAATCTGCCTTTTCATTTTGTTGATTGTTTCCTGTTGTGCAGAAGCTTTTTAGTTTCATGTAGTCCCAGTTGTGTATTATTGCTGTTGTTGGCTGAGCTTTTGATGTAACATCAAAAAGATCATTGCCAAGACCAACATCAAGGAGCTTTTCCACTATGTTTTCTTCTAGGAGTTTTACAGTTTCAAGTGTTACAGTTAGGCATTTGATCTATTTTAAGTGGATTTTTGTGTATGGTATAAGGGTCCAATTTCATTCTTTTGTATATGGATATTCAAGCTTCCCCAACATCATTTACTGAAAAGATTATCTTCTCCCCATTGTGTATTCTTGGTGCCCATGTCAAAAATTTGAACATACATGCTTGGGTTTATTTCTGGGCCCTCTATTCTGGTCCACTGGTCTATGTGTATGTTTCTATTTCAGTACTACACCATTTTAATTACTGGAGCTTAGTAATATAACTTGAAACCAGGAAGTGTGATGCTTCCAACTTTGTTCTTCTTTCTCAAAATTGCTTTGGCTTTTTCAGGGTTTTTAGTCCCCTACAAATTTTAGAATTGTTTTTCTCTAGTTCTGTAAAAAATGTCATTGGTATTTGGATAGGGATTGCACCAAATCTGTGTATCACTTTGGGTAGTATGGACATCTTAACAATGTAAATCTTCCAATTCATTAACATGGAATATCTTTCTATTTATGTGTATCATCTTCAATTTCTTCCATCTTGGTTAAATTTATTCCTAGGTATTTTATTCTTTTTGATGCTATTGTAAATGAGATTGTTTTCTTCATTCTCTTTTCAGATAGGCTGTTATCGATTGGTGTAAAGAAATGTAACTGATTTCTGTATGTTAACTTTGCATCCCACAACTTTATTGAATTAACAGGTTTTTTTGATGTAACAGTCTTTTTCTACATATAGGATCATGTCATCTGCAAACAGAGATAATTCTACTACTTGTTTTCCATTTTAGATGCCTGTTGTTTCTTTTTCTTGTCTGATTGCTCTTACTAGTAGCTCCAGTATTATGTTGAATAGAAGCACCAAGATGGGGAATCCTTGCCTTGTACCGGATTTTACAGGAAAAGCTTTTAGTTCTTCCCCATTAATTGTGATGCTAGCTGTGGCCTTTTCATAAATGGCCTTTGTGTTGAGAAAATTTTCTTCTATACCTATTTTATTGGAAGTTTTTGTCCCAAAAGATGTTGAACTTTGCCAAATGCTTTGTATGAATCTGTGGAGATGATCATGTGGTTTTAGCTTTTATTCTGTTACTGTGGTATATCATATTGATTGATCTGCATATGTTTATACCAACCTTGTAACCCAGGGATAAATCTCACTTGGGGATTTTAAATGTATTCTGAGTACAAAGTAAAAAAAGAAAAGGTATTACCTGAGTGTCTTAAAATTGATTATAGAGGAATGAACATTGTAAGCCTTGAAGGATGGGTAATATTCACTCATGCAGATTTGCAGCATGAAGTAAATATGGGCAAAAAAACAGGAGTAGAGAAATATAGGATGTGCTAAAGGAGAGGCAAGTCTCCCAATTCAGTGTGTGCATTATGGAGGGTGGGGCCATATTATAAGAAAAATACTTAGGAAGGAAAAATTGCTAAGTGTCCAATACTAGTATTTTTAAATTATCCAAGTCAAATTGCATTCTAACAAATTTTTAATTTAATTTTTAAAATTAGATATGGAGTCTTGCTATCTTGCCCAAGCTAGAATGCAGTGGCTATTCACAGGTGCAGTCACAGCACTGCAGCCTTGAACTCCTGAGTTTAAGCAATTCTCCCACCACAGCCTCCTGAGTAGCTGAGACGAAGGGTGCAATCCATTGCACCCAGCTCAAACAGATTTTTATAAATTATTTAAAACTGCAAAAATCATAATCACAGGATTGCTTACTTCAAACGGAAGTCCATACAATGACGATTCAATATAATTTAAGTTTTGCTAAGAAAGAAAAAATCATTGGAATTGATAGGAAACACCTTTTAACTGTGCCACGTGTAAGAAAATAATGCACATTATTTTCCCTCAAGTTTTGTATTGAAGCATGAGTAAGTATAAAATCAAATATATAATTTTTCAGTGGAAATTTTCTTCCATATATTTGCCCTGAGAGATTTATTTAGGTAACATACATGCTTCAGGATAATCACAAATAAATCTCTTTAGAAAGTTTTTTTGGAATGTTGAAACTGCAACATTTTCCCATTGTCAACCCATTAGTGAAGAGAATCTGATAAAATATAGTCATTTTCCTAGTAAAGCTTATTTGACAGAAAAGTCACAGGCCTTTAAGTAACAGTGGCTCATTACAGTAGTAAAGGGTCAAAAAAAGTAAGGGGAGAAAGGAGTGTCAGCAAGAGAGAATAGGCCCAAGAAAAAGAGTAAGTTTGTGTAGCTTGAAACACACTATGCACATCCCACCGCATTTGCAACCTCTGCCAAGGAAATTTCATACTTACAGGCAAATCATCCTTTAGTTCCGTTTCCTACTTGTTTATAGTAAGTGACTACAAGAACACTTAGAAACCAATATCAATCTAAGTTATTAAATCTAGAAAAGTTGAATGATGGTATAGTTTTAAAATATCTCCTAATAGGTACCTAATGATAAATTCTAAAAAGCTTTAATATGTAATTTTATTTATATAACAGATATTAAATATCATTCACATTCTCTTGCCTGGAAATCAAGACTCAATTTTGTCTAATAAGAAAACAACATGTATCAACTCTTCTGTTTTTACACAGCAATAATTCAGAAACTTAAGTAACTCCTCATCTCATTGCACATCAAATCATTCATATTAATTTGGAATACTAGACTTGATATTATTAGGAATTTCAAAGCACCTTTATGAAAATTAATGATTATAAAATTTTAGAAAATGGGGCCAGGTGCAGTGGCTCACGTCTGTAATCCCAGCACTTTGAGAAGCCAAGGCGGGCAGATCACCTGAGGTCAGGAGTTCAAGACCAGCCTGGCCAACATGATGAAACACCATCTCTACTAAAAATGCAAAAATTAGCTAGGCATGGTGGTGCATGTTTGTAGTCCCAGCCACCTGGGGGGGCCAAGGCAGGAAAATTGCTTGAACCTGAAAGGCAGAGGTTGCAGTGAGTCAAGATCACACCACTGCACGCCAGCCTGGGCAATAGGGTGAGACTCTGTCTCAAATAAATAAATTAATTAATTAATCTAGAAAATGGTATTTTAAGAATACTGTAGCTCCCAGTTATTGAATGTAGATTCAACAATGACACAGATTCTATGAGTAAAATATATTGAAATACCCATTAGAATGTAATTCTACTTCAGAAAAAATCACATCAATTTTGTGCCTACAAAACACCTAGTAAAATGCTCAAATACTTTAATAAAATAATTAAAAATACAGAATTTCAAAACTTACTACAAAAATATCTGTCTCAGGTACACTTAATTTAAAAATGAAATATCTGAGATTATGAAATAAGCTAACAATATTTATGAAAGATTATATAAATCACTACCAAATAATCCCTTTTTCATGATCCCCAAAATAATAAGAGCAAATATATTACAAATACAGAAACTGAATAAGCCTTTTAGAAATAAATATTTATGATTTATCAAACTTGAAATACAGAATCTTGCTGAACTATAAACAAGGATATAAAAACACCATTCTACATGTTCTCGTGTATAGTCAGAGTAATATAATTCAATTTACCAGCATGTATCTAGGTTAAAATAATTATCAGAGCTATAGTTAACTGATAAATACAATACTTAGTTTATAGAAATAAATCTGATTGTATGAGGTGAGCTGTCAAAAAAAAACTGGGGATATGTTAGGTGTAAACGTAATTACCAATATAACCCAAGATATCCATTGCCATTGTAAAGTCAAAAACATAATAAATGTAAACGTCAGGCAGCAAAATAAGATGCTTAAGAAAGTGTTGACCAGATGAGAACAGAACCTGGCTTAGAGGTAGAAGATGGCCATATGCCAAAGAGAAGTCTGTAAAACTAAGGTGGACAGGAAGCTAACTGGAGGTATACATGATATATATTTGTGGTGTAAAGCACTGGTTCTCAACTAGGGGAGATTTTGCCTCCAAGGGATATTTGGCAATGCGTGGAGACATTTTTGGTTGAACAAGAGGTGGGGAGGGGGTGCTACTGCCATCTAGTGGTTAAAGGCTAGATATGCTACTAAACATCCTACAAAGCACAGGGCAGCTGCCCACAACAAAGAATTCTAGCCCAAAATGTCAATGGTGCCAAGGCTGAGAAAACCTGATGTAAATGAAGCTAGCATTAGTAACGGCAAAGGAGCAACGTATTTAGTCCCTCTTTGCCTCTACTAACGTAATTATTTTAAGCAAGTTCAAAGTGGGCTTTATCTATCTCATTTGTAAAAATGCAATAATAGCATTTTGCTTGCCTAAAACAGGATATCTAGACCAGAGATATCTAAAAACACCTTGCAGGCTTATGTTATTCTATTATTTCCACTAGTAAAATGTGAGTAGTTATCACCAGGTTCTACAGTAAAACCTGAGACATAATGCCTTCTTCACAAAGATCACATCTGAAGCTAAGAAAGATCCCTGTCCTTACTATAATATTAGTTTTATTACAGCATTTATTTTTAAAGAAAACTTTAGAAATCCTAGACAGTAATGCTACTAGAGACAGTAAAACAATGGAATCAATTATGAACGCACATTCTTCAAGAATCTATTATTTGTCTTTTCACTGTTACACATTATACAGCATCCACTCCTCTAAGACTCCAAATACACTTACAATGAAAATTACTCCCAAATCTTCATCTTTTGTCCTAACTTTCTCCCAAATAAAAGTATGCCAGGCACTGGCTTATTCATTAGTACCCTAAAGGCAGCCTAAAGTTTTAAATCTAAAACTGAATCATTTATATTCTTAAACAAAAAACTAGTTCATCTCCATTCTGATTTCCATTTCTGATTAACATAATGCTCCTAACCAGAAAGGTTCAAAACTCTCGAATCATCTTTGATGCGATCTCTACCAATTCCATATTCCACCAATTATCTCTATTACTTTTTCACCCAGGCTATTGTGATCAACCTAACTGTTATCCCTATTATCAACAGGCCCTATCAAATACAACTGATCCTGAATCCATCTGGTTAGATGGTTTACTGAAAATAATACAAGCTTCTCAACCTAACAACCAAAGACCACCTCCCCGTGCCCACTTACCTAGCCTTATTCATCCTCTCTAGTTTTATCCCCTACTATGCCCTTTACACAGAATAATTAAGGCAGCAATAACTTCTAAGGGCTAACATCGACTGAGTTTTTCACTTTTCACCAGTTACTGGTTTGAGTGTTCTTAAATCACTTTATTCTCAAAATAGCTCCATGAGGTAGTTCAATCTAACATAGTACCCTTTTCTCATGGATCACAAAACAGAGTCATAAAGAAATTGGTAGAAAAGATATTTGAACCCAAGTATTTTATTCCAGATTCCAAAATATATACTAACTACCACATTGTACGGGGTGAATGGAAAGACAAAAAGGTGCACACCATACACAAAAATCAACTCAAATGGATTAAACATTTAAACACAAAAGTGGAAACTGTAAAACTCCTAGAAGTAAACAAAGAAAAACTTCTTGACACTGGTCTTGGCAACTATTTTCTGGATATAACACCAAAAGCACAGGCAACAGAAGCAAAAATAGACAAGTGGGACTATATCAAACTAAAAACCTTCTGCACAGCAAAAGAAACAATGAACAAAGTGAAAGGTCACCTATGAAATGAGAAAAAATAATCTTCAAACTATACATCCACAGGGGTTAATATCCAATATATAAAATCATACAACTCAATATTAAAAATACAAATAACCTGTTAAAAATGGGTAAGGGCCCTGAATAGACACTTCTCAAAATAAGAAACGTAGATGGCCAACAGACCTATTGAAAAGCTGCTCAGCATTTCTAATCAGCAGGGAAATGCAAATCAAAACCTCAATAAGACAGCACTTCACATTTACGAGGATGCCTATTATCAAAAAGGCAAGAAATAACAAGTGTTGTCAAGGATATGGAGAAAAGTGAACCCTTGTATACTTCGGTGAGAATGTAAATTGGTACAGCCCATTAGTGAAAACAGTATTGAGGTTCCTCAAAAAATTAAAGACAGAACCACCCTATGATTCAGCAATCCCACCTCTGAGTATGTATCTGGAAGTATTGAAAACAGGATCATGAAGAGATATCTGCTCTCTCCCATTCACTGCAGCTTTATGCACAATAGCGAAGATATGGAAGCAACTTAAATGCCCTGCGATGGATGAATGGTTAAAGAAAACGTGGTGTACATATAACAGAATATTATTCAGCCTTACCCCCAGAAAAGTAATTTATGCCATTTGTGGTAACGTGGATGGAGCTGGAGAGCACTGTACTAAGCAAAAATAAGCCAGAAAGAGAAATACTGCATGATCTCACTTATACATGGAATCTCAATTAGTCAAACTCATAGAAGCAGAGATTAGGATGGTGGCTGCCTGGAAACGGAAGGAACTAGAAATGGGATGATGCTGGTCAAAGGGTACAAAAATGGCAGGTAGACAGAGATATCAGATGTTAATTAGCTGGAATGTAGTGATTATTTCACAATGTATATCAAAACATCAAGCTGTATGCCCTAAATACATACAATTTCTATACGTCAAAAAAGTTAAATTGTCACAAAATATAGAATTTAAAGAAAAAAGACAAAATGGTTAAGATATCTGTTCAAGTATATTCAAAAGCCCTATACATTTATAAATCTATAAATCTAAGACAATATGGAGAAAGCAAAGAAATCCACAGTCTAAAGCAGGGTTCTTTAACAGCAATACTACTGACATTGGGGCAGTTGACTCTTTGTTGTGGGGGCTGTTCCGTGCAATGTAGGAGGTTTAACAGCATCCCTGGCCTCTATGGGCCAATCAAAATAATAAAAAATGTCCCCACATACTGTCAAATGTTATTTGGGAAGTAAAATCATGCCAGTTGAGAATCACTGATCTAAAGTATGCATTCATTCTTTTTTTTTAAACCAGTACCTATTGATCAACTGCTAAGCCTGTGTCAACCTCTGTGCTAGAGGACAGTAAGATAAAGATAATGGGGGTTTCAGACAAATAATAAGCAGTTACAAAAAACTGTGAAGAATTTAATGAAAGATGAAGTTCAGAGTGCTATAATAGCTGAGAAAATGAAATGTAACACAGTCAAAAAGATAAAAACAAATTTCCCAGGGGAAGTAAAATTTAAGCTGAGAATTATACAGGCAATAAGGATGAGTTAAGTAGCTACAAGAGAAAGTACAGTGAATCTGAGCAGCAGACATTCAGATTGCCCACACGTACAGCACAGTACTTAATATTCACCCTACTGCTACAAGCACTAAAAATATCACTGTGAATGAGACAGAGATGGTCTCTGTCTTCATGGTACTTACAATCTAGTAAGAGAAATGGTAATGTTTAAATAACTAAAAATTAATACACGTTAAGTGCTTTGAGGCCAATGGGAATACTGTGGAGGCACAGGGGAGAGTCATGCTCACCTATACAACCAGGCTTCCTCAAGGAAGCACATCTAACTTGATAGTTGAAGGATAAATGGGAGTAATATAGAAAAGAAAATAGTTTCAGGCAGAAGAAATAGCATGTATAAATACATATTCTTTAGAGACTATTTCAGTTTGTAGCTCTTACAGAATGAATTGGTCTGTCAGTAGAAAGAGCTACTAAAGTTATCACTGAACTTGGACAACAAAAGGAAAATCAATTTTCTGACCCTACATAGACAAAATGTGTGCTTTTAAATATTTCCTTCTAAAATGTGGAATTGCTATAAGCATAAGGGATAAGAAATATCAATTAATAAACCCTATCTTTTTGCTATGATTCCAATATGTCTCCCTAGATGCCTAAATCAGAGCGCTAACAAAATAGACATTAAAAATATACCCGGACAAATTCTGAAAAGCAAAGTGTAAAATAATATGCTATCTTTTTAAAAAAGTGGAATGAAAATAAGAATGTATTCACACATTTGTATTTGCTTCTATATATATAAAGAAACTGGGAAGAAGTATGAGAGGGAAATTTTCTTCTATGTATTTTTTAAATACATGTTAAAATTTCTGAACCACGTGATTGTATTATCTGGTTTAAAAATTAAAATTATACCACTGTAAAATGACAATTTTAAAAATCTACCATTAATGTTTCAACATTAAACATAAGTTATTAATAAAAAGAACTATCCCTAATTCATTAAGTGTTTAATATGTATCATTTATATGAGAACTGATTTGGTATTCTGTATATTTACCCTCTAGGAATTCACCGCTTCTTTCATTTTTGTGAAGTCCTTATTTATATTTATTTCCCCTTTCTCTGCTACCAATATATCATCATTAGCAATTCCTTTTAGTTGTACAGATATATCTATATCTAGCTGAGACTGATTACAAATTATGCATCTGTAGCTGTTTATTTTGCCAACAAAATTCAAAAAAAAGTAAATATTTATTTTAAAAACTTGAAAATGATGTTTTGCTTTTTCTTCCTTACACAAAGCAAGCTAAGAATATTTTGCTGTGCTCTAAAAGATGAACAAGGAAAAAAAAATAAAATAAGGTATATTTTCTTTCTTGGCACTTTGCTATTACAATTCCTTGGAAAATTATATTTTTCAATAAAAGTAACACATTTTGAGAAAAGATAGAATGACACTTTTGCAGCCTGCCAGAAAACAGAGCCCTTCTTCAAATGAAGACCTATCAAAATATGCAAGCAAATGTCATGGAAACAGAAGCTCTCACCATGGTAACATCCTTGCTACAGAGGAAAACCATTCTAATTTGTCATGTACTTCAAGACAAGGCATTAGGCTAATTCCAATTTTCATTTTACAATCTATCCATAACATTCAATATACCTGGCAGTAGTAAAGATTTAATAAAAATATTAATATTTCAAAAGAATGCAATATTAAAATCAAAGCTGACTCTAAATTTCTATGCAAACTGATGAATACCAGATACATAAAATCAAGCTGAACCACCTTATAGGAAAATCAAAATAGTGATGAAAACATTAAAAAACAATTATATCTCTACTACTTGAAAGTAAATAACTCTAGACTCAATAGAAACAATTATGTTTTACTAACCATAGTAGAGTTAGTGGGTACAACAAGAAAAGCCATTTTTCTAAATATAAAACAAAAATATTTTCAAGATTTTTATTCTTACTTCAATTATACAATCCACTATTCTGTTTTTATTTCATAGTGATAGATTAATGGCATACAATTCTTGTCTAGAAACATAGTTTCTCCAGATGATAAAAGTAAAATCAAAGCTGATTTTTCAAAAGGTTAAAAATTAATGTTATTTCCACATGTAAAACTGTAATATGCTACATAAATCTACACTAAAATCAACTTATAAAAGCTAGTAAACAAATAAGATTTCATTTTACTACCAACTTTGTAAATTAAACAATCTAATAGCTATCATGTAAAAGATTGAATACCTGCATATTAAAATACCAAATCATCACGTTAAAATATTCATTTTTAAGTGACGAATGGCCAAAAATTAGCAATTCAAAATGGAAGTGTAATCACAGAACTGAAAACCATATAGATAGGAGTCTAATAAAACATAGTTTATTACAGAAGCTGATAATGAGATGGAAAATTCAATTTGATAGTGGTTCTTTTTAAAAATGATCATTTCTGTTTGAGGAAAGCTTGAACCTTAAACCTTAGAAAATAGGTTTATACTGAAAACAAACAGATAATTTTTTCCTTTTGAAGAAAATACCAAAGTTTTTCTCAAATATTTAAGTATTTTTGTCAAGTATAGGTTACATTTCAAATTTTTTTAAAACACTGTGCTACAGACTGATGTTTGTGTCCCTTCCAAAACTCCTATGTTTAAATCCTAAGCCCCTAATGTGATGGTATTAGGAGGTGGGACCTTTGGGAGGTGATTAAGTCAAGAGGACTCTGCCTTCATGAATGAGACTCCTACCCTTAGAAAAGAGACCCAGGAAAGCTCCCTTGCCCCTTCTGCCATGTGGGACACAACATAAGCCAAGAAGCAGGCCTTCACCACACACCGAATCTGCCAACACCTTGATCTTGGACTTCCCAGCTTCTAGAACTGTGAGAAATAAATTTCTGTTGTTTATAAGCCACTCGGTTTATGGTATTTTGTTACAGCACCCCAAACTGACTAATTGACTGTTTATATTATTGTTTATATCACTGTTTGTGAATAATATAATTAAGCCACCTTTAAATAAAAAACATTAAAGTTATTTTTGAATCAACAGCAAAACACACAGGGAAACCAAAAGGCAAAATATGATAAAGAAAAAAGTAAACTGGCTCCAAATCTAATGTTGGTTTCCTGAGAAATGTTGGTTAACCTGAGAACAAGGAGAAAGCACTAGAGATTAAGGAAGATCACTCGATATGGAGAGAAGAAAAGATTGGGCCAGGCGTGGTGGCTCATGCCTGTAATCCCAGCACTTTGGGAGGCCGAGGTGGGCGGATCACAAGGTCAAGAGATCCAGACCATCCTGGCCAACATGGTGAAACCCCGTCTCTACTAAAAATACAAAAATTAGCTGGGTGTGGTGGTGCGGGCCTGCATTCCCAGCTACTCAGGAGGCTGAGGCTGGAGAATTGCTTGAACCCAGGAGGCTGAGGTTGCAGTGAGCCCAGATCGCGTCACTGCACTCCAGCCTGGGCAACAAGAGTGAAACTTCATTTCAAAAACAAAAAAAAAAAAGGAGTGAAGAAAAGATTGGAGGGAGGCAAGAATGGATGCTGTAAGACTGGTTAGGATGCCACTGTAGTGGTTCCAGCAAGAGGCAATGAATGACAAACTGGATTAGAGTAGTAGCAGTGACAATGGAGAAAAAAGGGAATAATTTAAGAGATACTTAAAAGATAAAGAAAGACTTGGAGATGAAGGAAGGGGACAGTGCCAAAGATGACAGCTAGATTTCTGATTTAAGTAACTGCATTTAGTAACTGAGGTGGAAATGCTGGAAAAGAACCAGTTTGTATGTCTGCTTATTTGATCATTTCAGAAATAGAGATAGAGTTTGTCTTTGATATGCAGATGCTTCTCAACTTACAACGGCATTACTATCCACAGAAAAATCATAAGTCAAACCATCATAAGCTGGGAACTGTCTGTATTGTGTTTCTGATGTTTTTGAGAAATTCAAAAGGCAGTATCAGAGTGGGCAAAAAGATAACCAAATTTGGGGCTTACATAGAAATCTGAAGTCTGAGTAACATGCTGATAAAAATGAACTAAATTCATAGGTATGGATGAGACTACTAGAAAGAGTAGGGCATGAGAAAGAATGAAATCTGGTGCACTGAGCCCCGAGAAACACCAAACTTCAATGGCTGGTAGAAGACGGAAGAGCTCGAAAGGGACCGCAAAGAATGGCAAAAGACTAGGAGGAATCAGGAGCATGTGGTGTCACAGATGCCATAAAAGAAAGTATTTCAAGAAAGAGTGAACAGAATATAGACTAATGCTAAATGATCCAGTAAAAAAGGGTGAAAATTATCTTGATTTTTTAATTAAAGGAGATGACTGGCGACCTTTCAAAAAAGCAGTTGATTCGAACATCATTTACTTAGCAGCTAAAGCCCTTTTTAAAACATAATCTCATCTACAAGCACAATATATAAAAGTAATATTAGTAAATCAGCAGCACTGCAATGGAAACAGAATGCTGACCTAGTAACCTATCCCTCCATGCAGTCACCTAAGGCACTTCACAGAAACCTAGAACATTGGAGTTTATATTTTTGAAACCAGTGAGTGAACTAGATAACCTCTGATGTTCTATAATTCTGTAAATGCAAGGTAATCTACTTTGTTTGAATCCAGGCTTTCATGATGATTAATGACTGCTCTGTGTCTTACTCAAAATAAGATATTAGTGTACTTCTTTATAAACACAAATATCCTAAGTTTTATTTCCTTGATTAAACCACTGATTAACTTTTCCTTCTTATAAAAGTAATAAGTAAACTATGTCCAATTATGAATGTGTTACATGGTTATGTCTCTGAAAGTAGAATATTAAATCAAAAGCTAAACAATAAAACTTTCTCCTAAGCTGGTTTTTGGGAGTTTGTTCTCAATAGAATCATCATCTTAATATAGTATTTTTTATCACTATTCTTCAATAACTTGCTAGGATTCAAAGTATCTTCTTTCTTGGCCGGGCACGGTGACTTACACCTGTAATCCCAGCACTTTAGGAGGCTGAGGCGGGTGGATCACCTGAGGCCAGGAGCTCAAGACCAGCCTGGCCAACATGGGGAAACCCCATCGCTACTAAAAATACAAAAAATTAGGCCGGGTGTGTTAATTACACTCACGCCTGTAATCTCAGCATTTTGGGAGGCCAAGGCCAGTGGATAACGAGGTCAGGAGATGGAGACTATCCTGGCCAACATGGTGAAACCCCGTATCTACTAAAACTACAAAAATTAGCTGGGCATGGTGGGGTGTGCCTGTAGTCCCAGCTACTCAGGAGGCTGAGGCAGGAGAATCATTTGAACCCGGGAGGCGGAGGTTGCAGTGAGCCGAGATTGCACCACTGCACTACAGCCTGGGCGACAAAGCAAGACTCTGTCTCAAATATGTAGATATCTATAGATATATCTTCTTTTTTCAACAGTACTAACATCTTCTACCCTTTATTCAACCTCAATTCACTCATTATAATTAATGTAACACAGCAGAATAAACTTCTTGCTAAGTTTTAAGTAACTAGCACCAAACACAGTTGGGCCAAGGAGTTTTTTCACAAGTAGATCCACTAGTAATCCTCATCATCTTTTGCCATTCATTTGCCTTTGGAATATTTCTGTGGTACCAGAGGATGGATAACAGGCTTTGCCTGTGCTTCATCAGGACTTGTTCTCCACTTTATATACACTCACCCTTTCACTCAACTATCCCTTTCTTGATTTACTTGAATTGTTGGCTAATAGGAACCAATAGATGCAACACCACACTATAAAAAGTTTCAAAGATTTTAGGATAAATGGTAGACTAAACATGTATTTATGCCCGCTTTGATATAAAACCTCACTAAAGGTGAGAGTTACAGAAAACAAGAGGTATCAACAGAAAGGGAAAACAAAAATAGGAGACTGACAATAGCAGAAAAAAACCCATAGCAATGTAATTTTAAAAGATAGAAAGTACAGAAGTTAACACAGCATACAGCAAAGAAAACCAAATACTAAGTACATGCAAAGAAGGACGCCAATGCAAGTCATTCCTGGTGCAGTGCCCCAGAAAGGATTGAGTCATATAAATAACAGGTAACCTAGAAGGCTGCCAGGGGATAAAGGTAAGGCATAGGACATAAAACAAGGAGACCAGGGAAAGTCTATAGAAGGACCACTAAACCTCTAGCTTCTCTCCTCCACTGCGGGCAAAAGGCAGGAGATATGTTTATTCTGTGAAAAAGCTGAAGGCAGAGCTATGGTGGAGAAGATTCAAAACAGAAGAGAAAAACTGAAACTGCAAGGTTAAGTGAAAGTTTACCCAAGAGTGGACCCTAGCTCCTTTACCTTCTCTACTCCAAGAATAGTAAGAGCAGGCAAAAGACTGAAGGATTGACCTCCAGACAGGTTAAAAGATTTTCAGGGAAAATAACTACACGTTATAAAATTTGTATATCCTCCAATTTAAAAATAAAAGAAAAATTTATACACATTTTGACATTATTTTTAAAATGCAGATTACCTCTAATATACTATATTACTTTTCTCATAACAATGTATTACTTGCCCTGCACTTAATTATTAAAGCTGAGTTCATCAGAAAGTTTTAGACTTCCCCAGAAGAAAAATTTTGAAATGTTGGCAAATTTTACTTAAAAAGTTCTTGGCCTGATTAAGGGTCCTAAACTTCTCATTTAGAACTTGCTCTTAATAGGAAGTCTAAGAAAGAAAGGTAATTTACAAATTTTACAAAGACAGAATCAGAAATTACACTGGGTATTAAGGTCTACAGCTATCCATCGGAAACGTCTTATTAAGCTATAACTTTGGTGGGCTGAAAAATGGCGACCTAGAGATATCAGGAATGCGTTACATTATATGGCAAAAGAGACTTTGGTGGTATGATTAAATTAAGGCCATTCAAGGGCAGGGGAGATTATTCTGAATTACCCAGATGAACCCTAAATGCAATCACAAGTACCTTTTTTTTTTTTTTTTTTCAATTTTTTTTAAAAAACAATTGTCACCAAGGCCTGAGTGCAGTGCCACGATCACAGTTCATTACAGCCTTGACCTCCCAGGCTCAAGCAATCCTCCTACCTCAGCCTCCCAAGTACTACAGGTGTGTGCCACCATGCCTGGCTAATTTTTTTCATTCTTTATAGAGATGGGGTCTCACTGTGCTGCCCAGGCTTATCTCAGACTCCTGGGCTCAAGTGATCCGCCCACCTCGGCCTCCCAAATTGCTGGGACCTCCAGATCTGTAAGGGAATAAATGTATGTTGTTTTAAGCCATCAAGTGTGTGGTAATGTGTTAAAGTAGCCATAGGAAACTAATACAGTAACTAGCTAGTACCATCACGTTTTCTAAATTTTATTTTATTTATTTATTTTTTTTTGAGACAGAGTCTGGCTCTGACGCCCAGGCTGGAGTGCAGTGGCACAATCTCGGCTCACTGCAAGCTCCGCCTCCTGGGTTAACGCCATTCTCCTGCCTCAGCCTCCTGAGTAGCTGGGACCACAGGCGCCCACCACCACACCCGGCTAATTTTTTGTATTTTTAGTAGAGACAGGGTTTCACCACGTTAGCCAGGATGGTCTCGATCTCCTGACCTCGTGATCCGCCCGCCTTGGCCTCCCAAAGTGCTGCGATTACAGGCGGGAGCCACCATGCTCGGCCCAGGATTTCTGTCACATCAAAATACCATAACTATTATTATATTTTTCTTTAAAATAGTTCACTCTAAAAATCTAAAAAATATATATTTTAAATGGAAACTTTATAACAAATGGTACACCATTGATACTATTCGAGAAAACGGTATTGCTTACCTTAAATAACCAGTAGTCCTAAAATTAGAAAAGACAGAAATTAATCAATGATACTAAATTCTAGTAGATATGTTGCCTATTGAATAGTCTAAAAGTGGGCCCACACACTTGTTGAAAAGATCAGCAAGTTTTAGATATTAAAAACTAGAAATAGACTTTCTCCTTATAATCTGAAAGACTGAATAAAAACAAGAATGGGACTACATTTCTCATTGTATGATGCAGTGTCATCTGATGCCCTGTCCCTGGACCACCTAAAATCATGTCTCCTCTCACCACTGGAAGCCACATCTGTCTATAATCAACTCTCTTCTTACTTCCTCCTTACAAATAAGACCTAGTGCAGGTGAAAAGGAAAATTAAGGTGGTTCCTTTGAATATACAAACAGCAATCAGAAAAAGGCTATTTGAACTGGTAAAAAGGAAATTGATGACAATGTATAAGCACAAAAGAAGTGAGAAAAATCTTAAGTATTCTTTCTTTTAAAGTCATAAAGAGAATTTATGAGTAAGAATTATTAGAAAAATGTGTCTTAAACTCTGCTTTCTTTAGCAGAATATCATATAGTGTCTGATAATGTCATTCAACTTTATTTTAATAGAAACATATTTCCATTTTTTTAAAGAGGTAGAAAAGTCATAAATCTCTGCATAAGAGCTAAGTACAGGTTTAATCTGGGGCTTTGGCAAATCAAAAGTCTGAAAGTGGAATACATAAGACCACTCTGGTGATGGTGGCCTAAACTGAGGATAAACTAAAAATAGGAAAAAATCAGCCTTTGCAGGAGAATCGGAGGTTGAAATTGCAAAACCAAAATAAGGAAAAAATAACAAAGGCTACACAATTCAATATAATGAAATTTTGCATTTGAGAGAGAAAATTGCCTCCTGCTACCCGAATGGATTTATGCAAAACTGGAGCCTATTCTGGATGGCACCGTTAATATATATTTATACTTAGAATACCCTTTAGAATATTTACCAAAAAAAATAGTAGGAATGTAAAATAACCACTGAATTAACTAGGATGGGTAGACATGTGATTATGTACCACATCCTTCTTACAGCCAGATGCTGTTTTAGAAATTAACCATCCAATTAAAGAGCACATCAAAAATATGATGAAAGGTACATATTAGTGATAAAAACTAAGAGAATTAAAGTTGGTAACATGTGCTTTTAAGAAATAAAAAACTAGACAGAAAACGATCATGAGAAATTACAATCAGAAATAAAACATTAAGAAACAAAGACTGAAATCATTAAAATTTCATAGAAAATGAAAATGATGAACTAGATACTTATAACTAGTATAGTACAGTGCTATGCCATCAATTAAACTGTTACCAAAATAGGTAGTTGTAAAACATGTTTTCTGAAATAAGTTATAAATGTAAACTAATCTAGAATCTGTTATAAATAAAATAAATCTGTTCTAATAAAAATAAATTAATACTTTTGGAAGAAGCTGACCATGTCCACTGATGAACAAAATGTGACCCTTTCAGAGACATTCCATATATTTTATAATCTTAACAACTTAGGAGATAAAAGATATAAAAGTGAAAAGTCTATTGAAATGATGGTAGGATGGCCAGGTGTGGTGGCTCATGCCTATAATCCCAGCACTTTGGGAGGCCGAGGTGGGCAAATCACTTGAGGCCAGGAGTTCAAGACTAGCCTGGCCAACAAGGTAAAATGCCATTTCTACTAAAGAATCACTTGAACCTGGGAACCATGGGTTGCAGTGAGCCAAGTCTGCGCCACTGCATTCCAGCCTGGGCGACAGAGAAAGACTCTGTCTCCCCCACCAAAAAAAGAAATCATGGCAGGAGAAAAAAATCAATAGAATACAGTCATGTAATAGTCATACTATCAAACTTCATAAGAAGTCTAGTTTATTTTAATTGTCTAACTTGCCATTTAAAACATAAATTATTTTTAGGAAACTAAAATAAAAGAGTTTCTTCTTTTATTAAAAATTCATTACTTAGTAAATTTTCACCAGGTTATTGGCAGAAAGAATTTTCAAGTACTGATTTATATCATTTGCACTGATCATCATATGACCATAAGAGAATTTCAAAGCTAAGCTCTTACAGCCTCTACATTTTACAGATGAAAAACTGGAGAATCAAAAAGATATTCAGTGGTGTCTGTTTGTTTGTTTGTTTAACCAGAGACCACTCCTAACCCACTGGGAAGTTTCTGAAGAGAATATGCAGAGGACAAAACTCATGTTATTGTTTTAGGGAAGAATGGTGTTTGGATTCTGGACTTGGCAAAGAAAAGTGAGAATTTAAAGAAAGCCACTGATAAGTTTTTTGAAAGGAAAAAAGATAACAGCATAAATTAGATTACACATATTCCTATGCAGCAAGGAAAATAAAATACCTATAAATTTAAAAGGTATTTACCTACATTGATAACATAAAAAACTAGTCAAATCTGAAAGACTGGGGAAAACACAAAGATGCATTTTCATTCCTTTAACAAACAGTTTCTAAGACATACTGGGCTAAACGCTATCCTAGACAATGGAGGTTTAAAAAGAAATAAGGAAGGAAAGGACTAATAACCTCAGATTATTTTGCAAGGCAAAAATATAACCACAGCCCATAGATTTTTGTGAGGCAAAAATATAACCACAGCCCATAGATTTTGTGAGGCAAAAATATAACCAAAAGAGAGCTTGTGAGGGGTAGCTAGAAACAGAAAGGCATCTTTAAAGAGAACCATTTTTGCTTTGAGAATAATCATTTAAGCAATCAGTTTTAGTTCTGAAGCAATTTGGCAATTAGTAACAATTTTTCAAGAGAAAAGATAGAAAAAGATATTGCTTTCAGCTTCATGAAAGCAAATCAATCTCCCACAAATCCTATGGAATGGAGAGCAATGAAGACACAGAGTGTGCACAGGAATCTAAGATCTCATCTCTCTTAGACTGGTGGCCTCAGAATGAGAACAGCTGCTACCAGAGAACTGAAAAATCTCCATATCAGAGAAGTAGAAGGTACAGGTTGATGATCAGGACCTAGGCTGTCATGGAAGGAAAGATCTAATTCTAGACAAAGGTGTATCACTTCTGACCAAGCTGCTATAAAAGTGATGATAGAGGAATAGTTATTTAATGCAAATATGTATGTGTCAATTTTGTTTAAAGAGGTTTAAGATTAAATATTCATGACTAAGGTGATACGAAAGAAACCTAGCAACTATCTTTTCAACTCTTTATACCCTAAAATACTACCATCAGACTAACAGGTGTAGCTTAAAAACACCTCTCTTCAACACTATCAACATAGAGGGCTGAAGGCAGTAAATGCACAAAAAATGGTTTCCATCTACAAACTCAGTAGCATTTCACCGTTACAGAAACTGAAGTCCGGAATCAAGACCCCTTGAATAGAACACGTTTAATAACTCGAAGCACATAACACAGGAACAGAAAACCAAACACCACATGTTCTCACTTATAAGTGGGAGCTGAACAATGAGAATATGGACACAGGGAGGGAACATCACACACTGGGGCATGTTGTGGGGGGTTGGGGGCTAGGGAAGGGATAGCATTAGGAGAAATACTGAATGTAGATGACGGGTTGATGAGTGCAGGAAACCACCATGGCACGTGTATACCTATGTAACAAACCTGCATGTTCCGCACATGAATCCCAGAACTTAAAAGTATAATTTTTTAAAAACCACCACCAAAAAAAGCAAACAAACAAACAAAAAACAAGAAATAAACAACTCAAAGCACAATTTTAAAAGGGAAGAACATAAAAATAAAAAAAGGGACCCTCGCAATACTGCAATGCACTATGATTTGGAAGGGGAAGGAGTGTAGGAGCCTGCCTATTGCATTTGAATAAAGAAATGTAATCTTATTTTGTTCTGCAAGCTGGAGAAGAAAAATCTATCATTACACAGAGAATTACAATTCAACTGAAGATCACAAATGAATCATGTACAAATGCCATGAGCACATACAAGAAATGGGAAACAATAAATCAATATATCTATACCTGCACTATCTACTTACACACATGGCCACTGAGCACTTGAACAGTGGCAAGTCCAAGACATGCTGTAAGTGTAAAATTCCCACTGGATTTCAAATACTCAGTACAAAAATAATAATTGTTTTTATATTGAGTAAATGTTGAAATGATAATACTTTTGATATAGTCGTTTAAGTAAAATATATTATTAAAATTAATTTTACCACTTTTTTTCTTAATGTGGCAACTAGAAACATTTAAAGTATATATGTGGATCATATTTGTGTTACATGTTATATTTCTATCAGTCAGTACTGGTCTCCCCCATATAAGGGTTTCTTCCATAGTATAATTTTACTAGGTCAAAAAACAGGGGTAGACTGGAAAGATAATACAGATACAAAGAGCAGTTAAGAAGCTACTGAAATAGGCTGAGTATAAAACAATTTGAGCCAAATCTGACATGGTCTTTTTTAAATAAGGAATAAATAGCAAGGACAACCCAAAAAGACAAAGTGATGAGCCACTTAACAGACTTCACTGATTGTTTGAAGATTGGTTGTCCCTAGTAGAAATGTATAATATGAACGAAGAAATAGAGTACTAGAAGCAAAACAAAAGGCATGGGTTAAAGGTTGATTTAACCAAAACAGCTATAGCCATAAAAAATACACTTTTCTCTATGAAGAGAAGGAAAGGGGGATAGAACTACCTTAGAAGACAAGTATAAAGACAGCCATCCAAAAGGTGGAAGAGGCTGAGAAAGCCAGTGTCTTAGGAAGCTTATTACAAATACAGAATTTGAGTACAACTACTCTCTCCTTTTTAGTTCTATTGTCTAATATTGCTATCAGTTATAACTTACGAGATAAAGTTTTTAAAAATACAAAATTGAATATGTAAACTAAGAGTAGATCTAAAACTTCTGGAAATTTCTGACATTTAGACAGGTAGTCCTGAGCTACGGTTTATTGCACCTTTTCCCTAATTCTCTAGTATATATAAGAAGATGATTTAATATTGCAAACACATTAATTTTCTCCAAATTAATCTAAATTCAAAGGCACTCCAATTAAACTCCTAATAAAAATTGCTGGGTAACATGACATACAGATTCTGAAACTTACGTGTTAAACAAAATGTCTGCAAATATTTAAGAACGTCCTGGCAAACAGGGAGGCTTGATTTATTACGAGATAATCAAGATTATACCAAGTTGCACAGAACTACACAAACACAATAAAAAATTTGGGGCTAAGTCAGAGCCATAAAATTGTAGAACAGATTAGAGACCACTGAAAATAACATGTTCAGTTTACAGCTGAAACAAAAGCTCCATAAGTATAAGGACCAGTTTGTACAGCATTAGGTTTTCAAGATCACTCAAATCAAAAAAGCAGAAAAGATAAAGTCAAAAAAGTAGGGAAATCTATCAGAGAAGAAAGGTAAAAGGGATTTCCTGGATGAAATAGTGAAAAGAAACTCTAAGAAGAAAAGGCTATGCAGCAGGACTAAAGAATGGAAGGCTTCAGAAAGAATGCCTTCAAATGAAAAATGGACCTTATATATTTGACTGCATTGATAAAAAGTAAACAGTTCTTTTGGAGAGTTTAAAGAAAGAAATATTAATAATTATAATAACCAAAAATATTCCTAATGCTAGATGACAAGACTTTTCTAAAAAAAGAAAATACAATTGTATACTATTTGACCCAGATAGGAACAATATTTATGTCACCATAAAAATATAAAAATTGAATATTAATTTGACCAAATATGTGATGTAATTACAATAGAATGACAGAAGGAGAAAGGGGTGTGGAGGGGGTTAGTGGAATTAGAGGGCTCAATCCTATTCTTCCACAGTACAAAGTAAGCAGATTATGTATAAAATACAAAACCAAAAAAGAACAGCATAGACTGTGTAGAACTGTAGAAGCAAAAGCCAAAAAAAAAAAAAAAAAAAAGAGGAAAATAATTGCCTCCTAGGAGTAGTACTCAGAGTGCAGAAAAAGGTAAGAGACTGTTTGGTAAGAGACTGTTCTATTTTTCAGCACAAATCACTCATTTAATTGGTTTTTTTAAATCATGGATAGGCATTACCATGGATTATGTGCAACTTACATAATTTTTTCAACAATAAAAAATATTACCTTCATTATTCTGAATATAAAAAATGAGAAAAATTGGCCGGGTACAGTGGCTCATACCTGTAATCCCAGCACTTTGCGAGGCTGAGGCAGGCGGATTGCTTGAGCTCAGGAGCTTTAGACCAGCCTCGGCAACAAGGCAAAACCCCGTATCTACGAAAAATACAAAAATTAGCAAGGCGTGGTGGTGCGCGCCTATAGTCCCAGCTACTTGGGGACCTGAAGTGCGAGGATTGCTTGAACCCAGGAGGTCGAGGCTGCAGTAAGCCATGTTTGTGCCACTGCACACCAGCCTGGGCAACAAAGTGAGACCCTGTCTCAAAAAAAAAAAAAGAGAGAAAAATGAACTGTAAGAAATAAGGTGGCAGAAATCCTCAAGAAGCAATTATACCTAGATCCAAAAGTATGCTTAAAAAATTATATATATCATGATCAAGTAGCATTTATCCCAGGAATGCAAGGATGGGTCAACATGAGAAAAATCAGTGTAATTTACTACATAAATGGTGTAAAAATGAAAATGACATGATAACCTTAGTAGATACCGAAGAGGCATTACTGCCTTAAAATTAATGCTTTAAAAGGTGTTAAAGCCCAAAACCTGTTTATGATTTTAAAAAGAATTATTGGAAGAACAGAATCAGAAATTTCTTAACACAATAAAGGATATCTAACAGAAATCTACCACAAACATACTTAATGGAGAAAATTTAGTTACATTCCCTTTGAGGTTGAGAAGAAGGTATAAATGTCTTCTCCCTTATCTAACTAGAACTAATACTTAATTCAATACTAGAGGTCCTGGTCAATGTGTAAAATTAGACAATGATGAGAACTAACAGAATTCAACAGGATTGTTGAATCAATAAAATAAATCAATAATGTGGCAGTGTACTAGAAGTAGCAATAAAAAAAGACACAATTTACCACAAAAGCAGAAAATGACAAATATTTAGAAGTTACCATAACAATAATAAAAAACTTAAACTCAGTTACAGAACAGAAAAAGACCTGAAAAAAAAAAGCCATAGCATTCATTGAGAAAGTGATTTAACATTGCAAACACATCAATTTTCTCCACGTTAATCTAAATTCAAAGATGTTCCAATTAAACTCCTAACAAAAATTTCTGGGTAGCATGACAAATTGATTCTGAAACTTTCACGTTAAACCAATTGTCAACAAATATTTAAGGTAATGCTGGCGAACAGGGAGACTTGACTTAATACCAGATATCAATTACAAAGTCATTGTAATAAAAAGTGTGGTTACGGCCCGGCGCGGTGGCTCACACCTGTAATCCCAGCACTTTGGGAGGCCAAGGTAGGCGGATCACCTGAGATCAGGAGTTCAATACCAGCCTGGCTAACATGGTGAAACTCCGTTTCTACTAAAAATACAAAAAATTAGCCGGGCATGGTGGTGCGCACCTGCAATCCCAGCTACTCAGGAGGCTGAGGCAGGAGAATCCCTTGAGCCCAGAAGGCAGAGGTTGCAGTGAGCCAACATTGCGCCATTGCACTTCAGCTTGGGCAACAAGAGCAAAACTCCATCTCAAAAAAAAAAAAAAAAAAAAAAAGTATGGTTACTAGAAAGGGAACGGAATGACAAATCAACTGCCTATACTAGACATCCAAGAAAGAGACTCACTTATTTGTCAGGCCATTTTTCCTACATATGCCATATATGTACAGATCTGAACCATGAGTTTCACACACTGAAATTTTCTGAATTTATTGTTATATTTAGACTTTGCTTCTTTCAGTCTAGGGAGACTGGAATATATTAGAACTAAAAGATTCAACTTTAATTTTCCTAAAATAGTATTTTCTTCCATTTCCGTCCCTAACCTCTAGTGCTCCTCCATGTCCTCCTCCCTCTCCTCCTCCCTTAACCACAGAAGATATTTCTGTTCTTTGTTTGGCAAGGGGGGCTAGAAGACAGACAGATGCCAATCACATATCACATTGTCTCTAAATTTGCATTTTAGCAGAGATTTATTACACACGTAAAGATATAATGCTTTACATGCATAGGTTGAATATGCCTTCTCTGAAATGCTTAGGACCAGAAGTGGTTTGGATTCTGATTTTTTTCAGATTGGGGAATATCTGCATTATATATACTTAACAGTTGAGCATCCCTAATACAAAAATCCAAAATGCTCCAACGAGCATTTCCTTTGAGCATCATGCTGGTGCTCAAAACATTATAAATTTTATAGCATATCAGTCTTTGAATTAGAGATACTCAACCTGTACAGTATTTAATACACTGTGTTCAAATTATTAGTTCCCTTTCTTTGACCCCAGGCACCCAGTCTGATGTCTCCATATATAAATTCTCAACTAGCTTATACTCTAATTACTAAAAGAAGAGTTGGTGAAGAAAAAAAGCAGCATATGATGAGGTGGTTGCACATGAAATAAACTCTTTCCTATAGAGTAAGTAGCTCTCATACTTGAACATGCATTAGAATCACTTGGAGAACTTGTCAAAACACAAACCGCTAAACTCCATCCCCAGAGTTTCTACTCAATAGGTGTGGGGCTGAGCTGCATCTGTGAAACTTCCTGGGTGGTGCTAATCCTCCTCTACAGGCCACATTTTGAAAAACACCGTCCTACAGAACATGGGTTATCAAGTAGGGCCAATTATGTTCTCTGAGGAAACTGGGCAATGTCAGACTATATTTTTGGTTGTCACAAATGGGAATAGGGAGCATGCTCCTGGCATCTATACTCCTGGCATCTAGTGAGTAGAGACCACAGATGCTGCTAAACATCCTACCATGCACAAGACAGCTCCCACAGCAAAGAATTATCTGGCCCAACACATCAGTGGTTGAGAATGAGAAAACCTGCTATAGAGTAAAATACAACTTACTTCAAATATATGATTCGACCATTAAGTTGGTAAAAGTTCTTCAGTGCATTTCAAAAATTTAACATGGAAAAAATATTCAAAAGTTTTATTCTTTCTCAAGTAGTGACAAAGTATGAATTTTACTCTACAGTAAACTACAGCAAAATGAAGTTTTAGAGAGATTAATACATAAAAGTATACCAAGTTACAAAAGGAAATAAACATTTATGTAATGCTATTGGTAGAAAATTATTTTTTAATAACTAATTATATTAAAAGACTGGTTTCTTTGAAATGTAACGACCAAAAATGCTTATTTCTTAAGCTGAGTGAAAAACAGATGGGTGCTCATTTTAGTATTACATGTATTTAGATATAAATAAAATCTTTCATAATGAGCAATTTGTTTTAAGGAAAAGTGGCAATCACAGCAGTAATCAATCCCAAGTAAATAAGTTTGAGGCATACATGTGTATGTGTATGTATATGTATATCTGTGTACACACACACACAAACACACAAACGAACACACACACACAGACAAATGAACTTACTCCAGTAGGCTGAAAAATAAGTCCATCCATTTCATGGCTCACTTCTTTGGCAAAATTTCCTTCAAGTAGCTATAAAATAAATACACATGTATTCTTTAAAAATATAATAATCACTTTAAAAGTATTTAAACTTCTTGCTAAGCTTTATAAAAACTTCTTAATATATAAGTTATAAGAACTGAAATACAAAATAAGAGAAAGGGATAGGTCTAAAGGAATCTAAGTTAATACATCGTAAGATTTGAATACACACACACAGACACACACACACACACACACACACACACACACACACAAATTTCCATTCCTTGGCAGGCTAGATATTCTAAACAATAGTCCTAACTACAACAACCAAAATAATGAATAAAGCACTGAAAACATATTTTTAAATGTATTCCTAAGCCAGCACAAAAGGAAGAAAGACATAGAAGCAAAAACAAAGTGAAAGTAGAAACTCTGGAAAGTAATAGATAAAAGGAATAAAAAATAAACACACACAAAAACAGGAGAAGCAAAGAAATACTTGGGGACAAGAATTTGTAACTACAAACTAGCTCAAACATGAAGATTATAGTCCAAAGCTACAAACAAACTTGCTTGGGGGCAAGAATTTGTAACCACAAACCAGCTCAAACATGGAGATTATAATCCATAAATACATTGTGTTTTCCAAGAACCCTTAGAGAATGTTTTTAATCTTACTTTGGGGTTTTTTTGTGTCTTTTTTATATTTTTCCAAGCAGAGAATTTCATTGCAAAGAATACACCGTGAAAAATACAACTAACAGTTTTTTCAATGCCATATCAACAGAGTTATAGACCCCATACCCTCTAATTAATTCTGACTGATTACGTAGTTTTAATGTATCTCTTTCACAGATTTTTATTATTTTGAAGAACTCAACATGTATATCACTGATGGAGGCCTGAAACATGAATTTCTGCATTTTGGGGAAGAGAACAAAACATACTTTCACAGAGCTAGGTGCATTAGTTCATTTTCACACTTGCTAATAAAGACATACCCGAGACTGGGTAATTTATAAAGAAAAAGCAGTTTAATGGACTTGCTGTTCCACATGGCTGGGGTGGCCTCACAGTCATGGCAGAAGGTGAAGGAGGAGCAAAGGCATGGTCTTACATGGCAGCAGGCAAGAGAATGAGTGTCAAGCAAAGGGGGAAGCCCCTTATAAAAGCATCAGATCACATAAGAACTCACTATCATGAGAACAGCATGGGGGGAAATAGCCCCCACGAATCAATTACTTCCCACCAGGTCCCTCCCACAACACCAGGTTATCTAGACTCTGGCCAATTAACAGAAAATTCAGGATAGTTCTAGGATTCAAATATGTCTTCTAAATTTTTGGATATGCTGTGTGTTATACATCCCTTTTATCACAATCACACACTCTTGAAAGCACTATGCTTAAAGAGTTTACAAGATTTGCTTTCCAAAAGCAACAACCAAAACTTCAAGTACGTATTTCACTTGCAACAAAAATCTGTGATTCTCTTCCCAAACTGTGACTTCATCTTCTCTGCCATTTCATCCTTCAAAATCTATAATTTCTCTAAACTGAGGGCAGTTCAAATTTGAGTTTAAAAATCTATATTTCCTTAAAATTTTAATGTTCCTTTCTGACACTGAGATAGAAATTAGATCAGTAATTGCCAGAGGCTTGGGGGGTAGTCTTTAATGAGTTTCAGTTTTGAAAGATGAAAAAGTTGGCTGGGCATGGTGGCTCACACCTGTAATCCCAGCAATTTGGGAGGCTGAGGCGGGCAGATCATGAGGTCAGGAGTTCAAGACCAGCCTGTCCAATATGGTGAAACACCATCTCTACTAAAAAATACAAAAATTAACCGGTGTGGTGGCGCGCGCCTGTAGTCCCAGCTACTACTCACAAGGCCGAGGCAGGAGAATCACCTGAACCCAGGAGGCGGAGGTTGCAGTGAGCCAAGATTGTGCCACTGCACTCCAGCCTGGGCAACAGAGTGAGACTCCATCTCAAAAAAAAAAAAAAAAAAAAACTAAATTCATAGCATTTCTGCTGAGCAATGATGCAATAAAAACCAAATACCACAATAATCTCTTTTTTCAAAAAAAAAAAAAAGGTTAAAAAAATGTAACCTTTAATCTTTCATTTGCTCTACTTGTATTGTAGGTACATCATTTATGGCAAGTTAACATGGTAGTTTCCATTCTTCAACCAAACTTCTCAAATTCATGTAATGGACCATGCCTGTATGTAAAGTAACAATAAAAAATAGCCAGTTAGCAAGACTCTACATAACATGATTCTACCTGCTGCAGAAATGAAAGTAATTTCATTTTTTATTCTACTCTTTTTATAAATCAGAGTATTTAAAGGACTGAAAATTCATGGGTCAAAATAAGAGTTCCTCTGCATTACTCTAGACAATATTTTTTTCTTTACTTGACACATAATATTTATGATATCACCTATCATGTATCAAAGACCTACAATGGAGTGTTGTGCTTGGTACTTAACATATCATTCAAAATACATAACTCCTCATGAGATGTGTATTCTCAAGTTTTGAATTATTACTCAATTTGCCAGAAAAGGAAACTGAGGTCATCAGACATAAGCAACTAGCTTTAATTCAGAGAGTAAAGTAAAATCACTCAGAACAGATTACATCAGACTTTAACTAAAAATAAAGAGATAACTAAATAAAGTCTTATGACTCTCTGAAACAAATGCCCCAAAGATTTCTGCAAGTTCCTAAATATATAGGTCCTCCAATAGCCACTTAAATTTTATAGACTTGGCCAGACACAGTGGCTCACACCTGTAATTCTGGCACTTTGGGAGGCTGAGGCAGGGGACTGCCTGAGGCCAGGAGTTCAAGACCAACCTGGCCAACACAGCAAGACCCCATTTGTATATTTAACAAAAATTTTATAGACTTTAAATGCATTATAGAATATACTATATGAATAAAGTGAATATGAAGGGAGATAAAATTCTTGAAGGAAAAAAGGTTTTCTAAGAATAGAGATGTAATCTAAAAATGTTATTAATATTGTATACTTTATATTAACTGATTTATATATTCATATGAGATCATATATGTAATGTGTTTATTAAATTAGAAATATTAGCTTTTGTTTATTTACAATTCTTAAAAAAAAAAAGTATCCAAACTTGTTACGGCCATCTTCCATATATCAGTATCTTCATCATTAGAGCCAACTTTTAAGTCATTTAGCCAGTTTCCATTATTTTTCCTGCTGCTGTCTCTGATTTACAGCATTCTTCAAATCATACATGAGATTATAACTGCAGATGTTATCCCAAGCTACAAGTACTGGTTGACTAATGTTAAGAAAATGCTTTTTCCCCTCATTCATTCCATAGATCTATGTTCATAATCTTAGAAGTGCTTTGCTCTTTGAAGATACCTTTAAAAGGTTGGTTTAAGAAAAAGTTCCTCATTCATTTACGATGTGAAAAATAGTAAGAGAATGCTGCTTCTACACTGATGATAATAAAAAAGCAGATAATCTATCAAATAATAACTTTTGTTATGGCCATCAGAAAGCTGACATCTGCAGGCAACCAAATAAACTGAATCCCAGCCCCTCCAAAGGAGGGTGAAGTATATGAACTCATGTCTTCTTTGGTAGAGAAAAGGAAGAGGAAGTGGCAGCCATAAGTGAGTACAAAGAAAACAACAACTGACCAATTCTTAAAAACTAAGTCTGGGCGAGTGGAACAGTTTAGAATCCCTGGAAGCCCAAAACACAAGAGATACAAACTTTTTCTCAGGCTTCTATCAGGCTTCACAAGAAAGACCACAGGCAGGGCAGGAAACATGAGAATGCCCCCACCTTGGTTGGGCACAGACGTTAAAACCCTCCTGCTTTCCAAACCCTTCTTGATATGATGCAAAAGTTACCTGGGAATAAATCCATATGCAGCTATACAAGAAGCTGGAGACAGACTTGGACCAATGATATTATATTGATAAAAAGCAGAAAGACTTGGTCCTGACAAAATATCCCTATGCAAGGCAAAACTTCACTGGCAAGAGGGAGAGGGAAGACCCACTGAGGAAAACCCCATGCCTGCGATTCAGGTGCTCAGGTTCTGCTTAATACTAAGGCTGGAGAAGAAAAACTAAGAAAACTCCACAGTCTTCACAAGTCTGGCACTGAGCGGCAAGAAACAGTTGTTTACATATGGGGAAAAGTACTAGAAGTATGAAAATAGAACACTCTGTGGTACAGGGGAGCAGAGCCTACTGAAAGCTAAACGTGAAACAGAAACACCAGGAGAAAACCCTTTTATACTCTAGGCATTACAATAAATACAAGTAACAGCAGCCAACTGCTGAGAAAATATAAATTCTTTGGAGCACTGAAGATGTAATTATATAGCAACACATAGAACAGGCTGATTCAACCACTACCCCTCCCCACCCACAAATGAAGCCTATTAACAAACTAAAAGAAGTATGCCTGTTACCAAGCATAAAGATACTTACCTCAGTCTCTTTTGTTCATATAGGAAAGAAAAATCCACGAAAGACGTCTAATTTAAAAATTCTGTCTCACACACACACATACACAAAGGAAAAATAAATGGCCTATATTCAAAGATAAGGCAGTCAACAGAAGCAGACAAAGAGAGGGTCTATATTTTGGAATTATCAAAGACTTTAAAAATAACATTTACAAAAAACAACAGATGCTGGCAACGTTGTCGAGAAAAAGGAACACGCTTTTTTTTTTTTTTTTTGAGATGGAGTCTCACTCTGTCGCCCAGGCTGGAGTGCAGTGGCACAGTCTCGGCTCACTGCAACCTCTGCTTCCCGGGTTCAAGAGATTCTCCTGCCTCGGCCTCCTAAGTAGCTAGATTACAGGCGCGCACCACCACACCTGGCTAATTTTTGTCTTTTTAGTAGAGAGGGGGTTTCACCATGTTAGCCAGGATGGTCTCAATCTCCTGACCTCGTGATCTGCCTGCCTCGGCCTCCTAAAGTGCTGGGATTACAGGTGTGGGCCACCGCACCCGGCCTGAAAAAGGAACACTGTTACACTGTGAGTGGGAGTGTAAATTAGTTCAACCATTGTGGAAGACAGTGTGGTGATTCCTCAGAGACCTAAAGGCAGAAGTATCATTTGACCCAGCAATCCCATTACTGGGTATATACCCAAGGAATATAAATCATTCTATTATAAAGATATATGCATGTGTAAATTCATTGCAGCACTATTTATAACAGCAAAGTAATGGAATCAACCTAAATGCCCATCAATGATAGACTGAATAAAGAAAATATGATACATATACACAATGGAATACTATGCAGCCACAAAAAGGAACAAGATCGTATCCTTCAGGGACATGGATGGAGCTGGAAGCCATTATCCTCGGCAAACTAACGTAGGAACGAAAAAACAAAACACTGAATGTCCTCACTTATAAGTGGGAGTTCATTGATGAGAACACATGGACACATGGGGGTGAACAACACACACCAGGCACCTGTGGGGGGCATGGGGAGAGGGAGAGCATTAGGAAGAATAGCTAATGGATGCTGAATTAATACCTGGGTGACGGCATGATCTGTGCAGGAAACCACCATAGCATGTGTTTACTTATGTAACAAACCTGCACATCCTGCACATGTACCCTGAACTTAAAAGTTGATAAAACAAATAAATAAATAAAAATAACATTGTAAATGATCTAGACAAAAAAGTGGAAAACATGCATAAACGGATATGGAGTTTCAGCAGAGATGGAAACAATAAAAATGAAACAATTGAAAATGCAGAAATAAAAACACACAACATCAGAGAAAAAGAATGTTAATCAGTGGGAATGATAATCAATGAGATTATCCACAGACTGGACACAGAAGAGAAAAGTCACTAAACTTAAAGAAGAAACGTACGTGGCACTTTTTCCAACTGAAATACAAAAAGAAAAAAAGAGGGAAAAAAGAAACAGTGCTGAGAATCAAAGAGCTGGGAGACTACAGCCAAAGACAGAACATTTGTACAGCTGGAATGCGAAAACAAAAAGAAAGATACAAGGAAGCAAAGAAACCAACTGAGAGAAATAATGCCTCCAATTGCTACAAAATTAATTAAACACATAAACACAAACACACACCCCAATGGACTCCAAGAGGACAGGAAGAAAGATTTAAGAAAAACAAAAAAAAAAATGTAGGTTTATCATAGTCAAAACCCAGCAAGAAGGGGGAAAAGATTACAGGCAGAGGAACAAAAATAAGATTGACAGCAGACTCCTTATCTGAAATTACGCCAGCCATGAGACAATGAAACCTCACCTTTAACATACTAATATTAATAGAAACAATGTCAATCCAAAAATCTTTAGCAAATGAAAATATCTTTCAATAATAAAGGCACAGTAGAGTTCTTTTTCAGACAGACAATAGCTGATAAAACATATTTCCACCAAGCTAGAATATAAGAAATTTTAAAAGAAAATTTTCAGGTAGAAGGAATATGATACAAGAATAAAATCTGTATCTAAACTGAAATAATGAAGGGCATTGGAATGGTTAAAAACTAGAATAAATATAAGAAATCTGTGTTCCTCTTTCTTTTCTTACAATATAATTGACTAATTAAAGTAAAAATATTAACAATGTATTGTAGGATTTATAACATATGTAAAAACAAATTGTATAAAAGGAAATGAGGTAAGAACCCCAACTAGGAAGTGGCATACTATTATTTAAAAGTAAATTGTGAAAACAGACACTATAAACCTTAGAACAACTGCTAAAATATACACAAAGATATATATCTAATAGGCCCAAAAAGTGGAGATATAATGGAATAAGAACATTCTCAAGTAATCTAAATGATGGCAAGACAAAAGGAAAAAAGTAAATGAGAAAACATGGGGCAAGCCATGTAGTAAATCAAGTAGTATGATAGTAGATTTAAACCAGATTGTTTTCATTCTAATGATATTTCTTCTAAAAACCACAACATTACAAAATCAACAAGCAGAGATTGTCATTATTAATAAATTTTTTTAAGAAATCAAGAACCAGCTGGATGTATGTCTGTAATGCCAGCACTTTGAGGGGCAGAAGCAGGCAGATAGCTTGAGCCCAGGAGTTCAAGACCAGCCTGGGCAACATGGCAAAACCCCATCTCTACAAAAAATATTTTAAAAAATGTAGGTTTATCATAGTCAAAACCAAAGTCAAAACCATAGTCAAAGCCAGGCCATGGCGGCATGCACCTATAGTCCCAGCTACTTGGGAAGCTGCTGTGGGAGGATAACTTGAGCCTGGGAAGCGGAGGTTGCAGTGAGCCAAGATCATGCCACTGAATTCCAGCCTGAGTGACAGAGTGAGATCCCTCTTAAAAAAAAAAAAGGAACCAACTATATAATAGTGTCTACAACAGCCCACTTTGTACATAAAGAGTCCGTTAGGTATAAAGTACAGAGATGGAAAAAGATGTCAAATTCAGGGCTAATGGAAAAAAGCTGAAGCATCTAGGCTATATTAATATAAGACAATGAGAACTTCTGAACAAGAAATTACTAGAGATGAAAACAATACATACTGACAAAGGGGGTCAATTCATCAGGAGTCTGTAACAATCTTAAATGTATACACACCTTAAAAAAAGCTTCAAAATAAAACTGACAAAATAGATAAGAAAAATAGTGGGGAAATCCTCAATTATACATAGAGAATTTAACACTCTTCTCTGAGCAAACGACTGGACAAATAGAAAAAAAAATCACTAGTAGTAAAGACATCTTGAAAAGACTTACAGAACACAAGCAGACAGAAAGCCAGTGAGGATATGGAAGCGTAGATCACTATAAAACAACCTGACTTAATTGACATTTATAAAAATACTCCACCCAAACCAGGAAAAAATGCTTTTTTTTCCTAAATGCGTACAACACATTTCAAAGTATATTCTCTGATCATAATGAATTAAATTAGATGTCAATATTTGGAAAGTCATCCAATATTTGAAAATTAAATAACACACTTCTAAATAACCCAAGAATAAAAGAAGAAATTAAAAGGGAAATTTTAAAGTATTTTAAACAGAATGAAAACAAAAACAGAGTAGATTAATGTTTGAGAGATGCAGCTAAAGCATATTTACAGAAAATTTTGCTGCATGAAATACCTAATTAAAAAGAAGATCAATGACCAGGCACAATGGCTCATACCTGTAATCCCAGCACTTTGGGAGGCTGAGGTGGGAGGATCACTTAAGGCCAAGAGATTGAGACCAGCCTGGGCAACATAGTGAGACCCTGTCTCTACAAAAAATTTAAAAAGTAGCCAGGCATGGTGGCATGCACCTAAGTCGCAGCTACTCAGGAGGCTGAGGCAGAAGGATCATTTGAGCCCCAGAGGTTGCAGCTGCAATGAGTCCTGATTGCACCACTGCACTCCAACCTGGGCAACAGAATTAGATATCGCCTAACAAAAGCAAAAAAAAATTTTTTACCCATTTTTATAATAAAAAAAATTAAGAAAAAGGTTACAAATCAACGACCTCAACTTCCACTTTAAGAAAGTAAGGAGAACTGTAAAGAATTTCATAATCTCAGATATAAAAAATAGCCAGTTGGGCTGAGATAGTGTACACAATAAAAACAACTTCTCCCCTCCTAAGGCTAAGACCGGACTTCACTGAAGACGGAACAGCCATAGCTCACTGGATGGTGAAGCTGATGAAATGTCCCAGCTGCCTTTAAAGATGGAAGTTGTATCAAAGCAGTATGTCCAAATTTAGCATACTGAGTAATAGGTAGGAATGAATTTCCAAATTTCAAAATTAAGTCGCTGAGATGAAAATTTCAAAGAAATTGAGAGGCCAAGGTTGTAAGTCAAACCAAACATTGGGAAGTGTATTCAGCAACGATGATGGGCAGCCTTTGAGAGAAGAGTCTGTCAGGCACAGTCTCCATGAAAAAAAGGAGTTAGCAAAAAGTCAAAAAGAGAGTCTCAATGTGCTTAAAATAGCACGACTTGAAAAGTCAGGTTTTATTTAATAATTTAAATAACAGATATAATTTTAAACTCACTTTGATATTCTTTTGTGTCTGATATTACATTCAAAAAATAACCTACTGTTTCTTTTTCTCCTTTTCTATATATAAAGTAAAACTTATTCATGAGTTGCACTGGTATCCTAATGTAAGAAGTACTAAGCTAAGTTTTTCATAGATAATTCACTGGTTGATTAACATCCCAATAAAAATACAATTGCATGCAGTGTTCATGAGATAGATATTTCCTGACTGCCTTCCAATGCTAGAAACCAAGCCAGCATTAGGACATGCTAATGGGATATGAGGACCCAATAACAACATAAGCCTTGGCCAATGTGCCTAAATAATACCTTAATTTCAATTTGACAGTAAAAACATTTAAATGTGATGACATAATTACAATTTCTCCTTGTCAATCTTTCTTCAGAAACGTGGTTCTACTTAAATTACCCTAGATGTTTTTAAAACACTTCTAACAAATAAAAGAATCTTAATTTAGAAATGGTTAATTGAAAAATCTTGGAGAAATTTAAAGTGGAATATCTGGTCAATCACCCTAAACTAGGATACAATCCTTTTCAGAATTACAATTTTCTTGATAATTTTCCCTCCAGACAAAATTCGAAGATAATTGGATGAAAAGTAAAACAGTAGACATTATATATCAATTTTTAATAAAGCATGATACTTTTCATAAGGTTTTTCCTATAAAACTTAAATTTGCTTACTTATGAACATAATCTTATCTTTGAATACCATCTGAAATATCCTACAGAGGGCATGTAGCATGGACCAAAGATTGGAGGAACTGACAAAGGTTACCATATGATTGACTCTGAGTTGATGTTTTATGTCTATGAATCATGATGTAACCGAAAACCAAGTTGTTATAAATGCATAAGCAGAGAAACATAATGCAAAAGGCTTGACATTAGAAACATGAGAAATAAAATAGAAACTGCAAAGTTACAAAGCATAGAAAGGAGCCTTTTAAAAATAATAAGCAAAATGACAGCTTAAGACTACAGTGAAGAAGAAACTCAATCTCCAATGTTATTAGAAATACGAATTGGCAATATCAATTCATTATAGTATGGAAAATATACCAATGGAATACTTAAAAAAGAATAAACTACCTCCACCTTTCAGTTCTGGTCTATTCTACTCAGACATCTTCTGAGCAGATATTCCCACAAAGCCTCAACTCATTGCCTGAGAATACTCAATATAGTAACTTCTATCTCTTGACTCTTTTATGTGCTTTCATAACTCCCCACAAATCCAAGGTTTAGTTTTAAAACCCCCCCAAAAATGGAAATTTGCACTCCCCTGGATACTAATCTTTATTGGTTTTCAATCCCAAATTCTAACTTCTAGTTCAGGTTAGGATTATTCAATGCTTCTGTACTCTGAATGTCCTTCTAATCAGTAAATAATAATCCTACAAGTCATCCTTCTTGCTCATCACAAAGCCAACATCATTATCTTCTTTTAAAAAAGAATGACTTGATTGCCACTATTTACCAATAGTGCCTAAACAACTATGTCATTCAAGTTAGCTAATCAAAATATAAATCGCTTTTGCAATACTATTGTTGGCTCTTTCATTAACCAATATTATTGCAATTAAAAAGAGGCATAATAATTCTGGTGAATCCTATTTGACAAGTTAGAAAATCTCAAACAAAATTTCTCTAGAAAATATACCCTCTTAATTTTGGTTGCCGTTAGTCTTATTTTTACCAAAATCCCTTCATAGATCCACAAAGAAGTAGTCAACCACATCCTCATGGAACAATAAAAGTTCTTTTCATCAGATTTCTAATTATTCTTTTTTATTTCATAATTTAGGCATCATTCACTCATTCAACAAACATTCACTTAGTACCAATAAGTGACAACCACTGTGTTAAGTGTTTGAGATGTAAAAGAGTTTACTCCATGTCTATCTTGGAAGAGCAGGTGGCAGGGTCTAGTGGGGAGACCCCAAACTCAAATGTCTATACGTGCCAGGCCATAACCTGAACTGGACAGGGTATACAGTAAGACGGACGCGTGAGACCAACTGGAGAAGACATCCTCATCTACAAGCAGTCAAATTCAACATTGTTTACATATCATATGAGATTACACTTTATGAAGCTCATGAATTTATGAGTTAATATGGACCTAAATACACATAAAATAGTTTTTTTACCTTAAATGCTTTCAATAGAGATGCTTAAAGACTTCTAAGGAAACAAAACAGCAATTATATTTTCATCTATCATTTAAGGATTTATTCAAATATTTACTGAGTACTAATTACATATTCATTTTTAGAAAATGATGAGAAGAGCAAGAGAAGGAGGTAATACATACAAAACTACTAATATATGCCAGGTACTGTTCCAACACTTTACATATTTTAACTTATTTTTAAACTATGCCCTAAAGAGTTAAAGAAACCAGTGACTGGCAGAAATTATTGAGCCTGCAGGGTGGCAAATTAAAAAAAGAAACAAATTGCTGAAACGCTGAAACTCCCTCCACTTATGAGATTTAAAACCTGGCTGAAATCAACTGGAACCGATATGGCCTACTGGCGTTTGCACAGAACGAACTTGCCGGTGTCACAGATCAAATTTCCACCACAGGCTGCATACTAACTCCCCCTGAAACTTGCACATGAGATCCATGAGGTAGTATGAATAAATAGCTGTGCATGCCTGAGGACTTTCCAGACCTCTCCTCTCCTTCCACCAATAACCTACCAATCCCTGAACACACTCCCTAAACCTTTTCTAATGAAATTACTGCCTTAAAGTCAGCACAGAGAGACAGATTTGAGCTGGACTCCTTTCCTCTTGTTAGTCGACTTGCAATAAAAAGCTTTTATTTTCCCAAAAACTCAAGTGTCATAGTATTGGCTTCTAGCACATCAGGCAGCAAGCCCTTTTGCTCGGTAACATTTTTAGCCTCATAATTACCATATACAGTAGGGATTATTGTGATTCCCATTTTAAAGGTGAAGTTAAGAACTTGCCTAAGGTTACACAGCAAGAAACTGAGAATCCAAATGCATTCTGGCTCCAGAGTCCATATTGTTAGCTGCTATTCTAAACTAGAGTGTCAGAGTCCCAAAAACTTCTCCTAATCTCTACTCTAGTCTAGGTTATATGCTCCTTCAATAAACTATCAAAGTATCCTATGCTTCCCTCCATCACAAGCTTTTCCCATCTGTCTGACTACTAAATTGATATGTATGCTTTTTGAGGTCAGGAATCACATCTTACATTCATTGTATTTTCAACATCTATTACAATAATCTGGTGCACAGTAAGCTCTCACTTAACAAATGTGTGTTAAATAAATATAAAATGAATAACACAGTGCAAGAATCTATAAAAATAAGCTGGTAAGGCTAGGTTATAACCATAGGTTATAGGTTAGGTAGAAAAATACATAGGCTGTATTATCACAAGAGGTTTTATAAAATGAAAACATAAAAAACTGTTAGAGAAGTTTAAAAGTTGATTAGACTTGTGTACGTATTATGAAAGGGGTAAGATTTTAAAAAAAAGCTAAAGTCATCTCTCATAAGTTAATAACTTCCTAATAAATCATCCTTTATTACCTATATATATCTCCAGTGAAGACAACAGTAATAACGTCCTAACTGGGCATATAGAGTTGCTTCTAGGTGAATTTCCTTTCTTCAAACTATTTCTACTCACTATGCTACTCACTGACTTTCTAAAACAAACAATTTGTTGTGTGTCATGGTCATATCTAAAAATATTTGAATGCCCTTCACTGTCTATAGTCCAAGTTGCCTTAGTATAGCTTTTAAAGCCCTTTTTTTCCTGGGAAAACTCTCCTGAATATGTCTATAATCAAATCACAATGAAATGCTCACCTTTTCTAAAATATTTATATACTTTGATATCATTAAACCTTTGTTCATGCTATACTCTGTATCCAGATTGCAGCTGACAAGAAATATAAGTGAGTATTTGTTTTGTGGATAGAAAAGCATGACCTATCAGTTTAGAAGAATAGTAAGTACTTTTGAAATGAATATACGAATACAATGGATATTTGGCCATAAATACATAATGCAGTAAAAATACAACTAAACTGCATAAATGACTAGTCTGGATGTCATGAGGGAGAAAAAGTAGAGAGATTTAAAAAAAAGGAAAAGGCTAAATAGTTCTAATTTGAACATTAAGGGAAAATCATTTATTTGTAAAATAAAATTTAAGATTTTCAAATAAAGAGTAATATGAGAAATTGCAAAAATATACCCTCTGTTTAAATAGGTGTGTTGAGGAATTCACTTTACCAAAGAGAGGGCCTGGCCTTTGCCCTCAGCTACTGGGAAACGATCTCTAGGCCCAGGGGATATCCTCCTTGATAAGAGTACCTGGAGTCACTGGAGAGTCTAACAATGTGACTCATGATGGGAGCTTCCTGGAATACCCTGTCAGCTCTGATCTCCAAAGAAACTAGAAACTAAATGTATTAGCCTGAACTTTTGGGAGGAGATAAAGACTAAAGGTCAGACACAGGGACAGTATGTGAACAAAATCCAGTATAAACTGTGGACACCAAAAGCTTGCATTAACTTCCCTGGACTGTCATACATCATAGCCAGGAAGAGGTAACAGCATCCATGACTCCACCAGGAAAGCACAACCAGAAGCTTTGCTTTTGAGCCCCTCCCAGATTCTGCCCACGTGTCTCTCCTTTGGCTGGTTTTAGTATGTATCCTTTCATTATAATAAAACTATAATTCTTAGTGCTCTGAGTTTTGTGGGTCATACCAGTGAATTATCAAATCTGAGGGAGTCAGTGGGGACCTCAGTATCTAAAGCCAGCAAGTCTGAAGTAAAGGAGGCCCTAGGGACCCCCAAACTTGAGGCTGGTATCTGAAGCAAGGACCATGCGGTTGGCCTAAACGTATTCCAATAGGTTTTTGTCACTGTATTTCTCTAGTTGATACCATTTCAGCTGTCCTCAAAGTCACACCCATCAGCAGGAAAGCTTATGACTTCCCCTGTGAGGCATTATTGCCAAGAAGCTGTTCCGGAAGTGACAGACTGTAGAATGATGCGATAGTTGCCTTCTCTGTTAATGAGTAAAGTGACCCAGTTAGCCATCACAGATGAGACCTTTAGCTTCACTTTAATAGACATTGATGTCTCCGGATGAGGACAACCCACACTGGGATACCAAATGGCATTTTAGCTGTAAACTAAACATGTTCTGCAGCCTAATAAAGTAACAGGAAAATGGAAGTGAGACTTTCAGAAATAAACTTTACTTTCCACAATATAAAAAAGTATAACATTTCCCTATTCTTTGTATCAATTTTAAGCTAGGACAGAAAGAGAAAGCTCAAAATCATATAAAAATAAGACCTAAGATTTCTATCTAGAATGTTGTATGAAATATATTGTGAACAAAATAGCAAAATATGTATACCTCTGTTACGGTGATTTTATTTCCTGTACTTAAAATTAAGCATTTATCAACAATTTAATGCAGCAAAGTAATTACATGGTTCACTGGGATTTGACATAACACCTTTAAAGAATACTGACTTTCATTCATTTTATTGTCATTAGGCTCCAATGTCAAAATTAAAGTTCTATTAGTTATCTTCCATGCCTCTATATGTACATTATCTCCCAGGAAGATTCCATCCTACTTCAGTCTAGTGAGTTACAATCTTCTCATGAGGTGCACATATGTGTATACAGTATATGGGGACATATATGTGCACTTATAGTCCCTAGGCTAAGACTAAGAATTCTAAGAACACGCAAAAAGAAGGGCAAAGTACACAAAAGGGGGAAGAAATGAAAAACTTCTTTAATGAGAAAAAAGAATGAACAGAACGAGTGGGACAAAACCCATAGCACATAATGGGGTATTTGACATAAAATACTAGGTATCAGAGGTAAGACTAAGCAAAGTATATTTTAGGTATTGGAAAAGCAATGTACTTAAACCAATAACACCACCAATTTAAATTTATTACTCTTTTGTTCTCAAGTATATGAAACTATGAGTCATTCAAGCTTCCATTTGAAAATAACATTCAAAAAAACCTTTGCGAGCACCCTAGAATCAGTAATAAAACCTATTCTAATTATATCTAGAGAAAGCATTGATTTACAATACACCAAAACTTAGAAAAGGTGACCCAGATATATGAGTACTTAAAATTTCAATGTCATTGTTTCCTGGAAGTAATCACAGTCTAAGGAGGAAATGGGGACACAGGGGGCACACAGGCTGGGGGAGAGATTCTCATTATTTCCAAACAATAATATGGAGACCTAAAACTATTCACATACAAATCAACACTGGAACTTTGAACTCAATCCTTAAAGTCTGGCCAGTAATACAGTTTAGACCTGAAGCACCAAAAGATAAGTTTTAGCTTGTTGCAAGCTCTAGAGACACACTGAAGAACAACGGTGGCACCTTGTACACTCTAGAGCAAAAACCACTCTGGTCTAGCGTATGTAAAAGGAATCCTAAATATATACATGCCTTTCATTTAAACCCCTTTCTTCTCAGACAGCAAAAAGGAATATGCAAGGTATTCAGAACCTCTTCATACCATATATCTGGACTAAGTAGGTACAGTTATCTCACTTCAGACATATCAGACAGATGGAATTTAAAAGGTACATTTTTTGGATCTTTTACAGCTTAATTTTTCTGGTCATCCTACCCAAAATGTGGCCCAGGCACAGTGGCTTACACCTGTAATCCAAACGCTTTGGGAGGCCATGGTGTGAGGACCGCTTGAAGCCAGGAATTTAAGACCAGCCTGGGCAACAAAGTCAGATCCTGTCTCTACAAAAAAATAAGTAAAAAAAAAAAAAAAAAAAAAAAAAGTGGGGGGAGGTGTAGATATAAATACACTAAATATACACACAACACATACGTGTACACACACACACTCATATTCTCCAACTATCAGAAAACTAATAAACCACTCTGAACTATATCATGTCTCCTCAAACTAATCAGCAACCTTAACCCTATTCCTTCACGTACTTTGCCAACCTCTGAACCTAAATGATAACTAACCTATCCCATGCCTTCACCATCCAAGTCTATTCACATCATTTTTTTTTTTTTTTTTTTTTTTTTTTTGAGACGGAGTCTCGCTGTGTCTCCCAGGTTGGAGTGCAGTGGCGCCATCTCGGCTCACTGCAAGCTCCGCCTCCCGGGTTCATGCCATTCTCCTGCCTCAGCCTCCCAAGTAGCTGGGACTACAGGCGCCCGCCAACACGCCCAGCTAATTTTTTGTACTTTTAGTAGAAACGGGGTTTCACCGTGTTAGCCAAGATGGTCTCGATCTCCTGACCTCGTGATCCGCCCGTCTCGGCCTCCCAAAGTGCTAGGATTACAGGCGTGAGCCACCGCGCCCGGCCTATTCACATCATTTTAAAATCATTCTTCTATACAGATGTAAGATGAGTCAACATCTAACAGTTTATTTTCTTTTAACCATCTGTAATTTCCATCAGGTTGAGCATTATGTGCAATTGTTCCTAAGTATTCTTAAACACCTAAAAATACAGCCAAATATACTATCATTTTTTGAAAGTCAGCATATTAGAAACATAAGCTCAAGACATTGGGTTAACCAGGAGCATAATTTAAGTTTACTTTGGGCTGGGCGCGGTGGCTCATGCCTGTAATCCCAGCACTTTGGGAGGCTGAAGCGGGTGGATCACCCGAGGTCAGGAGTTCAAGACCAGCCTGGCCAACATGGTGAAACCCCGTCTCTACTAAAAATACAAAAATTAGCCAGGCATAGTGGTACATGCCTGTAATCCCAGCTACTCAGGAGAGAAGAATCGCTTGAACCCGGGAGGCAGAGGTTGCAGTGAGCCAAGATCCTGCCATTGCACTCCAGTCTGGGCAACCAGAGTGAAACTCCGACTCATAGAAAAAAAGAAAAAAGTTTATTTCGTCCATCAGGAACCAAATCAAGTCAGGCTAAAGATGAATGCACAGTTACTGATAAAATAAGGCTATGAAATTAACTACCAATTCATTACGAGTATGATAAACCCAGTTTAAAATGTTTTGTAATTGTGCTGCAAAAGCCATAATCAACAAGAGAAAAATAAATTTGTGATACATACTGAGAACAGTTTTAATAAAATTAACTTCTCTTAAAATCAGCAATAAATGACTGCAAAATTTAATCATTATGTTTTTTCTATACAGAGCTATATTTAGTTAGCCAAAACCATTTATGTGACCATACATTTATGTCATAATAAATAAAAAGACTTCTGTTAAACATATTTGTTTGCTGATAGGTAAAATTATATCCACATCACAGTTTCAATAAAAATAATAATACTAGTCCTTTAATATCTTCAACCTACTTTCTTTCAGTTCATAATTCAATAAACAGCAAATTATTAGAAAATTTAATTTTGAAATATACAGTTATTATAACATCTATGAGACCTAGAAAAAATTATTTAATGTCAAGAATAGTATTCTTCATAACATTAAGTATTCCCCAAAATTATATAAAACTTAAATATATTTTTTGGTAGATAAAAGATAAAGTCATTTTTCCTGAAATGATGTCTTAGCACCTAACTGAACTATAGAAAAGAGAAGGTCATTAAGAGGAAGGTTTCAAGTAGAAATAGTCTGTTACACTCACAGATACAGTAACAGGAAAGGCAAGGCGGGGCTCATGAATTAAACAGCCCCAAGAAAAAAAGAATGAAAAAGGGCAAATTCTGAAAGGGGTGCTGAAAGAGCTCATGCAGCTAATAAACACATGTGCCACAAAACAACCATCCAAACAGTAGGATCTGCATTCTCCTAGAAATTCAATGTTATTTCCAAGACACTACATTACTTTTGAGTAAAGAGTCCTAATCCTTTGGCATCATAACCACCAGCTACTCTAATCTTAACCCTAACTTTTCCATGTAATTCATCAAACTACCAACAAGGACTTTAGTACTTGAATCATCCTTGTCTTCTTCATGTATGCTACCATACATGTGGACAATCTACTCAGCATCCTAGTGTCCAAGATCCTAAATATTTTCAACTCTACTGACATTCTCTTCCACTCTACCTCATTAATCTCTACCAACAGACAGCTGCTAAATTATTATTTAAAAGTACTCCACATCAAACGTGATCACTCTCTTACAATATATGTCTCCCATCCAGCAATGAAAGAGGCATTTCTATCTACCTGCTACAGCTGCGGATCTTTATTTCACCTTTCAAAAATTATTTCACCTACTAGGTAGGTGAAACATTTCACGAACATTCTCAAAACCCTATCTCCACACATGCCTCTCTGGAACTACAATTCTCAGCACTGCAATATGACTAGATATGAGATTGTACAGAATCATATGTGGAACAGTGTTTTAGACTTGGAAAACCAAGCAAAGAGTATTAAGAATTTAAGCCCTGAAATGCCACAAGAGTGGTGCTTTCTGAGGACTGAACTTATCACAAGAAAACCTATAGGCTCCTACCAATTACCCAGTGAAAAAGTCTAATTTTAACAATATATTACTGATGATGATGATATGATGATGATGATGATGGATGACTTATCTGAGGCTAGCAGTTCCACACTATTAAATAAAGAAAGCAAAATTTTAAAACATTGGCCAGTTACCCAGCCCTCCATGTTTGGCTAATATGAGAGGAAGAATCAAAAAACAATCAAATATTTTCTCATTAATGTCAGAACAGGACAAAGATATTCTCTGTCAGCACTCCTTTCAAAATCATACTGAAGTTCTAGCTAATAAAGTAAGACAAGTAAAAGGTATAAATATTGGGAAGGTAGAAATAAAATTGTCTTTTTTCACAAATGATATGATTGCCTATGCAGAAAGTATGAAAAGAATAAACAAAAACTCCTGGAACTAATAAGCAATTATAGCCAGGTTTCAGGACACAAATATATAAAACTCAATCACTTTCCCACATACCAGCAATGGTATACAGAAAAAATATCAATCACTTTCCTATATACCAGGTGAATTTCAAAATTTAAAATACAATAACATTTACATTAGCACCCTCCAAAAATGAAATACTTAGGGATAACATAACAACTACATATAAAAATCTGTATTAGAAAAACTACAGAATTCCAACGAAAGAAACCAAAGAAGAACTAAATAAATGGAGAGACAGCACATGTTCATAGATAGGAAGACTCAATATTGTCAAGATGTCAGTCTTCCCAATTTGATCTACAGATTCAACACAATCCCAACCAAAATCCCAGAAAGTTATGTTCTAAATATTGTCAAACTGATTTTAAAGGTTGTATGGAGAGGCAAACGATCTAAAATAGCCAGCACAATATTGAAGGAGAAGAATAAGAGCAACAACTGACACTACCAGACTCAAAATTTACTATACAGCTACAGTAATCAAGACAGTATAATATCGGCAAAAGAACAGACAAATGGATCAGTGGAACAGAATAGAACCCAGAAATAGATCCACATAAATACAGTCAAGTGATCTTTGACAAAACAGCAAAAGCAATGAAACGAAAATAGTCTTTTCAACAAGTGGTGATAGAACAACCGGACCTTCACATGCAAAAAAATAAATAAATTCTGAAGTTGCAAACTTATGATTTGTGTATGTTTCAGTGTGTGTTATACATCCCCAAGCAAAAGTCTGCTTAGAAACACTAAAGAAAAAAATGTGCTAATTAAATTTTAGAAAGCATATGTTTTACATTCTCAAATTTCTGAAAAATATGCTATGCTAAAAATCAGATGTGTGAAATATAGGGCATTTTGAGGAACTATCCAATAATACAAAAAGAAGAACAAAGAAAAGTATAAAAGATAAAATATATAGAAGCACATGTTAAGCAAAATTTTTAAGGAAAATTAAATATTATGCAAACCTATATTAATATTTCTAAGCAAAATACGATTAAGCAAAATTCAAAGTAAACAAAAGCAAAATAAAAGAAATTAATATTTCTGTATAAAATATGCCTAAGCAAACTGAAAGAAAAAATGGTGTCAACTGATTTCGATAATAAAATTCATAATGAAGAAATGAGTAATAAATGTTTATGTGCTAAAATTTTAATATATTAGAAAAAAGACAAAATGTAATAGCACTGAAACATTTTAATATTCCTCTCTTACCTATGACAAAACTATAACATAAAAACATTCACAGAAATGTTTATAACTGATGATATATTAGGCCACTAAAAAAAAAAAACCAGCAAATTCCTAGAAATCATACCAACTACATTCCCTAGTCACCAAACAAACAACAACAAAATTAGAACTAAGAAAAATAAATAAGTTGAAAACAAATGGGAAAAGCTGATAAACTTCAAATTTTAAAACATTCTGTTAAGTGCTGTGCAGTCAGGGGAAGGGCCAAAAAGTGAACTGAATTTATACAGCCAGTTTTTCTCTAGGGGCATTTCCTGATTTTAACATATGGCAAAACTTAGAAAATCCATATTTTTTCCCTAGGCAAAAGGCCACTGCTAAGGGAAAAGGAAACAAGTAGAGATTTTAGTGGGCTCAGGGAATTAGAGAGACACATTTGGGAAGGGATTCAAACATACACCTGGATTTCCCCTCGAGATGATAGCACAATGCTAAAGTTACACAGATACGTAGAAAACAAAATTTAAAAGAAAATATATGTCCAACACCAATATAATACATTTGAACATTTTAATGACATTGATAATTTTCTAAAAATGACATATTAACAAAGGTGACGCATAAAAATGTTAAAAGTTGCTAACTATGTTTTTCAAAGACTTTCCTCCTTAAAAATATCCTAAAAGTTATTTTAGGACTGAGTTCATTCAGGCTTTCACAGAACAATTCACTACAGTGTAAATAAACTATTCTCTGTCATAGAAAAATAGGTATAAATCCCCTGATTCATTTTACATAATAAAAACAGACAACTACAAAATCATTCTCCATCTACTGTCAACTACAGACCAACCTCTATCACCCATTCCGTCGTTCCAGGCATTTGCAATAGTGGCAAATCTATCACATTATTTTATCAGAAAGTGTGTCTGTATCACATAAAAAGAGTGAACATTGATAGGATGGCAATTAAAAACAGGTGATCAACCAACAAATACATCAACATTTATAATACAGTGATTTAATTTTTGACAAAGGTGTCCAGGAAAAGAAGTCTTTTCAACAAATGGTGCTAGAATAACAAGCGGGGAGGGTGATATGAATCTCAATTCCTACTCCACATTACTAACAGAAACATTAATTTGAGACAGATAATACACCCAAACATAAAAACTAAGCCACAGGCTCTCAGAATAAAACATAGGAGAACATATTTCTGACCTTGGGTTAGGCAAGCAAAGGTTTCTTTACGCAAGACACAAGAAAGCACTATCCATAAAAGAAAAATAATTCATAAATCAAACGAGTGAATTAATAACTTCTGCTATCAAAGGCCTCTGTTAAGAAAATTGGCTGGGCATGGTGCCTCACGCCTGTAATCCCAGCACTTTGGGAGGCCGAGGCAGGTGGGTAACCTAAGGTCAGGAGTTCGAGACCAGCCTGACTGAACAACATGGTGAAACCCCGTCTCTACTAAAAATACAAAAAATTAGCTGGGCGTGGTGCCACGTGCCTGTAAGTAATCCCAGCTACTTGGGAGGCTGAGACAGGAGAATCTCTTGAACTCGGGAGGCTGAGGTTGCAGTGAGTCAAGATCGCACCATTGCACTCCAGCCTGAGCAACAAGAGCAAAATGCCATCCAAGGAAAAAAGAAAAAAAAAAAGCCTCTGTTAAGAAAATAAAACAGCAAATTACAAAGTGGGAGAATATATCAGAAAAATATATCTGACAAAAGACCAATATCCAAGATATGTAAAGAACTTCTCCAACAAAATAAAGAGATAAACCCAGTAAAAAATAAAACTGAAAATAAATGGAAGATTACAATTTACTCTGAAATTCACCCCAAAAAATAGACTAATGGATGGATAGAGAAATAGATGAATTAATATGTGTTAGAGCTGGTACAGGAAAATATAGACTCTAGGCCTTCATGGGTGTTCACAATAAAATTCTTTCAACTTTTCTGTATATTTAAATTTTTTCTAAATAAAATGTTGTTGGAAAAAAAATCAAAGATCAGGCTAACAAAAGAGTTGAGATTTAGCTGAGAACTAGAAAGAGGCAGCTATAAAAGCTAAGCACAGTTCCAGAGTGCAAATGTCTTAACATGAACTATAAAATATCATATGTGGAAATACAAGAAATAAAAACACTAGTGAACAGTAACTGTAAAAGAAAATCATAGAAAATTAGCAGCAAGGTGGGCAGGAACTAGATCATACAGGTATACATCAAGATAAGTTTTATTTTGCTTTAAATGTAAAAAGAATCTATGATATAGGCACAAAAATCCTACATACCAGCAAATTAAATTTAAAAATACAGTTATGCATCATTTAACAACAGGAGTGTCTTCTGAAAAAAATGCATTGTTGGGTGATTCTGTCATTGTGTAAACATCACCGACTGCTCTTACACAAACCTAGATGGTCCAGCCAACTATACACTAGGCTATACAATATACAGCCTATTGCTCCTAGGCTACAAACCTGTACAGCATGTAACTATACTCTGTACTGAATACCGTAGGCAACTCTAACACACTGGTAAGTATTTATGTATAAAAGATAAAAAATGGTACACCTGTATAGGGCAACTTTGTTATAACCTTATGGGACCACCATTATATATGCAGTCCAAAGTTGACCAAAACACTGTTAAGTGGCACACAACTATATATTAAAACTGTGCTATTCAATGGCCACATGTGGCTACTAAAATTTAAATTAAATGACATTAAAAATCTAGTTCCCTCAGCTGCACTAGCCACAATTCAAGCACTACTCAATAACCATGTTTGGCTAGGAGGCACTGTAGTACATAGCAAAGATTACAGAACATTTTCATCTTATAGAAAGTTCCGTTGGACAGGTCTGCTTTGAAAGAAAACACATATAAACAAGACGCCAACAAAAAGGACCCTGCAATAAATTGAAAACACGTTTGTTTTCTTTTTTTTTTTTTTTTTCTTTTTGGAGACGTCTTACTCTGTCATTCAGGCTGGAATGCAGTGGTGCGATCTCGGCTCACTGCAACCTGGGTCCAAGAGATTCTCCTACCTCTGCCTCCAGAGTAGCTGGGATTATAGGCGTCCACCACCACGCCCAGCTAATTTTTGTATTTTTAGTAAAGACGGGGTTTCACCACGTTGGCCAGGCTGGTCTCAAACTCCTGACCTCAAGTGATCCTCCCACCTCGGCCTCCCAAAGAGCTGGGATTACAGGTGTGAGCCACCACACCCAGCCTTCTGTCTGTTTTCTAAAAAACATGTAAGTAAAAATGAAAGGAAAAGAATAACCAAAAATTATTTACAAAATGCCAAAATTCTTAAGTGAAAATGCTTAAAGGAAGTCTGTCAGTTATCATAGAGCATACACTGAAGGGTACACTGAGAACTAAGAATATAAATTAATAATTGACACAATATCCCATCACATTTGCCATCTGTTGGTTAGAAGCAAGCTACAGATCCCACCCACACTGAAGAGGAGGGGGTTACACAACAGGCATTGGGGTTCACCTTAAAATTCTGCCTACCACATGGGTGGAGGTACACAGTAGCACAAACTTTCAAGAATATTTGGTGGCATAGATTCCATTTTTAGAATTTATCCTAAGGAAATAACTCATGAACTTTCACTAAGTTATCTAAAGAGATATTCATCGAAACATTAGTAACAAAATTTTGGTAGCATTCTAAACATCTAATCAGAGATACTAACTTGAAAACCATTACTTTTAAATAAATACAGCCTATTTTCCAAATCAGTGTGTATATGTTTGACATACATATATTTTTTTAAAAATGTTTATTTGAATACATGTAAACCTTGCCTTTGTTTTGTGTCTACAACCAAACTTTGTTATACAGTGGTACTGTTTCTTCCACTGCAAAGCACAGTGTGTTCTATTGGTCTTCTACTGAAATAGTTCACTATTAGAGCTTTTCAGCTATCACTAATATACAAAATTGCTCTGATTATGACCATTATTTTTAAATGTATGCCTTATAGTTGCCATATTCCTTATGTTCATATAAATTGTTTGCATTTTCCACTATCCTTCTCCTCACTCTGCACCCGTGTCCAACAAAGTAAGGCAAGACTGATGGCACAATGGTAGAACACAAACAAATTGATGCTGATCTCTTTCTAATCTATTCAAATGCCTGGTTCATTCAAACCAATTTTACAATTAGCATAGAAAATATAGAGTTCTTCCCTCTTTTGGGAAATATATACTTCCCCATTTCACAGCCCACACGTTCACATGTCTGAAAACAGCACTTATCTTACAATGACAAATCACAGTTGATTTCATGTACCACTGGGTAAGAGATTTCCAAAGGTATGAAAAGAAAAAGGTGGGCAGGGGGCATGGTTTACAACCGATAGCATCTTATTTGGTAAACAAGGTACAGAAAATCTGGTTCCATATAAACAACAGAGTTGTCTGACACCCTTCTTCAACACCATCACCAATTGTGTACTAGAATCATATCTGTGATTTACAGTTTGTTTTCATGCATTTGTCTTCACACTCATGCCTTAGAGAAGTTAACTTAAACCTACGAGTTTAACGGCTTCACTGAAGTAATTTCTCAAAGTATTTTAAAATTTTATTGCAATAATTCAATAATAACACACAAGTTTTCTATATTTTACTTTTAGTAAGACTGGCTCTGCTCGAAGTATAAAAATCATCGGCCAGGTGCGGTGGCTTACACCTGTAATCCCAGCACTTTGGGAGGACAAGATGGGCAGATCACCTGAGGCCGGAAGTTCAAGACTAGCCTGGCCAACATGGAGAAACCCCATCTCTAATAAAAATACAAAATTAGCCAGGCATGGTGGCACATGCCTGTAATCTCAACTACTTGGGAGGCTGAGGAAGGAGAATCATTTGAACCTGGGAGGCAGAGGTTGCGATGAGCCAATATCACACCATTCCACTCCAGCCTGGGCAACAAGAGCAAAACCCTGTCTCAAAAGAAAAAAAAAAAATATATATATATATATATGTGTGTGTATATATATATATATATATATGTGTGTGTGTATATATATATATATAATATACTATAAAAATTACTTTAAAATTAATGTGCTGGAACTAAATACCTCCATCATTTCAACAATGACCAACAGAAGCTTCTATGCAAGTGGAAAGGGCAGACGCTATTATTTAACTGCCATATTTCACTTTAAAATTCTAAAAAACCTACTAAGTCAGACAATGCCAAAGTAGTGGCTCACATTGTTGAGTTACACACTTTAAAAAAAAAAGTATTCAGAGGCCTGGCAAGATGGCCAAATAGGTACAGCTCCAGTCTGCAGCTCCCAGCGAGATCAATGCAGAAGGCGGTGATTTCTGCATTTCTAACTGAAGTACCTGGCTCATCTCGTTGGGATTGGTTAGACAGTGGGTGCAGCCCATAGAGGGTGAGCTGAAGCAGGGTGGGGCATCACCTCACCTGGGAAGCACAAGGGGTTTGGGCACTCTCTCCCCTAGCCAAGGGAAGCCATGACGGACTGTGCCATGAGGGACAGTGCACTCAGGCCCAGATACTACGCTCTTCCCACAGTCTTTGCAACCTGCAGACCGGTAGATTCCCTCGGATGCCTACGCCACCAGGGCCCTGGGTTTCAAGCACAAAACTAGGTGGCCGTTTGGGCAGACACCGAGCTAGCTGCAGGAGTTTTATTTTCATACTCCAGAGGCACCTGGAACACCAGCAAGACAGAACTGTTCACTCCCCTGGAAAGGCGGCTGAAGCCAGGGAGCCAAGTGGTCTAGATCAGCAAATCCCACCCCCATGGAGCCCAGCAAACTAAGATCCACTGGCTTGAAATTCTCACTGGCAGTACAGCAGTCTGAAGTCAACCTGGGATGCTGGAGCTTGGTGGGGGGAGGGGCGTCTGCCATTACCAAGGCGTGAGTAGGTGGTTTTCCCCTCCCAGTGTAAACAAAGCCTCCAGGAAGTTCCAACTGGGCAGACCCCACCTCAGCTCCACAAACTGCTGTAGCCGGACTGCCTCTCTAGATTCCTCCTCCCTGGGCAGGGTGTCTGAAAGAAAGGCAGCAGCCCCAGTCATGGGCTTATAGATAAAACTCCCATCTCCCTGGGACAGAGTACCTGGGGGAAGGGGCAGCTATAGGCACAACTTCAGCAGACTTAAACGTTCCTGCCTACTACTGGCTCTGAAGAGAGCAGCGGATCTCCAGCACAGCACTCCAGCTCTGCTAAGGGACAGATGGCCTCCTCAATTGGGTCCCTGACCCCAGTGCCTACTGACTGGGAGAGACCTCCCAGCAGGGGTCAACAGACACCTCATACAGGGGAGCTCTGGCTGGCATCTGGTGGGTGCCCATCTAGGACAAAGCTTCCGGAGGAAGAACAGGCAGAAATCTTTGCTGTTCTGTAGCCTCTGCTGGTGATACCCAGGCAAACAGGGTCTGGACTGGACCCCCAGCAAACTCCAGCAGAGCTGCAGAAGAGGGGCCTGACTGTTAGAAGGAAAACTAACAAACAGAAAGGAATAGCATCAACATCAACAAAAGGACAGCCACTCAGAAACCCCATCCGAAGGTCACCAACATCAAAGACCAAAGGTAGATAAATGCACAAAGATGAGGAAAAACCAGCCCAAAAGGGCTGAAAATTCCAAAAGCCAGAATGCCTCTTCTCCTCCAAAGGATCACAACTCCTCATCAGCAAGGGAACAAAACTGGATGGAGAATGAGTTTGAGGAATTGACAGAAGTAGGCTTCAGAAGGTGGGTAATAACAAACTCCTCCGAGCTAAAGAAGCATGTTCTAACCCAATGCGAATCTGAGAACCTTGAAAAAAGGTTAGAGGAATTGCTAACTAGAATAACCAGTTTAGAGAACATACATGACCTGAGAAAGCTGAAAAACACAGCATGAGAACTTCGTGAAGCATACACAAATATCAACAGCCGAATCTATCAAGCAGAAGAAAGGATATCAGAGATTGAAGATCAACTTAATGAAATGAAGCCTGAAGACAAGATTAGAGAAGAAAGAATGAAAAGGAACTAATGAAGCCTCCAAGAAATATGGGACTATGTGAAAAGACCAAACCTATGTTTGATTGGTGTACCTGAAAGTGACAGGGAGAATGGAACCAAGATGGAAACCCTCTTCAGGATATTATCCAGGAGGACTTCCCCAACCTAGCAAGATAGGCCAACAATCAAATTCAGGAATTACAGAGAACATCACAAAGACACTCCTCGAGAAGAGCAACCCCAAGACATATAATCATCAGATTCACCAAGGCTGAAATGAAGGAAAAAATGTTAAGGGCAGCCAGAGAGAAAGGTCGGGTTACCCACAAAGGGAAGCCCATCAGACTAACAGCAGATCTCTTTGCAGAAACCCTACAAGCCAGAGGAGAGATTCAACATTCTTAAAGGAAAGAATTTTCAACCCAGAATTTCATATCCAGCCAACTAAGCTTCATAAGCGAAGGAGAAATAAAATCCTTTACAGACAAGCAAATGCTGAGAGATTTTGTCACCACCAGGGCTGCCCTAAAAGAGCTCCTGAAGGAAGCACCAAATACGGAAGGAAAAAACCAGTATCAACCACTGCAAAAACATACCAAATTGTAAAGACCATCGACACTATGAAGAAACTGCATCAACTAATGGGCAAAATAACCAGCTAGCATCATAATGACAGAATCAAATTCATACACAACAATATTAACCTTAAATGTAAATGGGCTAAATGCCCCAAATAAAAGACACAGACTGGCAAATTGGATAAAGAGTCAAGACCCATCAGTGTGCTGTATTCAGGAGACCCAGCTCCTATGTGTGTGCAAAGACACACATAGGCTCAAAATAAAGGGATGATTTACCAAGCAAATGGAAAGCAAAAAAAAAAAAAAAAAAAAAAACCAGGGGTTGCAATCCTAGTCTCTGATAAAACAGACTTTAAACCAACAAAGATCAAAAGAGACAAAGAAGGGCATTACATAATGGTAAAGGGATCAATGCAACAAGAAGAGGTAACTATCTTAAATATATATGCACCCAATACAGGAGCACCCAGATTCATAAAGTAAGTTCTTAGAGGCCTACAAAGAGACTTAGACTCCCACACAATAATAGTGGGAGACTTTTAACACCCCACTGTCAATATTAGACAGATCAACGAGACAGGAAATTGACAAGGATATTCAGGACATGAACTCAAACTGTGGACCAAGCAGACCTAATAGACATCTACAGAACTCTCCAAGCAAAATCAACATAATGTACGTTCTTCTCAGCACCACATCACACTTATTCTAAAATTGAGCACATAATTGGAAGTAAAACACTCCTCAGCAAATGCAAAAGAACAGAAATCATAACAGTCTCTCAGACCACAGTGCAATCAAATTAGAACTCAGGATTAAGAAACTCACTCAAAAACCGCACAACTACATGGAAACTGAACAACCTGCTCCTGAATGACTACTGGCAGAAATAAAGAAGTTAATTAAGGAAGAAATAAATAATGAAATAATGAAATTAAGGCAGAAATAAAGAAGTTATTTGAAACCAATGAGAACAAAGACACAACGTACCAGAATCTTTGGGACACAGCTACAGCAGTGTTTAGAGGGAAATTTATAGCACTAAATGCACACAGGAGAAAGCGGGAAAGATCTTAAATCAACACCCTAACATCACAATTAAAAGAAACAGAGAAGTAAGAGCAAACAAATTCAAAAGCTAGCAGAAGACAAGAAGTAACTAAGACCAGAGCAGAACTGAAGGAGAGAGAGAGAGACACAAAAAAAAAACCCTTCAAAAAAAGTCAGTGAATCCAGGAGCTGGTTTTTTGAAAATATTAACAAAATAGATAGACCACTAGCCAGACTAATAAAGAAGAAAAGTGAGAAGAATCAAATAGACACAATAAAAAAATGAAAAAGGAGATATCACCACCAATCCCACAGAAATACAAACTACCATCAGAGAATACTATAAACACCTCTATGCAAATAAACTAGAAAATCTAGAAGAAATGGATAAATTCCTCGACACATACACTCTCCCAAGACTAAACCAGGAAGAAGTCAAATCCCTGAATAGACCAATAATAAGTTCTGAAACTGAGGCAGTAATTAATAGCCTACCAACCAAAAACAGCCCAGGACCGGACAGATTCACAGCTGAATTCTACCAAAGGTACAAAGAGGAGCTGGTACCATTCCTTCTGAAACTATTCCAAACAACAGAAAAAGAGGGGCTCCAACCTAACTCATTTTATGAGGCCAGCATCATCCTGATACCAAAAACTGGCAGAGACACAACAAAAAAAGAGAATTTCAGGGCCAATATCCCTGATGAACACAGATGCAAAAATCCCCAATAAAATACTGGCAAACCAAATCCAGCAGCACATCAAAAAACTTATCCACCACGATCAAGTCGGATTAGTCCCTGGGATGCAAGGCTGGTTCAACATACGCAAATCAATAAATGTAATCCATCACATAAACAGAACCAATGACAAAAACCACATGATTATCTCAATAAATGCAGAAAAGGCCTTCGATAAAATTCAACACCTCTTCATGCTAAAACCTCTCAATAGACTAGGTACTGATGGAACTTATCTCAAAATAATAAGAGCTATTTATGACAAACCCACAGCCAATATCATACTACACGGGCAAAAGCTGGAAGCATTCCCTTTGAAAACCAGCACAAGGCAAGGATGCCCTCTCTTACCATTCCTATTCAACATAGTATTGAAGTTCTGGACAGGGCAATCAGGCAAGAGAAAGAAATAAAGTGTATTCAAATAAGAAGACTGGAAGTCAAATTGTTTCTGTCTGCAGATGACATGATTGCATATTTAGAAAACTCCACCGTCTCAGCCCCAAATCAACTTAAGCTGATAAGCAACTTCAGCAAAGTCTCAGGATACAAAATCGATGCACAAAAATCACAAGCATTCTCATACACCAGTAACAGACAAACAGAGAGCCAAGTCATGAGTGAATTCCCATTCACAATTGCTACAAAGAGAATAAAATACCTAGGAATACAACTTACAAGGGATGTGAATGACCTCTTCAAGGAGAACTACAAACCACTGCTCAAGGAAATAAGAGAGGACACAAACAAATGGGAAAATATTCCATGCTCACAGATAGGAAGAATCAATATCGTGAAAATGGCCATATAGCCCAAAGTAATTTATAGATTCAATGCTATCCCCATCAAACTACCATTGACTTTCTTCACAGAATTGGAAAAAACTACTTTACATTTCATATGGAACCAAAAATGAGCCCATATAGCCAAGACAATCCTAAGCAAAAAGAACAAAGCTGGAGGCATCATGCTACCTGACCTCAAAACTACACTACAAGGCTACAGTAACCAAAACAGCATGGTACTGGTACCAAAACAGATATATAGACCAATGGAACAGAACAGAGGCCTCAGAAAAAACGCCACACATCTACAACCATCTGATCTTTGACAAACCTGACAAAAACAAGAAATGGGGAAAGGATTCCCTATTTAACAAATGGTGTTGGGAAAACTGGCTAGCAATATGCAGAAAACTGAAACTGGACCCATTCCTTATACAAAAATTAACTCAAGATGAATTAAAGACTTAAACATAAGACCTAAACCCATAAAAACCCTGTAAGAAAACCTAGGCAATACCATTCAGGACATAGGCATAGGCAAAGACTTCATGACTAAAACACCAAAAGCAATGGAAATAAAAGCCAAAATTGACAAGTGGGATCTAATTAAACTAAAGAGCTTGTGCACAGCAAAAGAAATTATCATCAGAATGAAGAGGAAATCTAGAGAATGGAGAAAATTTTTACAATCTATCCGTCTGACAAAGGGCTAATATCCAGAATCTACAAGTAACTTAAATTTACAAGAAAAAACAACCCCATCAAAAAGTGGGCAAAGGATATGAACAGACACTTCTCAAAAGAAGACATGTATGCAGCCAAGAAACATATGAAAAAATGCTCATCATCACTGGTCATTAGAGAAATGCAAATCAAAACCACAATGAGATACCATCTCATGCCAGTTACAATGGTGATCATTAAAAAGTCAGGAAACAACAGATGCTGGAGAGGATATGGAGAAATAGGAACGCTTTTACACTGTTGGTGGGAGTGTAAATTAGTTCCATCATTGTGGAAGACAGTGTGGCGATTCCTCAAGGATCTGGAACCATAAATACCATTTGACCCAGCCATCCCATTACTGGGTATATAACCAAAGGAGTATAAATCATTCTACTAAAAGACACATGCACATGTATGTTTATTGCAGCACTATTCACAATAGCAAAGACTTGGAACCAACCCAAATGCCCATCAACGATAGACTGGATAAAGAAAATGTGGCACATAGACACCATGGAATACTATGCAGCCATAAAAAAGGATGAGTTCATGTCCTTTTCAGGGACATGGATGAAGCTGAAAACCATCATTCTCAGCAAACTAGCACAGAAACAGAAAACCAAACACTGCATCTTCAACTCATAAGTGGGAGTTGAACAATGAGAACACATGGACACAGGGAGGGGAACATCACACATGGGGTCCTGTTGGGGGTTGGGGGCTATGGGAGGGATAGCATTAGGAGAAATACCTAATGTAGATGACGGGTTGATGGGTGCAACAAACCACCATGGCACATGTGTGTAACACATCTATGTAACAAACCTACATGTTCTGCACATGTATCCCAGAACTTAAAGCATAATTTTTAGAAAAGTATTCAGCTGAATGTGAATACAGTCATGTGATCTATGTCAATCCTATGGCTTTGTTAACCTGCAGCAAATTCACAATCACAGAACAATTAATTGATCAGATTTAGGCAAAGTAACTGCCTCTTAATTATTTTGGAGGCCAATAACATCTTTTGACAGAGCATGGTGGCTCACACCTGTAATCCCAGCACTTTGGGAGGCCGAGGCAGGCAGATCACGAGGTCAGGAGTTTGAGACCAGCCTGGCCAATATGGTGAAACCCCATCTCTACTAAAAAGACAAAAATTAGCCGGGTGTGGTGGCGCACACCTGATATCTAACTATTCAGGAGGCTGAGGCAGGAGAATCGCTTGAACCCAGGAGGCAGAAGTTGCAGTGAGCCGAGATAGCACCAATGCACTCTGGCCTAGGCGACAGAGCGAGACTTCGTCTCAAAAAAAAGAATAAAAAATAAAATAAAATAATAATCATCATTTTCCTCTGAATCTACAAATAGGTATTTTTTTGAATGTTAATTATAAAAAAAATTAGCTCTCATATTTAGCAAACATAGAAAATTCTCCATGTTACAATTAAAAATCTTTCATAGAAATATTTCAAATATATATGGCATGAGATACAATTATTTCTTCATGTGTCAATGAATAAGATTTACTACTCCAAAAGAAGTTATCTGGGACAATAAATCTTTACGTTCACCGTATGAAAGTATGAATTCTCTTTAGTATGCGTTATATGATTTTCTTAAATTTCCCTCTGAAATGACATATGAATGAGATTGAAAGGATCCATCAGGCCATATTCAATAATCAATAATGAATGACATATTAATAGACTAGATAATGCAAAACTGAACACCACAAACATGATAAGGAATGGTCATCCTCATTTTATCTTGCATCTGCTTTCAAATCAAAATGCAGTTGCACCATTATATCTGTAATTTCATTAAAAATTAGGCATAATCACTGAAAATCTCTATGTGTGAACAATAGATCTTCATGTTTATGCAAAAATTCTTTCTTCTCTTCAACCACAGTTGCCATAACAAACTCTCAAAGGTTCTGTTTCTTTTACTATGATACAAACAATACAACACTGATACAGTCATAGAACAGTGATATAAAAATAACAAGCCTTATGGTTTTATGAACTACTAGTCTTGAACAGACACTTAAGAACTTATAAATTTATATTTAGTGATAAACAAGAAAATAAAGAAAAGAAAAGCAATACATAGAAAATAAATCTGAATGCCAAATGAAATACATAAACATAAAATTTAAATTCCTGCCTAACGAAGCATGCAAATAACTAATATTAATAAAATTATTTTAAAAGTAGATGTGTTCTTGAAAAATTAAATGTAGTAAAAGAATAACCTTTGTAATTGTCTATTTAATACTCTCAACAGTTATTAGAAAGGAGATCTTAACATTTACTACTCTTTCATCCTATAAAGCAAACATTTTACTTTTGAAACAGCAATAAGCAAATTATTTAAAAATATTTTCCACATAAAATTTTTCTAGTCTAATTAGACAGTAGAAAGTAAAATGACTCCAAGCAGAGAAAAGCTTTGCCACTAGGAACTTCAAGAGATTATCTGTTCTTTTGTTTTCTTTTTTAATTCTAGCTTTTGAAATGGGGGAAAGGGGACAGGGACTTGCTTATTTTTTTTAATCAAGCACAATTTCCTAAAATCACTCAAGAGTGATTCTTTGCATGTTCTTTCACTAGATCCTAACTATACACAACTGACTCCCTCTAAGGGAAATGTACAGAGTTCCAGACACAGACAAGCAGAAAATAAAGAAAGACAACATACTATTTCAACAGGAAAAGTAAACATGAGAAATTTGTCAAAGAAGAGAATGCATTATTATTTTTGCCAATTGGGCAGAAAAATAGGCAATTAGACAAGAATATATCAGGAAATGTTATCACTCCACAAATGAGCAATTTTAGAGTGGTCTTTCCCATCTACTTATATACACAGATAACCTATTCCCTGAAAATAAGGGGAAAATAATTATGAAACATAAAAAGCAGCTTCTCAGACTAAGCAAGTAATAACAGAGCTTTGTAGTTTAAAATATTGTCTGTCTAGCAGATTTGGTACAAACTTTCCAAAACATCTACTAAAATGCCTATGAAAAACATCGTATAAAAACATTAAACTTCAGAGCAGGACAAAAAGTCAGTAACTACCAGAATTTTAAGGTGATAGATCTGTACCAGAAAGTTTTAGAAAGTATTATAATTAGCCAGGCACAGTGGTATACGCCTGCAGCTCAGCTACTTGGGACACTGAGGTGAAAGAATTGCTTGAGCCCATGAGTTTGAGACCAGCCTGGGCAATACAGCAAGACTCTGTCTCTATTAAAAACACACACACACACACACACACACACACACACACACACACACACACACATATATATATAAGATTTACATATATATATATATATAAGATTTACATGTATATATAAGATTTACATATATATATATGATTTACTACTCCAAAGGAAGTTATCTGGGACAATAAATCTTTAGGTTCACCATATGAAAGTATGAATTCTCTTTAGTATGCATTATATGATTTTCTTAAATTTCCCTCTGAAATGACATATGAATGAGATTTATATATATATATAATTGATGACACTTTATAATAAATTCCAAAAAGTAGAAAAGTGCAGATAATATTCTCTCATGTCACTATAATAAAAATTTTTAAATTAAGAATAAACTCAGAAAATAAAGACTCTTCCACTAGAAATTTTAAAACTCTCACAATCCTGGGAAAGATGAAAAAATAAACCAAAACCGCAAAACCCTTACTAACATGACAAATAAATTATCAGATATTTGCCAGCTGTGGTGGCTCACGCTTGTAATCCCATCACTTTGGGAGGTCAAGGTGGGCAGACTGCTTGAGCTCGGGAGTTCAAGACCAGCCAGGGGAACACGGTGAAACCCCATCTCTACAAAAGATACAAAAATTAGCCGGGCATGATAACACGTGCTTATAGTCCCAGCTACTCAGGAGGCTAAGGCGGGATGATTGCTGAAGCCAAGGAAGTCAAGGCTGCAGTGAGTTGTCATCAAACCACTCCACTCCACTAGGTGACAGAACAAGATCCTATCTCTAAAATAAAATAAAAACAGAACTAGGCTTGGCTTAGGAAAAGAGCAGAAATAAAAAATTAATCTAAAAGTTCATGGGAGGAGAAAAAAATTAAATAGCTATCACATTTTTAAAAATCAGTTCTCAACTTCTTGGCTAAGATCAAGTGCAAAAAAATACCCCCCAAAAAAAAGAAAGAAGAAACTTCAGGTATTTTAATAAATGGATATTGCACTCAAAGGGAGAGAAAAATTTAAATGTACCAATTTTCACATAGGAAGTGAAAAAGATATTAACCCAAACCCAAAGCACTACAATCCAAATAATTCCGTGGAGGAATTCCTCAAAAACCTAAAAAAGCAGGTAATTCCAATGTTTTTATTAAAACTGCTCTGGCCGGGCATGGTGGCTTACCGTGTAATCCCAACACTTCGGGAAGCCAAGGCCAGAGCACAGCCTTGAGCCTAAGAGTTCAAGACCAGCCTGGTCAAACATACTGAGAGGCACTATCTCCACAAAAAATTTTAAAATTAGCTGAGTGTGGTGGCACGTGCCTGTAGTCCCAGCTACTCGGGAGGCTGAGGCAGGAGGATCACTTGAGCCCAGGAGTTCAAGGCTGTAGTGAGCTATAATTGTGTCACTGCACTCCAGCCTGGGTACCAGAGCAAGGCCCTGTCTTAAAACAACAACAACAACAAAAAAAAGCTCTAGAACATATTTTTTTAAACCAAGTTTTTTTATTACACTGATGAAAACAGAGTATAACAGAGTGTACCACTGATGAAAAAGTTTCCAAAGATTTACAACATATCAAGATTATTTATAAACATCAATGCAAAAATCCTTTAAAAAAGTTAGAAAAAAAAACTGGGCAGTACAATTTTTAAAATAATATATTAAGACAAAGTAGGGCTTATCCCAGGAATGAGAGAATGATTCAACATCAGGAAATATTTTCATATAATTCCTGAGATAAACAGATCTAAACAGAAAAAAAAATAGTATTCGATCTATAGTAGATGAAAAGCCATTTGACCAAACTGAACACCCATTCTTGGTTAAAAATAAAACAAACGCATACTTGTTTCACCTGATAAAACAGATCTCAGAATTAAAGGCAGTATATCATACTCTGAAGAAACACCAGAAGCATTCCCACTCAAATCAGGAAAAAAGAATCCCCATAACTACTGCCACAATTTAAAACTGTATTTATGTATAATCAAACTAGACAAAAGTTAATGTATGAAAAATCCAATAAGTAAAAATATCACTATTTACACTTAATATGAATACCTAAAAAAATTGCAAAATTATTGCAAGCAATAACAAAAGTAAGAGAGTTCGATAAATAAGATTGTATGTCAAAATTATCAGCTTTCAAGTTTAAAACCTAACCATGTATAAAAGGCATCTATCCTAGAGTCCTATAGCTAACATCATATTTAATAGTTAAAAACAAAATTTTCCTTCCCTATAGATGTGGAAGAAGACAAGGCTGTTCACTCTCACTGCTTCCATACAACATTAAACAATAGATTCTAGTCAGTGCAGTAAGGCAGGAGAATAAAATTAAAAGCATCCAAGTTGGAAAGGGAAAAGTAGCACCTTTTTCACTTATATAGTTGTCTATGTAATAATTTTGATGAAATTCACAAAAAATTATTAGTATAATAATTGAGTTTAGCAAGACTGTAAGATAAAACATCAAAATACAAAAATCAACGTACTCCTTTGGGGAAAAAAGTATATTTCTATATACTACCAATAGTCAGAAACGGAAATTTTACAAAGACTTTTATGACAATATCAAAAAGTATGAAATAAATCTGAAAAAAGATGAGCAAAATCTCATGCTTAAAACTACAAAAATTGCTGAGAGACAATAAAGAAGACCTACATAAAAGAAAATATATGCCAGGTTGATGAACTAGAAAACTTGGCATTGTTATGATGTTAGTTCTTCCCCAAAATTGACCTATATATTCATTACAATTCCAACCAAAATCCCAGTAGGCTTTTTTGTAGAAATTGACAGCTAATTATAAAATTCACATGAAAATGCAAAGGCCTAGAATAGCCAAAACAACTTAGAAAAGAACAACAAAGTTGGAACATTAATACTATCTGATTTCAAGATTTACAACAACCAAAAATAATCAAGACAGTATGGTACTTGAGTAAAGACAGCCAAATAGATCAAGAGAACTGAACAGACAGTCTAGAAACAGAACCAGACATACACAACAAACTTCATTTTTTATGAATGTGCAAAAGTAATTCAATGAGAAAAGGATAGTCTCTTCAACTGGTATAGAAACAACTGAATATCTATATGCAAAAAAAAAAAAACCATGTCAACAGACTAAAAATAACCCAAATGTCTATGACTATGATGTTAGCTAAGTTATGGCATACTGATACAATGAAAATCTGTGCAACTGTTAAAGAGAAATGAAGATGATCTAATCTCTGTGTACCTATACTGGAGTGAAGAGACTTAAGAGATACTGTCAAGTTTTTTTTAAAGAAAAAAAGAAAACGACAGAACAGTGTATTAAAAAATCACCATGCTGGTCATGGTGTCTCATGCCTGTAATCTCAACACTTTGGGAGGCCGAGGCAGGCAGATCGTTTGAGCCCAGGAATTTGAGACCAGCCTGGTCAATACAGCAAAATCCCATCACTCAAAAAATTAAAAAATTAGCTAGGAATGGTGGTTCCGGTCTATAGTTCCAGCTATTCAGGAGGCTGAGTTGGGAGGATTGTTTGAGTCTGGGAGGTCAAGGATGCAGGGAGCCATGATCGCACCACTGCACTCTAGCCTGGATGACAGAGCAAGACTCTGTTTCGAAAAAAAGAAAAAAAAATCATCACTTTATGGAGATAGTAAGAATATAAATAAATGTGTTTATTTATTGCTAAAGAAATTCTGGATGGATACACTAAAAGCTAACAGCAATGGTTACTGAGAAGGTGATAAATGGATGGGGAGCTTTCAGAGAAACTTTTTACTGCATGTTTTTAAAGTTTTGTTAGTCATATATAGTCTGTTCAAATAATTCTTTTTGAATTGGCCTTCAAACTGGAAATGTAAATAGAATCGCAATTTGAAAAACAGCTTGTTATTACTATTTTGGATGTTGTATTCTGACTGTATATTAAAGTTAAAAACTGAACAATTATCCCTTTATTGTGTTTAACAGATCAAATTAAACAAAACAAAGAGTTATAGAGCAATATTAATAAATTCCTAAAATCAGAATCATCTTTGAGATTTTAAAGATACACATATGAAATTCTATTATTTTTCTACAAAATTAGTATGCATGTTTTATAGCTGTAAATTTTGTTTAAAACTTCATAAAAGCTACCATTCTTAAAATAAATGATCTATACTTCCCTGAAAATGCTGTAAGGTTCGTAATATCACTATTTTACCATCCCATTAGCAAAGATAAAAATCTCCACAGCAATAACCTGTCAATTGTAGTTATTATCCTATAACTGGTGTTACTAAGGTCTTACATGTTATGCCAATTCTGCTATAAAGTGTGTTTTCCTTTTGTATTCTACAACCGAAAATACTTCAGTAAGAGACATTAAGGACAAAAAACAATAATAAGAACTGAAAGTGAGGAGAGGAGACTATTCAAAATTCTAAAAATTAGAATTGCTTTTATTATTTATTTATTTCGAGACAGTGTCCCACTCCGCCACCCAGGCTGAAGTACAGTGGCACAATCTTGGCTCACTGTAGCCTCAAACTCCCAGGCTCAAGCAATCATTCCACCTCCGCCTCCTGAATAGCTGGAACTACAGGCATGTGCCACCATGCCCGACTAATTTTCTAGTATTTTTTGTAGAGACAGGGTTTTGCCATGTTGCCCAGGCTGGTCTCGAACTCTTGGGCACAAGCGATCCAAGTGCCTTGGCCTTCCAAAGTGCCAGGATTACAGGTGTGAGCCACCACGCCTAGCAAGAATTGCTTTTAAAAAAGAAATATCCTATGATTTTAAGGAATTACATAAGCTAAGTATAAAGAAAAACATAGTAAGAACACTGTCTTTCTAGTGAAAAACTACATAACAAGTTGTTCCACATAATTGTTTCAAATCCCTAAAAAATAGTTCTGATATTACACATTAGCAAATATTTCTAAGCAGTACTGATTTGACTAATGAAATTATACTATCTAAACACATTTTCTTAAATGCTGAACTCTGAATTATGACAGCACAACCTGTGAAATTCATTTTTTAAAAATGAACACAAACCAAAGGAATCTGGCTTTTGCCCAACTTTTATACTGTATTTACAATTTAGAAAATGTTCTCATAAGAGAACACAGTTTCAGTTAATAGACTTCCACCGTGGACAGAGCAGATGGTTAAATATTAACTTTATCTTTACCCAACCTATTGGACAGGGCACAGTAGTACACAGGCTCTTGTAGGTACCCCCTTAATATCCCTGCTGCCAAAACAGACACAAAAGGCAAGCAGTGAACAGTCGAAAGATCATAGCGGCAGAGGTCAACCAAAATTCCCATGCCAAGCAGGTGTTACACAAAATCATAATAAAAGTAGGATGATTACTCTGTATTTGTTGAATGAAAAAGATAGCCACTCAATAGTGCTAGGATTACTTACAGCTAATATCATATCCAAAGACTGACACCAAATTAAGCAGACTAGAGTAGGAGCAGGTGAAGAGTTTAAAACATGATTGCATATGTTGCTATATTTTTGTACAATTCTATCATAACCACCCTCCTCCCAAAAAATATAAATTATTTGGGTACTATTCCCTGGGTTGAATGTAAACAGACCATGGTTCTTCATGGCCACCAATTTTTCAAATGCCCTAAACCAGGCATATAAAACACTGGTTTAGAAAATAAAATCCCACCACAATGCAACTTCTTGGATGCCACGTGCAATTTTAATGTAAAAGTACTCATAACCCAGTATCAAAGCTGAACTATAAATTCAACTCACAATAGAGAAATATAAAAAGAGCAAATGCCTCCCAAAGTTTCTGAATCTGTGAAGCTACAAACCTGATTCTGGAATATGACAAATTTCACAAAAGGTGTAACATTCCTTCAGGCTTCTTAGGAAATAGCCAGCTGGCCTTCTTCTGAATGCCAAATGTGCCCCCTTATCCCTTCTAAAACTTCTAAAACATTTCAAATGTTTATCAGTATACAATCAAGCATGGGACCATGTGGTATGCAGGCTCAAAATACATTTAAATTCTGATAAGGAGAGCAGAGCTTTATGACTGCCAACTAACATATCTATGAATTAGAACCATCAATCGGTTTGCTAAGAAAGTTAACCACTACCAAAAGCAAGAATGTCTTACGAATATTCAAAACTGCAGACAAATTATAAAACAAGGAAGAAAGGAAAACGGGAAGTCAGAGAAGAAAAACAAATTAAAAGGTGGGTTCAATAAATCAGACATCCTAACACATAACAGGCACACAGAAAACACCATGTATAGTTTATATACAAAGAAATAAGAATCTCACCAAAAGCACAAATGAGAAATGGAGAAAAGTCTTAGGAAATAGTCAATATGCAGTTTATATGTCTTAAAAAAAACAGAAATACCAAGGTACAATTGCTTTTAAACACTAGATCTGGTAAATATCCCACTGAAAACAAACTATGCAGCAGCAATAACAGTAGTACCAGTAATAACAGTAGTCATATGAGTGATACTAAAAATAATAACAAAGAAAAAAAAGAGAATGAAAAGGAAAATGGAGAAGATGAGGCATAAACAGAATTAGTATGTTCATGTGAGAACACAGGGCATGAAGAAGAGACAGTGAATAGAAGAAACTGGATGCTAAATAGACTATGCAAACAGAAGACAATTCCCTGAAGGAATGGAAGAGTAAAAATAGAGCATCTAAATGTAATCATCAGACAAAATCATAGCAATATTAGAACATAATATAAAAACATTTTAGAGATGAAGGGCTTCTTAAGCAAGACAGAAAACCAGAAGATGCAAGAAATATTCTGCCAAATTTAACTACATAAAAATGAACTTTTCAGCCAGGCATGGTGGCTCACACCTGTAATCCCAGCACTTTGGGAGGCTAAGGCAGGCTGATCACTTGAGCCCAGGAGTTGGAGACCAGCCTAGGCAACACAGGGAAACCTCGTCTCTAGAAAAAAATACAAAAAAATTAGCTGGACATGGTAGTATGCGCCTGTAGTCCCAGCTACTCGGTAGGCTGAGGTGGGAGGATCACTTGACCCCAGGAGGTCAAGGCTGTGGTGAGCCGAGATGGCACCATTGCACTCCAGGCTGAGCAAGAGTGAGACCCTGCCTCAAAACAAAACAAAACAAAACAAAACAAAAAACTCATACTCACCTTCCCATTACAATACACTGCCTTGCCTACAGATCAAAAAAAAAAAAAAAGAGTGCTGGCAATGGGAAAATGAGCTCTCTCATCTGCTGGAGACAAAATTGCTTTATTTGGAAAGGAATTTGGCAGTAGTTACTAACATTACTCATAATCTTTAAACCAAAAATTCTACTTACCCTGAAGAAATATCCACCCATATAAACAAAAATGTTCACTGAAACAGTGTTGGTAATAGCAAAGGACTAGAAGCAATCTAAAAACCCATCAATTACAACATAATGTATAGTACACCTTTACTATCATTACCATGCAGCACTTAACAAATAACATGGCAAATCTCTATACACTGACATGGAAATATCTCCAAGCCATACTGTTAAGTGAAAAAACAAAGCAAAACAAAAAGAACCAACATCTTGGAATATTTAGTATGATTCTTTTTTTTTTTTTTTTTTTTTTTTTTTTGAGACAGAGTCTTGCTCTGTCGCCCAGGCTGGAGTGCAATGGCGCAATCTCGGCTCACTGCAACCTCCACCTTCTGAGTTCAAGCGATTCTCCTGCCTCAGCCTCCCGAGTAGCTGGGACTATAGACATGCGCCGCCACACCCGGCTAATTTTTGTATTTTTAGTAGAGACGGGTTTCACCATATTGGCCAGGCTGGTCTTGAGTTCCTGACCTTGTGATCTGCCCGCCTTGGCCTCCCAAAGTGCTGGGATTACAGGCATGAGCCACCGAGCCTGGCCTTAGTATATGATTCATTTTAAGTGGAAACAACAAAAATACTAAAAGAAAACCTTCAATGTATGTGTGTGTGTATATATATCTATATATATATCTGTATATATATATACATACACATATATATAAATGTATCTTTTTAATAAGAGTACGTACCAAACACTTTACCTTCAGGATGTGTAGGAGCAGGCCTAATGATTTTCATTCAATACAGTTCTATGTTGCTTATAGCTTTTTAAAAAACGTAGTATGACCAATGACCATGAAACAAAAACTATTATGAGAAAAAGGGAAACAGCCTAGTTTCAGGTGCCACCACTGAGAATCTTATTCAAGAGAAAAAGCCTAGGAGTCGTACCATGTTTGGCCAAAACAGCGCTATACCCAATTCGAGTATTTTCTGACAAAGTCAAGACAACTGGGCAGCAAAATGTCATTCATATTCATCTTGTAAGCTGAATTATGAGACATTATTAGCACTAATTTAAAAAAAAATTAAACTTTACCTTTCTTGAAGTACAGATGTCAAAAAACGGCTTATTTCTGACGCTAAATGGTTCCTGTGTTTTGTCAATGAGCCCAGTCTTCATTTTTTCGTGTCGAGGACTTATAATTTCTCGTTCTATACACTGCAGACGAACATTAAAATCACAATCTCCAACGGGCTGTGACTGAATTAAATAAAGAATTAGTTAAATTTCAACACTAACAACTATTTTATCAGCATAATTATCAAGGCTGCCACAATGTACATAATAGTCTGTGTAAACAGCATCCTCTGGAGTTATTCAGTGCACAGCGTGCACAAACATATATACCAACCCTAATAATTAGTTTGACTAACAATACAACTATCTAAACACACAAAGAGACTTATTTTAAAATACAACTGTATAAAACAGTATGAGAAAGTGGCACAATTCTACTGTAAGTTGATCGAAATATTTCACATCTAGGCCGGGTGTGGTGGCTCACACCTGTAGTCCCAGCACTTTGGAAGGCTGAGGCAGGAGGATCACATGAGCCCAGGAGTTTGAGGCTAGCCTGGGCAACAGAGCAAGACCACCACTTCCAAATTTTAAAAAATAAAAAATAAAATAAACAATTTCACATCTGAATTAAAGTATTAATATACTTACTATTTATAGGTACAGAATCATTTTAAAATAGAAAAAATATATACTCACTAGTCTTTTTTAATTATTTATATAAATTAGTTGAAACCCTTTAACAGTACCCTATTACAGTATAAAAACTAAAATCCACAGAATTCAGAAAAGTACAAGCGAGTAACACACCAAAATAGGTCGCACAGTTACCTACAATGTTTTTTGTTGTTTAAAGTGCTAATGCTATAGACATCAGCAAGTAGAAGACATGTATCAAATACACCCTCAACTCTGGAAGCTAACACAGAAGTTTACATAATATGTTCAAAGTTATACAGTTATAAAGAAATAGTACTCTCCCTCAAATACACTTTCCCTTGAATGTTCTTAAAGCATATATGGTTTGAACTGTGAAATAAAAAGTACATGAACACTTTTGTATGAATTGAGGATAAGTCTCGTCCTATCCATGTGGCATATACAAACACAGTTATAACATATTATCTGGTTGACAGTAACCATCCAGATTAGTAATTATCGCTTCAATGGCACATAAGCTACTCTTTTATTTTGCAACTGGACACACCTTAAGTGCATTTTTCCCCCATCTTTTCTGTCTTTTTCCTCTTCTCCAATGTATATTCTCCAACCTAACATTTACTCAACCTAATGTTTACATAGGGGTGGCAGCACTTGCTTAAGGAGTAAACATTAAATATACCTTGGGGATGTCTTTTTCTCAACTTTAGAAGGATGACAACTTTGATATTCAGCAAAGAATAAGGAGAGAGACAAAGTGAGTGAGAGGTATGAGGTAGCACACGTTCTCTTTACATAAAGGCATACAACCATCTGTAAAGGATATTTATTGGGGAAATGCTAGTAAATAACCATACAGTCCATGTGTCATCTCTTCTATGCAATCAACATCATCAACAAGGTTGAAAAATCTAAAACGTTAGGCTGGTTTATTAGAGTTATTAAAAGAATTCAGACACCTATAAAATTAAAGTAGAATAAGTAAGCCCTCTTTTATGTTCTAAAAAAAAAAAAAGTCTAACAACTGTTAAAACATATGTAAATGTCTAAATTCCCTCCTAGAAGCTTTCTACCTTTATACATAAATTCACCAAACTTCAAGAATAGACTGAAAGCAAGTTCACCTTCAAATCCACAATGCCTATGGGCAAAGTTAAGCTCTCAACAGATAGGTGTTGAATTACTGAGAAGAGACTACAGGAAACACTCAATAATTATTGACTAGCTTGTCTCCCTGTTTTCAGTTCTTACTCCCTTCAAAACACTATCCATGCTGCCACTAGTTATCTTTCAAAATAGTAAAAGTATATTCATATCATTACTATAATGAAAACCCTTTAACAATGCCTTATTACATAAAGAACTAAGTTAAAATGCCTTATTCAAGTAATCTGGCCCTCTACTTAACAATCCATTCTCATTTTTTGCTATGTCCCACACCTTACCATCCGTCAAGTATACTAGCAGGCCGGGTGCAGATGGCTCACACCTGTAAACCCAGCACTTTGGAAGGCTAAAGCGGGCAGATTGCTTGAGGCCAGAAGTTCGTGACCAGCGTAGCCATCATGGCAAAACCTCATGTATTTGTATTTTTGTGCTAAAAATACAAAAATTAGCTGGGCGTAGTGGCACACGCCTGTGGTCCCAGCTACTCGGAAGGCTGAGGCATGAGAATTGCCTGAACACGGGAGGCAGAGGTTGCTGTGAGCTGAGATCATGCCACTGCACTCCAGCCTGGGTGACAGAGGAAGACTGTCTCAAAAAAAAAAAAAAAAATGTATGCTAACAAACCATCTAATGCTCCTGACCTCCATGACTCAATCCTTCAAAACTAATTTGTGTCACTTTCTCGGTCTGCAATTCCATGCTTCAGTGACTCAACTATACCCAGGGAAGTTGGAATACTCTCACCTCTCTAATACCACTATATCTTTTATATACCTTTGTTATGTTTATGATTTTAAAGTTATAATTATTTCTTTACATTTATATTTCATCAATAGTCTGCAAATTTGCTTTAATTTTATATCCAATCTAAACACATATCCTAACAAATACATTAAAAAATGCCTGTTTTTTAAAAATGTGTATACATACACAACTGTAAAATATTACAAAATGTTACGTTTTTAATGTAAAATGTTATAAAACTGACAAAATAAAATATTAAATTTTTTTTTAAGTTCTCCTGTGTTCTTCCCAAATTCCAATGAAACGCTGTGCAAATGGCCTTCTTTGGAAGCCAGTACACTAGCATGTGAATTCTTTAAAGGCAAGAAATTATGTCTCATTCATCTTTGTATACCCAGTACATATGTACTTGACATATAAAAGATGATCGATGCTGAGAGTCAGAGGGTGAAAAAAAAAGATGATTGATGAAATTCTTTCTGGACAAGCTAATAAACTAAGGGACTGAAAAGATTTTAAATATTATTTCAAAAAAATTCTTTTTCTAACAGTGGCCCTGATTTGGTGATACAAAATAAATAATATTGTTAATCATCCATAAAGACTCCATAGTAAATTAAAGAATTAAATATACGATACTTTCAATTATAAATGCATCCCAATATCAGAAATGTAAAAATATACGTGGCTTAAAATCATAAAATATGGTAATAGGCACACAATAAATATGTATTGAATAAACAATTATTGACCTAAGGACAAAAAGCATAACAATCATTTTTAGAATAAAATATAGATTAATTTCTTAAACAAAACAAAAAGTATAATATTTGGGAAGGTCTGATGAGATTGACTTTATTAAAATTTAAAGCTTCTGTGCATTAATAAACACTGATTTGGAAAACATATTGCCACACATATAACCAGGAAAGGACTAGAATCTAGGAAAGATAATTGACTCCTACATATTAAGAAGAAAAAAAAGAGACAGAAAACCAAATAGAACAAACTTGCAATTAAGTTACAAAAGAAAAATACAAACAAATAAAAATAAACCTCAGAAATATGTCCAACTTCATTGGTAATCAGGGAAAAAAACAGACAACCAAATAGGAAAAACAGAAGATTGTATTATAAGATTATACAAACTTGCAATTAAATCATATAAATTCCAAACAAGTAAAAAAAAAAAATAAGAAATATGTTAAACCTTGTTAGTAATCAAGGAAAAGCAAATTAAAACAGGATGATACCATTTCACACACATCAAATTGGTAATAATATAAATGTGTGATAAAACGAACTTTGGCAAACTGAAACAACTATTTCTGAGAGAAATTTAGCAATGCAGATAATATAGCTGAAGCTGCTGATTTAATCACCATCTCCATGATACACTAATGACGGAACAGAGTTTTTAAAAACACTTCCCAGGTAATTACATTCCAAGAATGAGAACAACTGTCCTAGCGAAATTTTCATGTGCGCACAAGAAAAAAACATAAAATTGTTCAATATAGTAGTAATATAAAAGCAAAAAATGGAAACCTTAATGTTCATCAAAAGGAAAAAGGATAAATTCTGTATATTTATACAATTTAATACTCAATGGTAATTAAAGTGAATGAACTAAATCTAGACATATTAGTACAAATAAATCTCAACATTATCTTGTTGAGCAAAGGTCAGCAAAGGTATAGTACAATAACATTTATATAACACCAGAAACCTTGCAAAAGAATATCATATATATTTCATGGATACACACATAGGTAGTAAAAGTATCTGAAACATTCATGGGAACAATAAACACACCAAATTCAGGGTAGAGGCTGATTCTGGGCAAGAGATTTGAGATTAGGAGAGAGGTGTAACTAAGAAACTTCTATTGGATTCGTAATGAATCATGTCTTATTAAAAAGAAAGTGGACCAAAAGTATGAAGTTTTAACAAATCTAGCTGGTCAGTACATGAGTATTCCTTACATTATTTTTCAGACTCTTCTATATGGTGAAATTTTTCATATTTTTAAAAAGTATTAGAAAACTGCTATCTAAGAGACAGTACTCAGCTAAGAAGTGAGAGTAAGCCCAGACTGAACATGTATTAAAGCAGAGCTCAGTGTCAAGAAGTAAAGGAGACAGAACTTCCCTACTCACAAAGAAACAAAGCCACCCCGCCACCCCTTATGTCTAGTTATAGGCCAATGAATGTTATTCCAAGATCTGTGATGAGATTAAGCCAGTTCTGGAAAGCAGTACTTATGAGGAATACAGTCAAACAGAACAAAATAAAACTTGATGTTTTCTGGCCCTGAGGCTCTTAAATTTGAAGTTCTTTGTTTTAAATACAGAATTTCAATCAAAAAATTAGATGTGTGCATTAAAAATGTCCAGAAAAAAATGTCTTTTAATAACCTGGATTAATGCAATCCTGAATTAATACTGCAATTTATTACCCATTCAACAGCTCATAATCAGTTTCTCTTTTGTTTTGTTGCTGTTTTGGTGACAGAAATAAACTCATGAGATTTAAAAGAAAAAAGTACAGGATAATTAAAATCAGAAATGTTCATTTTATGAAATGCTGTCTTATTTTATCAGAGTTATGCCATTATTCTTTACTCACTTGCAAGTTAAAGAAACCTAAAACAAAGAAATGTGTGAAAATTAACAATAAGAGAAAGAAAAGGAGATATAAAAGGATTAAAAAAAAGATTCCCAGTGAGTAACCTGAGTCACAAATTTTCTTTCCTACTATCTCTAAGGCAGCACCAAAGACTATTGTCAAAAATACATTCATTATTTCAGTAATAACTTGTATTTTATAAATTATAGGTACTTACATTGAATTTAATTATGTCATATATCAAATATCTAGGAACAGCCTGTCCATTTACTCTGTCAATAATCATCTCCTTGAAAGAGAAAAGAAGGTAAGTTTCTTCATACTTTAATAACAATTTTTTTTAATTTAATTGAAATATGGCATACACACAGTAAGCACATAAACCATAAATATACAACTTGATGAAATTTCAAAGTGAACACACTTGTACCCAGATCATATCAATAAACTGTTAGCCCCCCATCCCCATCATGCATTTATTCTATACTGAAATAGAATCACCTGACAATATCTCATCATATTTTTCATATTTGAATTTCCATGCTACATTTTGCTTTATGCTTGAATTACTAAGTGACAATTAAGGGTAGGAAGACTACAAATTTTAAATTCTAAACGTCAGGATCTTTTTTAAAAATATTTTTGTTTAATCATTAATGCTTTAAATTTTGTTATACACCAATTACTTTAATCATAAAATCTATGACAATAAATGGCATCCTCATTATAGATTTAATTCCCATGTGAGCCATGTGGCCTTTCTTGGTTTCATACCACTTTACTAGGCTTTGTTCAAAGGGAACAGGGCAAGGGAGTATGAACAGATCACTGCAAATCTACCATAGCCATTAAAAAGTCAAAAAAAATGCAGTCTGACAGAACAAGATAAGGACATTAAAGGATGACTACAGGTATAAAATGCAGTATTACTTAAAATTTTAATTATTAATATGTTTTTGACCTAAAATTATTTTTCTTTCCTCATATTCTTACTAGGAAACCAGATAGGTTTTCTTGCTATCTAATTTTATAACAGAAATTCCATGTACAACCATCTAAAATTACAAAAAAAACACACTGATTTAGGAAAAATATATTTTGTTGTTGTAAGAAAGCATTACCTAAGCCTAAGTACAAGGAGTGTAGTTATTTCTACTTGAAGAATAAGAGAAAGTTTGGTAATAAGGTACATGACCATTAGCTGCATCCTGAAAGATGCAGAGTATATTTTCCAGCAGGATAGTGGATAGGCCAAATGGTATAACAAAGGCATGAAATTGTCCAAAGCTGAGTATTTGTGATTAGCAATCACAATCAAAGATGAGACTGAAGACACAGGCACGCTTCAGATATAAAGAATATTATATTGAACAGTTTGGCTTTTGTGCTATGAATAACAGGGAACCACTGAAGGGTTTTCAAAACCTGTGGGCCTTCAAGGCTCATCTCTGTAACTCATTCCTTGAAATCTTTCATATAAGGCTCCCTTGGTTCTAATCATCACAGTCCATATAGGTGATGAAATGTTCTGGAATTAGATAGTGGTCTTGATTTTATGACCTTGTGGAAAAGACTAAAAACCACTAGATTGAACATCTTAAAATAGTGAATTTCATAGTATGTAAATTGTATCTCAATTTTTTTTAAAAAAAGAACTAAATTTAAAAAAAAAAAAAATCCTAAAAGCAGTTCTTCAGATTGAAGAGGAATAACAGAACCCCAGATACATAACATATATTAAATGTCAGCTATATACATATTGGTTATACATGTTATATAATTATTAGCACAACAAAGTTACTAAAAGGATATTTCCTTTTAACATCAAAATATAAAATGTCATCTCTTGATTGTTTATTTTTTCTAAGTTTACAGACTTTCTAAAATTTCAACAATAAGCATGTAGTGTTTTATAAAAAATTAATAGTTGAAAAAGACATGGAATTTTTCCAAAATTCTTGCCATTAACTTTAATGATTAACTGCTATATTCTTATCTTAGTCTCAATATTAAGTTGATTAAATTTCACTGATGTGTTTCAAGTGAATTAATGCAGTATTTCTAAATTCCTATTTTCCACATTTTATAGGTCAAAGAACATAGTTAAGCAAAGCAAAACAAAAGCTTCAATGCTCACATCTGACAGTCAGACAATTAGGTGGTTTGAATTATTCTTGGATTTGGAATTTTACAAAAACAATTTGCACATGAAAATGTAGAAGAAACAGGAAACTACAGGACTGTTTTAATTAACAAAAAAAAACAGATATGGCAACTATAATTCTAGCCCAAGTAAATTGACATCATGAATCATACTGCTATTTTTAAAACTTCACAAGAATCTATTATGCCGCTCTCAGTTATCCAAGTTTGAGGTGAAATAAATAGTATTGCTAAGTTAAATCTGTAGATGGTTAAATATCTAATTTTTAAGCATTATTTCCTACCTAGAATGCCCTCAGCCCACGTCCATCAAAAATCTTTCTATAGAAATCTTTCTGTTTCTAATGCCAACTCCTACACAAAACATATTTAGTTCCTAACTAACTAGATGTGATTTATTTCTCCTCTAAACTACCTCAGGACTTAAATACCTCTCTTTGGGTTATTGTTTTATTCAAAGGTCTCTTCCATCATTACCATTCATTCTCCACCCTGCTCAATTAAGCAAAATGTTTCAAGGGTGAGGCCTTCTCCTCAACCCTCTAAGCAATACCCGTACTCTTGGTATAGCAACTCATAATAGGCACTCAACAAACATTAGTTCAATTATAAACTATACTAAACTTTGACAAATGCTATTACTTAAGTCTTTTCCTTTCTTATATTTTATTAATTATAATGCTAAAAAAAGTACCTTAAATAAAGATAACAAAAACTAAAATGTTCCTGCTGTTCCCATGAACCAACTACCAGAGCTGCCACAAATGACTATGACTTTTATGTACTATACAACCCCAAGGGTACCAGTCACATTAACTATGATAGTTAAATCTATACACATATAGATACATATACATGTACATATGTATATATATATCATTTTTATTAGAAAGTGGTATTTTGTTACTCATGCTGTCACAGGAATGAAAATTTACTAGATACAGGAAAAAATACAAAAATCAAAATGTCCAACAAAAGGGAACTGGTTAAATAAATTACAGAACTATTTCTCAAACTTGCCTAATTACAATCACTTGGTCACTTGTACGGACATGTAGGCCCCTGGGAGATTCCAATTCATATGGTCTAGGATATGCTATTGGAAAGGGTCATATTTTAAACAAGCAATTTTTTAACCCTACAATTTTCACAGTCAAGATAGTTTGGAAACCCCAATTTATGGTCTCTATATACACAATGGTAAACCATTCAGACATTTATGTGAAAAAGATGTCCAAAACACATTGCTAAGTGTGGGGAAAAAGACAAGTTACTAACCACATGTAACATATGTTTCTCTTCATGCAAAATTATATAACTATCCATATGTATACATATTTGACCAGAGCACTCATTTAACACCCTTTACATATCTTTAACAAATTTCTCCACCAAAGAAAATATCTCAAAGTCTTACTTATGCTCAAAGATTCAGTTGGCAGATCTCTCTTTAAGAGGACCTTAATTCAATATAAGTATACATAAGAAATAAATGAAATTTAACATCCTAATAAAAGTTAGATTTGGCTGGGCGCAGTGGCTCATGCCTGTAATCCCAGCACTCTGGGAGGCTGAGGCGGGTGGATCACGAGGTCAGGAGTTCAAGACCAGCCTGACCAACATGTGAAACACCTTCTCTACTAAAAATCCAAAAATTAGCCGGGCGTGGTGGCACATGCCTGTAATCCCAGCTACTGGGGAGGCTAAGGCAGGAGAATCACTTGAACCCAGGAGGCAAAGGTTGCAGTGAACCGAGATCCCGCCACTGCACTCCAGCCTGGGCGACAGAGCGAGACTCCGTCTCAAAAAAAAAAAAAAAAAAGTTAGATTTCATTCGAAATTTCTTAACCAACAGAAATACACATTTACTTACAAGGAAAAGAAAAATGGCAATGTTTAATTTTATAGTATACATAAATATGACTTACGCCATCCAAGAGAGTATTTGATAAATGCATACGAAGATCTTTACGAAATGGAAATTCCAGATTTGAAACATGAAATACTGAATTGTCTCTATCAATCATAAAAACTTCATTTGTGCCATCAATCAACATCATGTACCTGTAAATGAAACATTAAAAAGCTAATATTTACAGTATAATATCAAGAACAGGGTCATGAGAAATAACATACTGGTTTTCCATAGACCTTAAACATCTGTAGACTAATGTTCACTGGAGTCTCTTTATCATGTAGATTAAAGTATCACAAATAATAATTTTTTTTTTTTTTTTGGAGACAGAGTCTTCCTCTGTTGCCCAGGCTGGATGGAGTACAGTGGCACAACCTTGGCTCACTGCAACCTCCGCCTCCCAGGTTCAAGCAATTCTTGTGCCTCAGCCTCCAGAGTAGCTGGAATTACAGGTGTGTGCCACCATGCCCAGCTAATTTGTTTGTTTTTTCTTTCTTTTTTTTAGTAGAGATGGGGTTTCACTATGTTGGTCGCGAACTCCTGGCCTCAAGTGATCTGCCCACCTCAGCCTCCCAAAGTGCTGCGATTACAGCGATGAGCCACCACGCCTAGTCCACAAATAATAATTTTTTTAACTTTTTTCATTTCCTATAGAAAACACAGAGTATAGGGAATTCTAAGTTTTTTATGGAGATAATGTGATATTCAGGAGTAACCTTATGAATCCATCCTAACAGAGAATGGTTCTCTAATTTTTATGAGATCTTAAACATTGAAGCCTTTCAAAGTTTACAAAATACACATATACACATATATAAATGTACTTTACTAGCTCAATAACTATATGGATTAGGTATTCTCTCCACTTCAAAATAGAAAAAAGCAGTGAAAAACATTAAGTGATTTGCCATTTGCCAGACTTTAAATTATCCAGTGCTCTTTCTACCATACCTGTTAGCAAAACAGCTAATCCCTCTCTTTGAATCAATATCATGATATAGCCAGGTACCACAATATCAGGTATAACTTTTCTTCTCATTTATGACTATAAAATTAAAATATTTTTAAACACAGCCATAAGATTTTCAATTATCTCTTATCTTCTTAAACTCAATCAACATATGGGGGAATTCATACACTTAACAACCTGTCATTCTTCAAATGGTTAGGTTATCATCACTGATTTCCCATCAGCAAATCAAGAATGGAGTTCTATTTCACACCACATATAAAGTCCAGATGGACTGATGTTGAAGACATTACAGTCTGGGAAGCTATGCTACCAAATGGATAATAAGAAGACTTGGGGTGAAAATGAAGATCAAATCCAAGAACCAAAGTCTTCAAAGAATGAGAAAAAATTTATAGCAAAAAAGATTAGAAAGTTAAAAGGCATAAGCCTCAAAGAAACAGAATCATTTTGTTAGGCTGTTTTTGTTTGGTGTTTGGTGTTAAATGAAAGAATGGAAGAAGAGTGGTCTGGAGGTACCAACGAAAATGAAAGAGAACACTGACCAGACTGCCCAACCTCCTACCCGCAAAGTACCTGAGGTATGTCCAAAAAAAAGGCAGCAACGACTGAAAGATGCAGCTGAATCAAGTTAAGATTAGGGGACAGAAGAAATATTACATGAAGACATGCAAGCTAACAGAGTATATGGAAGCTAATATAATAGTGGATAACTGGCTAACCACAAACCAATGTTCTGAAGAGCAAAGTACACATGTTTAGGATAGGTGAGGAGAAATAGGAGAGCTGATGAAGGGAAAACAAGTGTACAAACAAAATGGAAAAGAGCAGCATGGAAGACCAAAGGGGCTTATGTTTTTGGATTAGATTGTGAAGTATGTTGTTCTTTGCTGTTTCCAAAATAATCAGTTCCAAAAAAAAAAAAAGTGAAAAAAGAAAAAGGAAAGGAAAAAAGGCAACATAATAGAAAAAAATTTTTTTAAAGTTTTAATAATAATGATAATTAGTTCCAGCAGGTGTCTGGGGAGCAGATGGAGAGCTCAGGCCCTTGCTATAATAGCTGCAGCCCTAGTAGATGGGGAGTGTGGGGACTCAGGTTTCACTAGGAAAAATAAATTCAGCCTCAGTCTGGACTGACTGTGTATCTGAAAGACTCCTAGACCAAATGCCAGGCCAGCTGGCACACAGACAACAGGAATACTTAGTTCGCAAGACCCTCTGGCACATGCTTTTCAAAAGCAGCAATTCCTGGTGGATAGAGAGAATCTAAGCTACTTGGAAGAAGTAAGCTTTGCCTTGGATTATGTTTCAAAAGGAATTTAAATCAACAAAAGGGAAGATCAAATAAAAAGCAATGATGACATCATCTGCAAAAATGGCATGGAAGACACACAACCCATCATGTTGTTAAGGACTTAGGCTGGCATTTTGCAAAGCTGATATTCACCAAAAGGGTATTTCAAGGCAAATAAGTTAGGAAACCACTGTATCTTTCTCTTAGAACGTCAAGATATATATTAGGATATTTAAAGTTATGATAAAATATATAAATAAATCTGTTCATCTTATTTAGTCCATTGTTTCCTAAACTTAATCCTGATATCTGTTAAAATTTGACAGAATTGGTATTCTATACTTACAATTTGAGAAAAGCTGACTTAAGCTAATAAATGTTAGAATTCAGAAAAAAGAAATGGTTTACTCTTATGATCATGTAATAATGATAACTGAAATTATATTTCCCCTTTCACTGACTGCCCAGAAGTTGAGAATTTTAAATTTAATGTTTAAACACAATAGGTATTATCCCAGGGTGAAGATGTATTTATTTTACACACACACACACACACACATCTTAGTATCAGACCTTTTCTTTTAAATCAAGTAGAGTATCAATCAAAAGAAAATATTTTCTATGCACACATGTGTATAAACAGATTTAAAAGACTAAGGAAGAAAAAGCTTTAGAGGACGGGATTTACAAAAGGATAGCTTCTGCATCTGCAGAAACACCAGAGAAATTATTTAGCACTTGGTATTTAGGGATTCTTCTGCACACATAAATTTTCAGGCTTTGGAACACAAGTTCCTGAGCTATGATTTTTAGTTTGAACTCCAGTCATTCCAAATCATATGTTCTTTTGTTATGCGATACTAACAAAAAGTAAGGAGCTATTTCATGTAAGGAATGTGGAAATATTTCCACATCACTCCAAAGTCCCTGAAAGCAGCCAGATTCTTTAAAAAGAAGCAACTACCTCACAAACTGTCAGATACTGCCTTAGTATATAACTATGATGCAATATAATTTCTTATTAATTAGGAAATTATCTCAACTGCAAATTTAATATTCAGAATTATCAATAGGTATTTGTATTATATTCATTCATTCCCATTAAAAGGCAAAATTTAATTCAGTATACGTTTCCCAGATAGAAAATGCTAAAGTATATAAACCAAAGGTATATGGATTACAGAAAAGCCAGATGTATAGACTACTTTACTGTAAATGCAGGTTTTCTACCAAAACTGGAAATAATCTTTCAGAGCAGTTGCTGAGATGTGAGATATATAATTAAGTAAAACAACCAAATATACATTAATAAAATTAGGAAGTACATAATTAAAGAGAAGGAAAACTGACAGAAAACAATGGTAACTAATACCACCTTAGAGTCCTAATTCACATTCCTCCCAGTAGTCTGAGAGTAAAATGGTCGTTAAACTCCTGGTAATTTAAAGTTATCACCAATTTAGACCCAACTCTGATCATCAATTCAGGAATTTATCTTATACTCTATGAAGGCAGAAATCCTATCTATTTTGTTCCTTCTCACAGCTTAAGTATCTTGCACAGTCTACCTGAATACACACTAAAGGAAGGCACTCAATATTTGTTAAGCAAAGCTGTATGTACAACAAAGTTCATCATAATATTTTATAACAGTGAAAGGATAAAAACTCAAATGTCCATCATTCAGCAAATAGGTAAAATAAATATTGCATATTCATGTAAAAGCATACTAGTCAAGCATTTTTTAAACAATGATAAAAATATTCATTAATATGGAAAGAGATTTACAATATATTTAGTGGGAAAAAAGCAAGTTTAAAACCAGAATACATTAAATAATTACAGAGGAAAGGAGGAGGACAAAACTGTATGTATATCGTAAATATAGAGTAAAGCCTATACCAAAATAGTAAGAGCTGCCCCATCTCTATGTATTAGAATTATCAATGATATTTGCTTTCCTCATTAAGCTTTTCTGTACTTTCAAAATTTTTAGAAATAAACACAAATTGCTTTTAGACACAGGGGGCAAAATTAAAGCTTTACAAGGGGGAAAAAAGCCACCAAGCCAGAAATGTAGTCTATAATCAGACCCAGAGAAACATTTTCCCTTTGCAAAGTGGCAATGAATTAAGACAGGATTCTAACCCTTGTTCTTTGTACCACAGTGGCTTCAAAACAACAGATATTCCTCTTCTTCTGTCATACAGCCTCCATACTAGAGCATTTTGATGGGCAATAAAAACAGAAAAGCTGATCATTTACATTGATTTATTTCACCACCATCTCTATCTCTATCCATTTTTCCTAGCCCCTATCAAACTTATTATGGCTTTTCTCTTAAATTTTTTAATCAATTATTTTTTAAAATATAAGTTAAAGGGCCGACCTGGAGCCAGTCTAGATGCTAGGCAGTACTAGATGCTAGGGTTATAACAGCAAATGGCACAGACTCTCTTCTCAACTTCACATCATTTACACTCTTAAAAAGAAAACAAGATATTAAATAATTCCAACCATAATACATATTAGAACAGTGAAGAAGAAGCTATTACAGGAGCCTACAAAGGTAGAGCCTGTCAGAGTTTGGAGATCATGGAAGGCATTCCAGAGGAATTCATGCATAGCTGATAATAACAACAGGTTACACTTACTGAGCAATTACTATGTTCTGAAGAAAAGAGCACTTTTATTAACTCATTTATTAACTCATTTAATCCTTACAACAACCTCACCAGGTCAGTAAAATTATTATCCCCATTTTCCAGATGAGGAAACTGAGACATTGCCCAATGTCATAACGCTGACACAACGGCAACGCTGATATTAAAATTTAGACAATAGTTTGTTTGTACACCCTCTACAGTATACTAACCCTCACATTCAATATGTAGGAGTCAACCCAGCACAGGTTGTAATGTGAGAGAAGAAGAGAAATGAGGGATGGGAGGGTTGGAGTACACAGACTAGTAGGTGCAATGTCCTTCAGACAAGATAGAATGCAGCAATGTTCTGGTAACTAAAAAAGGTTCAGAATACTCAAGTGTAAAGAGAAAGCAGGAAAATGGTATGAAATGAGACTAAAGAAGTAACAGACAAATAGGAATTATGAAAACTTTTTTTTTTTTCTGAGACAGGATCTCACTCTGTCACCCAGGCTGGAGTGCAGTGGTGTGAACATAGCTCACTGCAGCCTCAAACTCCTGGGCTCAAGCAATCCTCCCACCTCAGCCTCCAAAAGTGCTGGGATTACCGGCATAAGTCACCGTACTCAGTCTGAAAATCTGTTTAATCCCCCCACCCCCAGCTACTAGTTATTTTAACTTTTTTTTTTAACTTTATCTTAGAAAACAAAAAACTACTTGTATGAGACAAACAGAAACCATAATGCAGAATTCAAACCCAGGAGATATATATAATACAGCACATTGGTTACAAAGATACTGGAAAGCTGAGAACATAGAACAGGAAGGCTGAAATAACTCAGAGATTAATAGTTGCAGGAAGCACTATGACCCGCAGGACTAGGGGAACAAAATGAAAGAGGTCTGTTATTGAAAAGCTAGGAGCTTGGAAGAAAAGCATTATAGGGCTATGCCTGGAAGAAGGTGAAAGAGGTCCATGTGGCAGAATGCTCTAACCTCTAAGGAGGTGGCCACAAATGGCCCTGTAGCTTAAGTTTGAATCCCTATGAACAGGTGTCCAATAGAGGATGGTCAAACCACTAAGGGAATAAAGTCCAGCAGGTTAGGAAGTGATACAAGTGGCACTCTATCTACCTAGGATGCCTTGCCCAGAAGCTGGTATCTCTGAGAGGAAACAGCAAGACTGGTGCAGAGAGTGACAAAAGAAGTTGGAGAATGGAGTAATAGTTGTCCTTTGCTATTGGAGGTGTCCTTACAGAAACTGGGAATAAGAGTAGTCCCTTCTCTCACCTTCCAAATTCCTGCCTGTGCTCCCAGTGGTAAAACTTAACACGAAGTAAGCTGGCAAGGGAGTCTGGGAAATGTAGGTTGCAAAGTCCCAGCCCCTAACACAGAATAAAAGGGTGGACTCGAACTGAGAGATGGGAGGTAAATAAATGCAGACCACTAAAATGTTTTAAGCAAACTAATGACATAATCTCACCTGCATTTTTAAAAGTTCATCACCACATAATGTATACCCCAACAGAATAGGGGTCAATCTGTAGACAAGAGAAATTATAAGGCCTCTGTAATAGACCATGTGAGAAATCACAGTGACTACGACAGTAGTAACAATAATTTTAGAGATAAATAGATAAACTCAAGATATTCAAGTTGCAGACTGACAGTAATTCAATATGCTATTTACTGGATATGTGACTGAGAAAATGAGAGAAGTTCCAAGTTCTGGCTTCAGGAACTGGGCATATTTACTGAGCCATGGGGCATTTAAGAAGGAAGCAGTAATTGTCCCATTTTGTTTGGAAGAAACGATGGACACCATGAGTTTAGATGGAAACCAAAGGCCCAGATTTTCCCTACCCCTAGCAGGCTGGAAATAGGCTCAGGATCTAGACCAGACTATCCATGTTCCTTTCCCAAAACTTTTAACTTGAGTGACAGAGAGGCACAAGAATAGTTGCAGAATTATTTATAGCAACAGCAAAGACATTGTCAGCAAGTGCTAATGGTGGCTTCCTAATCAAAGTGTTCCTGTGCCCTGACCTTGGCTCTGGTCCTTGCTGCTGGCTTCCCTTGATTCCTATCCATTTTCCAAAAGTGGTTCTCCTTATTTATTCCGTTGCATAAATTAGCCAAAGTTGATTTCTATTGCTTACAGTCAAGAAGGCTAAGCATAGTGATACACGTCTGTAATCCTAGCACTCTGGGAGGCCAAAGCGGAGAATCACTTGAGGCCAGGAGTTCAAGACTAGCCTGGCCAAGATAGTGAGACCACATCTCTATTTTTTTTTTAACTTAAAAAAAAAAAAAACATGTTAATGGGTTTTTTGTTGTTGTTGTTTTTGCCTCAATATATACAGCTAAATGTAAGGAGGTTTAATGTGCCTATGATGAAATCCCACTGTAATGTCCCTAACATATCCTTAATACCAAGGGTTACATAATACTAGCCCTTTACCTGGTAACTTCATGCCAAGAGACACACCATCTATTTACCATCCTTCAACATAGACAAGTGTATAATGCTAATTCTAGAGTTTACTTTCTCTGTACATCTTTTCTCTCATAAGAATTCACTACCAAACCTCTGCTATTTCTATACAAGCTACCTTTCTTCTCATTTTTATTCCCAATAGAATTGGCACAGAAGTCCCTGAAAGCTAATTCTCAATGTTGTATTAGTATACAGAAATAAATTCAAGTATACTAAAATTTCTTATAAAGAAAATTCAGACCACTTTCCCAGACAGAATATATAAACCTTCCTCACATAGGAGCAGTTGGTCACACCATGCCCCCTACTCACCAACACCTGTCATGTGTTCAAAAAACAATACAAGAACAGCTGACTTGCCAAACTCCAACTTTCTTCCTTCCCCATGGGGCTCATGCACACTTTGCCTGTTTCTCTCATTACCTCACTGCTCAGTAAATTCTGCCTCTGATAACCTCTTTTGCAAGATATACCCATGTCTTCTTTAACCCATTTTTTCCTGTTTCTTTCAACTCTTTTTTTTAAATAAGAAATCTTAAGTATATTTTACAACTTTTTAAAAAGAAAAAACGTATTTCTCCTTCTCACCTCCTTTAACTTAGTTCCATTCATGAACCAACGAAAACTCTGATCAAAGCTAGTGACACTTCTGTATAAAGCAAAATTTAAAGTAATAAGTTGTTTAATCCATCTAGACAATAAAGAATCAGTGTCAAAACCCCTTTCACAACCTCCTTATATAATAGTCTCTATCTCCTTATCTTATAAAATCCAGTTTTCCCCAAAGTTTTTAAATTATTCAAAATAGTTTTCATAAACTTCTTATGTTACAATGGCAGTTTGCTTAATTACCAGTGTTGAAACAGTACATTTTGTCATTTTTCATAGTATATATACATAATAAGTAATTTAGCTACCTTAGGAATAAGCTTTAGAGGCTAGTTTAGGCACCTAATTATGATTTATACTATAATTCCATAGAAATACAATCTAAACTTAATGAATCTCAGAAAAAGACCAGATAATTTAAACATCATTTGTTTGCATCTGTGATATTGTGAAATATACATATATTTGTTCTTCAACCGTTTCCTGGCATACAAATCCTAAAATCCTCAGAAACACCAAAATGATGCTTTCTTGTATATTAATGAGTTGACTGATGGTTGGCAGCTCTAGGTAGCTTCGGGATGGGGACTAGGAAAGAACATGGCAAGATTAGAGTGTTGGGACTTTCAACACCACCCCACATCTTCTAGGAAGGAGAACGGGCTGAAGATTAAGTTGATCACCAATGGTCAATGGTTTACTCCCTCACGCCTACATAATGAAGCCTCCACAAAAGACCAAGGACAGGGTTTGGGGAGCTTCCAGACAGCAGAACACGTGGACGTTACTGGAGGGTGGCACATCCAGGGTGGACGTGAAAGCTCTGCACTCTTTTCCCCATGCTTCATCCTATGCATCTCTTCATCTGTATTCCTTGTAATATCCTTTAAAATAAACCAGTAAACGTAAGTTTCCCTGAATTCTGTGAGTTGCTTTAGCAAATTAATTGAATCCAAAGAGGGGGTTGTGAGAACTCCAAATTGAAGCTAGCTGGTCAGAAGTTCTGGAGGCTAAGACTTGCAACTGTGTCTGAAGAGGGGGCAGTCTTGAGGACTTTACCTTATGTCATCTTCCCAGAAATTCAATGGACTCATATTAAGATCCTCAGTTTCACATTAACAAATTTAAAAGAACACACACACACAGTAACACTGTCTAACCATTTTTTGACTTTTTACTGCTGCTAACAGTCAGTGAAATGACAACATAGCTCTAACATAATCTCTTTACCAAAAACTATCAAAATTTTCATTCGGCAATATAAGAGATTCTAACCCTACAGTTATTTTTGTTTTGACTTATTGATTCTGTAAGTACAGCAGGCCTCTTCAAAGAATGAGCTCTTCTTTCACACTCGTACCACATCAACTTAAAGTCATGAAACAGATGTGACTGATTATGGCTTTATGGTCTTAAATTCACTTTAAGCCCACAGCTCCCTTCTATTATGTGATCACTTACATGAACACAACAGTAATTAAGCAGACAACATGTATTATTTAATTTTAAATTGCAAAGCCTATTCACTTCTTCACCAATTTAATTGTCAAATTAATCTAACTAGTCTTTGATCTTAGAATGTTAATTGTATATTAAACGGCAGGCCAGCAGCATGCCACTGAAGATTTGGACAATTTGCCAACATTTAAATGTCTTCTACATAAGCATAGCCATCTTTAGTTTATATGTGGCTTCTACCACAAATTTTTTACTATGTCCTGTTTATCTAAACAGTTTAATCTTAATGAACAGTACTGGGTAAATTATGTCTATAGAAAAGTCGACAGTCAAAAGACTGTAACTTTCATTTTAATTTTAGTTAATTCATCACAAGTAAATTTTGAAGACGTAGAGATACCTACCATAAAGAATCAAAAAATCTCAAGCCTTATCAAAGTACCGTGTGTGCTTATTTCTATTAACAGATTATTAATCGTCTTCAAAGTCTGTTTCAAGAAAGTCCCTTCAACCATCAAGATTTAGAGTCTTGTGTAAATCTGTCAATTTAAAAAGCAACACTATGACAGAGTTTGGCAGGGCATGGGGCCCAGTGTCAGTTTCTAGATTCCTCTCTCTTATTCCACAAAATTAATGACATATTAAATACCAAGTGTAAGGAAGGAGCAAATTTTTTCCAAACTACTCAACAATTTTAAAAAATTAATTTGCAAACTGTCAATGGTATGACTGCTATAATTATGGGCTCTGATGAAAAATCCAAGTTCCAGAGCCTGTAATTCCAGACTCAATAGTGCTTGCTATCTAGATCCCTAAAAATCAAGCAGGCAGACTGGAACCAAAAATCTCATCCAATATTATGAAGGTCCAACTCCTAACTATATGCTTTAACTTCACAGTTGCAACTTGCTTATTCTCCTCTCATTTTGCCATCCTCCACTGCTCAGGAATTTGTATATGTCTGTTTCTAAGCCCATGTAGCTATACTACTACACCAGCCTGTCTCAAAATACATATCTTCAAATTCCTATTCAAAACTCCCATGAAATCTCCCATACTCCAATTAACAGGTCCTAGTCAAAGCACTCTATCACTCCAATTTGTCCAGGAATTATATAGCTACTACATATAATAAATGATCACATCATGGTGAAAGAGAAGCATACAGGGAGCAAGTAGGAGTGTTAAAATCCAGCTTAAGGAGTTTCAACTTCATTTTGTAATTGGGTTGAAGTATAGTTGAAATGCAACAAACACTAATAAATAAAATGAACTGTTCATTTGCCAACATTAGCATTAAAAGTATTTGTACTACATACCATTAATTACATGTTAACATATAGCAAAGAGGGGTGAAGATATCTGTAGGCAAAAGAGAAGGTACCAGCATAGAAAATTATATGGCACTCTACTATAGTGGTTAAGAACCATTCATCCCATACCAGCTCTTACTAATTATGTAACTTTGCACAAGTTACTTGACTAAGTGTCTGTTTCCTCACCAGAAGTTTTAAACTGTCCTAAGACAGTTTTAAGAATTAAATGAGTTACTGCATTCATGTCCACAGCAGCCTTATTCACAATAGCTAAACCACTGAAGCAATCCAAGTATCCATGGAGGGATGAATAAGCAAAATGCAGCATATACATAAAATGGAAAGATATTCAGCCTTTAAAAGGAAGGAAATTGTGATATATGCTACAGCATATGAAACTTGAGGGCATTATGCTAAGTGAAATTAGCCAGTCACAACTGGACAAACACTGTATCATTCCCTATGAAGTACCTAGAGTAATCAAAATCAGAGACAGAATGGAGAACAGTGGTTGCCAGGGGGCATGGGGAGAATAGGAAGTTACTGTTTAATGAGTATAGAATTTCAGTTATACAAAATCAAAGAGTTCTGAAGATAGATGTTGGTGACAGTTGCACACAATATGAATGTACTTAATACCACTGAACTGCATATTTTTAAATGGTTAAAATGTAAATTTTATGTTATGTGTAATTTACCACAATTTTAAAAATTAAAGAAAAGAATTAAATGAGTTAATATATAAAAGATACTAGAACAGTGATTAATACACAGTAATATAGTATCAGCTATTGTTATTATGTCCAAGGCACAGAGTACTTAATTAAGTACTTAATTAAAGCTAGATATCATTAGTACTACGACTACCACTACTACCACTACAACTACAGCTGCTACTAGTACTACTTTACACAATCCAAAGAAGAGTTAGAGTTGGGGTTAATGATAAAACAAAACCCTGAATAAAACAGAAAGGATTAGTTTAAGAACCCTATAAACAGGAAACAGGAAGCCATCCCTTTTGAACACAGAAGAGAAAGAGATAAGTGAACACAGAAATTTTGAAACATAGAGAAATGAATCACAGGTAACTCTTGGTAAAGGTTACCCACAGACCACACACCCAAACATATAAACATATTTACACAAAGGCAGTCAACAACTATAGTAAAATAGTTCCTTAATTCATTTTTCTATGAATAGGTATAACCAAAGTAAATTTTGTAAAATCAGACGCTGCACTGAATGAGCGATAACTCAAAACAGAGAATTCATATTTTAAAAACTTGAATCAGGTAGGTCTCAATCTGTCTAAGAGCTTGTTTTCTAAACATTAGAATGATAAAAACAAACCCAGAGCCTGAAATATCCCAATATACCAAAAGAATTTCTTAAGATTTACTAACAATAATGGTACATACACAATAAACCCGAAAGCTATAATACACAATGGAAAATTATCATTGACCATGTTTTGGTCCCACAATCTATCTCATTAAAATAAAGATTAGTAAAATGATAACTTAAATAAAATTATAATTAAATCTACTTGGGTTCATGTTTCCTTTATCTACCAAAAAGAAATATAATAACTGTCATAACAATAAAAATTGACTGATAAAGTCTCCACCCTCTACAAATTTATAAAATCAACTAACAGTTTGGGGAAGTGCAACGAGCAAATTATCAAAGCATATCTTTCACTTTTTGAAAAGAATTGTCAAGTTAGGACTAAATTCATTTGCTAAGGGCAACATGCATCTCATTAACTGCCACTTCCGTGGGATAGAATATGCTTCCTCCTCCTTTTCACCAATCTTCAAAGAATTAGAGAATTATGGAATTATCAAGGGTTGAAAGGGTTCTTATGTAGTCCCATATCTCCCAAGTAGCATGCACTTACACACGTTTATACCCCACCTCCAGTGCTGCGACAATCCTAAAATTTCCTAAGGCACAAGAAAAACCAGACTAGATTCACAGACAAGAGCAAAAAGTATTCATACAGGCACTACCAAAGACACAAAAAACTAGTTACATTACCTCCTCCAGTTTGTAAATGTCTGAAAACAAAGTGTACATTAACAGTCACTTTAAATAAAAACATGATTTACCCTACCATAGCAAGAAGCTTCTACCTCAAAAACTAGATTTGAATATAATATATTTTACTATCTCCTAAGGTCACTTAAACCTGTTTCCTGATCATCTAAAGTCCAGAAAGTAAGGACTCTAATAACTGGATACAGACACATTCAAATAAATCAATGTATCCATTTATTTATTTTTCTTCAAATCTTCAAAAGCAATAAGGATGGAAGAGAAAATCTTAAGACACATCTTAAAGATTCAAATTGAATAAAGTTGGTTTAACAAATGAGCTGCCATCTATTTAGGGGAAGAGGAAGATTTCTCTTGGTTTTAAGTATTTCCTTATGCTGAAAAATATGACTTTATCGGATTAAAAATTAAAAGTCCACCCTTACTAACTAGGTATGGGACCTTGTAAAAACCACTTGGTCTCTCTAGCTTTGATATCCTCATCTATAACCTGAGAAAACGGAGTCAATTCTTGCTACTTACAATGTGGTCCCTGGACCAATAGCATTAGCATCTCCTGGAAACTTGTCAAAAATGCAGAATCTTGGGCCCCAGCCTAGACTTTCTGAATCAGAATTAGCATTTTAACAAGATTTCCAGGTGATTCACATACACATAGAATTGTGAGAAGCACTAGACTAAATAACCTCAAGCCACCCTTAACACTCAAATTGCAAAAGAAAATAGAAAAGCCAGGGCCAGGCATGGTGGCTCACACCTGTAATCCCAGCACTTTGGGAAGCCAAGGCAGGCAGATTACCTGAGGTCAGGAGTTTGAGACCAGCCCGGCCAACATGGTGAATCCCCATCTCTACTAAAAATACAAAAATTAGCTAGGCATGGTGGCACACACCTGTAGTCTCAGCTACTCAAGAGGCCGAGGCACAAGAATCGCTTGAACCTGGGGGGCAGAGGTTGCAGTGAGCCGAGATCATGGCACTGCACTCTAACCTGGGCAACAGAGAAAGACTCCATCTCAAAAAAGAAAAAGAGAGAGAGAGAATGAAAATGGAAAGCCTGACAGCAGATGTCCAAAAAAAGCAAAAGAATTTTAAAAATTCTTTTAATCTGAAAAAAAAAGTTTTCACTGAAGAATCTGTCCAAAAGTTATATTCAATAGATTTTCTCTTCTTAGCTATAGAAATGTGCTTGTTTTGATCCTAACTAGGATTAAAAAGAGCAAAGAGTACTAGAAGAAGAAGAAAAGAAAAACTAAGTATGATCACAAGTTAATTCTAATCAGTCTTCTAATTTTCACATTTTATATTATGCAACCTTTGAAATTCACTATTGGCTAGACTCATTGAATGAATGCTAAAAGTAAGCTACTTTGAGTAAAATTTTCACTAAGTCCCAAAAAAGGTTCACCTAACAGTCTTTTAATTATACTGAAAATGGGAAATAAAGTGTTGGGAAGGATGACTGGGAGAGAATTACTATAGGGTTTTCCTGTGCCTCCGGCTGGGAAAGCCCCTTAGGCTTAGCTTTCTGTGCCATCACAACCTTTTTCTTCCTCCAGTCACATAAGTAGGTGAAGTGCTTCCTCTTCCACTGCCACAGCAACTATTCCTCAGAGTGTTCATTTCCCTGCCTTCTGTATCACTATGGAAAATAGTCTCTTACCACACTCTTTACCTGATTTCCAAAAAAAAAAAAACAGCTCTTTTAAGGCCTCAAAGGCTATGGGGCTAACCAACTGACTCAGCAAATCAGGTGGTCCTAAACTTCAAGAAGATTGAGATAAAGGATCTCCCATTTTAATAGCCTCCTAAGAACAATTCAAGGAGTGGGAGTTGACATCATAGTCAAAGTTTAAATCAGAAGCTTATGGCTTAGCAATCATTAAAACTCTGACATGCTTCAAAATATAAACAAAGGGTTTATGCAGCCACCAGTGTAACAATTTTCTCATAAGCACCTAACTGCCTTAACTGTAAGAGCTTACAAAGATTGTGGATTTATATCAATTATTAATCAGGTCGGTCCAGCTCAGGCTGTTTCTACCTCATGACTTTCTTCACATTGCTCCCCTCACCCCTGTTACTCATCCTTCACTCATCATCCTCCTAAGAACTCCCACATTATTAGAGTCTATGTCATGTCATTTATATGCAATTATACTTCATATTGTTCATTAGATTTTGACCTATTTTAGGGCATGAACCACATCTTCAATTTTCTTTTCTTAAATACACACAAACTCTTTTTCCTTTTAAAACTTTACTGCCATTGAAATTGACCACATATCAAAATATTGTATTTGGCAGCTCTGAGTGTGTAGTCAAAACAGCAGCCATTTAAAACTTGTCAGAAATTAGGAATTTCCTTTAAAGCAAGCACCATCTTTTTCATACTCTCATGTTATTTCTATAGAACAATGAACATTTTCAGAAAAAAATTTTACTGAAAGGGATTTTAATAATCTACAAGAAACTTGAAATAAATTTACTTTTAACACAGGCATTATACTTTACCATAAATATTTTACTATAAAGATCACCCATTATTTTAAATTTAGAAATGTGCTAATAACACAATTAAGGTATTTTTAAGAAAGAGAATTAAAAACACATGTAGAAGATGTACAACATGATGATGCTTGATTTTATTTAATATTGCTTCATGCACAAAGGAAAAATCTAAATAACAAAACCGTATCTAAGTGCACCAAATGTTTTAAGAGAGTTGTAATTTCTCCATTTACTGGTATCAAACATAAAATTAGATCAAGTTAGGAAAAATTTTAAAGCTCACTGTCATGCAAAAAGTACAGATTGAGATCTGAAACTTCAAGTCATAAGAAGCTTCCTCACAGGAGTTATAGCAGTTTATAAAGGAGAAAGTATTTTGACCTTTTTCGTGACTGGCCATTAGACACTAACATTATTCTAATGCAAGTGGAGCTGTTTATATTTGTCTATAGCTGATTGGTTTAATTTCACTGAATCATGCTGGCAAAGATGTAAACCTCATGCTTTGTGGTTCTTTTATAAGTAGAGATAGTGTTTCAGGGGAATCAGAATGACTTGAGTTTGGGTTACAGGGTTATAGGCAGTTGGCCTTGGGATCTATCTAAACTGTGACCTCCATTTTTATTTTCCTTTTAACACTAGTAAGTAATTCTTAATGAATCAAACTATTAGAAATTAACTGGTTGCTACTAGTCTTTGTTCAAGTTCACATAAAAGTACCAGGAGAAATCCTAGAAGCACCAATTTCAACAGCTAATACTACTGAGACTATAAAAATAAATATATTATGGACTCATAACATTAAGGCAACTACCAAGGCCACATCATAGAGCAGTCTCAAAGTTCAGCTGCTTAAAGGCTGTAATTTATGCAGCAATTTGATTTGTTCTAGTTATATATTATATCCTGCAACTCTAGCCAGTAGTTTACATTCTATCAGGCTGACATAAGATGTAAAAGACCTAAATGCCATTCTAGATAATTCATAGGGAGACAAAATTTAGTTTTCTGCCCATGCAAAAGTATTTTAAAAATTAAATTTCTAAATTCAAAAATGTTACTAAAATAAAATGAGTCCAAGGAAGCTCACCTGCCAGCAAAAATAGCAGCAACATTAAATCTGGGCTGAAAGCCAGAGTGATACTATACTAAGATGGGCCACCTATATAATCTTCAAATCAGACTTCACAATTTAAAAGCACTGTCAGAATTGCTCATTTTCTGATTTCTTTACCTAGTTCACATGTTACTGCCTTTTGAGAAGCAAATTACCATCAAACATGCAAAAACCAAATGTAGTTCCTCCAGAAAATAAAAATCCTATATATGATTTTAAAACATATGGTTATAGAATTTTTTCCCCAAAATATATCATTAGGGCACATATATAAAAATTACTGTTCCTCATATACCACATACAAGTCAAATAACTTTTCTATCCTATGAACATAAATTTCACTGCCTATAAATAAAAGAGCTACATTCCAACATCATGTTTTTCTATTAGACTCCTTTGCTCCCAACACAATTAAGAGCAAAAAAAAAAAAAAAAATCCAAATGGGATAAAAGAGAATCTTCATATCATTCTTCCCTTCTGAGATTTCAACTTAAGAATGTCTCAGTTTCCTGATACAGAAAAAACACTTCTAGGGACTTTAATACGGCTACATTGTTTTTACCAAAAAAGGTCCAAAATGGCACTTTAAGGTCATTTGCAAATATAATAATTCAGATGCAATGCACAAAAGAACATACCAACATTGTCAAAATGGCTATGCTTTCAGTAATGCTGTATATATGATCCCACTAATCCTTACTAAATTCTTAATAATCCCCAGCTAATATTCTGGGTTGTATTATAAAATAGATGTCCAATGCACTGGATACCATTAGAATTCTACTGCTTCACAAAAGCAGTCTGAATTAAACCTGGTCCTCTGCTGCCATCTAGCGAAGTCATAAGATCCCAAAATGAAATCAAAAGTGACAATTGTTCAGATCTATTCAATAAATCATTAAAATACATTAATTATTTCAGAAAATGCTGTTTGTAGTTTTTACTACAAAAACTGCTACAATAATAAATATACTGGAGGATTTTGCTCCAAAGAAAATGTATGCATATTTCCATAAATGTATTCTAGAGTATACAGACCATAGCAATAAACTCCTATAATAAGCTATCAGATGAATAATTACTCATTCAAAAAAGTTATTTAGAATAATATTATCATGGTATTCTTATAAAAGCAAAACTTTCAAAACAAGCTAAATTTACAACCACACAGAAATTTTCAAAGTATGATGCACTTATACAATGGAATGTTCCATACAATAGAATGATTCTTCCCAAGACACTACTGAAATAATAGCAGAGTTTTTTTTTTTTTAAGTATAAAGCTATATGGTCCTGAAAAATATGTCCTGAAAGTCCACAAAATTATTTGACACTCTTAACCTCAAGAGATGGAGCTTAATTCCCCTCCTTTAAGTTTGGGCTAGACTTATATGTTACAACAAATAGAATATGGCAGAAGTGGATTGTATGTCACCTCTTGGGCTAGATTAGATTAGATTATAAACAGACTACTACTTTTATCTTGGGTGTTCTCTTAGATCATTTGCTATAAGTAAAGCTGGCTGCCATATGGTGAGGACACTCAGGCAGCTGTGAGAACCCACTCGGAACCCCAGAGCTGGTATGAAGATTATTTTAACCAGAAGACATTTGAGAGTCAACAAATGCAGAAAGGTGGCTGTTCAGAGCTTTCCTTATCTGACTAAAAGCAGAAACTTCCGGGAATTAAGCTACCATAAATCCTTTCTTCTAGGTGGCTTCACTCCCAGAAAGAAGACTGAGAGTAAAACTATCATAAATCCCCTCTCCAGGAGTTTATGGCCACGAAGAAGATGGAAAAGACCATTCCCCCCCATAAAAACAAACATTTCTTACCTCCTATTTGTTCCTCTAAAAATCCACTTATCCTTCCTAAAGAATTCCATTTTTTTTCTTACACTGAAGCCTATTCTCCACCTTCCCTTTCCACCATTAAATTAGACATACAAACTTGAGACATTAAGTTAGGAATACAAACTTTAGGCATAGTCCCATTAAGTTAGGAATACTAACTTCAACCATCTTGTAAGCCACTTCTTTTATGTGCTTCCATACACATATAAACTTTGTTTTTTCTCTTGCTAATCTATGTTTTGTCAGTTTAATTTGTAGGCCCCTAACTATTGAACCTAAGTGGGTACAGGAAAGTTTTTCCTCCCCACTGGTAAGAAATGGAGGTCTCATGCCAACAGCCAGCTGAGGAACTGAGGCCTGCCATCAACCATACACATGAGCTTGGAAGTGGACCCTTGAAATGACAACAGCCCTGGCCAACAGCTTGACTGCAATCTGATAGACGACATTGAACCATAATCACCCAGCTTAATAGGTACAAAAAAAAAGAATAAATGAATAAGACCTACTATTTGATAGCACAATAGGGTGACTATAGTCAACAATAACTTAACTGTACTTTCCAAAATAACTTAGAGTATCATTGGATTGCTTGTAACAAGGGATAAATGCTTGAGGCTATGGATTTAAGAAAAACAAAAAAGACTCACCCAACCACACTGCTCCCAAGAAACGATGAGACAGTAAATATTTGAATTTTAAACTGTTATATTTTGGGGTAATTTTAGGGTAATTTATTAGAAATGGCTATAACAATGAAGATAATGAAGGGAAGGAGAAAAGAGCATCAGCAGATGCACTATTTCAATAAATTTCTGGTTGACAAGAAATAGACGGAGAAGTACTGAAAAGTGCTGAGAAGCATGCACAGAGGTAGCAGGATTCACAGATGGAGGTGCCTATTTTACAAAACCCCAAAGAAGATCCAGACCCAGAAACATCAAGTGCACAGGATGACTACAGTGACATATGGACTGAAAAGGAGGGATTGGTTATTTTTAGCTATGTACAACAATTAAATTCTCACAACTCATACACACAACACACAGGTTATTCCTCAAGCAAAAGAAAAGAAAAATCAGAGAGCTCTTCTCTAAAGAAACTGAAACAGGGTGGGAGGGTGAACAGAAAAAAAAAAGAAAGAAAGTAAAAGAAACTGAACCAAATGGGTAGTGAGGGAAGAGCACCTAAGCACAACTGCTTATCATAAAGCAAAGGTCAGAAATTGACAAACCCAGCCCACATTCATGGAGCTTCCAAGCAGCTTCTCTGCCTCGTTTCAAATGCACAGCCAACCAAGGATCACCACACATTTGAAGAAACTAGAAACATAAAGAAGAAAGATGATTCAAGGAAGAGAAAGATAACTTTAAATATGCTTTTAACTAGTATTCTCATAGAGATTCAAGAAGCTATCACAACCATAAACCAAGAACAATTTGTCATGAAAAGGTACAGGCAGAGAACAAGAATGTATGTACTATTGACAAAAGCATAATTACCAGAATAAGTAATTCAACAAAAAGAAAGGAAGAAAATAAGAGAACCTGGTACTTGGCACATAACAGACACTTAAAAAATTGTGGAATGAATATGTTTTTCATTTAGTCAATGAAACAAAAAATATATATAGACAGAGGGAAAAGTCTAAAAGCATACACACCAAAATGTAAGCAGCAACCATCTCTAACTGGTGAAATTACATATGTTTTTCGTGTTTGTCCTGTTCCTTATCTTCATTTTCTAACTTTTCTACAATGAATACAAATGACTTTTATAATGGGGAAACACATTTTTAAGACATTATCATTTTTTCATTATAAGACCAGAATCACAAGGCAAAAAAGAAATTTTTACTAAAATGCTTATCAAGTCCAAGTTAGAAAAAGTTTCAACTACTACCATTAATAATAAGATAGGTTTAGTAAGATATAGACATACTCATTGATCTTGACCTAATTAAGAGAATTTGAAAAGCTTGCAAAATAACAGGACACTGCAAACTTATTATTCGTAGCACAGATCAGGTAATTGGTTCCAATACTAGTAAATAAATCTCATGAATCAACCAGTTCTGTATATAAGAAGCCTCTCTTGGTTATTTTAATTAGTTACTTTCAGATTAAGTAGCTCTCATAATGAGAATGTACAGTGTCTTCATTAGACTTCAAAGTGTAAAATCAAATGATATACTCATTTGCATTAATTACCATTTATGTAACAGGTTATGCTTTTCAGAACTCTGTAGCAATACAAGTTAAATATGTAAAATACAGCATTCTTTTAAGTGATCTTCCATCAGGGTATGCCACATTTATTGCTCTAAAGATTTACCTTGATATGGAATAAAATTTAAAAGCCACTTAACGTATTCTGGGCAGCACTACCTATCACAGAGGCATGTAAACAACATTTTAATTTTTATAAAGTAATCCATCTTCATGAAAAGAAAAGATCAAAAGAATTTTCCCAAAAGTTTTATTTTACATTTGTCCCTGACTCGCTGATTACTTTCAGTTTTCTTTTGTATAAAGCATGCATTCTAGAAAAATCAACTATAATTATTTCAAACAATTTTTCACAGATTCACAAAGAGGATAAAGTTTTTTCCCCTTTTTTATCCAAGCCAGCATTTGCCACTTCCATAATCACACATAATGAATAAGAGTATGTGAGCAAATAATGAGTTAAGAAAGTATCACAGAATCGTAAAAAAAAAAAATATGAAAATCCAGTTAACACCTCATCTAACAGATAAGCTCTACTGCTGAGATGGGTCAAAGCAAATGTTCTTCCATCTGGTCAGCAGCACTACTCAATACTAAATATCAATATTCAATACTAAATATATCTTACTTATTTCCTATATAAAATTTAAAAATCCATCTATGAACACCCAATATCACACTCTTAAAATCAAAACAAGCAGTCATATTTCATATACAGTATCAAGTAATGCTCTTTATTAGCTCTTTAGTATCTCTTACTTAGTTGTCTGGTACTATACATAGTTTTGTTATATCTCTTACTACATCTTAAATTGTACTTCATTTTCCTGCTGAGAGTAGGAATTGTACTTTTACTTTCCTCTAGTGTCTTGTATTGTCTTTGAGACCTTCTAAAGCTTACAGTAGCTTAACAGTTATCTATTAAAGCAGTAAATATTGTCTGCAAATATATTTATTATCCCATTAAGTGAAAGGAGCAATGCAATTTGAATTACCATCACAAAGCAATTTGAAAAAAAAATAATAGAGTTTTTCTATTATTTATTTATAAGAGAACAGCCTATATCATATCCCATTATATGGAGGATCAGAAAGTAAGGAAAGAAAACAGCAGGTAAGAAGATGAAGGTATAATGTCTCGAGAAACCAAACATCCAACTCTTAATATTGATTATCCCAAGGGGTGGGATAAAAGTTCTCACAGGGAGAACTTTTTAATTTCTTTTTAATGTTTTATGAGGAAGACAGAAGACATTATCAGAAAAAATATATTTTAAGACAGAAAAATTCATCTATTAGCATAAAACAGTAAAAATAACTATCAAAATATTGAAAAAATAATGAGGACATGACCTGGCAAAAAGGATTCTGGGCTCTGGGGCCAGATCACTTGCATTCAAATCTCAGTCCTGCTACTTACAATAACTGTGTCTGTGACCTTGAAAAAGCTACTTATTCACAATGCTATCTTACAGCGTTGTGAGTATTAAATGAGATAAATGTTCTATGTAAAGTACTCAGAACAATGCCTAATACACATTAAGTGTTCAACAAGTATTACTTGTTATAACTGTTGCTATAGCCAAAATACAGAATGAACTTGTGCAACCACACTAGTATTCAAAAAAAACTGCTAATCAAAGCAATTTTAAAATTCATTTTCCTTTAATTTTTACATCAATAAAATCTTTTAAGAAAAAAATTCATTTTCCAATTGTCAACTTGGCTACATTACTTATATTAAGTGAAACTACCCCAAATTGCCAAGGATGTACACTCAAGCACTGCTGTTCGGAGTGTATCACTACAACCTCTAGCAAGGTATATCAAGGACTTCAAAGGTTTCCATACTATATCTAAGTAATACTATTTTTGTCAAAATTTATGCAAAGATGGGTATAAGAAGATCAGTACAGTTATTTATAGCAACAAAAAAACTGGAGTCTAAATGCCCCTATAATCGAGGGTGAACTATTTTTTCTTGGCAGCAATTAAGTCATTTTAAAAATACATGTTATAACAATGAAATATACTCATGTTAAGATAAAAAGCAGCATACAAAAATAATCATGCCTGAGTATTGTGGCTCAGGCCTGTAATCCCAACACTTTGGGAGGCCAAGGCAGGCAGATCACTTTAGCCCAGGAGTTTGAGACCAGCCTGGACAACACGGGGAAACCCTATCTCAACAACAAAAAAAAGACAAAAATTAGTTGGGTGTGGCGGCACGCGCCTATAGTCCCAGCTACTCTGGAGGCTGAGGTGGGAGGTCGAGGCTGCAGTGAGGCATGAGTGTGCCACTCCACTCCAGCCTAGGCAAAACAGTGAGACCCTGTCTCAAAAAACAATCATCATCATCATCATATAGTTTAGTTCTAATTACCTGCTAAGCCTATCATAGCTAGCACAATCTCTGGCATATGGTAAATGTTCAATAAATATTTGTTAACTACATGAATGAACAAAGAGACAAATTCAATCTCTTTATCCTGTATTCCTTGTTTCTCATTTGTTTGGGTCCAGTAGCCCAGCTCTATATAGGGGAAAAAATGTTTGAAAATATTAACGAAAAATTCATTTGTTTTAATCTTTCAAAGCTTCACATGTTTGCTGCCCCCAGAACCTGGCCAACTGAAAATTCTGAGTTAGGGTTGCACCTATGTTTGCAATCAAAGTTTTATCTGTATCTGCTCAGCTCTAAGAGTTCTCTAGCAGATTTTGGTAATAGGTAATAAATTTGGTTGGTTTTTATTTTTAAATACCATTTCAAAGACAGTATCTCTATTAACTAGTAGTAACTCTCATACTTAGGATTTGATTAAAGAAACTGCTATTTAAGGGACCTTTTTATCCTTTAGTAAATCCTAAAGATGTGACTACTAACCAATGGGTATTTCAAAGATTTGGTTTTAAAATGTTAGATTGTTTTGCCTTTGCTTAATTTTCTTCTTGTGCAATAACTATACCACACCCTAAAAGAATTCTGAGTGAACTCTGGGAAATCAATGTTGGTTCTCATGTAATAATGGTTTTCAAAACAGTCTTCAGTTATAACAACAATAACTAATATGCATTGAGTGCTGTATAATAAGCATTTTATGTGGGTCTCCACCAACTAACAGAGAAATTCTCAGATATGTTCTTAACTCAATAGCTGGCTAAATACTACTTTGAATTGGGTCACTGATTTTTAAATTTTGTTCCATGAGGCACTACAGATAGCGGCTCCCAAATCAGGTTAAAAATCACAAGTAATCGGGGTGCTTTTCAAAAATGCATTTTCTCAGAACCAATCCAGGCTTAATGAATTTGAATCTCTGAATTTTTTTTTAATAAAAGTTTCCTATGATGGTAGCGCAACTGGAAATGCTGCCCTAAAAAGTTCCATGGTAACCTCAGACGCCACACCAGAATGCAACCCCATATGCTTTCCTCAATTTGCAGCAACCAAAGCATTACTGCTTTTATCTGTTTCATATAGGGGGACTTAAAGAAAGATTTAGGCTTGGGGAGGGAGTCAAAGAGTCCTTCTTTTTAAACCAATTTACCACAAGATACCATCAAACGTAGCTTCAGATCAATAAACAGTGTTTCTGAGTTGACCTCTAAATATTCTCTGGTAGTCTCACTTCCCCGTGATAAAAAAGAAACACAGGAGCTTTATTGTGTCCCATCCAGTTGCAAGGAAACTGGCCTGGATCCCTAACTATAGTTCTGATGAAACTACTATTAAAAACAGGGCTGGGGTCTTTAAATGACGAGATCTGGCTTACATTCTCTCTAAGAGTTTTGGTTATCACCAGAGGTATGACACTAAACATTAACTGAGTCCTAAAATTAGTATAGTTAGTATAATTTCCATTATTATGAGGAAAAACTACCTTAAACCTAATTTCATTTGTTTATTTATTTATTTATTTATTTATTTATTTATTTTTGAGACAGGATCTTTCTCCGTAGCCCAGGCTGAAGTGTAGTGGTACAATCTCGGCTCACTGCAACCTCCGCCTCCCGGGTCCAAACGTTTCTCGTGTCTCAGCCTCCCAGGTAGCTAGGATTACAGATGCAAGCCACCACACCTGGCTAATTTTTCTATTTTTTAGTAGACACAGGTTTTTGCCATGTTGGTTAGGCTGGTCTCGAACTCCTGACCTGAAGTGATCCACCCACCTCGGCCTCCCAAAGTGCTGGGATTATAGGCATGAGCCACCACGCCCAGCCAAAACCTAATTATAAAAGCCCAAGTACTAGAATACAGAATGATGCTGATTTTGCCACTATCTACTTACATGATTTGAAACAAATATTTTACTTTTGTGGAGTCTGGTCCCTCAGACACCTCCACAAAAACTCTAAGTTTCCCCAGAACAATTAAAAAAGTAAAAGTCCTTCCCAGACATAACTTTATTTACTGCTGAATTCCTGAATACTAGATATGATGTCATGGCTATAACTGATATTTGTTTGTAAATAATAAGATAGGAGATAAATTCTTATTTAATTCCAATATTCATTTCATCTCTAGTTCTTATGTTACATATCAGGAGCTATTTGCTTTGCTTTCAGAAGAAAACTAGAGCCAAAAAGAAATTTATAAAGAGCTAAGTGAACAAATCTAAATGAAAGCAGTATACACAATACCTAATTGATCATAATTTGACTCATTCTGTTCCTAAATAAGATATACTTTTTTGTTTGTAGTTCACTGAAAATTATTCCAGAGACATCTGAAACCTCTTTAATATTCTCCTCAGCATGTAAAACTTTTCTAGTCTAGCATCTCATTACCTTATCCACACTATACCTGTCTGAACATTCGGCTCCAGTCATTAGCATAAACATACACTACAAACATTATTAATGAGATACATATCAAGGGACCCAAGCAAGCTATTAACCACCTGGGGTAACTGCATGTTTCTGTATAAAAACCTTTAGAGACCAGGCGCGGTGGCTCATGCCTGTAATCCCAGCACTTTGAGAGGCTGAGGCGAGCAGATCACGAGGTAAGGAGTTTGACACCAGCCTGGCAACATAGTGAAACCCTGTCTCTACTAAAAATGCAAAAAATAGACAGGTGTGGTGGCATGCGCCTGTAGTCCCAGCTACTCAGGAGGCTGAGGCAGGAGAATCACTTGAACCCAGGAGGCAGAGGTTGCAGTGAGCTGAGACCACGCCATTGCACTCCAGCCTGGGTGTCAGAGTGAGACTCCGTCTCTACATAAATAAATAAATAAATACTGTTACAGCAGCAAATACAGAAGCTGCCTAAACATACTGCAGTTTATCCACACAACAACTATTTCTACAACACGCTATTCACAAGTCACGAAGTGTATTTGTTAGGGCACATGTAGTATGACCACACATTGAGCACCCTGCTCTAACAAAGGCATAGGACACGATTTTCATGAGAAAAAAAAAATTTGTCTTTCAAATGTATACATTTAGTAAATTACATAAAAAATCTTGTCAAAGTACCAATGGCTTAGCATGAACTTACAATTAATGGGAAGAAATCTTACTTCAAAACTTTAAAAAAGCAAATTTTAAAAAATCTTTATATTAAATATGTTTCCCTACCTTAAGCTCACTTTTTACACTTTCTTACAAAGAAAGAACATTTAAGATGTAAAGACTGTCTTTTAAGGAGAATGTATTCAATGATGGGTTGTCAAACTATGATCCAAAAGCCAAATGTGACCTGCTAATTTGTAAATAAAATTTTATTGAAATACACCCACCAAATGTTATTGAAATACATCATTTGGTTTATGTAAAATCAGGGGGATATGGCTGCTTTTTATCTGAGACAGAGACCACACAACCCACAAATGATAAAATATTTACTACTACGTCCTTCACAGAAAAAGTTTAGAACGAAAACTTAAAGCTGGATTACAGGAAAAACTTAAAGCTGAGGATTCTGTCTTAAGCAGTCCTAATCCATGCAGCACCTAACACAGAGCCCTAGGGGTAAATAAGTTTCCAATATAATTTCTGAATGAATGAATGAATGAATGAATGAATGAATGAATGAAAGGAAGAAGGGAAGGAAGGGAGGGAGGGAGGAAATTCCCAGACCAGGATGCAGGAAAATAAACCTGTCTATAATTTCCTTCAAGAAGTATTATACAAATGTACCTCACCTACTTAAACAGATGTGTTATAAAAAGCTGAATATAAATTACATTTCCATAAATGCCTAAGTGGCTTTTTTATTCCCTGCAATAATTTTCCTTATAAAGCAAGTCCCAAATTTACCTTTTATATTCAGTTTTTCTTGAAGCAGGGTATGCTTGTATATGTGTGTGTATTATATAAATATGTAAGTCAAAAGATATAAATACAGATATAGATACATATGTAAAAATTGCAACCATAGCACCAGCCCTTTTGTTGGTCTGTTACATTATTCCCACAGCCTTACATTTTTCCTGTGTCGAGCATAATCTGAGTTATTATCTTTTACTTTACTATTTGTTTTACAACAGTACTTATTAAAACCATTTGGTTTTTACCTACTGATTCAATAATAGTTGAAATTAAATTTATAGTACTCAAACTCTCAGCAGAAAGAATTAAAATAAAAGGCATGAAAATTAATTCTAAAATTTTTATATAGTTCTAAGTCTTCATCACTTTCAATTGATGTTGAATTATTTTGAAGACAATTTATTTAATTGCATTACAAAATCTGCTAATAAACTAAGTACACAGATAAATCCTATTATAAAATTCTATCTTTTCCCAGAATATGTGTGAAAAAGCAGATTTCACAATTACAAGACAGTTCAATTCCAACTGTAACTGTAGTAACATTATATCACTTTTCCTGGTATTATATTTACACTCAAGTAGAACTGACTCCCCCCTCCTGGGGAAAGCCATGAAAATAATGAAACAAGAGTACTCAAGACAAAAGAAATATTAAGAAAAAAGTTAAATGTATTTTAGGGAATGTCAGAAATTCAACGAGTTCCTTTAAAATACACTTTGATTATTTGGCAGCTTTCAACAAAATTGAAGGACAATCTAATCAAGGAGGCATAAAGACATAGTAAAGCGACTATCAAGTGTAACTGCAAGTCTTTCATTGAGAATCATTTTGTTTAACTCTGAAAGTGGGGGCAGGGGGCAGAGGGAGTGTTATATTTCAATACACCTTCACCAATATTATGGCTAAATAAAATGATTTTATTTTATCAAATGCTTGAAGTCTATTTTCATCAAAATCCCAAAACTGCAGTTTTGGCTGATTTAATCTACACAAAAATGCTTGCTATGTAAAACTCATTTGACCAACTCTCACTAGCAAAACCTCAGCCAAATCGAAAGTCCCACTATCTGATAGGAAAAGTCCAACTTCATTTTTATTCCAAATACACAAGTTAATGAACAATTTTTGCCAATTATCTCACATTTGAATTTCAATGTGAGACAGACAGGCAGGCAGGCAGACACTGACAGATAAAAAGCCCTGCCATACCTGTCTCTTGGATGAAATAAGGTACTTTCACTAACTCTTAATAATGTTCTCTTTGCTGTCTTGGAATCTCCCTCAGGAGAGACATTTGTTAACAACAGCCAAAGGAAGAAAGAGAGGAAATGTTTAAAGGAAAAGTGTCATCACTTTCAACCTACTCCCACTGCCCTACTCTATACTATACAAAAACTGAGAACATCCCAACCCAATCCCAAATATCTTGTTGCTAAATTCAACAGACACTTTTCACTCCTTAGCTTACTAATTCTCTATAAGATTTAACCTTTCTTTGGAGACATTTTTACTTTCCCTTAGCTTGAATGACAGATATTTCTCCTGGTTTTCTCCCACCTCCCCTACTCTCAGTCACCATTGCTTCCTCTACTCAACAGCCTGTCCACATCCCTGTCTTTACTATCACATACTATTGTCTCCCAAATCTGTACTTTCAATCCATATTCTTCTCCTAAACCCAAGGTCCAACTACCTAAATATCCAAAGAATGCTGAGGAAACATGTGCCAGAGGTATACCTAACCTAATTTATTCTGCTATCTTGTTTTCTCAGAAAATAAATTTTATTTACACTTATTTAATCAACTGGGAATTTATCTGGCTATGAGATATGTGCTGAAGCTCTAAATTGAATTTGTGCCAAGCTGTTAATCAATTATCCACAAATAATTTATTATTAGTTAAATAGTTATCTGCAAGTTCTATGAGATAGGGACAGTATCCACACTGCTCACTGCTGTTTCCCCAGAACCTAGCACAGTACCTGACACACAGAGGAATCCAAGAAACAGAAACTATAATTTAGTGTATTACTAAAGTCTTAGTGGTGGGGAATGTAACAAGAAATAATTTTCAAAGCTCAGGAAAAAGTTAAATAAAATTTAAAAATTCAAAAATTCAACAAGTTAAAATATAACCAAGTGCTACGGTTTGAAAATTCATGGTGAAACTTAATCTCCAGTGCAACAGTACTGAGAGATGGAACCTTTAGGAGGTGATTAGGCCACAAGGGCTCTGCCCTCATGCATGGGATTAGTGATCTTACAAAAGAGCTGGTGGTAACTAGCCAGGCCCTTTTGCTCTTCCACCATTTGAGCACAAAGCATTCGCCCCTTCAGCCATGGGAAGATGCAGCAACAAGGCATCATTTTGGAAACAAAGAGCAACCTTCACCAAATACTGAACCTGCTAGCATCTTGATTCTGAACTTCCTAGCCTCCAGAACTATGAAAAATAAATTTCTGTTGTTTATAAATTACCCAATCTGAGGTATCCTGCTATAGCCGCACAAATGAACTAAGATACTAAGTATGATTAAATGCCTGGAAACTTTTTCTAAAGAAGCTCTCTAATCTTCCCAAAACATTCTTAAGATTTCAGCTCTAGAAGACTGTGTTTTCCTCCATAGAAAAGCAATATAAGAATAGCTAGTACCACTCAGGTACAGGCTGAGTTGTAGAGAGAAGAACAGGAAGGAGCCCAGACTCTTTATGACAAAAAAAAAAAAAAAAAAAAAAAAATCGAAGTGCATTTGGGAAGTAGGTGCACAGCATGCACTATATAAAACAGTTGTAAATCCATGTCTTACTTTGCAAAGTTAAGTTAGAACCCTGTGGATCAGAATTAGAGATACTAGGCCTTCCTTTTGACCTCAACTCCTACCAAAACCATATATTTCTCATCTCAAAAGCCTTCCATTATTATAAAACATACTGCAAAGAAATAACAAAACACACTGCTGAATAGTACATTTAAAATAAGCCTTCTGTATATTAACACCCAGTACACAGGCAAGGTGGTCACTATCAGGATGACATACTTCCAAGTGGATCAGCATGACTCAGTTCCAACCTTAGAAGACAGCCTTCACTCAAAATGAATTTATGCATTAATTCTTCACAGCAAAGTAATAATAATAACAATGACAATAAAAGGAGTTTTTAAATTTGTAGAAATGTTAGATTGCCTATAATTTAAAAAGTCTTCCAGATTAAAAAAATCAAACCATACAAATATTAGAAGAAATATGAGAGAATTCTTCTTCAATCTCAGTATAAGGAAAGGCTTTCTAACTATAAATCAAAATCAAGAGGCAATAAAAATTAATAAACTTGACTTCATAAAAATAATAAAATTTTGTATGGCAAAAAAACATGAACAAAGTCAAAAGACAACAGAAAAGAAACAAGGACAGATAATTCACAAAAAAGATAAGTATAGCCCTTAAACATATGAGAGGATGTTTGACTCCATTCAGAATTAAAACTAGAATGAAATACCATTTCTCACTAACCAGATTGGTGAAAAAATTTGCCAACACATTCTGTTAGCAAGGCTGTGGTGGTACAGGCATTCTCACAAACTGCCTGTGGGAATACAATCTGGCACTACCCTTTTGGAGCAGAAACTCGTGGTATCTAACTAAACTTCATATACACCCAGCCTTCAACTCAGCAATCCTTCTTTCTAGAAATTGACCCTGAGGTTAGACTTTCAACAATATGGAGGGAAAGTCAGCTCACAGTTATTCATCACAGCATCATTTGTAATTACAAAATACTGGAAACAATCTAAATATCTCTATATAGGAGAGTCGTTGAATAAACTACTCACACAATGGGTACAATGCAGCTGTAAAAAAAGAATGAGAATATCTGAAGTGAAATGCAGTGGTTTCTAGAACATACTGTTAAGTGGAAAAAGCAAGGTGAAAAGACTATCTAATTCTAAAGTGTATGGTATCTTTCCTAAAAGAAAGGGGAAAAAGAAAAGTGCATCTGCTCATCTGTACAAAAAGAAATGCAAGAAGGGTAAATCAGAAAATGATGAGGCTGATTATTTAAGGGGGTGGGTAGGAACAGAATGAAAAGATAAGAGAAAGGGAAAGGGTTAAAAGGGATAGGAGAAAGTAACATTTCTCAGAGCATACTCTGAATCATAGTAGAGTTTCACACACTCAGAAAAATGAAAAATTAAAATCAACAAAGGATGAGGGCAAACTCAGAATATAAGCAGAAACAAATGAAACTAATTGTATTACAAATGAAAACTATCTACACTAAAGGGTTTGGCAGGAAGAGAGAAAATAATTAAGTAACTTTGGAACACAGTACACTTTATATACCCTAAGGCTAAAGTCAGACCAACTGTTCACAAATATTACACTCTATTCAAATGGATTTCTCACAGTGGCTTTGGATAGCAATTCCAAAACTACTTTATGTGTATTATAGTAAATATTATGGATAATGAAAACCAAGTGTCTCCCTATCAGAGAGAGGAGTTACAAATAGAAAATGAGAAAAAATTCAATAAATCCTATGGCAGTGCATTAGATTTGGAAGTATCAGTACGAACTCGTGATTTTGAAAAAAAAATGTATGCATACACATACATACAGACAGATACTGAAATAGATATAGGTGTGTATTTATGTATATACTCACACACACACACACACACACATATTTCCTAGCTCTATCTTCTGAGAGGGCCTAGAAGAAATGACATCCCAGTACTAATGAGCCCAACTTGTGCACAAAAATTGGTTTCTAAATACCACTCCTTAGAGAAACAGTTGATTCCAGGGCTGGGGTAGGAAAAGTACAAGGTAAGTCCACAACATCTAGGGGTGCCAGAAACAAGAAAGTACTCAAAAAATGAGGGAGAGATGTCAAAAGACAGGAGTCACTTGATGGGGCTCTCAACGGTCAAATGAGACATTTGGAGCAATAAAATAATTACTAAAACAGATTATAACCCACAGAATATAATACGTGTCTATGAGTCCACACTGATAGGAATAAAAAAAGCAAGAAAATAAAGAAATGAGAAAGAAGGGAAAGTTCTTCCTAAGAGCTGAATTCCACTATTCCACTTAGCAAACATAACAGTGGTAACTGTTTCAGGTAAGAATCATTAATGAATGTTAAAAATAATGGCGAAAAGTATAAGAAATAGGATATTTACATGATCTCAGAGTATCTCCCTCACAGCTTCTTAAGTACAAAGGAAAAATAACTTTATCATGGCAGACATGCCTTTATCAATAAATAAAGTACAAACCAAAAATAAAATAATAAACAGAAATAACTTCATCAATCTGGCACACACCAACTAAATCAAGAGATCAAAGTTAACATCATCACTAATAGGAGAATTCAACATTATGTGCCTCCTGAAATGACATGAAGAATATTACTACTGTGATGTTCTTGCAAGCATGCCCAACTTGAATCATGAGGAAACATCAAACAAACTCAATCTGAGAGACAAGCTACAAGATAACTGGCCAATGCTATTCAAAAGTGTCAAAGTTATGAAAGAAAGCCTAAAGAATTATTGCAGAGGCCGGGCGCGGTGGCTCACACCTGTAATCCCAGCACTTTGGGAGGCCGAGGCAGGCGGATCACGACGTCAGGAGATCGAGACCATCCTGGCTAACACGTTGAAACTCCGTCTCTACTAAAAATACAAAAAAATTAGCCTGGCGAGGTGGTGGGCGCCTGTAGTCCCAGCTGCTCGGGAGGCTGAGGCAGGAGAATGGCGTGAACCCAGCGGGCGGAGCCTGCAGTAAGCAGAGATCGCGCCACTGTACTCCAGCCTGGGCAACAGCGAGACTCCGTCTCAAAAAAAAAAAGAATTATTGCAGAAAAAAGAAGAGACATGGCAACCTAATGAAACACGTGATCCTGGACTGGATCCTGGACCAGAAACAGGGCATAATATTGACACTTTTGGTGAAATCTGAATAACGTCAATAATCAATACATCAATGTTAATGTCTTGATTTTGGCCATTGTACTGTAATAATATAAGATGTTAACATTTGAGGAATCTGGTTAAGGGCACATGGAAATTCTTTGTACTATTTTTGGAAGACTTACTAAGTCTGACATAATTCCAAATTAGAAGATTTTTTAAATGCTTAATTATTAGAGATCAAAAACTGCAACCAAAAGTACTCAGAACTATAAAAACTAAAGACATCTCATTTTTAAAAGTATGAGTTTATTGAAATACACGAAACACAATTAATTCTTCCATCAAACAAACTTTCATTTCATCTGTTTCTGAGATTACAGTGGCTTAGTCTCCATCAATTCACCTATTACAACTAATATAAATTTCTCACTGTTTCATTTTCAATAACTTTCATATTTCTGTTTCTATTACCTGGCTTTACATTTCAGAAATATTCCCTATTCTACAATGTTTTCAAATCCATTAAAGTTTCCTGTCAAAACCACTCCAGGCAGGGTTCAATGGCTCACACTTATAATCCCAGTACTTCAGGAGGCCAACAGGGAAGAATCACTTGAGGCCAGGAGTTTGAGACCATCCTGAGCAACATAGCAAAACACAATTTCTTTAAAAAAAAAAAAAAAAAAAAAAAGCCACTCTACTTACTGTTATCTCCAGGCCCTCAGGCCTTGGTCAGGCTAATGCAAAATTCTTACACAATACCTTTTACTGTTAACTATATCCAGGTTTCCTATTACACTCAATTTCAGAGATCCTTGGTTTAAATATTGTTACGAGATATAATAAATTGCCATTAAATTATGAAATAAGGATAATAAAAAGAAATCCTACACTGTATCCTGACATAGCTTTAACGACGATGGAGTCCAGGACTCATAGCTATTAATCAGTTACTCTTATTTCATAGCCTCTAAGACCATTCTACAGCCTCCTCAGGCTCTTTTCACCTTATTCAATCACAGAAAGTCCCTCTTCCATGCTACTGTACTTAAATCCTAGTGCGCAAAAGATAGATTTTACACTGGCCCAGAAACACCTTGCAAAATTTTTTCTCTCCCAGAAAAAAGTATCCTAAAACAGAGTAGGTATTCAATAAATACTCAGGGTTTTCCTTTTGTTTTTGGTGGAGCCTGGTTCTAGGAGAAATTAGATATTTCCATTAGCAATCAAAAACATCTTAACCAATTACTTCATAAAAAATTACTTTAGCCAATCATCTAGGGGTCTAACAATACCAACACACAGAGAAAGGGGTACACAACTACAGAGGAGGAACAAAATCAACAAAAGTTGGATGGCAGAAACAAGAGACAAATTTTGCAGGCTTTATTATTTTGCCCAAAGCTTACCATGATACTGTGAAGAAAGCAATGCAGAAAGTAAAGAGTATATAAGGCCAGATGTGGTGGCTCATGCCTGTAATCCTAACACTTTGGGAAGCCAAGGCAGGAGGATCACTACAGCCCAGGAGCTCAAGACCAGCCTGGGCAACATGGCAAGATCATATCTCTACAGAAAATTTTAAAAATTAGCTGGCCATAGTGGTGCATGTCTGTAATCCCAGCGACTCTGGAGGCTGAGGTGGGAGAATGACTTGAGCCCAGGAGGTCAAGGTTGCAGTGAGCAATCACTGTGCCACTGCACTCTAGCCTAGGCAACAGAGTGAGGACCCTGTCTCAAAAAAATAAGATAATAAAATAAATTTCAACAGAAAAAAAAAAGAGTACCTAAAATATGAAACTCCTAAGAGGTTAAATGTATGCCTCAATCCCAAATCCCCAGTTCATTTCGTAGTGTAAAGCCTAGAGATAGACACCTTGACCTCACGTTTTCCACTCTTTCTCCACCCACAGAAGTAAGACATTTGTTAAGACATTTTTACGTATCTATTAAAATGTATGTCTCAACAACATCCTTAACATCCTTACTACCAATTTAATAGATTCTGAACATAATCTAACCCAACATATTAAATAAATATAATTTTAATATTCTGAAAATAAGCAGAAAGGCTAATTTTCATTTATCCATCAAAAACACATATCCACAGGGAAGGGTGCAGAATGGGTAAATGATCCAAATTCTGTTTATGGATCTATATCTTTCTTTGTATAACTGCTGCAAGCACACAAGGCACATTTTTTCATTTCTACACTGTTTCAATTTTGCATTATACATTATTATTAATTTTTAAGGCTAGTTCATTAAGGAAGTTCAAAATAATATGAACAAATAAACATATAAATATCAAATACTTGTTATTTAACTACTTGAATTAGTACACAAAGCATTAATAATAAAAACCACAGGCCAGGCACGGTGGCTCACACCTGTAATCCCAGCACTTTGGGAGACCAAGGCAGGTGGATCACCTGAGATAGGGAGTTCGAGACCAGCCTGACCAACATGGAGAAACCCTGTCTCTACTAAAAATACAAAATAAGCCAGGTGTGGTGGCACATGCCATAAACCCAGCTACTTGGGAGGCTGAGGCAGCAGAATCGCTTGAACCTGGCAGGCGGAGGTTGTGGTGAGCCGAGATCGTGCCATTGCACTTCAGCCTGGACAACAAGAGTGAAAACCCGTCTCAAAAAATAATAATAATAATAAAAACCACACCTGCCATATAACCCAGAGAAAAAGGTCAATACCATAAGGACAGTAGTGATAATCTCTAGGTGATAAAATTTCTTTTTTATTTTCTTCTTTTTTAATGTTATTTTCTGAATTTTGTCAAATGAATATGTCTTACCTATAAAATACCCTAAAAAAGCTAAAAAATGCTAAACTGAGGGGAAAAATTGTTTCCAACAGAGGCAGACAATTAAAATGAATGAAAATATTTTTAAATATTCCCAATAAAAATCAAATATAATAAAATACTTAAACATTCTAGAAAGCATATAATGTTAAAATATCATTATAGTCACCTAATAATGAAAATAGGTTGTATCTGCTCCACTTCTTTTCTCCATATATATCTTTTAAGGTAACTACATGTTAAATGGAGATGGAGATGGCATGATACAAAGAGTATAACTGCCACTTAAGACTTTCCAAAACTCATAAAAATTAAATAGAATCTGTCATCTTCAAAATAACACTTAAAAGCTAATATATATGTACTGCCAGTTATTCCAAAACATTTTATTATGAAATAGTTAATGACTTCTATGTTAATATCTGTTAAAATAATTATTTCAACTTGCTAAATGAATACATACATATAGCAAAACTGTAATAGATGCAAAAAAATATGGATTACAAAAGAAAAAAATAAAATGTTGCTGAGGAAGAATAAAATTTCTACTAATATCTTGACCAGCCTGGGCAACATAAGGAGACTTCATCCTTACAAAAAATTTAAAAAATAGCCAGGCAGGGTGGCACATTCCCATAATCCCAGCTACTCAGGAGGCTAAGCTACTATTCAGGAGACTGAGGTGGGAGGATTACTCGAGCCCAGGAGTTCAAGGCTGCAGTGAGCCTTGATCGTGCTAAGGCACTGCCGCCTGGGTGACAGAGCAAGATCCTGTCTCAAATTAAAAAAATCTTAAAACTTAGAAATATAAAATTTGAAATTAAGCTTTGTTGTAATAATGCAACAACCTTGCGAGTATATAAAGAGAATAAGGCAAATTATTCAAAGGAGAATACAGAATGAATCAGAGAGAGTTCATCATTTTTAGATTACAAACTGGCAATTTATCTATTAACCTCAACATGTCCAATATCATTAAAAAACAAGGCAGTGGGCAGCAGACATACCAAAAACCATATCATTAAGAGAAAAACACTTTCAAACTTAACATCTAGTTATAGATTTATGTTAAACTAGCTAAGCTCTGAAACCAAAAATTTAGCAGAATGAGAGATAACTTGTGCTATACAGCTTAGAACACTAGCAAAACCAAAAATATATAATTTTTGAAACATTTATTTTGCTATTCACATTAGAAATTCACACTCTCAAGAGTGTAAACTTTTCTAACAATAAAACAATATTCTTCAAGCATTAGGGTTATTTGTGTAATTTTTTTAGAAGTCTAACTTACCGAGTACCATCTGCTTTCCAGCTTACTTTGTATGGCTTCAGGTCTAAAAGTTTAATATTTTGCTTGTCCATGGAAACAGGCTGTGCTCCAGGGAATCCAGACCTTAAAGAAGAACACAGTATTACTATCGTGGCTGGTATCCATACAAAGCAATACATGTCTTAAACCAATCTCAAATGAATCACACATTTATCACAATGTTCTCCCTATGATGAGATTAATGTCAGCTGGAATAACATCCGCTTTCACAAAAATACTAATAAAAGATTATCATTTTCTTGACATTTTAGAATGCAAGTTAACAGAGTTCTAAATTACCACTGCTATGGTATAATCACTGAGCTAATTTTAAAATATTAGTATATATGATCTAAATAGTAAAGCAGGTATGTTTACAAGTCTTGTACTTCAGGAAGAAGTTTAAATCTTGGCTTAATTACTTTACATGATATTCTAGACCCCATATTTCCCCAACGTGAGACTGCCAACTTGACATAACTGCAAGGTTGGCAACTTTCTCCTCAAAAGATACCCAGAAGTGACAAAACAGGAGAAATATGGGTCAAGATTAAGGCTTAACACAACATTAAAACCAAGGGTGTAGGTCAAGATTAAGGTTTAACACAACATTAAAACCGATCTTATTTCTTCATTGTTTTCATATTTTAGTTAAAACTACTTCTAGATGATTTATCTAGTATTTATGTAACAGTAATAAAAGTTCTTTTCATTAGGAATTTATATTAGGAATTAACAATAATCCTTTTTCCTTACATTCAACTGTATTACAGTTCTCTGCCACAGATACCAATGATCAGCAGAAATGACCACAGGCCAAGACCTGAGAGCAACAGATAAGAGCAATGTATGCTCTCCTGAATCCACTACGAAATGTCTGAAAGATATTTTCAAGTCATGGCATTCACTGCTTATATTTAAAGCTGATTTTCCTAGACTTCTGATTACAGAAAAACTGGAAAATGAGGCAGATCCAAATTTCACCTCTTCCCTCTTATCAAATTGAGAGACTAGCTCAAACATTAATCAGTAGCAGTAGAGTCAAAGACACGAAACAAATACTAGACAGTGAAAACAAGAATTTTCTATTACTTTAGGAAAATATGTGAGTCATCTAATTTTGACTCAACTGTCTGGTTATTGCATTGATTGTCTTGAACGAAATCTGACACCTTTAAAGTATTCTATTGCAAACATACTAACTTCAAGGAGCCAAGAAGATATGTCAATGCTTGTATTAAGTGTTGTAAAATAAGAGCAAATTTTATTTAAAAATTTAAAAATATTTATTACCCTTCCCAGCCACAGAATTGATGACACTTCTGCTGTACCTCTCCTAACTTTGGTTGTGTTGTTACTTGAGTTACACCTTTAACAGTAACACCTTCCAAGAAAATAGCGCCCTTTAAAAAAAAAATAAGAAAAATAAGGGAAAGAAAAATATTTTATTAGAGTTCAAATTCATTTACAAAGAAGAGACTGAGAGATAAATTAGTTTGTTCTCACAAATCTTAGCAAGTCAATATATCTAACAGAAACGGTCTGCTGTATAAACTCCCCTAAGATTGTACACTAGTTTTCCTAAATCCAGCACATGGTTTTCTTCAATATACGTATGTACTCTATAGGCACTTCTCAAATCATAACAGTAATAATAATTTATCTACCATTTATTGAGATCCAAGCAGAATGTCTGGCATCTTGCAAACATTCTCTCTAATCCTTACAACACTGAAAAAATAGACTGTACTGTATTTATTTCAAAGATGAGTAAATAAGGCACAAAGATTTTATGTAAATCAAGTGGTAAAAGACAGAATTTGAACAGGCCTACACTATACCAACCACCAATGGAGAGAAGGGGAAAGGAGCTGTGTTACTATGAATGAAGTATGGACTTTAAGGGGATAAACACCAAAACCTCTATCTTTGTAAACCAGAGTAAGAGTGTAGGCAAAGTGGCTAAGCCACAGTCATTGGATATATTAACATACTAATAGAACAAAATATTACTCATCATGGAATTTTTAATCTAAATTTTTTAACTCAGAACTACATATTTTGAAATATCACAGCGAAGTAAAGCAGACAGAGAATATCAAACAAATAAGGAACCCTTCTGGAAATTTTTAAACCTAAAAAAAATAGTCTAGATGTATGCTACAGTTCTTTTAAGGTCCATAAAGGGACTGGCATCAGTCTTAAGAAAAATCTATAAAACAATTCTAGCTGTTAATGTAATTAGGCAATAAAAAAGTTAGTCTACAAGCTACAACGTTCAACCTTCTGGCAAAGACCTGGCAATCTGAGCCACTTGAGAAAAGAAAAAAAGAACAATTAATACTTCATCCACATACATTCTTGTCAAATCTGGAAGAATCCTGAGTCCTTCCAGCAGACACTAGTCCTACTTTTTGTCCCTAATTTTGAAGCACTTTTTGTACTTATCTGTCTTCTACTTTGCTTTCCTTAAATAACCAAAATTTAGGAATTTCATAAGCCCAAGGATCAAAGAGTACCATCCCTCTACTATTATACCATTATTTCTCTGTACTAGCCAATGGCATTTCTGTTTAAAACCATTTTTATCATTAAGTACAACAGCTAAAGGAAAAAAAGAGTATTTTTAAAAGAAAGCTCAACCAGATAGATGAGGTTTGTAACATATTTACTTATTGAGTGCTCAGATAATTTCAATATCCTTAAAAAATTGTTTCTTATGCTAATTAAAAAAGAACACTTCTTTTTAGAGAGTTCAATATTAAGCATCCTAATTCTGATGGTATTAACAGCATGAGATGTTCTTTTTAAGTTTTACACAAAGAAAGTCTCTAGCTTCATTTATCAACGTGGATTTCCTATGCAAAGTTAAGAAATTTACATTAACTTCTGAAATGGGCAAAATAAAAGCAAAGGCCAAATTAACCTAAGTTACTACTAAAAACACAAACACTATTTATATTTTTAACATATAATAAAAAGGACTAACACATAGAAAATATGATCACATTCAACCAAGCACTTTCCCACAATATTACCACAGAAATATTTTAATAACATTTCTATGGGGTTGAAAAAGCTGAATATTTTTAATTTAACAGAGCCAATAAATACTGAGCATCAGTACAGATCTAACAACTACTGAGTCTGGTTATAAAAGTTAACCCCAATCACCTAGTAAATGTCTGTCATCCATTTATTGTTCTTCTTCCTTAATCTTTCCTACCATGCATCAACTTCTTTTTTAACTTCCTCTATTTTCTTCCACAACAAATAAGTAAAAAGAAAGGTAGAAGTCCAATAAAAAAAAGTATGATACACTTCATACACAAATCATCCTTGGTAACTTTAGGCTAACATAATTTGCTATTTAATGTTACTACAATAGTTCTGACAAAATACCATTTTTATATTATTCAAAATTATATAACTCCAAGAAAGACCACTAATTTTTTTATTTATTTCTAGATGCAGTTTCTTTAATGTAAGCCAATTCTGGTTATTTCTACCTAGAGCTGAAAGCAACCTGAAAATACCCATCTTCATTTTCATGTTAGAGATCTAGAAACTGTTTCAAGATTCTAAATGTGCAAAAGGTCTAAGAGGGGAGAAAATAAAATCTTTTAAACAAGCTTTGCACGTGCTGATACTGCTCATTATTTCATTATATCAGCCCTTCCAAATCTTGAATTTGCATTTTTAACCAGTGTTAGAAAATCCTGTATTTCCCTCCCTGGGAAATATGGGAAGCATGAGCCATGACATATTCCTGAAGCTAAATCTCAGGGCATCACCTCTCACAAACAAGAGATCAAGATGCTTTTCATATTTATTTTATTTTAAAAATCCACAATGGATAAAAGAGAACAATCATCCAGGATGTAGGTGCCAGACACAGGGCAGAAGGTAGCTAGAAAAGTATGCCTTAGGGAAGTTAAGGGCCTAGCCTCATCCCTACCTTGTTTTAATAGCTGTACCTAACATAAACAGCTTAGTTTTCCATTGTTGTAGCTTCCTCTGCCCCATTTACAAACATGGCACAGCCGGCATGCCTTGCAAGGCCTGAGTTGAAGGACCGCATGTACACACAGACCAGTACAGCAGTACTAGGCTAACTAGAAGGATATCATCCCCATATGTGATCTCATTCCAAGTCTACAGCTGACTACCTTCATTGTTATGTATGAGATGGTTTCACTCCTTGAAAATATGGCCACTTCAGCATAAAATAGTTAAATCTTTATAATGGAAAGATCACTAATTCTAAACAGTGGCCAGATGTGGTGACTCATGCCAGTAATCCCGGCACTTTGGGAGGCTGAGTCAGGAGGACTGCTTGAGCCCCAGAGTTCAAGACCAGCTTGGGCAACACAGTGAGACCCATCTCTATTTATAAAAATAAAAAATAAATAATTAATTTTAAAAATAAATTTTAAATAGCAATGTCTTCGGTCTGGAATTATTGTGAACATACTATAATTGAGTATTAAAGTCACTGACATTTATTTTCACTTTTCAACAAATTATTTCTGTTTGTGAAAATAAAGAAAAATCGAAAGTTAAAAAAGTATGTTTATAGAAATATATTTCATAAACAGAGTCAGCTAGCCTTAAAATTAAAATCTGCATGGCTATCACAACAGAAATGAGTGATCCTTTAGACAGAAATTTAGTAAATATTACAGAAGATGGAGGCAATTTATGTGAGAGAGAGCTCTGTGTGTGTGTGTGTGTGTGTGTGTGTGTGTGTGTGTGTGTAAAGAGAAAATGTATACAAGAATATACGTACAACAGGCATATTTTCATAATGAGGAAAATACATTCATCGTTGTATTCAAAGAAATGATCTCAGACATCAGTTCAAGGAGTAAGCAACATACCTGTAAGTCATACTCTTCCAACTTAGTAACACATGTACTCAAAAGATGAATAAAGAAGGTGTCTTAGGAATGTAAGGGGCCAAGCACAGCATCGGACATGTGCCACAGTTATAAACCCAAAGAGAACTATCAGAATTAATTACAAGGAGTCCATTACTTGAATACATAGTTATATCAATATAAGAATCAGAAAAGACTGTACTTAACAAAAATAAAGTCTCAAACCAAAAATACCTTCATTATGTCAAGAGATGTGATCTATAAAATAGTCACTCTTAGATTGCCTCTGTTAACTATCTTCAACCTCAGATGGAAATAAAAGAAAAATGAAAGCTTTTCCAACCATAAATGTAATAAGTAATTATATCTGTGCTTCTCATCCCTGTCAACCATAGGTCAACTACAGTTGACACCATCCACAATTCAACTCTTCAGTCCCCTTTCTTCTCTGATGGTTTTGTACTCACTGCTTTAAAGCCCCTTTTCCTTGGTTCATCTTATCAATAATCACCTTCCCAAAGAGTTCCAATGTAAACCCTGGAATTCCTTTTTCATAAATAACCTTCCCCATCACCTCAACCATTTTCTTGAACACCCCGTACCGTGTCTCAACTAAAAGCTAGCTCTCCCTAGACAGATCATGTCATCTTAAAGCTACTTATTCTCCCACAGCCCAAGATCCATGGCAGTAATTTAAACTACTGTTCTATACCTCCTCACTGCTTTCCTAATCTCTTTCAAAAGGCCCTCTTGTGTTTACACTAATTCCTTTCAGCTATACCACTCAGCTGTAGTAAAGCAGAAATCCACTGTGGGTACTGGCATAACAACTCTCTTTAAGGGCTGCCCTCCCAACCCACAAAGATGGGGCCTAATAGCTATTTTACATGACATTACAAGATAACATCCTACTCCAGCCAAAGTTGATGGGAGCACGAATAACCCCTAACTCAATCTGAAGCCATCAGATTCTCTCTCCTGGTAATTTGGAATTGGGATTCCGAGACAAGCAGTTAGTCTCTGCATGTGGCTAAAATTATAACAGGTTACCTTAGAAGCTTCGAGACAGTTAATGATCTCCCAGGAAAATCAGGAATCAGGAAGAGCCAATCTTGAGAGACAGAGACAATGAGAAGACTGATACAAATAAAGGGACAAAAGCAGAGATGCGATATTAAGAAGAAAGAGCAGAAACTAGGTTCTAAGTAACTTTCCAGGTCCAGGTTCCAATATTGTCCTAAAATCTGGCACATTCCAGTGCCTGAGTTCCACTAATTTACTCATGAATAAGTACCCTTAATATTTAAGCCAGTTTAAGTTATTTTCTGCTGTTTACAGTCAGAGAGTCTAAACTAGTAAAACCCTCTATCCTTTGTGTATTGAAAGATATTGCCCTACATTCATCAAAAAAAGTTGGTCTTTCTGACTATTCTAACCTCTATCATTATATTGGTAACATCAACATCCATTGAAATAACTCGACCTGTTGTACAACCTTTACAATAGGTCATCTCATTTACAATGACCCTCATCTTTGTCCAACTGGAACATCCTGCTCCATGGCACTACCACAATCATTTCAAACCACTCTACCTTTTGATTCAATACAACTCACATTGATTGAGTGCCGACAGCATTCTAAAACTAACATGTCACTATAAACTCTTTTACTGTCACTCTGCTCACTTTTCAATTTCACCAAGACTAACAGTCCCTTCATTTCTCCTTTACATATTCTAACAGCACCCTCATCCTGACCTTACTTCCTATTCAGCCTAGAACCTATGGCTGATTACTTCAATTATTTTTCCTCTGACAGCCTCAGTGCCCCTTACCCTCTTGTTCTTCATCACACCCAAACTGAATTTCTCCAGCCTTGAGTCAACCTACCGTTAGTCTTTTCCACTCTCATACATAGGCAGCTGAAACTTACTGAGGAAAAAATCACAATCTCAATTACATCTCCAGTACTAAGAAAGATATTTCCCTCCTATTGCTGAAGACCTATTACTCCAAAAACTGCATTTGACCTCCATTCCCTTGCACTTCCTCAGAGATTTCTCTATCATTATTCCCCAAATCTTTACTTTCAACTTCATTGACTTCACTAGCTCCTTATCCACACTAATAAATATGCTTGAATTTATCCCATACTAAAAAGCCTTTTCTGACTATGTCTGCATCAATTACCCTTCTGCTCCTTTTTTTATCATAACCAAGCCACTTGAATGAATAGTTTATAGTAGTGTGCAGAAAAGGGTTAACCTAACACTAGTGCTTGCAAAGTTGGCTCCTGAATGGCACCTGAGAACTTGACTTTTGGAGTGTTCTCAGTCAACTGATAAGGATGGCTCACCAAACCTAGATTACTTGTCCCAAAAATACAGTTTATGCTGAATAAATTTTTTTCCTCCTGGAATCCTGGAATTTTGCTACATGCTAAGCACAGAGTGCCTACATGACCGGCCATCAATAAAAATCTTGAGCAGTGAGAGTGTAATGAGCTTCCATGGACAGAAACATCACAAATACATTGCTGCAGGAAGAGTGAGCTCAGGATGACCCCTCATGAGAAAAAGAGAGCACAAGAAAGCCTACACATTAACTCCCCCCAGACTCTACTTGTCTTTGTCTCTTATGATTGAGCTGTATATCCTTAGTACGTTGCTGTATAAATCTGAGTTATGAGTACAACCATATGCTGAGTCCTGAGTTATTCTAATAAATCTCCAGAAGTGAGGGTGGTACAGGGAACCCCTAACACAACTCAGTCTCCACTTTCTCGCCTTCCATTAGCTTCTTAAAATTACCAGTCTGACCCAGCCCTACTGCACCACAGAAAATAATCCTCAGATAAATACTTTCCGTC